>NC_000016.10:14825134-16028918 GCF_000001405.40 Homo sapiens
GGGTCGAGGCCGAGAGGATGGAGACCGCGTCACAGGCACCTCGCTGCTGGAATGGAGGGTGGTGGGGAGAACTTAGAAGATTATGCAATGGGCTGGCAGGGCTATACCCAGCCGCCCTGGTAAGCAGAAACTCAAGAAACCTCTAGGGTCCTGTTTTCTGGTCGTATGATCCCAGGAGTGCACATGGGCCCCTCGGGTGTCTGAACAGAAGGGCATAGGAGGGAGGGCCGCAGCCCTGCAGTCTTACTCTGCTGGTGTAGCGGTCACCTGGCAACTCCCACCCCACCCTGCACCGCGGGCTCCTGAGTCGGCAGATTAAGCATTTTATAAATTCTATTTTAAATACGTGTTTTAAACTTGTCAGATATTTGTCGTCATTTCAGTCCCTGCGCCTCTACCTCTTGCTGTGGTCGCTTATTTAACACTGGGGGGCTACGTTCTGCTAAGTCCCAGGGAGAGACTGTTCCTAATATCCGAGGGAGATATTATTCCTAATATCACGCTGGGTGAACACCACGTGTGTACAGCCTCTGATACGATTGGTAATATCCAAGGGAGATATTATCCTAACATCCCAGTGGGTGAACACCATGTGTGTAAACGCTGTGGTATTATTAGAAATATCCAAGGGAGATATTACTTCTAATATCACAGTGGGTGTACATCCTGTGATATTATTCGTAATATCCGAAGGAGATTTTACTCCTAATATCACAGTGGGAGTACACACTGTGATATTATTTGTAATATCCGAGGGAGATTTTACTCCTAATATCACAGTAGGTGTACAACCTGTGATATTATTCATAATATGCTAGAGATATATTACTCCAAATCTCATGGTGGGTGTACACTCTGTCATAGAATTCGTGATATCCTAGGGAGTTATTACCGCTAATATCACAGTGAGAGTACACCCTGTGATATTATTCATACTATCCTAGAAAGATATTACTTTTAATATCACAGAGGGTGTACACCCTGTGATATTATTCGTAATATTCTATGAAGATATAACTCCTGATATAACCGTAGGTGTATACCCTGTGATATTATTTGTTATATCCTAGGGAGATACTACACCTAATACCACAGTGGGTGTACACCCTGTGATATGATTTGTAATATCCTAGGGAGATATAACTCCTAATATCACAGAGGGAGTACACCCTGTAATATTATTCATAATATCCTAGAAAGATAATACTTTTAATATCACAGTGGGTGTACACTCTGTGATAATATTCGTAATTTCCTAGGGAGATACTACTCCTAATATCACCTAGAGTGTACACTGCGTGATATTATTCGTAATATCGTAGGGAGCTATTGCTTTTAATTTCACAGTGGGTGTATACCCTATGATATTATTCATAATATCTTAAGAAGGTAGTACTCCTAAAATCACAGTGCCTGTACACACTGTGATATTATTCATAATATTCTAGGGAGATGTTACTCCTAATCTCATAGTGGGTGTACACCTTGTGATACTATTTGTAATGTTCTAGAAAGATATTCCTTTTAATATCACAGTGGGTGTACACCCTGTGATATGATTCGAAATATTCTAGGGCGATATTACTCCTAATATCCCAGTGAATTTACACCATGCGTGTACACGCTGTGACCTCCCAGAAAGATATGACTCCTAATATCACAGTGGGGGTACACCCTGTGCTATTATTTGTAATACCCTATGGATATCATAATATCACAATGAACGTACACCATTGTGTACATGCTGTGATATTATTTGTAATATTTTTGGGTGATATTACCCCTAATGTCACAGTGCGTGTACATCTTTTGATATTATTTGTAATATTCTGTGGAGATATTGCCCCTAATATCACAGTGGGTGTATACTCTTTGATACTATTCGTAACATCCTGGAAGATATTATCCATATTGTCACGGTGGGTGTACACCCTGTGATATTATTCGTTATATTCTGGGGATATACTATTACCCCTAATATACTGTGGGTGTACCCCCTGTGATATTATTCACTATATCTTGGAGATATAATATTACCCCTAATATCACAGTGGGTGTATACTTTGTGATATTATTCATTATATCCTGAAGAGATATTATTTCCTTTAATATCACAGTGCATGTACACCTTGTGATATTATTTGTTATATCCTGGGGAGATACTACTATATTACTCCTAGTATCACAGTGGCTGTACGCCTTGTGATACTATTCATTATATCCTGGGGAGATATTATTACTCCTAATATCACAGTAAGTGTATACCCTGTGCTATTATTCATAATATCCTGGGAGATATTACCCGTATTGTCACAGTGGGTGTACATCCTGTAATATTATTTGTAATATCCTGGGGAGATATTATTACTCCTAATAGCACAGTGGGTGTACACCCTGTGATATTATTGGTTATATCCTGGGGAGGTATTATTATTCCTAATATCACAGTGGGTGAACATTCTGTAATATTATTCATTATATTTTGGGGAGATATTAATTCCTCTAATATCACAGTGGGTGTACACCCTGTGATATTATTCATTATATCCTGGGAAGATATTAATTCCTCTAATATCACAGTGGGTGTACACCCTGTAATATTATTCATTATATCCTGGGAAGATATTATTTCCTCTAATATCACAGTGGGTGTACACCCTGTGATATTATTTGTTGTATCCTGGGGAGATATTATTATGTCTCATATCACAATGGGTGAACACCCTGTGATAGTATTCGTTATATTTGGGGAAGATGTTATTACCCCTAATATCACAGTGGTGTACACCCTGTGATATTATTCATTACATCCTAGGGAGATATTGTTACCCATAATATCACAGTGGATGTACACCCTGTCATATTATTCGTTATATCCTTGAGAGATGTTACTACCCCTAATATCACAGTGGGTGTATACCCTGTGATATTATTCGTCAAATTTTCTGGAGATATTATTACCCATAATATCACAGTGTGTGTACCCACTGTGACAGTATTGATTATATCTTGGGGTGATATTACTCCTAATTTCACAGTGGCTGTATCCCTGTGTTTACACCCTGTGATGTTATTCATAATATTTTAGGGAGATATTACTCCTAATATCACAGTCAGTGTACACCATGTTTGTACACCCTATGATATTATTTGTAATATTTTAGGGAGATATTACCCCTAATATCGTTGTGGGTGTACAGCATGTTTGTAAACACTGTGATATTATTCATAATATCTGAGAGAGATATTACTGCCAATATCACAGTGGGTGTACACCCTGTACACCGTGTGATACGATTCATAATATCTGAGGGAGATATTACTCCCAGTATCACAGTGGGTTTACACCCTGTGGTATTATTCATAATATTCGAGGGAGATATTACTCTCAATATCACAGTGGATGTACACCCTGTGATATTATTTGCAATATCCGAGGGAAACATTACTGCTAATATCACAGTGGGAGTACACCCTGTGATATTATTTGTTTTATCCTGGAGACATATTATTCCTATTATCACAGTGGTTGTACACCCTGTGATATTCTTCGCTATATTCATGGAAGATGTTATTACCCCTAATATCACAGTTGGTGTACACCCTGTGATATTATTCGTTATATCCTGGGGAGATATTATTACCCCTAGTATCACAGTGGGTGTACGCCCTGTCATATTATTCATTACATCATGGGAAGATATTATTACATCTAATATCACTGTGGGTGTACACCCTGTGATATTATTTATTATATCCTGGTGAGATGTTATTACTGCTAATATCACAGGGTGTGTCAAATTTTCTGGAGATATTATTACCCTTAATATCACAGTGGGTGTGCACCCTGTGTGTACACTCTGTAATATTATTCATAATATTTTAGGGAGATATTACTACTAATATCACAGTGGGTGTACACCCTGAGGAGATATTACTTCCTCTGATATCACAGTGGGTGTACACCCTCTCATATTATTCGTTATGTGCTAAGTAGATATTATTACCCCTAATATCACAGTGGGTGTACACCCTGTGATGTTATTCCTTATATCCCAAGAAGATATTATTATAACTAATATCACAGTGGGTGTACACCCTATGATATTATCTGTTATATACTGGGGGGATATTATTTGTAATATTTTAGGGAGATACTACTCCTAATATCATAGTGGGTGTACTCATATTTTACAGATATATTACTTTTAATATCACAGTGGGTGTACACCCTGTGTGTACACCCTGTAATATTATTAGTAATATTTTAGGGAGATATTACTCCTAATATCATAGTGGGTATACACCATGTTTGTAAACCCCAGGATATTATTCATAATATCCGAGGGAGATATTACTCCCAATATCACAGTGGGTTTACACCCTATGATATTATTTGTAATATCTGAGGCAGGTATTACTCTCCATATCACAGTGAGTGTACACCCTTCTATATTATTCATAACATCCGAGGGAGATATTACTTCCAATATCAAAGTGGGTGTGATAATATCTGAGGGAGATATTATTCCTAATATCCGTGGGAGATATTATTCCTAATATCTCAGTGGGTGTACCGCGTCACAGTGGGTGTGCACTGTGTGATATTATTCATAGTATCCAAGGGAGATCTTACTCCTAATATCACAGTGAGTGTACACCCTGTGATATTATTCATTATATTTGAGGGTGATTTTACTCCTGATATCACAGTGAGTGTATACCCTGTGATATTATTCTAATACCCAAGGGAGAGCTTTCTCCTAATATCACAGTGGGTGTACACTCTGTGATATGTTTCATAATATCCGAGGGAGATAGGATGGAGACCACGTCACAGTCCCCTCACTGCTGGAATGGACACTGTCTACCCGTGGAGTGGTGGGGAGAACTTAGTGAGATTATGCAAGCGTTTAGCACACTGCCAGATATACATTAAATGCTCAGAAGACTTAGCTTTTATTACTACCGTTATAATTGAGGCCATGGGTTACTAACCAGTGGTTTAAAATGCCATTGCAGCTGGGCACGGTGGCTCATGCCTGTAATCCCAGCACTTTGGGAGGCTGATGAGGGCGGATCACTTGAGGTCAGGAGTTTGTGACCAGCCTGGCAAACATAGTGAAACCCCGTTTCTACTAAAAATACAAAAATTAGCTGGGTGTTTTGGTGCGTGCCTGTAGTTTCAGCTTCTCAGGAGGTTGAGGCAGGAGAATCGCTTGAACCTGGGAGGCGAAGGTTGCGGTGAGCCAAGATTGTGCCACTGCACTCCAGCCTGGGTGACAGAGCGAGACTCTGTCTCAGAACAAACAAACAAAATGCCATTGAAGACATATATGAATATGAAAAGGTGGTTGCTAAGTGATGATTGAATAAAAGAGATTATAATATAAAATAGGCTTTGGTTTTTTTAAAGCAAAAAAGAAAAGGATATGCCTAAATTAGGGAACATGGAGAAGAAGGCCAAGGCATTTACCTTCCTCTCTTGAGTCTTTTTCTCTCTCCGTCTCTTTTTTTTTTTTTTTTTTTTTTGAGTCAGGGTCTTGCTCTGTCACCCAGGCTGGAGTGCAGTAGTGCCATCATGGCTCACTGCAGCCTTGACCTCCTGAGCTCAAGCAACCTTCCACCTCAGCCTCTCCGGAGTATCTGGGACTACAGGCACACACCACCAAGCCTGGCTGATTTTTAAATTTTTTTGTGGAGACTTGTCTCACTTTGTTGCCCAAGCTGCTTTGGAACTCCTGGCCTCAAGCCATCCTCTTGCCTAGGCCTCCCAAAGTGCTGCGATTACAGGCGTGAGCCACCATGCCCAGCTCTCTCTTGGGTCTTAAAGCAAAGTGTCAAAGACCCAGCCACCACTTCTTAGAAATGACTCGATGTCATACTAGCATAAATGCATCGATAAAAAGATGGAAATGTGGTAACACAGTGATCTTGGGGAATCCTAGTTTTCTTTTCCAATTTCTTTGTTGTTGCAGTGAGCAAGTACTTGTTTCAAGATAGGAATGAAATATTCGGCTCTTTTAGACAGACAAGCACAGGTGCTCAGTTTGGGAGAAGAATTAAAATCCTCTGCACTCTCCATGCTGCCTTGCTAATTCTCGGGGTCCTGTCCTCATCTTCTACTCTTGCCTTCTGCAGGGACCCCACAGCGTGTTTTCCCCGATCTTTTTGTATCACTCTAAATCCAGTATTGGGCCCAGGGAGCACCCCCTCCCCTGCCCCCTTCAGCTGTCCTCCTGCCTGAGTCTTCTGGAAGCTTCGGGACAGAAAGAACCCAAGGATTTGTCATGAAGCTCAGTGTGGCAGGTCTACTGTTTCCATGTAAATCATGTCTGCTTATCTGAGCTGGTTTTGGTGGAAACTGATGGAAATTATGGGGAAGCTAAATCCCTGTCTCTCTGCAAGCCACTCCCCAATCCCACCCCCATGAATTGGCATTGTCACAGTCCTGGTGCTTCATTTCTTTCTATATTTGAAGATGAATTTGAGGGAAATAGTCAGAAAGTCAAGAAGAACACAGCAGAAATCAATTGGGGTGAGTCCAGAACAAAACTTGGGGATCCCACTTCCTGCTTTTTTTTTTTTTTTGAGATGGAGTCTCACTCTGTCGCCCAGGCTGGAGTGCAGTGGCAAGACCTCAGCTCACTGCAACCTGTGGCTCCCTGGTTCAAGTGATTCTCCTGCCTCAGCCTCCTGAGTAGCTGGGATTAGAGGCATGCGCCACCACACCTAGCTAATTTTTGTATTTTTAGTAGAGACAGGGTTTTGCCATGTTGGCCAATTTGGTCTCGAACTCCTGACCTCAAATGATCTGCCCACCTCGGACTCCCAACATGTTCATATTACAGTAGTAAGCCACGGCTTCTGGCCCCAATTCCTGCTCTCTAGCTCCGGGAAAACCTATGGCTGCATGCAGAGTCTTAGACAACTTCCTTTTCCTCTCTGGGCCTCAGTTTCCCATTCTGTAAGATGAGAGGTTTCCATAGGCCTACACTTTCTAATTGGTGGCTTTCAATCCTCTGGTGATTTGCATAAAAGGCATCTATTTCAATTGTGGTTATAAATAACAAACCCCAATAAGTAGACGAATTATTTAAATGGTTTCTCATTATCACTGAATAGTTGAGAGTCTACTGTATTTGAGTGAAAATGCAGCACGAGAAACTGAAATCAGATGCACTCATGATTATGACCCTGAGGTCAATGTGTCATTCCCTTCATTCCCTCCTTGCCCCCATGAAAGTTTGACTACTGTATGGTTTGAACCTGTGCTTCTTAGTTGTTTATTGCTTAAGTTTTAGCCACAATGGCAAATTGCAGCGGGAAATTCAGTCTTACTTTGTCATTTGGAAACAAAATACAAAACCTATCAAAATAAAGCACTAGCTTTTTTTTTTTGAGACAAAATGGAAGAAATCCTAATATTAGGTAAGAAAAGCAATTTTTTGGTGTTTTTTTAATTTTATTTATTTATTTTTTTGAGACAGAGTCTTGCTCTGTCGCCCAGGCTGGAGTGCAGTGGTGCGATCTCGGCTAACCGCAAGCTCCGCCTCCCAGGTTCACGCCATTCTCCTGCCTCAGCCTCCCGAGTAGCTGGTACTACAGGCGCCCGCCACCACGCCCGGCTAAGTGTTTATATTTTTAGTAGAGACGGGGTTTCACTGTGTTAGCCAGGATGGTCTCGATCTCGTGGCCTCATGATCTGCCAGCCTTGGCCTCCCAAAGTGCTGGGATTACAGGCGTGAGCCACTGTGCCCGGCCTCTTTGGTGTGTATTTTGATGTGGTGACTGGTAGTTAAATTCAGTGTACATATGAATTCACTCTTGGGACAAAATATGCTGGATTTGAGCTTGTTTTTAGGCAAATCATGTTTCATCTTGCAGAGCTAATTCAAAGTATACTGACTGCATGCACTTCTTGCTTAGGGGAAGAAAACTCATCAAAATTTGTTTCTAGGCATATGTTATTAGAGCTAGGATTAAAATAAATCTTACATACTTTCTTTAATATGCTAACATTAACACGTTTTGCTTAAAAAAGTATCGATCATTTATCATGGAAAAATACACCAGCTTACACAAATTCTTAAAGCGTTTTTCGTGTGTGTTTTTCGTGTGTGTGTGTGTGTGCGTGTGTGTGCGTGTGCGCGTGTGTGTGTAGAGATGGGGTTTCGCCATATTGCCCAGGCTGGTCTCGAACTCCTGGGCTCAAGCGATCCACCCACCTCAGCCTCCCAAAGTGCTGGGATTACAGGCGTGAGCCACACACCCGGCCCTAAAGCTTTTTGTGAGATTATATATTTTACCTGCGAAATATATGGGTCAGAAAGATTTGAGAAAGTTGTTAGATAATTCCACCAACAAAATCTCCCGTCCTTTCCAGCTGTGATGGTGAATTCTAAAGTAGAATTCATCTTTGGAGCTTCTCCCTGTAGGCATGCACCTTGCGTTGCGCCTGCCAGATGTCGCGCGGAGTCCTCCAGGCCTCTAGAAGGCAGAGATGGTCTCGTTTCCTTGCCGAGCATGCGCCTTAGTTCTCTCTTCTGGGGCTGTGAACGTGGGGTCGAAGCGCGCGTGCGCGGCGGCTCTGGCGGCGGCGGTGGGGCGGGGCCTGGGCTGTCAGCCGGCCTAGGAGGAGGAAGGAGCCTGCGGCGTGCAGTGTGAGGGGCGGGACCCGGCTGCCGGCGGTGGGTCTAGCTGGGGGAGGTCGGGCCATGCTGGTGGGCCAGGGCGCGGGGCCGCTGGGGCCCGCGGTGGTCACCGCCGCGGTGGTGCTGCTGCTGAGCGGCGTGGGGCCGGCGCACGGCTCGGAGGACATCGTGGTGGGCTGCGGTGGCTTCGTCAAGTCGGACGTGGAGATCAACTACTCTCTCATCGAGGTGAGCGCCCGCCCCGCCGCCCGGCGCCGAGTCGCCGGGCCGGTGGTTCAGCCTCTCTGGGCCGCGCTGGCCTCGTCTCTGACACCGGGCGGTGTGGAGTCCTTGGAGCCCTTACCTCTTCCGAGGCTATGCTGTCCGCGGGCTCCCTGCAGCCCCTCCCCAGTCGCGCTGGAGGGGAGGTTCTTATCATGGGGTCGTCTAAGGACTGAGGGGTGCCAGACCTCAGGTTCTTCAAAACCCCGACTCCAGATCCCCGGAACACAGACCCCAGATCCTCAAAACCCAGACCCTAAATTCCCTGGAGCCCAGACTCCATTTCTTTAAAACTTAGACCTGAGATCTCCTCGAATCAGACCCCCTGAAACTCAGATTTCCCCAAACCCACATTCCAGAACCTAGAGACCACATGTCTTATCCCCCAAACTCCACAGCCCAGAACCCCCCGAAGTTCTAATCCACTGCTCCTCCAAACCCCGCGGCATGATTTTAAAGAGCATCAATTCCCATCCCATAGATTCTGACCTAGTAGATCAGTATTGGCAACCCTGGGGCCGGAAAGCTATTTTTTATTTCTCCGGCTCCCCTCCACTTCTGAAAATGGAGAGTTGCCAGCTGCCCTGATTGCCTTAATGAGTAGTTAATGGAATTACCCTAGAGATTTGTGCTGAAGGTTTTTTTTTTTTTTTTTTAAATTAAGTTGTAAAGTCCTGTTAAATGTTTATCAGCCCGGTGGGATTATGACCCAGAAAGGTTCCCGTAAAGAGGAAAGGGATGGATGGAGGTAGGGGCAGAATGTCATTTGTCCCGGTAGATGGGAGGGGACCAGAGCAAGGCCTGGGCCTCATTTTTGGGAGGGGATTTATGGTGGGGTAGGACAAGGAAGAGGAAAAGAGCGGGTGCCTCGGAGGTAATTTAGGAGAAAACGAAGGAAGAGGCTGGGAAATGCCAAAGAGAGGGATTGGGGAATAAGACCCCAAAGATCGTCTGAAAGCACCTTTGAGCTGTTCCAGGGCTGGCAGTGAAGGGTGAAGCTCTGTGTTCTGCAAAGCGGGCTGCTGAGGATTGGGGGAGGGGTAGGGAGTCAGTTCCACACCCCACCAGCTCTGCGACCTGCCCTTGCTCTAGGTTTCAGTTTTTGTACCTATAGGATGGTGTTGGGAGAGAAACAGTGGAACCCAGCAGATACATTTCTTTAACAAGCGGATCCGTGATCTTCTTCAAGGCCCCCTTGTTTACTGCTTTTTCAGACTGAAGAGGTCAGAGGTCAGGCATTGAATGAATCTACCCACTGGCAGCGGCAGGGCTCCTAGGATTTCCTGGGTACATGTTTCTGGGTGCCCATGCCACCGCCTAGGTCTGCACTGGGGACAGGACGCGTTCAGGGTGGTATGGCTGTAGACGGCACAGGGCATTTCAGAAGCTGAAATGCAAGAGGCCGCTAAGGCCTCTTGCAACTTGTAGTTTCCAGGGGTTCTGGAAGGAAGGAAAAGACAGGCACCCCCCTCCACCCTCACCCTCATACTAATAGTGACCTTGAGAGCAGAGAACAGGTTTTGTGACCCATTTCAAAGTGTGTTCCTTAAGCCCAAGGGCTGCCTGTCCAGATGGTGTGGGACACTCATTCTTTCATAAGTAATTCAGATTCTGAAATCAGACATTTCATACTGGCCATCTTGATGTAGATTACATTGCCATCCTGTGTCCTGATTGTACTTTATGAAAGATGTAGAAATAATCATGATATTTCACGGTTATTTCTTGATTGTGTTTTTTGTGTTCCTATGCAACTGCCGCCATTCTTCTCTAGCTTTCTCCCATCCTGAGTGTTTTTACATCGTGTTCATTGAGTCAACAACTATTTACTGAGCCCTGGCACATACTGAAGCCTTGTCCCCAGTGTGGATATAGCAGTACAGTGAACAGAACAGACAAAACTCCATACTCTCATGAGACTGACATTTTGTTCTCTAACAGGGACCTTACTGTTAAAAAAAAAAAATTATACTGGTTGCTAATACTTTAACAATCCGCAGGTTTCACATTAAAAACCGGGTTCTTTATTTCTCTGGAAAGCCAGCCGATCTTTAGGCTGCCACACTTGGCTTGGGTTTTGTAGTGATCTGAATCCTTTTGGATGAATGTCCCTTGATGTTGCCTCCCTAACCGGTCTAGGCTGGTGAATTTCCAGTCCCTGCCTTAAATGCATGTATCTGAATCTCTTTGTCACCTGTAGCAAATTCACTGAGTACCTAGAGTAAGCTAGACACTGTCTCAGGCACTGGGGAATGAAGTTGTCACTGACCTCAGAGAACTTTACATACAGGCTTAACCTTATTTCACACGAGTCCTTTCCCAAATGTTCAAATGTTCGTTTTATGAGTTAGTCACTTTGTACATCTTCTTAGCTGGTGAGATTCGACTGTTTCATTGCAGCTCGTGTCATGGTTTGTTTCATGGTCATAGAGCATTAACATTTTGGAGGTGAGGCTTTTAGGTGCATCAGACCCAACTGCTTCCTTTTACAGACATGGAAACTGAGCCTCAGAGTGGTTGAGCTGTGCAGGTACATTTAGGAAATTTTCCTTGAGCCCAGTATGTTCCCTACGTATTACACTGTGTTGCCTTTTTCTTCAGAGAGAGATATTAAATAGTAATACAAACTGCTTTTTCCATTTTACTTTTTTTTTTTTTTTTTTTTTTGAGACGGAGTCTCGCTCTGTCGCCCAGGCCGGACTGCAGACTGCAGTGGCACAATCTCGGCTCACTGCAAGCTCCGCTTCCCGGGTTCACGCCATTCTCCTGCCTCAGCCTCCCGAGTAGCTGGGACTACAGGCGCCCGCCACCGCGCCCGGCTAATTTTTTGTATTTTTAGTAGAGACGGGGTTTCACCTTGTTAGCCAGGATGGTCTCGATCTCCTGACCTCATGATCCACCCGCCTCGGCCTCCCAAAGTGCTGGGATTACAGGCGTGAGCCACCGCGCCCGGCCCCATTTTACTTATTTTATTTTGTTTTATTTTGAGGCAGGGTCTCACACTGTTGCTCAGGCTGGAGTATAGTGGCACCATCATAGCTCACCAAAGCCTCTGACTCCTGGCCTCAAGCAGTCCTCCTGCCTCGGCCTCCTGAGTAGCTGAGGCTACAGGCACGTGCCATCATGCCTAGCTAATTTTTTTTCTAGTAGGGATGAGGTGTGGCTATGTTGTCCAGGCTGGTCTCCTGGGCTCAAGTGATCCTCCTTCTTTGGCCTCCCAAAATGCTGGGATTACAGGCATGAGCCACCATGCCTGGCCGCAAACTGATTTTTCTTTGAATCCATATTCTGTAGCAGGTGCTTAATATGCATTGATGTGAATCTGTACAACCACATGAAAAGGAGTGGCTCTGTGTCTACATCTGAAGAAACCGAACACGAGCTTGCCCAAGGCCACGCAACACGTGGAAGACTCAGATGGCATTTGGGCATCTTACTGGGTTAACACTTCGTGTCTGGTAATGCTCAGAATGTAAGAGTTTTAGAGAGTCCTTGAAGAGAGGACAGATATTAAATGTCTTTTTAGTCTCTTTTTCTTCGGAGAATGAAAGTAATGAGAAAATTAAGTTTCTAGATGAATGTTGCTCCAAGTATTTGAAATTATTCAGAGTTAGTAAGGAAGATTTCTGGCCCTCATTCCAGACCTTTAGTTGAGAAATAGAGGTGGGCCCCAGGAATTTGCAATTTATTTTACTTTATTTTTTTTTATTATTATTTTTGAGACGGAGTCTTGCTCTGTCTCCCAGGCTGGAGTGCTGTGGCATGATCTTGGCTCACTGCAACCTCCGCCTCCTGAGTTCAAACAATTTTCCTGCCTCAGCCTCCCAAGTACCTGGGACTACCGGTGCCTGCCACCATGCCTGGGTAACTTTTTTTGTATTTTTAGTAGGGACAGGGTTTCACCTTGTTGGCCAGGCTGGTCTCAAATTCCTGACCTTAAGTGATCTGCCCACCTCAGCCTCCTGAAGTGCTGGGAGTACTGGCATGAGCCACCGTGCCCAGCCAGGAATTTGCATGTTAATAAGCACCTTACTAATGGCAAAGTTTGCAAATTTGTTTTAGACCCGGAAACTTACACGAGCAACCTAGAGACAGCCACTAAAATAAACAGAAAAGCATTGAAAAATAAGGCATTGTAATAGGCTGTAGATGGTTTCTAATCTGAAAAACATTGAGTCACATGATTTGGGAGAGAGTTTGTTGATTTCCCTCTGTCCCCAGTAATGCCCCGTGTTAAAAGCTGGCATATAATAGGTCCTCAGTGAATGTATACTGACTGAGTGCATTCAGGTGTAACATGTGTAGTTAATTCCCAAAGGCAATGTTATGATTTCTGTTTTCCTTCCTTCCTTTCCAGATAAAGCTGTACACCAAGCATGGGACTTTGAAATACCAGACAGACTGTGCCCCTAATAATGGTTACTTTATGATCCCTTTGTATGATAAGGTAAGAGGGGACTGCTTGTCACTTATGATGGGAAATCACTAGTGTGCCTCACCAGGCTGCATTAACCATGCCCTTTCCTACACTAGCAAATGCTCATCTGTTTTGTAAATTATTAGTGGAATATGATAATCCTAGCCACATTTGGAGGGAGACAACTTACAAACTGCCTTGACGAATACAGTGGCTCTCTCTGTGTTTAGGGCCATTTGGCAATGTCTAGAGACGTTTTTGTTGTGACATCTGTGGCTGTGCGCTACAGTCACCCAGTGAGTAGTGGCCAGGCGTGGAGCTAAATGCGCTACAGTGCTGCCTACGACAGCCCAGATGTCAGTAGTGCCAGGGCTGAGAAACCCTGATTTCATGGAACCCGTTACTTGCAAGCAGCTTAAAGTATTGTTAAAACAATTGTACAAGTAATACATGAATTCATGAACTTTGTGAAAAAGAAAGTCAAGGTCTTTAGAAGTATGTGAAATAAATTTGTACCCTTTTCCCTCCAATTTTACCTCCCTCTGTAGTGATAACCTTTGATAATCTGATAAAGGGTTTTTTTGTTGTTTTTTTTTTTCTTCTTTTGAGATGGAGTCTCGCTCTGTCGCCCAGGCTGGAGTGCAGTGGTGTGATCTTGCCTCACTCCAACCTCCACCCCCCAGGTTCAAGCCATTTTCCTTCCTCAGCCTCCCAAATAGCTGGGATTACAGGCACCTGCCACTACACCCAGCTAATGTTTTGTATTTTTAATAGTGACGGGGTTTTGCCATGTTGGCCAGGCTGGTCTCGAACTCCTGACCTCAAGTGAACCACCTGCCTCAGCCTCCCAAAGTGCTGGGATTACAGGTGTGAGCCGATGTTTCCGGCCCTCTTATAAAATTTTGATGTGCATCCTAACAGATTGCTTTCTATTTATAGTTATTCAGATAGCCACGGGTACACATGCATATGTATACATGGAAATACACACAAGCACACATGCACATCGATATGTATCCACAAACACCTCTATACAATCCCATCCTCCCACATATAAACCTTTTATTTGGAAATACAGATTCATAGGAAGTTGCAAAAATAGTCAATACACATAGTTTTGATTTTGATATATTTTTTAATACAAATGAAATCAAACAATAGGATTTATTCTGCAGTTTCATTTTTTCCCCTGTGTTAATGCTTTCAATACCAGAGGGACATTTGGTTTTTTCCTCTTGCATGCTTTCAACATTAGCATAGATAGATCTACTGACTTTTTTTTCTTTTTTTTTTGAGACAGAGTGTCACTCTGTCAGCCAGGCTGGAGTGCAGTGGCGCGATCTCGGCTCACTGCAACCTCTGCCTCCTGGGTTCCAGTGATTCTTCTGCCTCAGCCTCCCAAGTAGCTGGGATTACAGGCACCCACCACCATGCCCAGCTAATTTTTTTTGTATTTTTAGTAGAGATGGTGTTTCACCATGTTGGCCAGGCTGGTTTTGAACTCCTGACCTCAGGTGATCCGCCCACCTCAGCCTCCCAGAGTGCTGGGATTACAGGCATGAGCCACCATGCTCAGCCTACTGACTTCTTTTTAATCGCTGCATAGTGTGTCAGAGTCAAACCCAAACTGTAATTTATTTAACTACTTGGACATATAGACTTTCCCCAATTTTAAAATAATAGTAATTTTAACATAACACACCAGGAAATATTCTTGAACTTAACTCTTCATCCAGAATGCATAGGACTGATTTCTAGAGATGGACTAGCTGGGTCTGTCCTGAAATCTATTTAATTAATTTTTAAATAGTATCAGTATCAGTCTCAAGAAACCAGGAGGCTGGACGTGGTAGCTCATGCCTGTAATCCTAGCACTTTGGGAGGTTGAGGCAGGTGGATCGCCTGAGCTCAGGAGTGTGAGACCAGCCTGGGCAACATGGTGCAACCCCGTCTCTACTAAAATACAAAAAAATTAGCCGGGTGTCACGTGGATGCCTGTAGTCCCAGCTACTTGGGAGGCTGAGGCAGGAGAATCGCTTGAACCCAGGAGACGGAGGTTGCAGTGAGCCAAGATCGCACCACTTCACTCCAGCCTGGGCAACAGAGCGAGGCTCCATCTCAAAAAAAAAAAACTAAAACAAAAACAAAGAAACCAGGGTTGATAAGTAAAATCTAGTTTTATTTATTGAATTAATGAGTTAATGTATTGTTTAGAGACAGGATCTCCCTCCGCTGCCCATGCTGGAGTGCAGGGGCACAATTATGGTTCACTGCAGCACTGACCTCCTGGGCTCAAGTGATCTTCCTGCCTCTTCCTCCTAAGTAGCTAAGACTGTAGGCGCCTGCCACCACACCCAGCTGATTTTTTAAGAACATTTTTTGTACAGATGGGGTCTTGCTATGTTGCTTAGGCTGGTCTTGAACTCCTGGCCTCAAGTGACCCTCCTGCCTTGGCCTCCCACAGTGTTGGGATTATAGGTGTGAGGTGCTGTGCCTGGCCAAATCTAGTTTTAGGGGGTGCCTTTAGTTCCTGAAGATACATGCTAACTTGTGCAACTGTAGGCATGTGAGGGCTTAATGGGAGACTCAATTAATAGAATTATAGTATGTTTAGTATTAAAAGACAGTGAGTGGCTGAACCTAGTGTCTTTAGAACTCATGAATGGGCTTCAGCACTGTCTTCTGATTGTTTAGATGAAAACTTCTGGTGTTCAGCTTCAGCTTGTAGCTTCTGAAGAGAATCAGTGCTCAGTACCATGTAGAAGAACAAGGCTCACTCTTAGAATTTCATTTCCGGTGTAAAAAAATTTTAGATTAAATGATAACACTAAACTAAATTTAGCCAGAGTCACAATTCTCATTTCTTGAAATTACATTTTCTTTTTTTCCTTTTAGGGGGATTTCATTCTGAAGATTGAGCCTCCCCTAGGGTGGAGTTTTGGTAAGTTAACTGAATCACTAGACATTCTTTGTAAAAGATTAGATGATATGCCGAATATTAATTTAGGCTAGCAGAGTGCATAAACTATTAAAATATTAAGGATCATTTCCAGTATGGAAGAGGGTTTGTATTCCTCCCCTCCTTGCCCCCATCACTCTGGTTTAGTTCGGATTTACCTTAATCTACCTTAAGACTTTCTGTCACCTTTGAAAAATAGACATCTTTTCTTCTACCTTTCTGGAAACTCTTCCCTTGCAGTTTCACTCATTACGTGGCCGTGGAACAGTATAGAAATCAAGAGTGGGGACTTGGTTCCCGTCCCAGGATGGCTTCTTTTTTAGCCCCCTCAGTTTTTTAAGTTTTTATGGAATTAATTGAAACATTTAAAGATTGTGAGATTTGTCATAAAAATCCAGATTTATGTCCCATGAGATGAGAAGACTGTCAGCCTTATACCTTACCAGTTAAATAACTTTGGGCAAGTTACTTCCCCCGTGTCAGCCTGGCTCCTCACTGTCGAGCAAGGGTAGTTATAGTCCCTGCCCCACTGGGTACTTGGACGATTAATAAACCAATACTGAGTGTTCAGAGGGGCTGGCACGTAATTAGCAAGTACTCAGTATTCAGAAACAGCCCTTCTGCACACATCCCAAACAAAAGCTCCAAACTTTCCTCATATAACTGCCTTCAAGCATAGCTGGGGAGTCGGGGATGGGGTTGAGATCAGAAGAGAGGGTCTGTTTTGATGTAGTTTACATTTTTGAAGAGGAGAGACTCTTGATGTTTCAGTAGAGCAGGTGTGGGTGACCCCAGTCCATGGCTTGGGGAGAGGAGTAGGGATCACCGTTGTTGATATCAGGCTTGCTCGTGCATTAGACAAGGAAGAATTTAGCACCTGCCATCGCCAAGGCTAAAATGAGGCTCAGGCAGCTGACAGCTAATTTGGCTCTGTGAGAGCAGCTCTTTTATCAGTTTATAGTCAGGGGTAGGGTGGGGGGTGCCTGGCTGGTACGTTCCAGAAAGCTGGAGAGGAATGCAGCCCTGCTCATGGCCAAAGCAGAAGTCCAGATTGGTGGCCTGGAGGAGTGTTGTGTTTGCCACCCCCCACCCTACCCCCAACTGGTGCTGTTGATAAGCTTTTTAATTGAATTATACTTTCAGAAAAGTGCCTTGGATGAATTTTCACTAAGTGAACACACCCATGTATCCACCATCCAGATGATAAGATAGCACTTCACCAGCACCCCAGAAGTCCCCATCCTGGGTGCTCCTTAGCCATCCCGCCCCACCCTCCAGGTGACCACCACCCTCACCTTCTACAAATTAGAGATCCATTTGGTCTGTTTTGAACTTTATACAAATGCTATCATGCAGGGAACTTTTTAATATCCGGTTTCTTTCACTCAACATTATGAACTTTATCTGTATCATTTGTAGCTTTAGTTCATTCTCTTTGCTGTTGAGAATTCTGATGCATAAATATAAAATTATTTATATTTTATAAAATATTTATATTTTATTTTATTTTTTCTTTTTTTTGAGACTGAGTCTCGCTCTGTTGCCCAGGCTGGAGTGTGATCTCAGTTCACTGCAACTTCTGCCCGGGTTCAAGCAATTCTTGTGCCTCAGCCTCCTCAGTAGATGAGATTACAGGTGTGCACCACCACACCCAGCTAATTTTTGTATTTTTAGTAGAGATGGGGTTTCATCATGTTGACCCAGGCTGGTCTCGAACTCCTGACCTCAAGTGATCTGCCCGCTTTGGCCTCCCAAAGTGTTGGGATTATAGGCAAGAGCCACCACGCCTGGCCTATATTTATATTTTATATTCATATTTTGTATCAGTGATCTCTTCTACTGTTGATGGCCATTTGAGTTGCTTACCGATTTTGGCCACTAAGAGCAGTGCTCCTGTGAACATTCTTGTATGTATATTTTGATACATGTGTCTGCATTTTTGCTGAGTATATCACAGGAGTAAAGTCGCTGAGCCATAGAGCTGATACATGCTCAGCTTTAGGTGTTTGCAAACATCCAAAGTGGATGCACCAGTTGGTGTTCTCCCAGCAGTGTACAAGGGTTTCCATTGCTCCACATCCTAACCTACACTTGGTATCGTCAGTTTTTTTTAATTTTAGCCCTTCTGGTGGGGGTGTGGTATTATCTCACTGTGGCCTTGATTTACATTCCACTGATGGAATGTAAATGAAAATTCCACTTTTTTGTATGTTTATGTTTGTTTGCCATGGGCTAGCTATTTTTGTAAGATTCCTGTTCAAGTCTTTTGCCCATTTTTTATTGGAGTCTTTGTGTGTGTGTGTGTGTGTGTGTGTGTGCATGTACGCGTGCAAGCACGTGTGTAATTCATCTTAACTGAAAATCTCATCTCATGGTTTTCCATTTTTTTCTCTACTCATTACTCCATATTCTTCCTAACCTTTCAAAAACTCAACCTTAACCCCTATTATGATGAACTCTTCAGTTAAAAAATGGAGTTAATTGCTGATATTGAAAAATCAAGAGATGGTATATAAAATCCAGATTTCCAGTTTTTCGGAGAAGTTGGAAGCTCTGGCAAAGCATGGTAGTGGTTGGCAGACTTGAGTGGCGGTTGTCTCCTTTCAATTTGCCACAGTCCCCCTGAGGATGCTCCGCTCACTTCGAACCCATGAGGCCCCTGTGGCCCTGGAGTTTGTGTTCCTGGTTTAACATGGCTGAGCTCATGTCCTTGGTCAGAGAACAGATCCAGAGCCAGACTTTTAGGGTTGAATTGGGGCTCTGTCACTCAGAAGCTCTGTGATCTTGGGAGCTCCTTTAACCTTTCTGTGCCTTAATTTACCCCTCAGTAAATTGCAGCTATTACTGCCTGTCTCTTAAGATAATTGTGAGGATTAAAGGCACTCAGCTCAGTGCCTGGTCGTTGATGAGCATTCAGGAAATAAAATTATTTGGTGCTCACTGAATTTTCACTGGAACTCTGAGATATAACTTAGCTGAAAGGCGTTGTAAAATTATTTTATACTCTAAACACGAATTCCCTCTGGGGCAGGAAACCAGGAGGCTAGGGGGATAGGGGTGAGAGGGAGACTTTTCCCAGAATACTTTTTTGTACCTTTGGATTTGGAAACACACGAGTGTATTAAGTGTTCAAAAGTAAAATGAAACCTGAATAATAAAAATACGTTCTACTTAGGTTCACTGTACCCCAAAACTAAGCTTGCCTTTGTGTCTTGTGCCCCGGTTTCCTCCCCTGCTTCGTTCCTCAGAGCCGACGACCGTGGAGCTCCATGTGGATGGAGTCAGTGACATCTGCACAAAGGGTGGGGACATCAACTTTGTCTTCACTGGGTTCTCTGTGAATGGCAAGGTTTGTCTTTGGAACTTGATTATTTTTCCTGTTCACTCTATAATGTATACTAAATCCTTTTTTAAAAAAATGCAGGATATTTTAACCTGGGGACTTTGATCCCACAAGGGACCCATGGATAAGTGGCAAGTGAGCCTGTGAACTCTGTACTTCATCCGTGTAGAACGCAGCAGGTGTATTTAGGAATGAGATTGAGGTTGCTGGTCATCCCCTCTGCTCCCAGAGCATAGGCTGTTGGTGTTTTTATTTTTTTATTTTTTATTTTGAGACAGGGTCTTGCTCTGTTGCCCAGGCTGGAGTGCAGTGGTGCAATCTTGACTCACTGCAGCCTCCACCTCCCAGGTTCAAGTGATTCTCCTGCCTCACCCTCCCGCTCCTTCACCCTCCCGAGTAGCTAGGATTACAAGTGTGTGCCACCATGCCTGGCTAATTTTTGTATTTTCAGCAGAGATGGGCTTCTGCTGTGTTGGCCAGGCTGGTCTCAAACTCCTGACCTCAGGTGATCCGCCTGCCTCCACTTCCCATAGTGCTGGGATTACAGGTGTACGCTGTGCACCCAGCCGCTGTTAGCGTTTATGTCAGGGATGGCCTTTTACAGGGATGCCGAATTGGAAGGACGCACTCTCTAAGCCTTGTGGCATCTTGCTGTCCCTGTGGGTGAATTGAAGTCAGCTTCTCCCAGAGAGAGCATGCATCTGCTTCTGACACTTACCTAGGAGGATTCCTATTATTTAAGTTCTGAGATTTTTTTGGACCGCCACGGTGGTGTGAATTTAGAGTCCTAATGGGTGTGTGCCCAGCTCCCGCGATTCAGATTCTCAGGGGAGAGTCATTTCTCCTCCACCTGCCCTGTGCCTGCGGTTGAGATGTGCTTCCTTCCTTCCTGTCCTTCTCTTCATGATGGACTTCTTTCTCCTCTACCTTTGCGGTGACGGGGAGGCCCTTCCATCCCAGCTGTATGTGTGGGCTTCTTGTTAGAGATGGGGATCTTGGGTAGTTTTTTCTTTATCGATGGTTTGCAAAATAATGGTGAATCTTTTTTTATTTTTATTTTTATTTATTTATTTTTTTGAGACAGAGTCTCGCTCTGTGGCCTAAGCTGGAGTGCAGTAGCGCAGTCTCTCTCACCACAACCTCCGCCTCCTGGGTTCGAGCAATTCTCCTGCCTCAGCCTCCCCAGTAGCTGGGATTACAGGCGTGTGCCACCTGACCCAGCTAATTTTTATATTTTTATTTTTATGTACATTTACTTTTTTTTTTTTTTTTTTTTAAGATGGAGTCTCCCTCTGTCGCCCAGGCTGGAGTGCAGTGGCGCGATTGCAGCTTACTGCAACCTCCGCCTCCTGGGTTCAAGTGATTCTCCTGCCTCAGCCTCAGGAGTAGCTGGGATTACAAGCATGTGCCATGACGCCCAGCTAATTTTTGTATTTTTAGTAGAGACAGGGTTTCACCATGTTGGCCAGGCTGGTCTCAAACTCCTGACCTCAAGTGGTCTGCCTGCCTCAGCCTCCCAAAGTGCTAGGATTACAGGCGTGAACCACCACACCCGCCCAGACCAATAATGGTGAATCTATAACTGATGATGTCTTAGATTCATTGAAATAGAGTCTTATTTTACTGTTACTGTTCCCTCTCCTACCTCATCCCCAGGAAACATATCCATGATTTATAGCATCTTTTCAATGGGATTCTTGACCCAAAGAGGGTTCCTGGGCTCCACCTGGGAGTTGTAAGCAGGACTGCCAGTGCTTTGAGAGGAGGGTGCTTTGCTGGGTGGGCCCTAACTTTCTTCTCCATGGCAGGTCCTCAGCAAAGGGCAGCCCCTGGGTCCTGCGGGAGTTCAGGTGTCTCTGAGAAACACTGGGACCGAAGCAAAGATCCAGTCCACAGTTACACAGCCTGGCGGAAAGTGAGTAGCGTCCTGTCTCTTAGTGTTGCCTTAGAGCCGGGCTCTGACAGGGGTCATGGAGCTGGGTTTGGGAGTTTGGATTCAGGGAGTTCTGGGTTCAGATCCTGATTCAGCCTCTTTGGGTGAGTTCATGCCCGTCAGAGTGCTGAGTTCCCCACATGTGAAATGGAATCCATTTGACCCATCTTGCCTAGCATTGATGAGATGATTAAATATGAGTTCATACTGGCCAGGCATATTGGCTTGCGCCTATAATGCCAGCACTTTGGGAGGCCAGGATGGGAGGATCACTTGAGTTCAGGAGTTCGAGACCAGCCTGGACAACTTAGGGAGACTCAATCTCCACAAATAATTTAAAAAATTATATCAAGTAGAGTCCCACGGGGGAAGAAAATTAGCTGGGTGTGGTGGCATGCTTCTGTGGTCGCAGCTACTCGGGAGGCTGAGGCGGGAGGATTGCTTGAGCCTGGAAGGTTGAGGCTGCGGTGAGCCGTGATCATGTGCCACTGTGCTCCAGCCTCGGCAGCAGAGCAAGACCCTGTCTGAAACAAACAAAAAAAGAGTTAATACCCATAAAGCACCTGCTTCAAGGCCTGGGGCTTAGTGGGTCTTCATTTAGCAGCTCAGCCTGGCTCTGGAGCCTGCCAGCCCGGGCTTGAATCCCAGCTCCCCCATTTGCTGGCTGGTTGACCTAGGGCAAGTTCCTTAACCCCTCTGTGCCTCAGTTTCCTCTTTTGTAAATGAAGATAATTGTGGAACCTATCTCCTAAGGTACTGGAAAGATGAAATTAATATTATTACTTCAAGCTGCCTGGCATATTAGCTCAAATAGGTTAGCTCAGTTATGATTAGAAAAAATCATTATCATTATTATATCAAAACTGCTTTGTAGTTGGAACAGATGCCTAGCTGACCTTGCTGAGTCAGATTTAAAGCATTTATTTAATGGATGTATATAGTTGAGTTGTAAATGTTAACAGATATGCCAAGATTAATACCAGAATAGTTCAAACTGATAATTCCGAAAGCGTTCAAATCATTACTAACTCCGTTAATATACAAACTAAGTAAATTGCAAAATAGAAGTTTATAATGAGTCTGTCAGTAAGTTATTCAATTTTAAAGTTATTATTGTTGAAACTAGTTTTCATTTTTGAAATAACATTTACTTCTGCTTGACTGGTGCCTCTCCAGGCCTGGTGTGTAGCAGGAATATGAAGCTGTAATTTTTTTTCTGGGCTAGTAATTTGGTGTTGACCTTACTAGAAAAAAATAGTGTCTTGAGCCTTCTGAATACCTTTCATCTGCACTAACTGAAACAATGAAACATGTAGCACTGGGCTATTATGAAAATGAAATAGAAGCTCAATCTTACCAATACTTGTAGTAATGTGATTTCCAAGCCCTATCCAGTTATTGCAGGCAAGATTTGACACAATAAAATACCACAGAAGAAGAAATCAAATGCGTTTTCTAGTTCATTTCACCGGACTTAGCCTTCTCATTTGTCAGTTGCCTTACAAATTTGAAGGGATAAACATGTTAGTATACTGGCAGCAGCATTTCCAGCTTTAGCTCGGCTCACTCTGGTGTTAGTCTGTCTATGGCTAGTAGAGTAATTTTCATCAGCTGCTGGTTTCTTATCTCAGTTGCTTTGTGCAAAAACCCAGAATGACTTATCTGTGTTTCTCTAAAGCCTTTTTTCTGGGATTCAAAGCTTATCATAGTTTACCCTGCCCTGTGTCATTTGCATCATCTTGGGTCAGCGTCCCCCTCAGCCTGTGCATCTGTTCTGTTCTTTTTCACCCCACTTCTCCCTTCCCATGTGTTTCCTTGGACACTTCTGTCCCCTTCTCCTTGTCAGTTCATGCCTGTCACCTCTGTCAAACCCAGTCGAATGTTCTGTGACTGGTCCCTGCTGTGCTGCAAGGATTGGTTTTATGCCAGAAATCCTTGAGATTAAGGGAGACGTAAGCACTCCTCTTTCCGATCAGCACATGGAGCACCCCTCTTGGCACACAGTAAGTGCTCAATAAGCGCTCTTTTATGCAGATTTGTACAGTGAAGGATTGAATTTCATTCATGCTCATTTAACAAGCTAATGGAAGTTTGCGATAATTCCAACATTGTTTTCTTGTGCTGCCAACATTAGTCATAGAATTAGAAATACTTGGGTTGTTTGGAGAAAGTTAAATGGTTATTTTTTATGTCTTAGGTTTGCATTTTTTAAAGTTCTGCCTGGAGATTATGAAATCCTCGCAACTCATCCAACCTGGGCGTTGAAAGAGGTGAGTGACAGCTACGTCTATAGCCATGCCAATAATATGCTGGTCTTGGGACAAATGTAGGGCTTTTCAATTTAGGATATGAAAAGAATTTATGGTTCCTCCAGGACTAGATGAAGAACCAATGGTGCTGTTGTTTAGTTTGGTAGTTATTTATAAGGTGTAACTCCTCACTGTAGCAGATGTTGCTTGTGTTAGTTTCAGTTTTAGGTGACAGTGTTGTCTTCCTGCTGTGAAATAGATCTGTTTTATTAACTATAGCTATTTTAAACTAAATCAACAACAGAAGGCCCTGACGAGATTTATTTGTTGTTCTTTTTTCAGCCTGAAACAGAAATCTGTAAATATACTAAACATTCTAGAAACTGTGGTACGCGTGACCAAGGAGAATGTATGAGAATGTTTATTGCAGCTTTGTTTGTAATAGCAAAATATTGTAAACAACCTAAATGCCTTTTAAGAGAAGAATGGATTGGGGTTCCATCATACAATAGGCTGCTGTATGTCAGCAGTAATGAATGAACCAGAGCTACATATATCAATGTAACTACATTTAAAAACAGAGTTGAAGGAAATATGATTTTAAATACTTGTGATAATCATTTATGGATACAGTCTTTTTTTTTTTTTTTTTTTAAAGACGGAGTCTCGCTCTGTTGCCAAGACTGGAGTGCAGTGGCATGATCTTGGCTTATTGCAACCTCGGCCTTCTGTGTCCAAGCGAGTCTCCGGCTTCAGTCTCCTGAGCAGCTGAATTACAGGGATGTGCCACCACGCCCAGCTAATTTTTGTATTTTTAGTATATATGGGATTTTGCCATGTTGGCCAGGCTGGTCTCGAACTCCTAGCCTCAAATGATCCACCAGCCTCGGGCTCTCAAAGTGGTGGGATTACAGGTATAAACCAGTGCACTCGGCCAGATACAGTCTTTTTTTTTTTTTTTTTTTTTGCAACAGGGTCTTGCTCTGTTGCCCAGGCTAGAGTACAGTGACATATTCATGGCTCATTGCAGCCTCTGGTTCCTGGCCTTAAGCGATCCTTCACCTTGGCTTCCCAAGGATCTGGAACTGCAGGCATGTGCCACTGCCCCTAGCTAAGGATACAGTCTTTTTTTTTTTTGAGATGAAGTCTTGCTCTTGTTGCCCAGGCTGGAGTGCAATGGGGCGATCTCGGCTCATTGCAACCTCCGCCTCTTGGGTTCAAGCGATTCTCCTGCCTCAGCCTCCTGAGTAGCTGGGGTTACAGGTGCCTGCCACCATGCCCAGTTAATTTTTGTATTTTTAGTAGGGACAGGGAGGATACAGTCTTATGTAGAAAAATTATGAAGACATGTATGGGAATAGCAGACGCTGTTCAAAATGATACTGACTTCTAGAGAAAGAGGGAGGAGGGGGACTTCGGGGTATGCCAGCATCTTGAATTGTATTTTTTTAAATTTCTTTAGCTGGTTAGAAGGTATGTAAGTGTTCTTTAGCATATCTTTTTTTGTTTGACTGAAATAGTTTATAGTCAAAGATCAAAAAAGGAACTCCACCTAGTAGGTGAGGTTCTGTAATAGCCGTGAAAGACCAAATTGAAATAAGACTTAAGGGACATCTTGACATGTTAGCTTCTGTGTTAGTATTGAAGCTGTATCTCATTTTTGCTAAAGAAGCATTGGAATCAGTATTTCAGCTTCTACTCTATCTGTTTTATTATTATTTTTACTCTGTAGGTTTTACGCACTTATAATTGATGATAGTTTCACACCTAGATTCTCTTCTTACTGTTTATGACTTTTGGTTTTGGGGGTTTTTCTCTTCTGCAGCAACATTTAAAAATATTTTATTCAAGGCTGGGCGCAGTTGCTCATGCTGTAATTCCAGCATTTTGGGAGGCTGAGGTGGGTGGATCACTTGAGGTCAGGAGTTTGAGACCAACCTGGCCAACATGGTGAAACCGCATCTCTACTAAAAATAGAAAAAAATTAGCCAGGAATGGTGGCATACACCTGTAATCCCAGCTACTCGGGAGGCTGAGGCAGGAGAATCGCTTGAACCTGGGAGGTGGAGGTAGCAGTGAGCCAAGATTGCACCACTGCACTTCAGCTTGGGTGACAGAGTGAGACTCCATCTCAAAAAAAAAAAAAAAAAATTTATTCGAAATGAAAGAGCTTACACATTTATAAATAGAAGAGATTTTAAGGTTTACATTGTATGTTAATTGTCTGCATAGAAGAATCTGAGTTTATTAATATGAGATTGGGATTTTCAAGTAAAGCATGTTGTTAGAAGTCAGGATAATGTTTATCCTCCTGGGGTGTTAGTGACCGGAAGCAAGTGTGAGGGCACTTCTGGCTTGCTGGTGCTATTCTGTTGGGTAACCAGTACCCAATTTGTGACAAGCCCTGTGCTGTGTGCTTAGAATCTGTACACTTTTCTCTGTGTTTATTGTACCTTAACAAAAATGTTTAAAAATATACACATATTGTGAAAAGAACAACTTAAGGCAAATTAAACAGAGTTTAATTGAGCATAGAACAATTTGTCAATTGGGCAGCTCCCTGAGCCAGAATAGGTTTACAGCGACTGTGGCACTGTTGCGTGATTGGAAAGGGTTTATGGACAGAAAAAGAAAGTGACGGACAGAAAGTGGAAGTGAGGTACAGAAACAGTTGGATTGGTTACAGCTGGACGTTTGTCTTATTTGCACATGGTTTGAACAGTTGGCTGCCTGTGAGTAGTTGAAGGGTGGCTGCTTGAATTGGGTGAGACTTGGCAACACGTACAGATAAACCTTTAGGCCAAACTTAAAATATGTAAGGAGGCAGCTTTAGGCTAATCTTCAGTTAACACTATATATCATTAAAAATAGAAAAAAAGGCAAAATATGCTCATTAAAAAAATTGGAACATATAGAGGAATATAAAGCAGTGGAAACAAATTTTGGAAGCTGGAAAAGTATACAAGTAAAATAGCACCATATAGACAAAATCATTATTGTTTACATTTTGCCACATTTCCTTTCACTTCATTTTGGGCATTAAAAAATAATGATAAGCCAGGCACGGTGGCTCACACCTGTAATCCCAGCACTTTGGGAGGCTGAGGCGGGCGGATCACCTGAGGTCAGGAGTTCGAGACCAGCCTGGCCAACACGGTGAAACCCTGTCTCTACTAAAAATACAAAAATTAGCCGGGCGTGGTGGCGAGCACTTGTAATCCCCGCTACTTGGGAGGCTGAGGCAGGAGAATCTCTTGAACCCAGGAGGCAGAGGTTGCAGTGAGCCGAGGTTGCACCATTGCACTCAAGCCTGTGTGACATACTGAGACTCCGTCTCAAGAAAAGAAGTGATCATACTGAATAAGCAATTTTATAGATTACGTTTCCCAGTTAATATTTTAGCTTCAGCATGTCCTCATGTTGTTAGGCACTTTGCAAGTGTTTATTTTTTTACAGGTTAAAATCTTTTTCTGTTACAGGCAAGCACCACAGTGCGTGTAACCAACTCCAATGCCAATGCGGCCAGTCCCCTCATAGTTGCTGGCTACAATGTGTCTGGCTCTGTCCGAAGTGATGGGGAGCCCATGAAAGGCGTGAAGTTTCTTCTCTTTTCTTCTTTAGTAACTAAAGAGGTAAGCAAAGAAAAGAACAAAAGAGATGGTGTGAAGGGTAGGAGGGTGGGGGATTATAGACCAGAACGTACTGTTTTAAAAAATGCAGGTCTGAGTTGATTTATCATTTTAACACTTAAGAATATCGTCTGTCTCAGGCCGGGTGTGGTAGCACATGCCTGTAATCCCAGCACTTTGGGAGGCCAAGGTGGGTGGATCACTTGAGGTCAGGAGTTTTAGACCAGCCTGGCCAACATTATGAAACCCCATCTCTACTAAAAATACAAAAACATTAGCCGGGCATGTTGGCACGTGCCTGTAGTCCCAGCTGCGTGGGAGGCTGAGGCAGTAGAATCGCTTGAACCCAGGAGGTGGAGGTTGCAGTGAGCCAAGATCACACCACTGCACTCCAGCCTGGGTGACAGAGTGAGACTCTCAAAAAAAAAAAAAAAAAATTCAAGAATATCATGTGTCTCTGTTGACTCACAAGACATTGCACATCTACACTGGGAGGCAGTGGTATGTGATGGAAAGTACACAGGCTTTGAAATCAGACCTGGGTTTAAACAAATCTCAGGTTTAAACAAATTCCTCTTCCTAGCTATGCGACCCTGGGCCGGTCACATTACCTTCCTGAGCTTCCGTTTCCTTATTTGGAGAATGGTGACCCATGATAAGGAAGGACAGTCATGTCATCTTTCCCGGGAAGACTGTGCCAGTTTTTAACTTTGCAACTTGAATGTCAAGATTTTTGTTCCTTTTATCTGTATTAATGTGTCTTAGATTTCAGAAATACATATATTGACATGAAACTTAAAAAAATTTTCCTATAATGTGGCTAATTGATGGTATTCAGAACATGTAAATGGAAAAGGAAGTCTTGTCTTTTTTACCCCCTGGCATAGGATGTCCTGGGCTGCAATGTCTCACCAGTGCCTGGGTTCCAGCCCCAAGACGAGAGTCTGGTGTATTTGTGCTACACGGTCTCCAGAGAAGATGGCTCGTTCTCTTTCTATTCCTTGCCAAGTGGGGGCTACACTGTGGTGAGTAAAGCAGATTTCCGTTCTGTTTATGTCTGAGACTCTCATGACACAGTAAAAGCCAATGCTGTTTGGGTGTTAAAGGAAAAGATGGTTGGCCTGCAGTTCTCTGAACACGCTGTTAAGCAGTAACTTACTTAAGATGAGACACTCACCCCTTCGTAATAGCTACAAAAAGGGCAAGGCTTCCTCTTTTCGAATCTGCAACAGTTATGATGAATGTTTCTCTTGGTCTGTCTGAACCCCTTGTCATTTGTGGGCTGCTAGATCGATTATTAATATTGCTGATTGATCATGTTAGTGGTTCTTAGTGATTAACAGACTCTTCCTTCCAGATTCCGTTCTATCGAGGGGAGAGGATTACCTTTGATGTGGCGCCTTCCAGACTTGACTTCACAGTGGAGCATGACAGCTTGAAAATCGAGGTAAGGCTTTTCTGTCTTCTGGAGGGACAGGTGTTTGAGTTCCCATCCCTAGGCACAGGTATTGCAAACATGTTTTAAAAAAAAATCAATTATTTTATCTGGAAGGGCTGTTGGAAAAAATGCCATCTGGTATTATATTCTTACCCATGATGTCCTTATCGTAGAGAGCTGGATTCCTAGTTAAATCTACTCATTCAATGAAATATATTTATTGATTGCCAGTGACATGCATTTCAGGCACCATTCCAGGACTGGGGATATAGCAGTGACCAAAAGAGGCAAAAATTCTTGTCCCTGTGGACCTCATTTTTTTTTTTTTTTTTTTTAAGATAGGGTCTCACTGTGTGGCTCAAGCTGGAGTGCAGTGGTACGATCTCATCTCACTGCAGCCATTGCCTCCAGGGCTCAAGTGATCCTCCCACCTCAGCCTGTTGAGTAGCTGGGACCACAGGCACGTGCCACCATGCCCAGCTAATTTTTGTATTTTTGTTAGAGATGGGGTTTCACCATGTTGCCCAGGCTGTTCTCTAACTCCTGGGTTCAAGTGATCTGCCTGCCTCGGCTTCCCAAAGTGTTGGGATTACAGGTGTGAGCCATCGCACCTGGCTAGACCTCATTTTCTAATGACAGGAAGGGTCAATACATGTATAGATGTATAAGTTAGAAAGTACAGTAGAAGGTGATAAGTGTTCTCTAGAAAAATAAAGGAAGAAAGGAGGTCGTACAGTATCAGGGTGGAGACAGGGGTTGCAGTTGTACATAGGGTGTTTTTGGGAAGTCCTCCCTGTGAAGGTGACATTTGAGCAACAACCTGAAGGGAAAGAACAAGAGAACCATACTTCACTCCTGCAGGAAGAGTGTGTAAGACTGAGGGAACGGCACGTGCAAAGGTCCTGAGGCAGGAGTGTGCTGAAGGGTTTGGGGCATCCCAAGGAGGCCAGGGTGGCTGGAGTGGAGGGAATGAGCAAGGAAGGAGGAGGCGGAAAGAGGGTCAGGGAGGTGACAGGGCAGATTGTGCAGGGCTTGGTGGGCCACTTTGCCTATAACTCTGGGTGAGAATTGGTGCCACTGGAAGGTTCCTAGCAGAGGAGTGGCGTGATCCTTCTGGCAGCTGCATTGAGGAGAGTTTGCAGGGTGTCAGGGTGGAAGTGGGAGACCAGTTGGGATGCCATGGCCGTAAACCAGGTGAGAACTGGCAGAGCTTGGACCGTGGTGGTAGGAATGGGCAGTGTGATACATGGCTTGATAAACTGCCTAGACCCTCACATAAATGGTAAATGTATTTTTCATCTCACTTACGTCTCCTTTAATTACAGAAGTAGAAAATGGTTACTGTAGAAAATTGGCTAGCTAGAACAAATCCCAAAAGAAAATAACAGCCTCTCCTAAGTGGACCACCCAATGTTAGAGTTATCGAAGCAATTATATTTTAATCACTTTCTTTTAATATTACATTTGAAAGTACTGTGTTAAAATCGCTTAAACTGGCAGAAGCGGACTTTTAGGTCATATGCACAGTGGGGTGCAGACTCTGCATTTTAAGATTCAGTGGAGTGTTTGACCGTTCTGCTGTACACTGGAGGGGAAAGAGAAGGGTAAGAAGATGAAGCCTTTACTTTGCTTCTCATAGCTTGCAGAGAAGGATGGGGGCAGGTGAGCAGAGACAGCTATTCCCAGATTACAGCCAAATACATATTTTGAAAATGATGAATGGAATTTCAGGGAATGGGGCCCTGTAAGTTCCCTGAGGTCAGGTACCGTGTCTTATTCTTTACTGTTTTCCTAACGTGTGATTTAGTGCCTGGCACATAGTAGGTGCCCAGCAAAAATATTTGTTGAGTACATATGTGAATTAATAAGTAGGTAATGCATGGAATGAAACATGTCTTTTTGGAAAGATCAAGAAGGACTACCTGTCATGTGAGACCATCACTAAGAAACCATTTGCTGAAAAAAAAATAAAAAAATAAAAAAGAAGGGCTCCCTGCATAAAAAGGAAGTCATTTAATTATTTAAAGCTTCATCTCAAATGCTGTTGCACACGTGCGTGCACACATTCATTCATTCAGGAGTCAGTTATTGAGTGCCTGCTGTGTACCAGGTGACTAAGACAGAAAAAATCCCTGTCTCCATGAGGTAACATGCTAGTGGGAGGGAGACAACTAAGAAATCGAACGAGGACATTTCAGATACTGGTAAGTTTGATGAAGATACTAAAATGGGTTAGCAGTGGTGACCTTGGGGATACACAGATCAGGGCTGGAACTCAGTAACTGCAGAGAAAGCACCGGTGTGCTGCTCACAGGCGAGTGGGGCACAGACACAGACACAGACACATGGAGCATGGGACCACGTGTGAGCCAGTGATGGTGGTGGAGGAGGGTGGTCTAGGTGGATTTCTTTTTTTTTCTTTGAGACAGAGTCTTGCTGCGTCACACAGGCTGGCACTGTCTTGGCTCACTGCAACCTCCGCATCCCGAGTTGAAGCGATTCTCCTGCCTCAGCCTCCCGAGTAGCTGGGATTACAGGCGCCTGCCACCACACCTGGCTAATTTTTGTATTTTTAGTGGAGACAGGGCTTCACCATGTTGGCTAGGCTGGTCTTGGACTCCTGACCTCAAGTGATCTGCCTGCCTCGGCCTCCCAAAGTGCTGGGATTACAGGCGTGAACCACTGCGCCTGGCCTAGGTGGATTTCATAAGGACCTGTGTTCAGGTCGTGGTGGAAAGACAGGAGGGGGCACGTGAGACCTTGCAGAGGTGGAATCCACAGGACTGATCGATGCTGGAGGAGCGGGGCGGGGCATCCAAAGTGATGCCGGGGTGTGCATGGGAGACTGGAGGAAGACGTGGTTCACCAAAATGGGGGCATCTGGAGGGGAGGAGATGGCACCGGGGTAAGGGTGGGGGGCTTCTAGAAGCTTGAGTCAGTGACCTTTTAACGAGGGAAGTAAGTCTCTAGACTTTTCTGTTGTTTGACACTCAGCAGTGTGTTGGGAACACAACAGAGAAGACAGATGTGGGTAAAGTGAGAGGGAGCCTGGCTGGCACACAGGACCGGGGCACTGAGTGTTGGGAGGTGGGCGGCAGGAGCAGACATGGTAGGTGGTGGCCGGCGCAGCAGAAGGAGTCTTTGTGGCTCTGGCACAGGAGCACCTTCGAGCACCTTCTTCTTGTTCTTTGTTTTCTAGCCCGTGTTCCACGTCATGGGATTCTCCGTCACCGGGAGGGTCTTGAACGGACCCGAAGGAGATGGTGTTCCAGAAGCAGTAGTCACCCTGAATAACCAAATCAAAGGTGGGCTGACACAGCAGCCCCAGGCTGATGGCCAGCGCTCTTTTTGGATCACAGAGAGAAATGGAGAGGAACTGATGACTATATGAGAACATGGCAGCTTTTGGTCCAAGTATTCTGGTGTACATGTAAGGATACACTGTTGTTTTTGGCTTATCTTCTGTTTGTGTGTTTTTGTTTTACAGTTAAAACAAAAGCTGATGGCTCATTCCGCCTTGAGAACATAACCACAGGGACATACACCATCCATGCTCAGAAAGAGCACCTCTACTTTGAAACGGTCACCATCAAAATTGCACCGAACACACCTCAGCTGGCTGACATTATTGCAACAGGGTAAGCTTATCGTGTGGATTTGGAAGCGCCAGTAAATATGCTGGCAGCCAGTGTAGAACCGAATGACCTGTGATCTGTGTGTCTTTGCCGAGCTTAAGAACTTAAGAAAGATTAGTACTTTTTTTTTTTTTTTTTTGAGAGACAGAGTCTTGCCCTGTTGCCCAGGCTGTAGTGCAGTGGTGCCATCTCGACTCACTGCAACCTCTGCCTCCCAGGTTCAAGTGATTCTCCTGCCTCAGCTTCCCAAGTAGCTGGGACTACAGGCGTGCCCCACCACACCCAGCTAATTTTTGTATTTTTTAGTAGAGACAGGGTTTCACTATATGTTGTCCAGGCTAGTCTCAAAACTCCTAACCTCAGGCTGTCTGCCTGCTTTGGCCTCCCAAAGTGCTGGGATTATAGGTGTGAGACACTGCACCCGGCCAAGAAAGATTAGTTCTAAATCTTACAAACTGAAGGTACTGACATGTCGGATGCTTAATGAAAAGTCCCTTGCTTCAAATTAAAATGGGCTTGTGAAATTAAAAAATCTTTCATGTCTGACTTTCACGATCTTTCACAGGACCCCTCTTTGCTTAATCTTTGAGGATTTTTGGAAGATGGTATTGTTGGTTGAGAAAGCTTATTGGAAGATGCTTCAGGTCATTGGTGTAGTTCTTCCTGCTTGTAGTTACTCATTATACTATAAGTACAGGCAGGGACATCTTGTGGTTGAATTCATGTGGTTTTACCATCATCTGAAGCAAGATTGTGTAGTGCCAAGAACTTGGGCTTTGGAGTCAGATACCAGATCCACCTGTATGTAACCTGCAGAACAGCTTTAGACATAACAGGTGCTCACAAAACAGTAGCTTAGAAGGAGACTGCAGGGTCTGCTTGGGAGAAGCGCGGCATGAGCAAAGTCAGGCAGTCTCACAGCAGCATGAGGTGGCTGCGGGTGTAAAGCTGGGTGCTACTGAAGCAGAATATACTGGCAGGTGAAGGTGATGATGAGGCCAACCCCATAGCACCTCCTCACACCCCACCGGGGCGTAGGGGCTTTCTCCCACTGGGGCCAACGGGCCATGAGTGGTTTTGAGCATTAATATAACAAGCTTTGATCATTGTTTTCAATAGGGCATTCTGAAAACAATGGCATGGAGTAGAGTGGCTTTGAAGGGGACAGGACTTGGGCACAGGAGCTCTGAAAGCAGAGACGACAAGGGCTTGCCTTGTAGGGAAGTCAGGGACAGACTGGTGAGATATTTAGGGTGCCCAGCTTGAGAGGTGTGATGGCTGGGGACAGAAAGAGAAGCCAGTTAGGTGATGAGGGTTCAGATTTGGCCACATTGGTCTGTAGGACCACTGGGTGGAGCTCTTCAATAGGTACTTGGATGGATGGTAAATCCTGAAGATTTGGCCGCAGGTGGCAGCCAGGACCTCAAATATGTATGTGCAAGTAGAATTAGAAGAACAGTAGGCCAAAAACAGAGTGCCAGGTGGCCCAGGGGGGACCTAGGGAGCATGAGGTCACAGGAGCTAAGAAAGTAAGTTTGGGGTAGGAGGTAGTGCCCAACAGGGAGGTGCAGGGAGCTGGGCCCTGGTGAACACAGTCCCCTGGCTTGATCACTGAGGAGGCCACAGTGACTCTTTTCTGTAGACAGATGGAGGTCGAGGTCAAGGAGTCCAGTGGTGAATGGAAGACAGGGAAGCAAATTACCCTCAGAAAGTAATTCTTGGATTTAAGTCTTTCCCACCTTCCATAAACACTTTGTGCAATTACTCTAGATGAGGCACTGAAAAATGCTTCATACCTAATAATTAATCAAACTAGTGTTCCAGAGATGGGGCTTTCACCCTACCAGGGAGACAGACTGAAGACAAATACATCTGTGGCCAGGCTTAATGCCTCACACCTGTAATCCATCCCAGCACTTTGGGAGGCAGAGGTGGGCGGATCGATTGAGCCCAGGAGTTTGAGACCAGCCTGGGCAACTTGGCAAAACACCATCTCTACCAAAAATGCAAAAATTAGCTAGTTTCATAACCTGGTCTAAAAATAAATAAATAAAGAGATAAAAATTAAAAAATAAAATAACAAGATTTTAAAAAAAGACAAGACAAATACATTTATGCTGCTAAATTATGGCAAGTGTTGTGCAGAGAAGAGATCAGGGTGCTGCAAGAAGAGCTAATTTAGAGTGGGAGCTCTGCAAGGCTCTCTGGGTTGCAGAGACCTTAGTAAAGACTAAAAGTTAGCTAAAGAAAGATCTTCCCTAGTAGAGAAGCAACATGCTCAGAGGCCTGCATAGGATAGGAAGGACCTGAAAGGCAGTCTGCGCAGCTGGAGGAGGTGGGTGAGGTCAGGGAGCTCTGGGGCCTTGTAGCCTTGCTTTGGGATTGGGCTTTGCTCCCTAATGCAGTGGAAACCCGTTAGGAGTTGTCTGTTGGTTGGCCGGGCACGGTGGCTCACGCCTATGATCTCAGCACTTTGGGAGGCTGAGGTGGGCGGATCATGAGGTCAGGAGTTCAAGCCCAGCCTGGCCGCATGGTGAAACCCGGTCTGTACTAAAGATACAAAAGGTTGGCGGGGCATGGTGATGCGCGCCTATAATCCCAGCAACTCAGGAGGCTGAGGCAGGAGAATCGCTTGAACCCGGGAGGCAGGGGTTGCAGTGAGCTGAGATTGCACCATTGCACTCCAGCCTGGGCGACAGGGTGAGATTCCGTCTCAAAAAAAAAAAAAAAAGAGTTATCAGTTGGCAAGGGAGTGATAGGGATCATGGTACTTTAAAAAGTTTGTTTTTCTTCCTGGCTGCTGTGTGGAGAATGGATTGGAGGAAAGCCATGGTGTGAATGGAGGGGCCAGATATGAGGCAGTGGTGGTTGTCTGGAGGAGATATGGTAGTGGCCGGGCCCAGGCGGCTGGCAGGCGAGGGAGCGAGGAGTAGATGGATTTGGTAGGTCACATGGAGAACACACCCACAGGCCTGTGCTGTTGAGGTTACAGGTTTCTTATTTGAGCCACTGGGTAGATGGAGGCGGCGCTGTTCACGGAGATGGAGGAAATATATTTATTTTCTCCTTTAAAGTAGAGTATTTGGGTCAAAGAAAGAAAAATAGCATTTGTTGAACATTTTTGGAAAAATCTCTGTTTTTTAATTGGCCGACGTAGTACATTTGCCTTTTTAGCACACTGATACTTCTTACTATTTCTTTTCCTTTTTATTTTTTTTTTGAGACAGGGTCTTACTCCGTTGCCCAGGCTGGAGTACAGTGGCGCCATCTCGGCTCACTGCAGCCTCCGCCTCTCGGGTTCAAGTGATTCTCCTGCCCCAGCCTCCTGAGTAGCTGGGATTACAGGCTAATTTTTATATTTTTTAGTAGAGATGTGGTTTTGCCGTGTTGGCTAGGCTGGTCTCGAACTCCTGACCTCAAGTGACCCACCCGCCTCGGCTTCCCAAAGTGCTGGGATTACAGGCTGAGCCATGGTGCCTAGTCTTCCTTTAAAGTAAAATAAAAAAATTACTCAATTTATTGTAAAAACAAACTCTTTGGCTTCTGTCCAAATGACTGTGAAAATAGATTTCTCTCAATATCCACCAATATTACCTGTTTCTGTCCATATATGTATTTAAACCCTGTTGAAAGAATTTATTGATACAAATCAATTTTTAAGGGCTTCAGTATAACGGAACCTTTTTCTACCACCCTTTTGGTTTATTTTTCCAGACTAAGCCAGTATAGATTTGAGGTTTAGGGAAAATAGGCACTTCTTTTTAATAAGAATGTGGGCTAAAACAGATCTTATGGTTCAAATATTTACAACTTAAGGAGGCAAAGAGATTTGATAGGAAATAGACAAGGTGATGTGTCCTCTGACAGGTACACAAATCAAGAGAATATGACAGGTCCTTGGGAATGATTGTGTCAGTGTTCGCTTCCCATCCTTTTATTCTGAAAGTTCACAGTAGGGGAATGTGAGAACCAAAATGCATATGCTAGGTCAGGGACTGGGACACTTTCTCTGTGGAGAGCCAGAGAATAACTATTTTAGGCTGCGTGAGCCATACGGTCTCTAGGACAACAGCTGAGATAGACAATTTGTAAATGAATGGGCAGAGCGCAACACAACTACATTTTTGGACACCACAGTTTGCATTTCATGTAATTTTTACATGTGAAATATTATCTTTCTTTTGATTTTTTTTTTTTTAACTTTAACCACTTAAGAGTGTAAAATTCTTTTTCTCGGCTTGCAGTTCATACACAAACGGGAGGGGGGTCCTTGGGTGGTAGTTTGCTGACCCATGCTGGAGATAGTGAGCTCATATGGCTGGGCAGTCCCTTCACTCTGAAGAAATGGCTGTGTTTTTCATGATTCCTAGATTTCACATACACAATCTTCCACCATTTCCTTGTGTTTTCCACTGTTTTTTTTATTTGAGGCGGAGTGGTGGTTCCAACATTTAATGTACCCCTAATTGTCAGAATCCAACATTCTTGATTATCTTTATGTCAGAAGTAACTAATTTTTATCTAAAATGATTCTTGAAGATTCTTTAAAATGAACAGTTGAAAAGACAACTGTGACCCCCAGCTAGGATGTACTATTACACTTTAACACACCAGCTGCTTCAGAAATGAAGACCAGCACTCCAAGGATGATGGTCGTTGTAGGGGGGCCTCTCGTGTGTTATTCGAGGGATGCCTTGCAACACCTTACTCCTTATTTAGAATCTCAAATCTGAAGCATTACCTTAATAGGGCTTTTCAGTTATAAGTTACATTTGTGGCTCCTACCTCCCAAGGAGTTCAATTTTAGCTTTGCATTTTTTAACTTAATTACCTTTTCTGTTCCAATCTCCCTGTTTGCTTTCATCCATGTATTATATATAATCACAAGCAAGGAAGACGTCTTTGATAATCCTGACTTATTTGATGGCCTGGTAATGCCACAGTTTCTTAGGCAGCTTAGAGCTCTTGCTTTTAAGGGCTAGCCCACATTCTCAGTCCAAGGCCGCTCCGCTGTCAACGATCCAATTACCTGAAACGTTTTTATTATCTGCAGATTTTCTTAAAATTGCCTCTGCAGTGGGGGATTGCCAGATGTCACCCGGAACACACAAACAGCCCCACTACGGGCCCCTGTTCTGTAGAAAGATGCCCAGTCTTGCTTCTGAAGGTTGCTTTTTAAAACCAGAATGAAGGTTGCTTTTTAAAACCAGAATCATCTGGACTGCATTCTGTCTCTTCATTAAGATTAGACTATTCTCAGGAACAAGGGCTGGGAGAGGGCTGCATCTTTTTTGGTCTATAAGAGCCTTTCCTGTTATAATTGAGTCCTCGTGCTGGAATGAATGGTCTTCTCTTTGCAGGTTCAGTGTCTGTGGTCAGATATCAATCATTCGCTTCCCCGACACCGTCAAGCAGATGAATAAATACAAAGTTGTCCTGTCATCTCAAGACAAGGACAAGTCTTTGGTCACCGTGGAGACAGATGCTCATGGATCATTTTGTTTTAAAGCAAAACCAGGGACTTACAAAGTGCAGGTGCGATGCATTGTTTTAAATTTAAAATGTTTTGAGAAAAAGCAGTGATTTTTAGAAGGGTTATTAGGTCGAATGGGGTTAGAGAAGGAGCATTCCAGTTTCCAACTTCTTGTTTCTAAGTCTTTACAATCCTGCACCAGTAGAGGAGAGTCAGATAGGCATCCAGCTAAAAAATAATGCCATCTGCCTCTCTTTTTTCCAGTCTTGATGTTTATTAGTATCAGGCTGCCAGTCACTCCTCTACCTTCAGGCTTCTGGCTGCTGTAGAATGTCGATGAGTCCAAGAGGACACCAAAAATGAACTCTACTAATGGCCGCTCAAAAATGGCCATAGTGCGTGGCTTCTGGGACCCCAGGCCAAAATGGAGCTTCCCATTTCCTGCTTTGCCTTGACTTCAAGATGGCTAGGCAGGGACCACGCGACTTATCCATTCAAGCAGGCCGAGAACGGGGAGACGGTCTGGCCTGTGGTCTCATCACCATGGTGAAGGCCCAAGCCACAGCTGGCCCAAGCAAGCAAGAGACAGGACAGAGCAGAGGTCAGCCCACCATGCCTTTCAGTGCAGTGGCCCTGCCCTTGGGGAGAGACTGTTTCCGTGGGCTGTCACCCATCAAATCAGCAGCTGCCCTTCCTCCCTGTGGAAGAGCAAATAACACAAAGGGAGAGGGCCGAGAAGGTTCCCTGTTAGACTCTGCTGTCCTCTAGGGCAAAGTGGGGTCCCTCCCTCTGTGGGAAACAGGGTAGGAGATTGCGTTCTCCCTGCTTCCACAGAACAGCGTGGTGTGTGGGTTGACAGCTGCCTTTATTAGATGGTAGCTGGCTTCTTGCGAAGATGTCCACATTGACAAGTCTTTGGAAGCCCTTTCGGAAGCATGATGGACTTCTCCAAGGAAGGGCAGTGTCGTCTTTACTAGGGATGAAAGAGTTGACCGCTGCTACCTTCACCTGTTCCTCTTCTTAGCCCATGAAAGGCACGCAGAACAATAGGAGGAAGAAAATGACTTAATTCCACCAAAGTGTCATCCACATAGTGTTAACAGGTTCAGAGCTTATGCTACAAGTGATCCGAAGCCGGGAAAAGTGACTGGGATGTAGTATGGTTTCTAGTATGTAAGTGAGGCGTGTCCGCATTGCGGGCCTGTGGGGAATTAGGCCAGATAGACTTTTGTTCATACACATCGGTCTGTTGAGGCTAATTTTTCATCTGGGTAGAACTGTGCTTACTTCACACAAGTTATTCGTGGATTTGTTGTGATTGTAAAATCGGCCTGGAAACGAACCTTTGGCCTTCAAAATCTCTTTAGCCTTGGTCCCAGATGAATGTTCTAGCGCCCTGTAGGTCAGGGGGAAGATCTCCCCGAATGCAGCCTCTAACGTTCCATCCACGTTTCCACAGGTGATGGTTCCTGAGGCAGAAACCAGAGCAGGGCTGACGTTGAAACCCCAGACATTTCCTCTTACTGTGACCAACAGGCCCATGATGGATGTGGCCTTTGTACAGTTCTTGGCATCAGTTTCTGGGAAAGTCTCTTGTTTGGGTAAGATATCACTGGAAAGTAAGAACACATAGTTTCAAAGAAGTCAGCCGGTAGGAGTGGGATTTGGGAAACTTTTCCTTTTGCCTTTGTTGTTTGCTACTGATCACCTGCGTGCGAGGGAGGCTTCTTGGAGTCAAGTGGGTGCATGTTAGCTTGAAAGAAGCACTCCGTCTGCCTCCGGCCACTGCCTCTTAGGAGCTCAGCAGTAGCAAGAAGCTATTACATAGGGTTAGGATTCAAACCTGTGCTGAAGCCTTATAAGGGGTCACATGGAGCCCTCCCTTCTTTTCCCTGCAGACACCTGTGGTGACTTGCTGGTGACTCTACAGTCCCTGAGCCGCCAGGGTGAGAAGCGGAGCCTCCAGCTCTCCGGCAAGGTCAACGCCATGACTTTCACCTTTGACAACGTGCTCCCTGGAAAATACAAAAGTAAGAATTGGAATGCAACATCCTGTGGCCCTCACACACTTCTTGTCTTTGTAAACTTTCTAAAACTCAGGTCTCAAATTGTATCACGACCATGTACCTTTCCTTGTTTTAAGTCGTCTTTGCCTCGTGACCTTGACTGCATTATTTAGCGTTGGACAAGCATGGAGGAGTCCAGGCCCTGAGCTGACCGCCAGCTTGTCTGCACAGCCCACTGGCGGCTTCTGTTAAGGGAGGGTGCCCCGACGTATGGCATTTTATTTCTAAAGCCCAGAGAAAGGAGTGTGAAATAGTTCCACTGATGTGTTCTACTAACTTAGCAGTACTGGTGCTGAGTACTGGCCATGGCAAGGTACTTGACCTCCCTGAAACTCAGTTTTCCCATCTGTAAAATAGACGTAATAGAACCTTTCTGCAGAATATAAGACTAAAAGAAGTAAAGTTTATAAAGCCCGTTGTGCAGAGAGCCAGCTAAGTAGCTGGTGCCCACAAATGTTACTTCCCTTTTCCTTGCCCTTCTTAAGAAGCCACTTCTTGCCTGTATTTCTGCTTTTTCAGAAATCAGCTTGGGGCTGCTGGCAGTGGATAGCTCATAAAACAGACTGCTTTTTCTGGAATTATATTAATATTTTCTGTTATGGCAGGGCTTGGCAGACTACAAAAACTGCCTTTTATAAGCGTAGTTTCCTTAGAATACAGCCTTGCCCATTTGTTTATGGATTCTCTATGGCTGCTCGTGTGTAACAGTGGCCAAGTCGAGTGGTTGAGGCTGACAAAGCATGTGGCCTGCAAAACTGAAAAGAGTTACAGAAAAAGTTTGTGGATCCCTGAATACCTTACTTGCAGCCTGATCTTACAGGCCCCATTAGATTTCTTTCTTGATGTAATGGAAATTGGTTCCAGTTTTTCTTTCTTTTTTTTTTGAAATTTAGCCTCGCTCTGTCACCCAGGCCGGAGTGTGGTGGCGCGACCTTGGCTCACTGCAACCTCTCCGCCTTCTGGGTGCAGGAGATTCTCTTGCCTCAGCTTCCCGAGTAGCTGGGATTACAGGCATGCACCACCATGCCTGGATAACTTTTGTATTTTTAGTAGAGATGGGGTTTTGCTATGTTGGTCAGACTGGTCTTGAACTCCTGGCTTCAAGCCATCCAAGTGCGTCGGCCTCCCAGAGTGCTGGGATTATAGGCATGAGCCACCACGCTCGACTCCAGGTTTTCTTTAGCAGTAATTTATTCCAAATACTGCTAGTTATAAATATATGTATGTGTATATTTCTATCTTTATGTCTACATACACACCTGCTTTTTAAAATTGATTAATTCATGATCATTGTTTCTGGTGGCGTGGAGGGAGGTGGTGTGCTCCACGCCCATGTATCCGTTTTTGGTGTTTGCTTTTGCAGTAAGCATCATGCATGAGGATTGGTGCTGGAAGAACAAGAGCCTGGAGGTGGAAGTGCTGGAGGATGACATGTCTGCAGTTGAGTTCAGGCAGACGGGCTACATGCTGAGATGTTCCCTGTCTCACGCCATCACTCTGGTATGTACGGCTTATTGAGTCTCTTATTTGGAAAAGCGCTCGCCTTGTGGATGTCAAGAAAGACTAACATCCCAGGAATATTGTAAACGTAGGCAAGTTAGATTTCCTTTTCTGCCTCTCCACTCGCCCACCTGTTACGCAACGCATAATCAGGAAGCATTTATACTCTCTCAGTGGAAGGACCCCTGTATTTAGGAGGTTTCCTTGTCCTGGCCCTACACTAAATCTGACTGGTGATTCGGGGTGACCTTTGGTACAGTGCAGAGCACACTGGCTTTATATTATTAGTAATAATAGCTTTGGGTAAATTCGTTTACTGCTTCTCAGCCTCAGTTTTCACCGAAAATTGAGATCTTAATACCTACTTCTCAGGGTTATGGCAGGGCTTAAGTGAACCCTCTTAGGTATCAAAGTGTCCTTGGTGTACACCGCTCTGTACTGCCAAGTGAGTTTCTCTGATATATATATATATATATATATATATATTTTTTTTTTTTTTTTTTTTTTTTTTTTTGAGATGGAGTCTTGCTCTGTTGCCCAGGCTGGAGTGCAGTGGTGCAATCTCGGCTCACTGAAACCTCCGCCTCCCGAGTTCAAGCGATTCTCCTGCTTCAGCCCCCCGAGTAGCTGGGACTAGAGGTGCGTGCCGCCATGCCCAGCTAATTTTTTTCTTTTTTTTTTGTATTTTTGTTAGAGACAGAGTTCCACCATGTTGGCCAGACTGGTCTTAAAACTCCTGACCTCAGGGGATCCACCCGCGTTGGCCTCGCAGAGTGCTAGGATTACAGGTGTGAGCCATTGTGCCCCACCTTCTCTGGTGTATTTGTTCCAGTGCAGGGGAAGAAGCTGTAAACAGGATCTTAGCTTCTTGTTGACTGTGGTCTCTGTGGCCTGAAAGGCAGTGTGAAATGGGTTTCAGGAGCACCTCCGTAGATCCCTTCGTGAATTTTCTATAATGTTTTGATGTCGAGCGGCGGCAGATGTCATCGTCAGGTCTTAGTTTCTCTGTAGAGAAACTAGAAGAATTGGAACTGGTGTTTCATGTGCCAACTTACTCCCCTAACTGCTTAATTACAAAAACTCGACAGGTCGATTTGTTATAGGAGATCGATTAATATCCGGTTCATAATAAGTGATAGATATTTAGGAAACCTTTCCCTTCCAGCAGTGGAGTGGATTTCCAGCTCTCTTGTAATAAGATCCTTTTTTTTTTTTTTTTGACACTTCCTTAACCCCTTCTTTATCTCCTCCCACTGTCCCCTCACTCGCCGGGCCCCAGCCACAGTGGTCCTCTGCAGTCCCACACCAAGCTCACTCCCTCCTCGGGGCCTTTGCACATACTCTCCCCTCTGCCTGGAGTGCTGTGTCTTCTCCAGAAACACGTGTTGTTGGTTTTTCCTCCTCATTCAGGTGCAGCCCTATTGTTCAGGAGAGATGTGCCCTGGGACCAGCGAGCTAAAGACCCCTCGGTGGGGATTGTTCTTCTCTTGCTTTCCTGTTTATTTTCACAGCTTCGTTACTGACCAGTTGAGATCACTAATTTATTTGTTGATGCGTTGATTTTGTCTTCCTGTATTAGAACATAAGCCCTGTGAGAGCAGGAGCCATGGTCATGACTCCCAAGGCCCAGCCTTGTGTCTGTCACATAGCAGGTGCTCAATAAATATTAGTTGATTGAATGAAAAATAGCACACTTTTGTTGGAAGTTTTGGGAGGTTTTTAATTTTCCTGTGGCACCCAACTGCTCCAATGATTAATGGGCAAAACAGATGACTGGTTTGGAAAGAGAAATATTATTAATCATCTTGGTGTCTCCATCTCTCTTAGTAGTCATTGTATTGGCTTTGCTTCCTTAGGAATTTTATCAGGATGGAAATGGGCGTGAGAATGTGGGGATTTATAACCTCTCCAAAGGAGTCAACCGATTCTGCCTGTCCAAGCCTGGTAAGTTTGGAAGGATTGATGTGCCATGAATTAGAAAAATGGAAAGGCACCAGAGGATGGTTTTGAAGGCATTTTTTTCTACCTTAGTTCTGTTTGCATCAAGCTTTCAATTTCTGTGTGTTCAACCTGCTCTTGTTTTTCTGTCTGTCTTGGGTTTGAGTTGGGTAGACACCACTGGGCCCTTTCACCTCCAAAAATATACCATTGGCCAATGGCCTCTCTTTATAGAGCTGTTTTAAAATTTGAATCATTTCCCACTTTGCTTAAAATCTTTCAGTGGCTTCTCGCTCTTTCTCATTTTTTTTTCTCTTTTTTTTTTTTGAGATGGAGTCTTGCTCTGTCACCCAGGCTGGAGTGTAGTGGCTTGATCTTGGCTCACTGCAGCCTCCGCCTCCTGGGTTCAAGCGATTCCCCTGCCTCAGCCTCTCGAGTAGCTGGGATTACAGGTGCCCACCACCACATCCGGCTAATTTTTGTATTTTTAGTAGGGATGGGTTTCACCACATTGTCCAGGCTGGTCTCAAACTCCTGACCTAAAGTGATCCGCCCGCCTCAGCCTCCCAAAGTGCTGGGATTACAGGTGTGAGCTGCTGCACCCAACCTTCTCTCTCTTTTATAATGGCTTTTTTTGGAGGCAGAATTTGCATATCATAAAACTCACCTATTTAAGATGTACAATAAAATGATTTGTAGTAAATTTATCAAGTTGCACAACCATGGCCAGAATCCAGTTTTAGATTTGTTCATCACCCACAATGTAAGATCCTCTGTGCCCGTTGACAGTTAATCCCTGTTTCTAGCCATGGCCAGCCACTGATCTATTTTCTGTCCCCATGGATTGGCTTTTTTTGGACGTTTATCATACGATGCTGGTATTTTGTTTGGCTTCTTTTATTTAACATGTTTTTGAAGTTTATCTGTGTCATGGCACATATCAGTAGTTTGTTCTGTTACATTGCTGTGTAGTATTCTGGTGTGTGGTTATATCATATTTTGTGTATCCATTTATCAGTTGGTGGATATTTGAGTGGTTTCCAGTTTGACGCTGTTATGACTAATGTTACGGACATTCTTGTACAAGTCTTTGTGTCCGTATGTTTTCATTTTTCTTGTTTCGATACCTGGGAATGGAATTGCTGCATTGTGTGATAAGTTTATGTTTAACCTTTTAAGAAACTGTCAAATTGTTTTCCACAGAGGCTGTGTCGTTTGATATTCCCACCAGCAATGCACGAGGGTTCCGGTTTCTTCACCTCCTTCGCCAACATTTGTTATTGTCTGTTTTATTATAGTCATCTTGGTAGATGTGAAGTCGTGTCTCATGGTGGTTTTGTTTTGCATTTTCCTAATGAATAATTCAGTGGCTCCTCTGTTTGGTTCCCAAGATAAAATACAAACTCCTTAACCTGATCTTAGCTCCTGTGTAACCCAGCCCTGTCTGCCACTGTCTCTACTCCAGCCACTCTGTCCTTCTGGGTGTCAGTTCAGCTGCCTTTGGCTACATGTAACAAAATCCATACAGCAGTGCCATTGGCAAGTGGTAGTTTATTTGGCTCAATAAAGAAGTGTGGCAGTGCGTGGCTGCCAGCATGGGTTCAGCAGCTGGTAGATGTTAGGGGTGGTGTCTTTGTGATTCTTTAGGCCTTTCCCTTCTATTTTTTGCCTTGTATTTTCAAGATGGCTGTTGTTAGAAAACTTATGTTTAAAGGAGAAAGTCAAGGAGAGGGCAGGCAAACATTTCCTTGCGCCCTCTCCTCCAGTAAGCTACTTGTCTGTATTATTGGCCAGAACCGTGCCACATGGTTACTTCTAGCTGCAAGGGAGGCTGGGACAGTTGGATGTGCTACCCGAGGCTGAGCACGTTGCCACCCTCAACATAACCAGGGTTTGTTCTCAAGGCAGGAAGGATGCCTGTTGAGGAAACAATGAGCCAGCCTGTGAGGCAGATGCTGTTCTCTGTGGACATGTCCTCCTGCCCCTCCTAGCTGGGGCCTTCTTACCCATCAGTTCAGTATTGCTTCCCTGGGGAAGGATGGCCTCCAGGGCCACTTAGGCCTGCCTCCTACACTCTTGCTATCAGCACTCACTTCTATCCCCTTCTTGCATGTGCCACAATTGATATGTTTGTGGCTGTCAAATGCTCCCCCTCTCTGTGGATGGTAAACTCCATGAAGACAGGGACCACTGCTCTGTCATTCCCCACTGTGTACCAGTACCTAGCATAATACCTGGCCAGGAAGAGGTGCTCTGTCGATATTTGTTGAATGAAAGACCAAACAAAACAAACAGAGAAACCTGATTTTTTTTTTTTTTTTGATGGTAACTACTCTGGGGCTTGTTGAGTGCAATGAAAACAGCAGGGTGGTTTTAGCTAATTTCAGGTTTTTGTAGGAAGTGTGGCCAAAATATTGGTTAATGATGATTTGGGGGAAATACATTGTTATTCCTTGTATCTTCCTGAAATTGACTGTGTTCCTCTGGCAAGTGATGAAATGTACCCCTAGCCGGAGTGTCCTCCCACACAGACTCACACTTTTCTGGGGCTTCCCTTACTCCTTACCTCCTTTTTAGGAATATTTATAGGAAGAAATTGAGGCTGTGGTTATCTCTTGGATCCTTAATAGAATCTTTTAAGTAGGAAATTATCCTCAGTCCAATTTGCAGTAGAAACGTACTTTCTGTTCCTTCTCGTGCATGGGTCCGTTCACCTGGTCTGTGCAGATTTAACTACTGTGAGTTGTTACCTTATGGAAAATGAAAATCATGCGCCTGTGATCGCGCCATTGCATGGATCGGGTTATTGGTAAGACGCCTTCATAGGCAGTGAAAACGATGCCTGCCCAGTATTTCTGATCCCATTATTGCAGATCTGCGATACGTTTGAGTTTTCACATGCAAAGAGCTGCCACTCGATTTCAGATGTCGGAATTGCTCGGTGTAATAGATGCCATTCTCTGAAAATTACTTTTGATTTCCTGTCTGTAGGTGTGTACAAAGTGACCCCTCGCTCCTGCCACCGGTTTGAGCAAGCGTTCTACACCTATGACACGTAAGCCTGGGAATTGAATGCTTTGTGGTGTTTGTATACATTCCGTGGAGGATTCTTCATTTACTTCAGAGAACAAAAGGAGTTTTTCTGTTTTTTTTTCTGAAAGAGGCAAGGTTAGGCCTTCAACAGCATTTCTAGATAAGGATTTTAAGACACTTGGATTAGTTACTGAGGAACCGGAGACAGGATCCCTTTCCCAAGAATTCTGTAACCCCAGGATAGAGGGCTGTGTTTTTGAAGTGCCTTAAATAGAAGCTTTGTCAAATCTCCCAGCCCTCACCGATGGGCGTCTGTCAAGTTCAAGTCTGCCATTTTTGTATTTTTACAGAAGTGTGTGGGTTTCACTGGGAATTGGAAGCATAAAGTTGTGGAGTGGAGAATTAGTTTACTCTTTAAAATACTTCTCTGGATCTCCAGAGTTATTTTACCCCAGACTAAGAGCAATTTTCTGTAGTATATTTAGGGTGAAGAAGGATGCCCAAAAAGGGTATTGCTGATGATCTTCTGAGAATGAGTAGGTTCTAGCGTTTCCTCTGCTTTGATTTGTAGGTCTTCACCTAGTATCTTGACATTGACAGCCATTCGCCACCATGTCCTTGGAACTATCACCACCGACAAAATGATGGATGTCACTGTGACTATCAAGTAAGATGAGCGTTCTGCAGTGGGCCGAGAGTGGCGGGAGAGGGTGTGGATGAGGCCTGGGGAGTCTCTAATAGGCTCTCTGGAAATTAGTTTTGATTTCTTATCTCTAGATGTATATACAAATGGCCTTCCCTCTCTTATAGGACATTGCCGTCAATTCCCAGCAGCCTTGATCCTTTCCTTTTCTGATTCAGAAATTACCTGTGGGTGAGGAAGAGCGTTGCGACAGCTTGTTTCAGTGTCTTCAATTTCTGTTTGAACTCTTTGTACTTCTCATCTTTGCTAAGGAAAAAAAAAATCTCTGGGGTTTGTGCATTGTATTTCAAGTGTTTTAGCAAATTCAAATTGCCTATTTTTCTTTAGACTTTTGCTTGAAGGCTTGGGAAATAGAGATGGCACCTGGTATAAGAGAAGGGTCGTGAGAGAGGAAGTATTTGAAAGGCAAGTCCCTCACCGAAGGTCACGTTCATGTGAATGTCACCTTTCAGGGAATTTTTGCAGTGTGGTGAGGTACCTGTGACGCCCCAATTTTCTTGAGAAATGAACGAGTTTTGGCAACATGACCGTCTCTGTCAAGTAGAATGGGCATTGCAGTCCCTGTCTCCCTCCTGCCCCTGGTTGAAGTCACCTTTCCAGCTATGTTTCCATCTTTCTGTCCACCATCTGTTTATCCATCCGTCATCCCTGCAGAGTACATGATGACTGAAAAACTGAGAGTCTTCAGTGTTTAGGCACTGGGCTTATGAGGCCACAGCCCCTACACTTATGGGATTGACAGTCTCATGGGGGGAACAGTGGTCAGATACTCACATGCAGAACCGTAAATGACAACTGTTCTGAGTGCTTTGAGCTTGACCTTGGGGGCATGCAGGACAGGTAGGCTGCGGGGGGCCAGGCCATGTTAAGGTCCATAGTCTTTGTCCCATGATGCAATTGACATGTTTTACATAGAGGAATGACATTTTTCTTCCTGAAAGGTCCCCCTATTGGCCGAGTGGAGAACAGACAGAAGAGGCCTGAGAGTGGGAGGTGGTGGAGGCAGGGGGAGGCAATGGGGGCCCCAGACTAGTGGCTGCGGAGATGGAGAGCGACGGACTGGTCGGAGAGTCGTTGAGGGACTGAGTTGATGAGACATGGCACTAAAGTGACCACTGGGTTAGGGCGGGAGAAATGTCAGGGCTGGCCCTGGTTTCTGGTGATGGGGAGCCAGGTTTTTAGCTGGGGGTGGATTTGCCGAAGGTCTGTTGCTGTCTTTTACTATCATTTACTGTCTCCCTGCTTGGAAAGTATGAATTACTGATAGGACTAGCAATCTACCTTCTTACCAGTAGTAACTGCATATTACCTCCTTTCAGCTTGATTACATTCATTTTTGTAACTTCACAAGGGTGTTTGTGTTGCTTGCTTGTGCCGGAGGTTGTATGGAATGCATCTTCCAGCTAGACAGAGCCACTCGGATTCCCCCTGGGGATCTTGTACTCAGCAGACCCAAAACCCGACTGCTGACAGTTGCCCTCCATGAGCCCCTCTGTGGTCTTTTCTGATTCAGATATGGCAGCTCCCGCTTTCTCCTTGTTTCTTGATTCTTATTTCCCTTGAACCCTAGGCCCAGCCAATTCCCCAACAAAGCCTTGGCTTTACAATCAAAATACACCCGTCATCTAGTCCCTTTTTACCACTTGGCCCTCAGCCTTGGTCTGACCCCCCTCTGGGGTCACTGTAGCAGCTTCCCAGCTGGGCTTCGCTTCTTACCACGTGGCCCTCAGCCCTGGTCTGACCCCCCTCTGGGGTCACTGCAGCAGCTTCCCAGCTGGCCTTCCTGTTTCCGCCATTGCTTTGTGTATTTTCCATGAAGGAGCGAACGATTTCTTTTATCATACCATTCCTCGACTGAAAACTCCAGTGGCTCCAGGTCGGCACCAAGCCTGTGAAGCCTCAGTCTGACATCTGCTGCCCCTTGGACCTCTCTGTTGGATATGACTCTTCCGTGGGCCCCTGTGCCCCAGGCTGGACTGGTGTTGCCATTGCTTGAACATCTGAGTGAGCTTTCTCTCCAAGGACTTTGCACTTGGCATCGCTTTTCCCAAGCTACTGTTTACCCAGAGAGCTGCGTGGCGCATTCTCTCCCTTCCTTCAGACCTTTGCTCAACGTCACCTTATCAGAAAGGCCTTGACTGTCCCTTTAATGTAAAACAGTGCTCCGGGCTCTCCGTCTTCCCACACTGCTTTATTTTTCTTTATTGCACTTTTCCTCTGGTATTATTTTTCTCTTTATTTTCAGCCCCTTCCCATTGAAACGTGGATTCCACAGGGGTAGGAAGTGTGGTCTGTTTTGTTGATGCTGTATCCTTGGTGCCTAGTTCTCTATCAGAGCAGTTCTCAGCGAAGGTAGAATGGAGAACAGAGGATGGTGGTGTGGAGAAAACTCCATGTCCTACATGGAAGCTACAAGCTTATATCCAGTCGCCATAAAATCAACCGTATTTCATTCCAGCCCAGATCTACCAGATACTGCCACCATCACTGCGAAGCTCAGTTGTTATTTTTTGTGAAACTACTAGTTTATTTAAAACAGAAGACTCCGCCACTGTGGTGTCATGATAAGATGTCCAGTTTGTAACTCGCAAGTCCATACTCGTAGAAAGGTCAAATTCCCACTGACCACAAGGATACGCAACTATGTCCTAGGGGCCGTCTTTCTTCTAGGTCTTCCATCGACAGTGAACCCGCCTTGGTCTTAGGCCCTCTGAAGTCTGTGCAGGAGCTGCGGAGGGAGCAGCAGCTGGCTGAGATCGAGGCCCGCAGGCAGGAGAGGGAGAAAAACGGCAATGAGGAAGGCGAAGAAAGAATGACCAAGCCTCCCGTGCAGGAGATGGTAGATGAGTTACAAGGCCCCTTCTCGTATGATTTCTCTTACTGGGCGCGGTAAGCTCTCTTGTGCGTTTCCCTACAGTGTCCTCTGTTTTGTGGGGACAGGACCCGCCAAACTGAAGTATATTAATTATTTTAGGTCTGGAGAGAAAATCACTGTTACACCGTCATCTAAAGAGCTGCTCTTTTATCCCCCTTCAATGGAAGCCGTTGTCAGTGGAGGTAAATGTCAACTCAGCGAGCGAATGTCACACACACCTTTGCAGTTGTTCCCTTGCCTGCATTTACAAGTAGATTTGTGATGTTATAGTGAAGCCATCTTTGTAAGCCACCTTACATCCTCTCTGGCACACAGATGTTACTGTTGGTTGGATGGATGGATGGATGGATGGATGGTTGGGTTGGATGGATGGATGGATGGATGGATGGATGGATGGATGGATGAATGAATGAATGATTTAGATAAATAAAAGTAACTTTTGCTGTTAGAATTGAGTTGATCTTTTTGGAAAAGGACTTGGTTTTCTTTGACATTATCAGGTCGACACCAGAAGGTAGATGAAGCACAAAGCTGCCAGTGATGATCTTTAATGATCTTTCTGTTGTTCGGCAGAGCATGATGGGAGGGTCTTTTTTTGGGGAATGGATGACTGAAGTGATCACTTGTGGAGTATTTGTCTTTTGCCACTTATTATTTTTTTCCCAGCACTCTGGCTTCGTTAAGTTGTGGGTGTTATGTGGTTCGTGTTTGGAAGCAGAGGGTGTTGAAGAGCGTGACTTCTAGCAGGCAGGCTGTTTGGGGCGGTCTTTCTCAGTGGGTCCTCCAGAGGCTGAGCAGCACGGCCTCCTGTCTGCTGTAAAGTGTTCCCTCCTGATCTGTGGCCTCCTGAGAACCTAGGAAGACTAGTAGTAAAAACCCAGCCTTCAGCGTTTTTTGATTCTCTTGCTAAAGTCCTTCACACTGAGAAAGGCCTTTCAGGGATGGAAAGAGGCTTGGGCTGTATCCGATTATTGAGCTCCCCGGGGTGTTAAATAACCGCATTTGGAACTAGCTTCTAAGATCTGTTTTAGCCACTTTTGTCATGGGAAACCCCCAACCAAGAAGCTCCTGTCTCTGCTACCAAGCCCCATCCTTGTGTTTATTTCTTCCCCTCTTAGAAAGCTGCCCAGGGAAGCTGATCGAGATCCATGGGAAGGCAGGCCTGTTTTTAGAAGGCCAGATCCACCCCGAGTTGGAAGGAGTCGAGATTGTCATCAGTGAAAAGGGGGCAAGTTCACCGCTGATCACAGTCTTTACTGATGACAAAGGTGCCTACAGGTGAGCCCGGGATAGAGACACATGTGCCTGGGATCAGCGTGGGAGTCCTCTGAAGAAACTGGGGCCCACATTTCCTTGGGCTTGGTAAGGCTTCCTGCAGGGTGTGAACAAAGCCGTTGCTAGCATTCTGCTCTCTCCTCTTCAGTGTTGGCCCCCTGCACAGTGACCTGGAGTACACGGTGACCTCACAGAAGGAGGGCTATGTTCTGACTGCGGTGGAAGGAACCATCGGAGACTTCAAGGCCTATGCCCTGGCAGGCGTAAGCTTTGAGGTAACTAACACTGTATTTTCAAAAGGCAGTTATACTGAGGTATAATTAACATATAATAAACTGCACAAAAAGGGTACAGTGTGGTAGTCTTGACCTAGGAATACACCCATGAAAACACCTCCACAATTAAAATAGCACATCTGTGGCCCTCAAGGTTTCCTCTTGCCCCTTGGTAATCCCTCCCTGCCACCCTTCCGCTGAGCTGATGATCTGCTTTTCATCACCATTGGTTAGTTTGCATTTTCGAGTTTTTATAGGTTGGTGCAAAAGTGATTGTGGTTTTTGCCATTGAGAATAATGGCAGAAACCGCAATCACTTTTGCACCAACCTGTATATAAATGGAATCAAACGGGATATACTGTTGTTTTTTTTTTTTTTTTGGTCTGACTTCTTTCACGTAGCATAATTTGGAGAGCTGTTGACTTTAGCATGTTTGTGTACCTTCTGGGAAGTAGTTAAAGCTGTCATCCATAACTGTTCCATTTTGAAGGACACAGAATGTTCTTACTGAGGCGTTTGCTGCCTAGCTCCCTTCCACCGGTCCTTTCTGGGAAGAAGCGTGCTGCGATTGTACAGAGTGGGTCTGGAGATCGTTGAGAATGAATATTTATAAACTATAGGCCAAAGGAAAAGAGTGACAGATTACATCGCATAAAAATTTAAAATTCTATATTGCTGAATACATTTGGAACCAAACTGAAAGATATTCAAACTCGGAAGAAATGTTTGTATCATAAATAATATCCCCATTTTACAAGGAGCTCCTAAGATTGGTAAGAAAAAGACAACCCGCTAGAAAAAAAATGAACAAAGATTATGAAAAGGAAATTCATGCAAGTAACGCAGGTGACTAATAAACACAGAAACACAAAGCCTCTGTAGTTACTGAGGAAATGTGCTAAGGAAGTTACAGTCGAAACACTGTTTTGCAGGGATTAGATTTGCTGTAATTAAGACAATCTCTATTTTTTGGTAAGTGTGGGTTTTCCCAAGCATAAATAATTTATGGGACTGTAAGTGGTTACAGCCACTTTGGAATGCAATTAGATAGTATCTTTCTGAATTTAAAGTGCATGTATCCAACAATTCTACTTCTAGGAATGGATTGTTCAGGAAATAAAAATTAAGTGCCTAGAGATACATATTTGGGGATATTCCAATTGTCTCTTGTGTACCACAAGAGTAGGTGCTGTGGTTTGTCAAACCCTGCCTTAGAATGCTATGCAGTAGTTAAGAAACAGGCAGATTTCTATTGGCTGGCAGAAGAGAACCAGGATAAATTGTTGAGGAAGAGAGCAAGAACTGTACATATAACATGCCATTTTTATTTCACCTCCTCCACCCACTCAATGAACTTGCCAGTCTGTGAACAATAATATGTAATGTTTATAAAATTTGTGTGGGCATAGAAAGAGTTCTGGGCGGGGCACGGTGGCTCATGCCTCTAATCCCAGCACTTTGGGAGGCCCAGGCATGTGGATTGCTTGAGCCCAGTAGTTTGAGATCAGCCTGGGCAACGTGGCAAGACCCGTCTCTATAAAAAATACAGAAATGTAGTTGGGCATGGTGGTGTGCGCCTATAGTCCCATCTCCTCAGGAGGTTAAAGCTGAAGGATTGCTTGAGCTTGGGAGGCGAAGGTTGTAGTGAGCCCAGGTTGTGCCACTGCACTCCAGCCTGGGTGACAGAGCAAGACCCTGTCTCAAAAAAAAAAAAAAAAAAAAAAAAAAAAGTTCTAGAAGGCTACACACCAAACTTACAAAACTTACAACAGTAGTTACCTGTGGGGAGGAAGATTAGGTCCCCTGTCCTCCTTTGAGTAACAATAAAAGAAAAAAACCTTGAAAAAATGACCTCTTGACTTGTGGAACTGTTATTTTCATAGTTAGTAGGAGTTTAACCTTGCTCTGGTCTCACCTTCTCATCCCCAGATAAAAGCTGAGGATGACCAGCCCCTCCCGGGAGTCCTCTTATCCCTGAGCGGTGGCCTGTTTCGTTCCAACCTCTTGACCCAGGACAACGGCATTCTGACATTCTCAAACCTGGTAACGTGTTCTGCAATTTACCACCTGCCTGTCTTCCCTGAGAGAGAGCCAGGATGCAGCATGCGAGACTTACGTGTTGCTTGACAACGTGAGAAGAGAAAGCCAATGTGGAGTGGTTTCAGTTTCTTGGGGGCCCACGGTCATTAGAGTATTGCTCTTACTCGAACTTAATGCTGCTGATTCATGTTCCCTTCCACACGCGCTTCTTGTTTTCTGATCACCCACTTGTCACTAAGACAGTGTAATTAATTTCCCTGGCCACAACGGCTGCTCTCTTAGGCATCTTCTCGTTTTGCCACGGAATCATGCTTATGATGCTGAGTCTTGTTTGGTGGTTAGCTTGCGTTTCTTCTGAAAAGACATTCCACTTGGTGGGAAGAGAGCAGCAGTTTTTCTTTCAAGATGCAGTCGGAGGCCCTGACTGGTGGGGATTCAGGAAGTGTGTGTTAGTTGGTCATCTTGTCAGTCATGGTGACAAAGTGGCTGTGGTGGGGCTACTGGAGACCGGGCAGCGGGGGCATCTGAAGACACCACTTTGCAGTGATGCAGACTGCTCCTTACTTGCTGTGTCCTATCAGGCAAGTTACTTTGCCTCTCTGAGCCTCAGTTTCTTTATTCATTAAATTCAAATATGAGCCAGGTATGGTGGCCCACGCCTGTAATCCCACCGCTTTGGGAGGGTGAGGCAGTAGGATCGCTTGAGCTTGGGAGTTTGAGACCAGCAACATAGGAAGACCCCATCTCTACAAAAAATAAAAAAATTAGCTGGGCATGGTGGTGCATGCCTGTGGTCCCAGGTACTCAGGAGGCCGAGGTGGGAGATTTGCTTGAGCCCAGAAGGTTGAGACTACGGTGTGCTGTGATCGTGCACTCCATCCTGGGGGACAGAGTCAGGCCCTGTCTCAGAAAAAAAAAAAAAAAAAAGAAAAGAAAAATTAAATATGACTTCTACCTCTCTGAGTCATTGCAGGCAGGTGATACCATCAGCTGCCGTTGTTAGAGTTGTGATTGCCACTACCTGACTGTGAGTGGTGATTATAGAGAGAGGGTTACTATTTCTGGCTGCCAGGGAAGCCATGGCGCTCCCCTGGTGTAATTCTGGTCCATCGTGACATTCGCCCCTCACTTTTAAGCCATGCCTAGATGTGGCTGCTGAGGCTCAGTGTGATTATCTTGGTAGAGCCCTGGCCAGTATTACTTCAAACCCATGATGAAGGAGTTCCGGTTTGAGCCATCCTCACAGATGATCGAGGTGCAGGAAGGCCAGAACCTGAAGATCACCATCACGGGGTACCGAACCGCTTACAGGTAAGTGCCCTGGCCACCCCACTCTCTTCCAGGGCTGGGCTGGTGAATCACATTCAGGCCTCTGTTGCCTGGAAACGCATCCCAGGCTTCACACTGATTTTACTTGGGAGGGAAGGGAGATGAGATATGAGGGCAAAGGAGTTTTGACTGCTGCCCTTCTCTCCTAGGAGCTCAACCTGGTGGTTCAGTCTCAAATTTCCTATTTTGGAATTGGCTTGAGAGAGCCTATTGAGTTGCTAAAAGCTTTTATTTATTTTTTATTTTTTGAGACGGGGTTTCATTCTTCTTGCCCAGGCTGGAGTACAATGGCGCAGCCTTGGCTCACTGCAACCTCTGCCTCCTGGGTTCCAGCAATTCTCTTGTCCTGGCCTCCCAAGTAGCTGGGACTGCCACCATGCATGGCTAATTTTTCTATTTTTAGTAGAGACAAGATTTCACTTTGTTGGCCAGGTTGGTCTCGGACTCCTGATCTCAGATGATCTGCCTGCCTCGGTCTCCCAAAGTGTTGGGATTACAGGCGTGAGCCACCGCGCCTGGCCACTTTTATTTTTTAAAAGAGTTTCAAACCTGAATTAAATTATTAAAAGGAGAAAATGTGCTCAGTTGAATAAAACTTCAAAATGCTGAAAAGAGTATAGTGTAAAATTTCCCCTCTGTCTCGTCTCCTAGCCACCCAAGTTCCTCTTCTGGGAGACAACCAGTACTTCCAGTTTTTCTGAATGCTCCCAGCTGTAGATAGATAGATACACATGAGTGTCTGGCAAGGCACAGTGGCTCACACCTATAATCCCAGCACTTTTGGAGGCTGAAGTGGGAAGTTCTCTTGAGTCTGGAAGTTCAAGACCAGCCTAGGCAACATAGCAAGACCCCGTCTCTACAAAAAAATAAAAATACAAAATAAAAAAGATACACATCTATAGATAGAGAGATGCATACATATATACATGTATACACACAGATACACACATATATGTGTATTTTTTGTAGACTTATACAGAATCACTTTAGAGGAAGAGTAATTGGAAAGATTGGGTTTAGAAAAATGGACCATTTTCTACTGAATATATGGAGTGAAAGAGGAAGTGAGTTATTTCCATGTTATTGAAAGCTCCATTATTTCAAATAAAGCCTAGAAAGAATAAAATAAAGCTTTAGCCTTCTTAAATTACAATTTTCCAGAGCATCCCTCAAAATGTATGAGAAAAGAAATTGATGGCAGCTTATCCCTCCGGCAGGAAGGTGTGGTTTGGAAGTGGGCCGGCCACACTGAGTTGCCTGGGTCATTGAGGCACAGTTATCCCCTGAACTATTTTGCCCCATAATTGTTGGTAAACGGGAAACACTTGGGTCCTTCAGATAACCATGAGAATATCTCATTCGTGCCTGTTCTTGCCATACTAGTTGCTATGGCACAGTGTCTTCCTTAAACGGAGAGCCCGAACAAGGGGTTGCCATGGAAGCGGTGGGCCAGAACGACTGCAGCATTTACGGAGAAGACACCGTGACAGACGAAGAGGGCAAGTTCAGATTACGTGGATTGCTGGTGAGACTTGGAATGGGTTTTCTTTGGGGACTTTTTTTTCATCCTGTGTCCAGAAGTATCTTGTGGTGGCCCCAAGACTGCTAGGAGTGGGTTGGGCGAGAGGGCTGGGGGTGGGGCTCTGGAGCCCTCCCAGTTCTTACCTTTAATTGGTAGAGTTTGCCTTTTTTCTAGCCAACAGGTCAGATCAAGGATCTGTGGCACAATGGAGTTGGAAAACCATGGGTTTGGTAGGGCTTTTCCCTAGCAGTGTGTGGCCATGGCTTACGCCAGGGCTCAAGCCAAACGCCTATGGAGCCAGAAGAGCAGTATGAACGGGGGAGAGGAGGCTGTGCGAAATGATAGGGAGTGGTGAGGGCTGTGGAGTGGGCACGGCCTGTGGAAAGGGACAGCCTGTCACTTGGTTCCAGCTTATTGTAGCCATGGGGGAAGACAGAGTCAGGGTTGCCAGATCCTTGAAATTTTAAAAAGAGAAGTCAGAAATTCCCACTTCCCAGAAATAATACCCAACACAAGCATTTGGGAATGCTTATGGTGGACATTCCAGATATCCATCAATGTGTATATACGGGTAGAGGGGAGGGGTGGATGGAGAGGAAAAACATCTTAGAAGAGTAAGAGCACATAGTATGCTTGGAATTTTGAAATAAGAAACCAAATTTGATTTATTTTGGGGTAGGAGAAAATGAAACTGAGTTGGGATGGAAGGAGTCGCAAAATTTCAGATGTTTCAACACTAGGGGTGTTCTTAAAGGAACTCTGGACTCTTAAGGTTAACAGGCCACAGATTAGGAAATGAGGGGAGAGAAATGCTCCTGTCTTAATGATCTCGTGCAGCCAAACCAGGCTTGGACCAGGCACGATACGACAAGCCCCCTTTCTAGAGAGCTGACTCCTGAGTTTTTTTGCAGCCGGGATGTGTGTACCACGTTCAGCTCAAGGCAGAAGGCAACGACCACATTGAGCGGGCGCTCCCCCACCATAGGGTGATTGAGGTAAGGCATTCAGTGCTGCCGCTGCACCTGGGTGTGGGTGCCTCCCTGATCAGAAGTCCTCCCGTCTCCTCTGGCTGTCTGCCTTTCATCTGTGGCGGGGGGAACTTTCATCCTAATTAAGGGTCCTCTTAGAATAGTGTCATCTTCACAAGCAGCATCTTATGTGGGTTTTTAATGAACAGCGTTGCTGTCATGCATCCAGAAAGGAAATTGGAACTGTTGTATCCTCCCCGCGACTTGCCCTGTAAGCTCTGATCATTATTCTGCAAGTTAAGGAACTTAAGGCCTAAGCAGCATTTCAAATCAAGGGACAATAATAGAACATGGGCTTAATGGGTGGCAGGGCCACGCAGTTATCTTAGGTTCAGATGACCTTTTTCCTGCTCCCATTTTGTGGGCAGAGTCTTTTGATACTCAAGATCATGACCTAGCTAAATTAATCCCTAAAGAGGACATCCTTCGAGTCACAGAATGTGGCCTGGGAATCATTTGAAGTAAGGCTTTTCTCTTACTGAGTAACTCTCATTGGGAAGACTAGAGGGCTTAGGTAGGGTAAGAGGGGCTGCCTCTTAGTGGCTTTATTTAGGTGGCTTCATTATGCATGAAGATTGTGAGGGAGGATAGAACTTTTGACCTAGGAAGTGGATTTTCTTTTCTTTTTCTTTTTTTTTTTTTTTGAGACGGAGTCTCACCCTGTCACGCAGGATGGAGTGCAGTGCCGTGATCTCGGCTCACTGCAACCTCCTCCTTGTGGGTTCAAGTGATTTTCCCACCTCAGCCTGTAGCTGGGACTACAGGCACACACCATCACACCCGGCTAATTTTTGTATTTTTAGTAGAGACGGGGTTTCACCATGTTGGCCAGATTGGTCTTGAACTCCTGACCTCAGGTGATCTGCTCGCTTCGGCCTCCCAAAGTGCTGGGATTACAGGCATGAGCCACCGCACTGGGCCGGAAGTGGATTTCCTTGACGTCTTTACGGTGTTGGCATTTTAAATGGCTGGGATGACTGCATCTCACACCAAAATGCTTTGCATGTTCTCGGTGTAGTAACTTAGGCCAGGATCACTAGCATAATGTGGACTGTGGCCGGGCAGGTATGAAAGGGAAGGGGGCCGGCCCTCTGGGATCTCGCAAACTCCATGTACAGACCTCACGCAGAGGGGGTGCTGTGACTCTGCCCCTGCTCTAACAGGCAAGAGCATCCTTCTCCTTTTTTTTTTAAGAGAAGCTGGAAAATCTGGCTTCATATATGAAATTTCTTAATTTTTAACATGTTGGCAAGTAATTCAAACGTAGAAAAAAAATACTGTGCTTTCGAAATGAAATGTGTCTATGGGCCAGGGACATGCCCCTGCTCTAACAGGCAAGAGCATCCTTCTCCTTTTTTTTTTAAGAGAAGCTGGAAAATCTGGCTTCATATATGAAATTTCCTAATTTTTAACATGTTGGCAAGTAATTCAAACGTAGAAAAAAAATACTGTGCTTTCGAAATGAAATGTGTCTATGGGCCAGGGATAGCCATCTTCTGTCAGTTTGTGACCTTGGACGTAGGGTACTCAATGACAAACTTCGCTTCCTTAATGTAAGAAGCAAAGTTTGCCATGAAGCAGCTCTCAGGCCATCGGACAGCTGGCATAGAAGTTCCTCCACCAGCTTTCTCATTACTGGTATTCCCTCTTTCTCTCTCTAGGTTGGGAATAATGACATCGATGATGTAAACATCATAGTTTTCCGGCAGATTAATCAATTTGATTTAAGTGGAAATGTGATCACTTCCTCTGAATACCTTCCTACATTATGGGTAAGTCCAGACTTTTAAGCTCCAAGTATTGTGTTCCCTTTGGCTTTGAGACAAGTACGAATGGGATGTTTTTGGGTTTGTGCCTGTCTCGTGCCTTAGGTGTGACAGGTGGAGGTGCTCCAGAGCGCCGCCTGCTGAGGGTTGAGGTTGAGATTTAAGAACCTTGGACCACAACACGTATTTGGGAGAGTGATTGCCAGTTGTGGGAGAGAATGTGGTCCAGTTTCAGATAACTGTCTGCCATCAGTTAATCTTCCAAAGAATTATAGTAGAAGCCTGATCAATGATCAATACAATATGGAATCTAACGTGGAAAGCCAATTTTAAAGAAAGCGCCTTGTAACTTAAAATTTTCTCTGGAGTGGAGGTCGTATTAAATGTTCTTGCATTGGTTTAAAGAAATGCCTGAGGCTAGATAATTTATAACAAAAGAGGTTTCATTGGCTCCTCGTTCTGTAGGTTGTACAGGAAGCATAGTGGTGTCTGCTTCTGGGGAGGCCTCAGGAGGCTTCCAATCATGGCAGAAGGTGAAGTGGGAGCAGGCATGTCATGTGGGAGAAGCTGGAGCAAAAGAGAGAGTTGGGGCATGGTGCCACACACTTTTAAATGATCAGATCTCACAGGACTCATAACGAAGACAGCACCAAGCCACGAGGGATCCACCCCAAAGATCCGATCATCTCCCACCAGGCCCTACCTCCGGCACGGGGGATTACAATTCAACATGAGATTTGGGCAGGGACAAATATCCAAACAGTATCAGAGGTGGTGGACGGTGGGCTGGAGAGCAGGTGGTCTGGGCTTTCTCTTGTCTCCAGTAGTGACTCACCTTGCTGCCTGGGCCAGTCACTTCATTTCCACATGCCTCGACTTCGTCCTCTGCAAAACCTAGATTTTGGACTCAGAGACCTCTTATAATCTTGTTCAGCTCTAACAAAATCTCCATGTTACCATTAATGAAGAAATGTTTATAAAATACCCTGCAGACCCTCTACGGATGTTAGTGATTTGCTCTGGGGGTACATTGTTAAGATGCACTTGTAATTTTATAAGCAGTTAAGTATTTGGCATGGGTGAGAAAGTGTGTGTGCGCTTTAGTCCACTCTGTTCAGGGCTTGCAGGCGTGTGCTTGTAGGGACCAGGCAGGTAATGTCAGAGAGTGCAGAGGGTTGGGTAGGGTGGGGGGCAAACTGGGGAACTCCTGCCCCATCCATGAGTGGCACAGGGGAGGGGAAGAGGCAGAGAGGAGGGGAGGGCGCCACTCTCTTGCTCCTGAGTGTTGCTGTGCTAGAATTGAGGCTCAGGGTTGGTGTCACTTCCCAGTTTTCCGGAGAAGCTGGAAATTAGAATTATTTGAAATCACCTGATTTTTAAATATAGTCGGTGAATTCAGATTTACTTAAGATGTTATAGAAGAAAAAAGAACACATAAGGGATCTTCAATGCGACCCATAACCTTCAGTCTGTGACTTTCATTTTAGGAAAATTCCCCTTGTGTGTTATGTAGAAAGGTGCCAGTGTGGGCCCAGGGAGGTGGTCCTGGCATTCTCTTGCGGCAGGTGCACTGTGGCATCCTCACAGCCTTTGCCATCAGCCAGGGCTGCACCTTAACCCTGCTCATGCCCCATGCCGTGTGGGAGTGAGAACAGGCAAGAACCCCAGAAATAAAGCCAGAAACAAAGTACTCCAGTGCCTCCTGAAGCAGCGTGGAGAGCCACGTACATGATGGAATGCGTTTTGAGTTTAACAGATTGGTGGAGTTAAGGTGACATCATATGATGAGGCAGTGCAAGGCGGGAAGGACCCTCAGGAGTCGTCAGGGGGTTGAGTCCCAGGCTCTACCATGTGTAAGTTGTGTGACCTTAGGTGACTTTGGCTCTCTGGGTCTCCATAGGGATAATAACAATACCTGTTTTGTAGTCAGGATTGGCGATAATGTAGATAAAATATCTGGCGCCTGCCTGGCATATTACAGATGTTCAACACGTGTTAGAAGCTATTTTTAATATTACTATTATATTAACTTATATTACTATTTTGAGCAAGAACATGGGTAGTCAGAATCTGATTTGAATCTTAATTTCTGTGCATGATACATAACTGGATGGAGTCTCAGATGACAGAGGGATGTGTGATGTCTATGGAGGGAGCTTTCTTTTTCAAATATCCATGTTTCCAAAGACACCCACCCAGAAAGCGGCTGTCCTGAGGATGTCTGCTATGAAATATTGATTGTGTTTCAGTTTCAAAGCATGTCTGACTTTGTTTCTCCCTCCAGGTCAAGCTTTACAAAAGCGAAAACCTCGACAATCCAATCCAGACAGTTTCCCTTGGCCAGTCCCTGTTCTTCCATTTCCCCCCACTGCTCAGAGACGGCGAGGTAATGCCTGTGGCCGGATTCTACCTTCTGCCTTTGTTTTAATAATTCTGCTGTTTAGTTTAAGGAAGCACAGTTCTCTCCTTTTCTCCCTAAATACCACTCTGCAGAAATACGCTCTCTGAATCAAAAGAGGTTGGGTTCTGTAGGGATTATTTTTTCTTCATTGTTTTTCTGTTTACAAAAAGAATACATATTCATGGCAGGAGATTTTGGGAAAAAGAAGACATAAGCCCATCATCCAGAAATAGCCACTGCTAACACGGTGATTGGTATCCTTTGGGTCTTTTTTCAGGCACGTGTGCGCATGCATGTATAAATATAAATAGACATTTATTTTAATAATTCAAAACTGACACTGTTTTGTACATTGTTTTGTAATCCGTGCTTTTCAATGAAGAATTTATCACAAATCTGTTCCTCATCATCAAATCTTTCTTTTTTTTTTTTTTGAGACGGAGTCTCGCCTTGTCGCCCAGGCTGGAGTGCAGTGGCGCAATCTGGGCTCACTGCAAGCTCCGCCTCCTGGGTTCACACCATTCTCCTGCCTCAGCCTCCGAAGTAGCTGGGACTACAGGCGTGTGCCACCACACCCGGCTAATTCTTTTTTTTTTTTATTTTTAGTAGAGACGGGGTTTCACCATGTTAGCCAGGATGGTCTTGATCTCCTGACCTCGTGATCCACCTGCCTCGGCCTCCCAAAGTGCTGAGATTACAGGCGTGAGCCCCCGTGCCTGGCCAAATCTTTCATACTATGATTTTTATGGACAGTAGTCCATAAACTAGGAAACGCCATGATTTATTTAACCAAGGCCTACTGTTGGGCATGATCGACTCTTGCACTTTGAACATATCACCCCATGCTTTCCTGCTAAGAAGTCCACTTTTAAAAATGCCTTGTAATTTTTAAAAATTCCTCTATTTAACATTCTGCTATTGAGTTTAAGGAAATACAGTTTCCTCATGATGGGGGATCCCTTGAATGAGATGAGTTGCTTTTCTCTTGCTGCTTTGAACGTTCTCTCTGTCTTTGATAATCTGATTATAACGTGTGTCGTGTAGAACACTTGCAGCTCCACCTTTTCAGTGTCCTTTGGGTTCCATGAATCTGGATGTCTCCCTCCTTGGAACTGGGAAGTTTTCAGCCATTATTCTGGCCGTCATTTACTGATTATAAAGTGCTTATTATCAATTCTATTTGGACAGAGCTAACTTGTAGTTGGTGTGGGGAGTGCAAACTTTGCAAAGAATTTGGTTCTTTTCTGGTGGTCTTAGCCTGAGGATGTCAAGTGTGAGCCTAGAGGGTGACGTTTCCTCTCCTGGCTCCTTACCACCTGCCGTGAAGATGATCTACTCTGGCCTTTCTCTGTGGAAAATGGCTGCAAAATAATGAAACAGGCTGTCACGGAATTTTCTCCTCCTCTTTCTCCAGGGGTGTTGAAATAGTCACTTCCTACAGCGATGCGGAAACATCTTGGGCTTTGGGGTCACACTTCCCCTGAGTTCAGAGCCTTCATAGATGTGTGGCAGCCTTCTTAGCTGAGTGACCTTGGGCAAGTTACTCTTAGTCTCTTCGTGCTTGACTTTCCTCGTCTATAAGACGGGGTGATGATCCCGACCTTGCCAGTGGTAGAAAGCAAAGCAGCCGCGGGCCTCATGCAATGTGCATGGTGCCTGGCAGCTGGTCGGTGCTCAGCACACAGAGCTGTGATGGGTCTCATGCAATGTGCATGGTGCCTGGCAGCTGGTCGGTGCTCAGCACACAGAGCTGTGGCTGCCCCTGGTGCCGTTCCAGGGATGCTGTATTTTTAGGATTTGCCAGCTTACGAGCCTCTCAAGCATCGTCCCTTTGAAGTCAGCCCCGTTGTGGATCCTCAGTTGTATCACGTACCTCCCTCATCAGAATTGGCTCATAATAATTTTTTGTGTTTCATAAAGTCAGATCCTCAGAGGACCGTAATTGTCAAGGTTGGGTACTCATAAAAAGGCTGCAGGCTCTGACAGCCTTATCAGAAGCCACAGTCTCAGAGACACTGGGGACACATGCCCGCCACTGATGGAATAGCCCGCTGAGGTTGATACTTTGAAGGCAGCAACCTTGGTTTGGATGTGTAGTCTTGGGGATTTCTTTAAAAACATAAAGTTCTTTACATCACAGCCATACGTTAGGTTTTAGTTTTCATTTGCTTTGCCAGAGCTGTCCTTGTAAAAATAACTTCTTCCCATGTGTGCACAGAACTATGTTGTGCTTCTGGACTCCACACTCCCCAGATCCCAGTATGACTACATCTTGCCTCAAGTTTCTTTCACCGCAGTGGGCTACCATAAACACATCACCTTGATTTTTAATCCCACGGTAAGTAAAAGAGGGAGTTAAAAAAAAACCCATGGGCTGGGTTTGGTGGCTCACGCCTGTAATCCCAGCACTTTGGGAGGCCAAGGCTGGTGGATCTCTTGAGCCCAGGAGTTTCAGACCAGCCTAGGCAATACGGTAAAACCCCAACTCTACAAAAAATACAAAAATTAACCGGGCGTGGTGGAACGCACCTATAGTCCCGGCTACTCGGGAGGCTGAGGTGGGAGGATCACTTGAGCCTGGGAGGTTGAGGCCTCGATGAGCCATGATCATGCCCCTGCACTCCAGCTTGGGTAACAGAGTGAGACCCTTTCTCCAGAAGAAAAAAAACAAAACAAAACAAAACCAAACAATCCATGGGGTGGCGAAAGAAGGCATGTCCATACAACCTGTGCTCCAGATCGCAGGTTGCAGGGCAGATATTTAAAGGGCTCCTGGCATTGGGTCACTTTCTCATTCTGCCTTCTGGATTCTGGGCTTCCCCAGATTGTTTTTAGCTTTTCTGAGCACTGATGCCTGCGATTCCCTTTGAGGAGGAAACTGGTAATAAGAGCAGTGTAATTGTTTAGATCGGTGGCTCAGGAATGATTTTGGGGGAGGAGGGACACCACTATCGCTGGTGTGGCGTGTGCTTCTCCATGAGGGAGCACATGGTACATGGCCACGCAAACCTCTAGAACCAACTGCTACTTTACAGGAAATAGGGAGGACCCAGGAGCACGCAAATGACTCCACAGGGATGCAGGACAACCACCTGGAGCCTGATTTGTTTGACAAATAAATTGCAAGGAAAAAAAAACCAACAACAGATGGACAGAATACCTGTGGGTTAAAAGAAACTTAACTTATCGCTTAATTCATTGCAATATGTGGCCCTTACTATTTGCAATATGTGTATCTGTTGCATACGGTCTGTCCTGTATCCGATAGGCTGGAACAGTGGAACAAACAAAACATACACGTATCTTTTACCTTCTTGATAAAATTGTTTAGTGATTCCTAAAGCTCAGATGCAGTATTGTCACCTGATGATTAAACAGACACATCAGCAATAGCAAAAACAGAGTCCAGGGCTCAGCCTCAGGACTGCTGATTCTGAACTTGACGGGGTGAAAGTGTAGCACAGGAGTCTGCATTAAAAACAAAAATCTGGCCTCATAGCTACTGTGTTGGTTGTTGCTTCTAGGCCTTTTCAGTGGGCAGAATAAGAACTTTATTGTTTTCAAAAAATGTAACTGTAAGTGGAACAATATCCTCCGATCCTCCTTTTTCCTTTTTTGATAACGACACAGCATTCCTCTGTGTGGATATACCGTGTGTCTTAGGCCATTTGGGCTGCTATTTTGTATCTTAGACTGGGTAACTTATAAACAACAAACATTTATTTCTTACAGTACTAGAGGCTGGGAAGTCCAAGATCAAGGCATTGGCAGATTTGGGGTCTGGCGAGGGCTTGCTGTCTGCTTCATAGATGGTGCCACCTAGCTGTGTCCCCACAAGGCGGAAAGGGGCAAACAAGTTCCCTCAGGCCACTCTTACGGGGCATTAATCCCTGACTTAATCACCTCCTAAAAAGGGTGTCCTCTTGACACTATCACATTATGGATTAGGGTTCAACCTATGAATTACGTAGGCACAGACACATTCAGATCCTGGCACTACATGTAGGATATTCAGTTAGCCCCTGGTTGAGGGGCGTTTGTGTTGTTACTGGTTTTCTGCTATTACACATAACCCTTTAATGAATTGCCTTACGCATGCATGTTTTTGAGTGTTCGTCAGTCTCTCTTTGGAATAGACTCCCAGAAGTGGAATTGCTGAGTCAAAGGGTAAATGCATACGGAATTTTGATTGATACGGCCACTTCCCATCCATGGGGGTTTTACTGTTTTATATTCCCGCCAGCAGTGAATGAGTACCCTTTTTTCCCCAACAGAGTATTTTGTCAAATTTTTCAATTTTTGCAGGCTTATAGATGAGAAGTGATATTATCTCAGTGTACTTCTAATTGCATTTCTCTCTTTTCATGTGGTTAAGAGCCATTTGTATTTTCTGTGAACTATTTAACCTATTTTTCTATAGAATTTTTGGTCTTTTTCAACCATTTTCAGCTCTTTGTATACTAGGAATATTAACCCTTTGTAATGTTTGTTGTACATATTTTTCCCAATTTGTCATTTATCTTTTCACTTGGTTTCTGCAAAGATTTACTTTATTTCTATGTTAAATGTGTTGATTTTTTTCTTATTGCTTCTGGATTTTAGAGTCATAGGAAGGTTTTCTTCATTCCCAGCTTTTACAGGAATTTATTGTGTTTTTTTCAGGCAGACTTTTATAGTTTCTGTTTTTACATTTAAATCTCTCTATCCATTTGGAGTTTTTCCTGGTATAGATGTGAAGTATGGCTCCAGATTGTCTTTTTCCACATGCTATCCAGTTACCATTTCATGCTTTTCAAACGCCATCCTGCATGGAAGGTGGACAGGAATTACCTTTCATTTAGAGATGAGAAGATGGGAACCTAGAAGGAGATGTGAGCAGCCCAAGGTCACCAGCTCACGTGGAGCAGTGCTAGGGCTTGAGCAGAGCTCTGCTGCTGATTCCGGGCTTCTGTGAAGAGTGATTCATGCTCAGTGAGCCTGTAAATATGATCTTACCTGAACAAGAGAGTTTTTCTCATGACCCACGAGGAAACACTTCCTTGTTACTCACAGTAGAGACCTGGTTAGAAAGTGCCGGAGAGGGCTAGGTGTGGTGGCTCACGCCTGTAATCCCAGCATTTTAGGAGGCTGAGGTGGGCAGATCATTTGAGGTCAGGAGTTCGAGACCAGCCTGGGCAATGTGGTGAAAGTGAAACCCCATCTCTGCTAACAATACAAACATTAGCCAGGCGTGGTAGCACGCACCTGTAATCCCAGCTACTCGAGAGGCTGTGGCAGGAGAATTGTGAACCTGGGATGCAGAGTTTGTAGTGAGCTAAGATAGCCCCAGTGCACTCCAGCCTGGGCGACAGAGCAAGACTGTTTCAAAAAAAAAAAAGAAAGTGCCAGAAAGATAAGCATATACAAGAACCACTTACCTTTGCTTGGGGCTGCACTGTGGCCCCAGTTGCTGGGAGAGGCTTCTGTGAAGGCCGTTGATAGCTGCAGGCAGTGACATTCTCAGGGGCCCCTAGCAGACAACTCATCCGGGCTCAGGGACACACCTGGGAGCCAGTGGCAGGAATGTGGAGACACTGCTTGGTGGTGGCCAAGCAGCCCAGCCTCGTAGCTGCTGCCTGTCACTTCTGAGAATGTAAGAAACTGTGCCCTGGTGTGTGATGTTCCCCTTCCTGTATACCTATGTAACTAACCTGCACATTGTGCACATATATCCTAAAACTTAAAGTATAATTAAAAAAAAAAAAAAAAAAAGCTATGCCTGCTGGGGCTTGGATTCCCGAGCAGGGCCAAGTGTTGAATGAAGAGAGCGCCCACTCTGTGCCACCCCGTACAGGGCCCTCACAGGTTGATCCTCACAACAAGCCTTCGAGCAGGTGTGCCATTCCTCCCATTTTCACAGAAGCCCAGAAAGATTGAGTCACTTACTGAGTGTTAGCAGAACCAGGACTCAAGTGAGGCGGTTTGTCTCAAGCCACATGGTTTCCACCTCGTTCTGCCCTCCGCGTGATGAGTGGCTCAGCTTTGCACGTTCACGGGGGCTTTGTAAGCACATTGGTTTCCTTCTTTGTTGATGTGACTGCCCACAGCCTCGCGACTGGATTTTACTCAGTATTCCATGCCCTGCTGAGCATTTCACATACTCCTTTCATCAAGTTTCACAGCATCCACCCCCAGTGGGTGTTGTTCATATGATCTCCATGTCATAGTTGAGTAAACTGAGTCTCAACGTGGTTGCCTGAGTTTACCCAGTGAGGCCTGGGACCTGAGCCTAGACTGAATCACTCTAATTCCTGCTGAATTAAACTTTTATTTATTTATTCATTATTATTTTTTTCTGAGACAGAGTCTTGCTTTGTTGCCCCTGCTGGAGTGCAGTGGCACGATCTTGGCCCACTGCAACCTCTGCTTCCCGGGTTCAAGTGATTCTCACCTCCTGAGTAGCTGGAATTACAGGCATGCACCACCACTTCTGGCTAATTTTGTATTTTTATAGAGACGGGGTTTCACCATGCTGGCCAGGCTGTTCTCAAACTCCTGACCTCAGGTGATCTGCCCACCTCAGCCTCCCAAAGTGCTGGGATTACAGGCGTGAGCCACTGCACCTGGCCTGAATTAAACTTTTAAGTAAGTGTTTACTTCAGTGGAAAAATGGGTTGGGTTCTAAGAGATGTCCAAAGATACAGGAGTAGGCAGTTGTTGATGGAAATCTGTTCCTGCCCTTATTCTTTCATTTATGAAAGGGCATCCCAGGTACAGCGGCGCCCACAGTCACTCTCTAGCCCAGCAGTTCTCGGATGGGTTGGTTGCAGGACCCCTTTATACTGTTAAAAATTATTGAGGATTTTAAAGAGTTTGAGTTTGCATGGATTATCTCTGTGTATATTTATCATATTAGTAATTAAAACCGAGATGTTGAAAACGCAAGAACTCACAAGCTACACATTCCGTTAGCTGTGGGCGTGATGACATCAGGGTGCGTAGTCTCTGGAAAAGTCCACTGTGCGCTTGCGAATGAAAGAGGGCGGAAAAGGCACATCACATCTTACTATTGGCTGAAAATAGCTGTGGCCTCGGGAACCTCTGCGAGAGGAGTCCCGGTATCCTACACTGAGAACACTGCTCTGGCTCATTAACTTGTTTTTATCATTATTGGGAAGTTCTCCTTCCATTTATTTGCTTCCTTTATGAGAGTAGAGTGGGCCAATGGGATATAGGTTCACTTGATGCTTTAGAACCCAGCATTTCAGGGGCTTTAGCAAGATGGAAATGTCTGTCTCATGTCAAGTGTCCAGGAGTGACCAGTGCAGAGATAGTCTGGTAGCTCCAAGGCGTCAGGGGACCCAGGCCCCTTCTGTCTCATTGCGCTGTTCCAGTGCATTGCTTTTCTCCAAAATGGGGCAATTGGCCAAATGCTGTCTGCCCAGCAAAAGGGAGGGCACACCACTTCCCTAGGGTCCAGCCAGGGTGTGGCACTTACCGCTTCTGTTCCTGTACCATTGGCCAAAATTTAGTTCCAGGGCTGCGCCTGCTGCAGGGGAGGCTGGAAAAGGTGATCTATATTGTCGGTGGCCCAGATAAAAGTTGGGGGTTCTATTGGGAGAAAGGGAGAATGGCCACAGGGATGCTAGTAGCAGTGCCTGCTTTGCTTCCTCACTAGACCGTACTGGCTGGGAATAGCTGCCCATCACTGTGTGCCCTGGGTCTAGAACTGTAGGTTCTTGATACATCCTTGTAGGACTAAGTCCCTGCATGTTGCTGGGACTCAACAAACTGAGACCCAGTTGCTTTTCAACCACCAAGACTCTCTGATAGCTGCATCTCTTCATTTCCTCAGTTGGGAGGAGGGTCCAGAGGCTGAGGAATGCCTTGTCATTGGAATCTCTTTGTCCCTGAGTTTCAGAAGCAAATAGTGAAGCTTTGGGCAGAAGAGGATTCATGGGAAAATATATCCAAATCACTTTGGTTCCTTCCTTTGGATAGAAGGAATTTGGATCATGAGGGCCCCTGGGTGTCCTCAAGTGGCCACTTTGGAAGGCTGGGTGGGTGGTGGCTGTGGCATTGTGGATGATGGACAATCGTGTGGCCTTGGTGAGGAGTGATGGGGCTCTCGGTGTTTGCAGAGGAAGCTGCCTGAACAGGACATCGCACAAGGATCCTACATTGCCCTGCCATTGACGCTGCTGGTTCTGCTGGCCGGTTACAACCATGACAAGGTAGGAAATCCAGAGGCCTCAGGAGATGGCGGGCATGTCAGGGAGAGCGAGTCCTCACAGCTGCAGGAGTGATAGCAGAGGGATGTCCAGGGTCACAGAAATCACATTTCCGGGTCGGGAGGGCCCGTGAAGGCCTCAAGTCCAGACTTAGGTCTCCTTTCAAGGCTGTAAACTTCTGTAACATCTCCTAATCCTTAAACCTGGAACACCTCTAGGGACATATTAGGCCCGGAGAGAGGCCAGCCCATCCCTGGGGACTCATTAGTAAGAGGCCTGCCTCGTTTGAACTGAAACCCACCCATTAGCACGTGGCAGCTGCTGATCATGTCTGAAGAAGGTGTGTTGAGAAGTGAGGCTCCGCTGTTCATCTGGCAAAAGCCTCCTCTTTGTACCCCTCTCTCTCACACTTTCTCTCTTTTCTAGCTCATTCCTTTGCTGCTGCAGTTGACAAGCCGGCTACAGGGAGTCCGCGCGCTCGGCCAGGCAGCCTCTGACAATAGCGGCCCAGAAGATGCAAAGAGACAAGCCAAGAAACAGAAGACAAGGCGGACTTGAGGAGGAAGGGGACAGTTGCAGTCTCACTTGGGACAGGCCACAGCCAGGGGTCCGGCCACTACCCGCCCGTGGGATAAAAGCCAAAAGCATGCGTCAGCTAACTTCAGCCTGTGCTGCTGGGCCCGCACCCCATGTCCCTTGTCACTGTGGCATCCTGCACCCATCCTCACCCCTCCGTAGAGCCCCTCGTGCAATGCAATGAATGGACCCTCCTGTCACTCTGCTGAACAGAATTTATTTTCTGAGTCAAATATAATTTATTATTATTTTTGTCAAAGAAGTATTTAAGCTGTGCTGTGGTGTGAGAATGTCATTCTTGATCTTCAGCCTTCGTTTGCAAGGAGAGTTCCAGTTGACGTGGTGTTTGGTTCCATGGCGGGGTACCCTAGGGATTCATCTGTTTTCTTCACTTCCCTTTGCATCTGAGATCCTGCTGGAAACCACAGCAACCTGTATCCACTATTAGGAGGTAAAAATCAATAAAATGGCCCATTCATTTGTGTTGTAGCTCATCATAGATGTATTTCTTGGATGACATGCGCGTAACCCCCGGGGGTCTTCAGTTGAGCCAAATGTAGAGCAAGTCAGAGTCCTGAGTGAAGCTGGCTGGGGCAGGAAAAACACGAGCTCAGCCGACATGGTCCCCAGCAGCTTTTGGCGTCAGTGATAGAGAAATCGGAGATAGTGGAGGTTGTGGCAAGTTGAAGTGTGCCCACCACGTCTAAGGGAAGCTTAGGGACTCAGCTCTGGCTCACCCCTGCTGTGCAGAAATGTGCGTTCATTTTTCTAGAGAAGCCAGAAAAACAAAGATTTACGTGAAATTTTCCCAATTTTAAATGTTAGCCACAAATGCAGTGTTTTTTTAAGAAAACCACACACTTTGGCCAAACAAAATGCCTACGTCGGCCGGGTGAGGCTTAAAGGTTGCCGGCTTGCATCAGAGATCCAGAGGAAGTCACAGCATTTTAACAGCTAAACTTAATCCTCACAGGAAGTCATCAAGTGAATTAAGTGATATTGAAGGAGGGGACACATCCATCCATCCGACATTTATTGAGTGCCACATAGGACAGGCATGGGTATGTGAGGATGAGTAGGGTAGACAACACTCTACAGCGAGCTGGAAGAGGCCAGGGAGGCCCCGTCTGCCTTGTTCTTCGTACCCCAATGCTTGGCACTTGGTGGGCATTCAGTAAGGAATGAATGAACGCACGCACAGAGGAATGAATAGATGGGCACACAGTGTGTGCCCTCACAGCACATGGCCCATCACTGGGTAGAAGGCAAGTCAGTAAGTAGACAGGGGTAATGCAGGGAGCCGAGGGCCTCCAGGTGGAGGAACATGGAGGACCACAGGAGCACAGAGCAGAGTTCTCATCCCACTGGAGAGCTTAGGGAACTTTCTGGATGTGATGCGTGAGCAGAGTCCAAAAGGACAAAACGGAGAGAGGGAAAACAAGGTGGAAGTTCTTGTTAGGTGCCACTGCCACCCCAGGGGGTCAGCTTGGGGGACTCCCTGGCTCTTGGGGGCCAACCGCAGAGCTGCCCTGTTCCCACCTATCAGCTAGCTTGGTGTTGGCACCGTGGAAGGAAAGTGAACAGTGTTGGAGATCTGGGACAGATGTGATATTAATACAGAATCCATTTCTTGGAGTGTTTTCCAACTCTTATTCCAAGTGGACACCCAGAAACATCCCTTTTAAATGTTAATGGGGTTTTTATTGACGGTATAAAGGTTAAGAGCTTGCGAAAGATACAATTGTCAGTACACTCCTTCCAGTTCCGGAGGCCGCCAGTAAGTGGCAGTCTTTCCCTGTCGCTGGCTGCAGGTCACCCTTGGCCTCGGTGGAACTTGTGTGGGTCATTCTCAGTCCATTTGAAAGTTGGGCCTGTTCGGTTGTGTATAATTTTCTGTTCATCATTTTTCTGGCAATCTCAGGACAGAAGTCCTCTGATCCTCCTGTGAGAAGTAAACATTAATGTTATTAGATTCTTTTTTTTTTTTTTGAGTTTCGCTCTTGTGGCCCAGGCTGGAGTGCAGTGGCGTGATCTCGGCTCACTGCAACCTCTGCCTCCCGGTTTCAAGCGATTTCCTGCCTCAGCCTCCCGAGTAGCTGGGATTACAGGTGCCCACCACCACGCTCGCCTAATTTTTTGTATTTTTAGTAGATACGGGGTTTCACCATGTTGTCCAGGCTGGTCTTGAACTCCCTACCTCAGGTGATTCATCAACCTTGGCCTCCCAAAGTGCTGGGATTACAGGCGTGAGCCACCGCACCCGGGCTGTTATTAGACTTGGAATGGGACAAAAGTCATATGAGACAGACTTGTTTGCTGAGGTATTTAAAAAACAAAATGGTCTAAGATGGCAGATTCTTGGGGAACTCTGCTCTGTGCACATTTCTGCCTATTAAAGTGGCCGTAAAAACAACCATAAATCCTTGATGAGGACACCTCAGGAGCTTTAGGACAGTGCCATTCTTTTTTAATTAAAAGCTTTTTATTTGATTTGATTTTTCTGTAGAGACAGGGTCTCGGCTATGTTGACCAGGCTGGTCTTGAACTCTTGGCCTTAAGTGATCCTTCTGCCTCAACCTCCCAAAGTGCTGAGATTATAGGCATGAGTCACCACACCTGGCCAGGGCAGTGCCATTCTAAGGCAACGGCTTCACCTCGGTCTTCTTTTCTGGGGTTACAGGAGATGGGAAGGGCCGAAGGTAGCATGAGAATGTGTGTGTGTGTGTGTTTGTGTGTGTGTGTGTGTGTGTGTATGTGCATGTGTATGTGGAAGGACTGGTGAGATGGCTGGAGGAAGAGGCAGTCCTTCTGCTTAACTCTAATGGCCTAAATGTGAGAAACAAAGATTCAGGAAATAAGGAAAAAGCAAATGAGTGATTGCCTCTCTGGATCAAGCACACCAGCAGGCACAACCAGCCTTTCTTGAGCTACTGTGTGCCGGGCGCTGTGCCGTGCCCTTGCATGCATGTGGATGCTTCATGAGTTCATGAAGTAGGTATGCTTCCAGCCCCATTTTTCAGAGAAAGAAACTGAGGCTGAACAATCTTGCAGCTGTCAAGTGGCAGAGCAGGGGTTTGAACCCAGGTCCAAGAGTTCTTAACCACCATGTTTTCCTGCCCTTGATGTATGAAATGAGATGATGTAGTCACATGCCAGCTTGTCTAGGGATGACTCAGAGGTTTAGAGATGGATGTCACGTGGATGTTGTACAGGAGAGGCAGGTATAAGCTGTAGTAAAGTTAGGAAAGGCACAGTGACGTGGAGCACTGTGTGCAGTGGACGGGGTCATGGCTGGGGGTGAGAATGGTGGAGGACCTTCGATTATTTCATCAGCGTTGTTTCTGTAACCAAAGAGCTGCATGACCAAACCCTGAGATCTAGTTCCTTAATAGGAACAATTATTCGGCACGATTCCCTTTACTTAAAAGCAGGGGCCGTCCTAAGGGAGGAGTTGGAAAGAGTTTGGGGGATAAGGTTTGCTTGGTTGCCTTCTGTTTAGGCTGATGTTCAGTGGGGGTCAAAGGCTGTGTGTCCAGTCCCTGGCATGTGGCGGGTGTTTGTGGTACACAGCCAGCCTCAGGATGGCCCCCAGGGATGCACACTGCCTTTGTGTGTGGTCCCCTCCCACACTGAATCAGGCTGGCTCTGTGCGACCAGTGGGAAGTGGTGGAAGTGAGTGATGATGTGTGACTTCTCGGGCTAGGTCGTAACAGGCATTGCACTTTGGCTCTCGGGAAGCCAACTGCCTTGCGTGAGGGTGCTCAGGCAGCCTCGTGGGGAGGGGTGAGGCCCCTGGCCCCCAGCATGTACAGCTTGCCACCACGTGAGTGAGCCAGCTTGGAAGCGAATTTCCCCGCCCCGGTCAAGCCTTCTGGTGAGTGCAGCTGCAGATGACATCTGACTTCCACCACTCAAGAGACCCCAGGTCAGTGCTGCCCAGCTGAGCTCTTCCCAGGTTCTTTATGTCCCCCGAAAATGAGCTGTTTTAAGTTTAGAAAACTTAAAAACACAGTGACAATGAAGCACAGATATGCATTACATACAGTCCCAAATCAGTAATGACTTCAAGCTGTGTCCTCTCTTTCCAAGAAAGACAAAGCAGAGAACAAAGTTCAACCTACAGTGTCTTCCCAAATTCTTGACCCACGGGATCTGTGAATATCTTATACGACTGAATTAAGCCTCTAAGTTTTGGGGTAACTCATGCAACATTAGGTAACTGGAATAGTGCTCAATAAATGTCTGTCACATGAATGGGCAGTGACCATGGATGCATTTCTAGTTATGTATTAGTTAAGGCTCTCTTGGTTTCAAGTAACAGAAATCCAACTCCAACTAGCTTGAGCAAAATGGGGCATTCCTCTGGTCAAGTAACGGAGAAATCCAAGAGTCTCTGGCTTCATGCATAGCGGGACCCAGTCTCAATTTCCACCTCCTGGCTCTGCTTCCCTTGATGCCAACTTTCAGGAATCAGCTTTCTGAAAGACCACTCTGCTAGAAACAGACAGGCCCATCCTTTCAACCAGGTCCAGGACTGTTTGCTCAGTCACTGCTCTCAGAGGCAGGGGCAGAGGCAGATGCCGGGCACACATCCACAGAAGTGGAGATGGCAGGAAACTGAGAGTGGAGTGCTGGAAAGCTGGCTTTTGCCTATGGGTTCTGCTTCTGACATCATCCGGCAATGTCAGGCTTTACATTGCCCCCATCTGCAGACCCAGCAGAAGGACAGCTTCCATCCCACCACATCAATATGCCAGTCCTGGGGCGGGGGAAGGACTTATGGGCAACCTTTGCAGAATCACTGGGGCCTGGCCGCACATGAGCCATGCCCACGCTTATGTGACAGGCGGCCCCTGTGCCTGGGGTGCTGTATTACCCAGAGGAATAAGTGATCCTGGGTGGGCAAAAGCAACAGAAGAGAAGTGAGCTCCACTTCCTTCCAAAACTTGAGAAGGCCTGGTCAAAATCACCCTCCAGGCCCGGTGTGGTGGCTCATGCCTGTAATCCCAGCACTTTGGGAGGTTGAGATGGGCAGATCATGAGGTCAAGAGATCGAGACCATCCTGGCCAATATGGTGAAACCCCGTCTCTACTAAAAATACAAAAATTAGCTAGGCGTGGTGGTGGGCGCCTGTAGTCCCAGCCACTCGATAGGCTGACAGGAGAATCACTTGATCCAGGGAGTCGGAGGTTGCAGTGAGCCGAGATCACACCATTGCACTCTAGCCTGGCGACAGAGTGAGACTAAAAAAAAAAAAAAAGAAAAAAGAAAAAAATCAGCCTCCATTTTTGGCTTTCTCTTTCATTAGAAAAATGAACCTGACTTTATGACCATGACAATGAAATGCCTAGAGAAGGGAGCACTCATTTTCCAGTGGGCCTACTGTGTGCTGGGGTGGCGAGACTCTTCCTGCCCTGGAACTTGGTGAGGTCAGGAGGGAAGATATGATATGACTGCCTTCCTCTGTACTTTTTCAGTGGGGGCAGGTGTTTATGCTTGATGATGCAATGGTGAGATCTTGGTTGGAATATGAACTTTTCTTTCTTTTTTTTTTTTTAGATGGGTTCTTGTTCTGTTCCCCAGGCTGGAGTACAATGGCACCATCACAGCTCACTGCAGCCTTGATCTCCCAGGGTCAAGGGATCATCGTGCCTCAGCCTGCTGAGTAGCTGGGACTACAGGAGTGCACCACCACACCTGGCTAATTTTTTTAAAAAAAATCTTTGTAGAGATGAGCTCTCACTAGGTTGCCCAGGCTGGTCTTGAACTCCTGAGCTCAAGCAATCCTCCCACCTTGGGCTCCCTAAGTGTTGGGATTACAGGCAAGAGTCACCACGCCCAGCCAGGATCACAGACGTTTAAATTACACTCCTTCTGCTGTGCCTTACAGCAGTAGAAGGGGTGAAATTTAAACGTCTGTGATCCTGGGGTTGTTGAAGATGCCACCCATCTACATATTCTTTCAGATGCACAATATTTCACTGTGTGAATGAAACAGCAGCCCTTCTTACGTGTGCTTTTGGAATTTGAAGATTTTGTAAGATAAGATGAATGCATTGGAACAAGTGATCCTCAATTCTGTGCAGTCTGTGCCTCCGGAGACTGGCGGCTGCCCCTCCCTGTCTAGTCTTGCAAGAGAGGCAGCTGGCAAGAGGACAGAAGCCGGCAGCTGCTGCGTTTTCATCCTGTTTCTGCTCTTGGAGCTGAGGGGGAGAGGTGGCTAGCAGCCACCCAGTGATCAAACTTGCAGCCTGCCTCTCTTGCTTCCTTTTCACAGACTGGAGTGTGCCTGGGTATGGAGAAAGAACATTTTGCTTCTTGCCTCTCAGAGTTTCAAGAACGCCTCACCTGAGTGGCATGCATTCACGGAATGAGTAATTATTACAGTGGAGAACTCCTCACTGTGAATTAATTACACAGATGATATTCAAGACTTAGACTGGGCTAGTGCAGGGGTTAGCAAACTATGGCCCACTGTTCTTGTTTTATAAATAAAGTGTTATGAGCACACAGCCATGCCCATTCATTTGCAGATTATGGCTGCTTTTGCCTGACAGTGCCAGATATAAGTAGTTGTGGCAAAGACCAGGTAGCCTAAAAAGCCTAAAATACTTGCTATCTGGGTCTTTACAGAAGACATTTTGTTGTTGTTGTTGTTTTTGAGATGGGGTCTTTCTCTGTCACCCAGGCTGGAGTGCAGTGGTGTGATCTCAGCTCACTGCAACCTCCGCCTCTTGGGTTCAAATGATTATCGTGCCTCAGCCTCCCTAGTAGCTGAGATTATAGGCGCCTGCCACCAAGCCTGGCTAATTTTTGCATTTTTAGTAGAAACAGGGCTTTACCATGTTGGCCAGGCTGGTCTCAAACCCCGACCTCAGATGATCTGCCTGCCTCAGCCTCCCAAAGTGCTGGGATTACAGGTGTGAGCCACCGCGCCTGGCCTATAAAATGTTTTCTAATCTGTTGTCTAGTGGGTGCTTTGTAAAGTTTAGTTTTAGGGGGAGCATCATTAATTCATTCAACAAGTATTAACTGAGCATCTCCCCTGTGCTGGGTGCTGCTTGGCATACTGGGGGTTTAGTGGTGTGAGAGAGACCGAGCCTCAGCTCTTAGGAGCACAGTGCTGATGGAGGACGAAAGGTAAACACACACATTAGAAGTTATTGGATAATGCCAGGCGTTACGAAGAAAAGAAGCAGAACAAGGCAATGTGACAGAGGATGATTGGTATCATGGAAGGTCTCTCTGAGGAGGCAGCATCTGAGCTGAGACCTGAGGAGGGGAAGGGCCAGTTTATGCAAAGATCTGGGGGAAGAGCTGCCCAGGCAGAGGGGACCATAATTGCAAAGGCCCCCAGGAGGAAATGAGCTCCCTGAGTTTCAGGAATAGCAAAGAGGCCAGGGTGGCCAGAGTCAAGTGATTGAGAGGAAGAGATGAGAACGATGGCAGGGACCGGGTCATGTGGGTGCCCTGGAAAGGAGTTTAGATTTTATTCTAATGGCAACAGAAGGCATTGGAGGGTTTAAGTAGGGAAAGGGGAGTGATCTGATGTATGTTTTTAAACAATTGCTTCTTTAAATTTTGAGGAGATTGGATTATTGGGAAGCAAGAATGAATTTAGGGAGAGAAGCAAAGAGGACGTTGTGTTGGTTTAGGCAAAAGACAGCAATGGCTTGGATTGGGGTGATGGAAGTAACAGTGGCAGGAAGTGGTGAGCTTGGGGCTATGCTTCAGAGATAGAGCAGAAAGGTCTTGCTGATGTATTTAATACAGGAGGTGAGGGAAGGGAGGAATCAACGATAAGTGAATCGTTTGTTTCTAGCTGAACCACTGAAATGTGTAGGTAAATTGAGACTTCTGTTTTGGCCATCATGAGTTTGAGATGCTTATCAGACACCCGAGTCTGCAGCCTGGGTGAGAAATCACGGCTGGAGATGAGACGTGGTGAGCTGGGAGTGTTTTTGGATGACAGATGAGGCCACGGGATTGAATAATAGGTATCCTTATGAAGACTGAGAAAAGGAGAGGGCTGGGGGCCAAGCCCTGGGACAGTGCAACCTTCAGAGGATGGGGGAGGAGGGCCCTGCCCAAGAGACAGAGAGGAAGTGGCCAGTGAGGTAGGGGGAAGTCCAGGAGAGGACAGTGTGGTGAATACCTAATGCTTTACTCATTCACTGGTGAATGAATGGATGGATGGATGGATGGATGGATGGATGAATGCATGAATATTCCTTAATAATATGGTTGGCCATGGTCCATCCATATGACTCCTACGGACACCATGTTACCATTTCACACTCGTCTTCTATTTAGGAGAAATCAGACGAAACTGCCATCTTATATATAGGTCAAAAATGGTTTCCATAACCACCCACCTCACATGCTTACTGAAATTCATTAAGTAATAGATGGGGTGGGGGGCGGGAGGTTTACAGGTCGGCAAAGGAGGCAAGGCTAGAGTGATCCATGTGGCAGTGGATTAGAGTGGCAGGCATCAGTATGAACACATGTTTAGCTCAATATAGATACAGATGGCTACATAGAGAAATATTTATGGATATGTGCATATACACAAATTAGTAAGACACACGTTACTAATCCTGGCTGTCAGCGAAGAGAGCCTAGAAGCAAGGATACCCCAGTAGCAACAAACCTCTGGTGCCCAGGTCTCTGTTCTCCAATAAACACCATTCTCCAGTAAAAGGAACCAGGCTTCTTGAACAAATGTCGATCCTAGGACCGAGGGAGGAAATAGATAAGAAGAACCTGAAGCATCTTGTAGGGTCACAGGGTGAGGAGGCGCGAAATGAAACAAAATGAAACTGCTGCAGTGATGGGGCATCTCAGAGGGACACAGGAGCCAATGGAAAAGCTCCCAGGGGTCAAAGCCAGAACAATTTGAGCCCCAAAAAAGTACTATTGGATTAGAATTCAAAGAATAAATACCCATGATTCCATACTGCTATAAATGATCAGATAAGAGAGAAGAGACAAATCTCCCAGGCAGAAGAATTCCAGATTATTTATTTATTTATTTTTATTTAATTTTTTTTTTTACACAGGGTCTTGCTCTGTTGCCCAGGTTGGAGTGCAGTGATGTAATCTTGGCTTACTGCAACCTCCACCTCCCAGGTTCAAGCGATTCTTGTGCCTCAGCCTCCCGAGTAGCTGGGATCACAGGCATGCGCTGCCACACTCGGCTAATTTTTTGTATTTTTAGTAGAGGCGGGGTTTCACCATGTTGACCAGGTTGGTCTCAAACTCCTGACCTCAAGTGATCACCCTCCTCGGCCTCCCATTCAAGTGCTGGGATGACAGGTGTGAGCCACCGTGCCCGGCCCCAGGTAAATTATATAGCTATTCCATCGTCAAGGAGGTGGAGCGGACTTCCCACATCCTAAGTGTGGGCTGTGCATAGTGACTCTCTTCCAAAGAGTACAGTGTGAAAAGAGAGGAGAGAGTAACTTTACAGTGGAGAACACGGACAGACACTACCTCAGCCAGGTGATCAAAGTCAACTTCAATAGCGGCAAGTCATCTTGAGAGAATGCGTGCCTGATACAGAGTGCTGAGAATGATTCTTAAGCTCTGTGGTCCTCCTCCTCAAAACACACACAAGCCAAGACTAAGGATGAGAAGCATCTGCCAAATCCCAGTTGAGGAACATTCTACAAAATACCTGGCCAGCACTCCTCAAAATGCTCCATGTGGTATCCTGGAACAGAAAAAGGACATTAAGCAAAAACTAAGGCAATCAGAATCAACTATGGACTTTAGGTGGCCAGGCACGGTGGCTCGCGCCTGTAACCCTAGCACTTTGTGAGGCCGAGGCCGGCGGATGGGTTGAGCCCAGGAGTTCAAGACCAGCCTGGGCGACATGGCGAAACCCCATCTCTACAAAAAATACAAAAAATTAGCCAGGCTTGTGGTGTGCACCTGTAGTCCTAGCTACTCGGGAGGCTGAGATGGGAGGATCACTTGAGTCCGGGAAGTCAAGGCTGCAAGTGACCCGTGATTGTGCCACTGTATACCAGCATGGGCAATGAGAGTGAGACCCTGTCTCAACAAACAAACAACAAACAAACAAACAAAAACAAATTCTCTGGGGATGGTAGCAGGCACCTGTATTTCCAGCTACTTGGGAGGCTGAGATGGAGGATCGCTTGAGCCAGGGGAGGTGGAGGGTTGAGGCTGCCATGAACTATGATCACACCACCACACTCCAGCCTAGGTGACGAGCAAGACCCTGTCCCCACCCCCCTAAAAAAAGTATGGACTTTAGTTCATAATGCATCAAGCTATGGGGTACATGGAAACTCTCTGTACTGCTTTCACCATTTTTCTAAAACTGTTCTAAAATAAAAAATTTACTTAAACATTTATTTAAAAAAAAAAACAAACCATTTGAGTACCAACAGTGTCATATGCTCAACTTAGCACATCTTTTTCCTGGTTTGGTTTGTGGGCGTGAATGTGTACTGAGCCATCTAAACCTTGGTTGCCCGACCTTCACCGTAGCCACTGACCCAGGTTAACAGACAAAAGGCCCAGGTTAAGGTTATGCCCAGTGGCCATAAAATAGCCCAGCATCCAGACTGCACTCCTTGATGTACCCAAAAAAGCCAAGGAATAGGACGGATGGGCGGGGAGTGGGGGGCAAACTACTGCCCATTGCCCAACTCTGGCCAGCTGTCTGTTTTATAAATAAAGTTTTATTGGAACACAGTCACACCCATTCATTTATTATCATCTATGGCTACATTTGCATGACAATGGCAGTGTTGAGTAGTTGCACCAGAGATCGTGTGGCCCACAAAATATTTATTATCTAGCACTTTACAGAAAAAGCTTGTCAACCTCCAGGACAGTGGCCACAAGTTCTGCCATCATCTCATCCCTTAGCAAGAAGGGAAAGGAATGCCCATTAAGGCACAAATTGTTTTCTGTTGTTGTTTGTTTGTTTGTTTGTTTTTGAGACGGAGTTTCAGTCTTGTCGCCCAGGCTGGAGTGCAATGGCGTGATCTTGGCTCACTGCAACCTCCGCCTCCCAGGTTCAAGCGATTCTCCTGCCTCAACCTCCCGAGTAGCTAGGATTACAGGCGCCAGCCACCACATCCAGCAAATTTTTGTATTTTTAGTAGCGACGGGGTTTCACTATGTTGACCAGGCTGGTCTCGAACTCCTGACCGCAGGTGATCCACCTGCTTTGGCCTCCCAAAGCGCTGGGATTACAGGTGTGAGCCACCGTGCCTGGCCACAAGGTGGTCTTTTAACAACAGAGCACACAGCTGGACAAAGCCCAACGCTCTCTTCTTTGGGGCCGAGGTGGGTCATTAATATTGAACATTTACAATGTACTTGCTCCAGGTGATTCAGTTTAATTTCTGCCGTCTCTTGTAACAGGGCTCCCACGTGCACGGGTTGGGGCCGTGTGTCTGCCTCTGCTTTCTGAGGCCCCACAGCGTATTGATTCTGCGAAACGTACGTTTCTTTGAAAACAGCGTCTCTTGACATGACAGGAGATCACACATCGCTTGTTTTCTGTCCCTTTCATTGCCCTCTGAACATGATAAAATCATGACCTAGTGTCACCGAGGGACCTCAGCATCTCTTGGAAAGAAGGACTTGCCTTCTTTTTTATCTTTGTCAAGCCAGTGAGGCCAAGTAGAAAATTTTTAGCAGCTTTGGAGCCAGACAGATCGGAGTGCGAGTTCTGCCCGTTATTGACTGGACCGTGTGACCCTGGGAGAGCCGCCTAGTGTCTATGAGACGGAGGCTGTTGGGCAAGAAAATGGGGATGGTCCCAGCATTATGGGGCGGTTGTGAGAATTCAGTGCAATGATGCAGTGCTCCCAGAACAGCTGGTCTAGGGCTTGGCTCATGGGACTGTCCCTTCGCAGAGGCAGCGTGGACATTCCGCTGGTATCCACTGGTGTGGCTGTGCCTGTTTGGTCACCGTGTCTGTTCTGATTGGTCGGTGCTCCTGCATGTCAAGAGTTCAATGTTATGAAAATCATCCCTGCCTAGAGATGAATTCCCCCTTCCCCTGAGGTCTAGACTGGTATAGCTGCTTTTGGAGCCTCACCTGCTGAGAGCTCACAGCTGTCCTTCTCTAGAGAATCACCCTCAGATGGGAGCCACATTGCCTGGGATGGGATGCCATGCCCAGTAATGGCCCAGTGACTAACTGATACAGCAACGTGAATGGCTGGTCCCTGCCCCACGGTGGGGACGATCCTGTGGCGTGCTCTCTGCTGCTCGTGGGATAGGTCAAGGCGGGACTTTAAGGGACCACATTCTCACTCTGCTCTGTCCCCTTCTGCATCCTGTAGTCCTCACCTCCCTTCTCCTGAAAGCCCCTTTCAAAACAAAAACAAAAACCACATCCACCCAAGTCCCTGTCTCCAGCTCTGCCTCCAGGAAAGCCGGCGGAAGGCCGCCAGTCTCAGCTGTGACAGATACAGATATTTCTGCATTTCCAGGACTGAGGTCAATCCCTGGGGACCCAGTGAGGCGGTATCTGAAGGGCCATGGAGCTGGCTTGATGGGGTCTACAGGTAGGCAGGGACCTGGTGGGGATGTGACTCAAGGATTTTTATCAAATATCTTTATCCCCTGACAGATGCAAAAAAAAAAAAATGAGATCAGACTCCAGGGTTTCCTCCATGCCACACTGTGGCCCCATTGTTTGTTGTGCTATCAGCAGAAGTTGATTTTGCAAGGAATGTACACGTGTATGTGATGTTTGAATGCACCTATCTGTGTGTGCGTGCATTTGTGTGTGTGTGTGTGCATTCGCTTGTGTGTGTGTGTGTGTGTGTGTGTGTGTGTGTGTGTGTGTGTGTGCTGAGGATGTGAGCCCCACTTCCGGCCCAGTGCCCCTGCCCAGGCTGGCTCTGCCCTCCTGCTGCTCTGGGCCCCTCAGGCAGTGACTACCTGGTACATAGGGAAGGCATCAGCATCCCTTATTCATGGGGACTGTATACTGTCTCCACCATATTGGGCCTTTTGGCCTCTTGGACATGACTTGGCCTCTGCTGGCTTTAAGGGACTGCCAGAGATGCCATCTTCTCTGGGAAATGTTCTCAGCCTGGGCACAGCCCACTAACCACTGCCTGCTTGTCTGAGACTTCTCTGTCCAGGAAAACAGCCCAGCCTGACCAGAGATGGGCATAGAGCCATATTTTGGGAAAGACTGGTTGGGGGTCAACTTGGTTTCTGGAACCAGTTCTGATTTCAGTTGCAGGGGACAGTGAGCCAGTTACTGCCCACTGGCTGCATCCTAAGCCTTCCTAGAGGAGAGCTAGCCTCCTCCTAGGGTTGCCCAGGCTGGACCACTTCTGCCTGGGTGATGGGTTGGGAGAAAGACGTTAATATTTGGAGCAGTGTTATATTAGTCAGCCCTCCCATTTGCAAACATTAGAAAACCAGCTCAAATTAGTGATAAAAGAAAATCTCAGCTGAATTAAATTTAAAGTAGTTTAATTGAGCAATGAATGATTCGCGAATTGGGCAGACCCCAGAATCACAGCAGATTCATAGAGACTCCAGCGCAGCCACGTGGTGGAAGAAGATTTATGGACAAAAGAAGGGAAATGATGTACAGAAATCAGAAGTGAAGTACAGAATGGCTGGATTGTTACAAGTTGGCGTTTGCCTTATTTGAGTACAGTTTGAACACTCAGCAGCGTATGAGCGGTTGAACTACGGCCTCTGGGATTGGCCAAGACTCAGCTATTGTTACAGGCGCATACTCCTAAGTTAGGTTTTCAATCTTGTCTACCTATTAAGCTAGGTTGCAATTTGTCCACAAGGACTCAACTATAGAAGTACGAAGTCCCACTCAGGCCATATTTAGTTCACTTTAACACTAGCTTCGGCAACTGTCTCTCAGAGCCCAGGGCAGGGCAGGGATGCAACTGGGCTTCAGGAAACTTGAATTCATTGACTGTCTCTTCCCCATCTTAGATGCAGTGCTAAGGGCTTTTTAGTAATTTTCTCATTTGACTCTCAAAACAAACTGATGAGGAAACGGTCTGAGAGTAGTTAGGCAGCTTTTCAAGGTCACACAGATAGTAAATGTCATCACTGGGACTTGAACTCAGGTCTTTCTGACTCTCATGTCTGTGCAACATGTCATCTCAGCCACTGTTGACACTGTATATGTGGATTAGGGTTGGCTAAACTGCTGTAACAAATAGACCCAACTCGAATGGTGCATGTATGTACAATAGGGGTTTATTTCTTATGATATAGTTCACGGTGGTCCCAGGTGAATAAGGATGGGTAGGTCTGCATTTTTCATAATCATCTGGGTTTCTGCTCAGGCTCCTAGAGTCTCTGCCACCTTCCCCATGTGGCTTCCAAGGCCACCTTGGAGACAGAGCTTGGTGGAGCACATGTGGTAGGATTTTTTTTGTTTTTTTGAGACGGAGTCTCACTGTATTGCCCAGTCTGGAGTGCAGTGGTGCAATCTCGGCTCACTGCAACCTCTGCCTCCCAGGTTCAAGCTATTCTCCTGTCTCAGCCTCCCTAGTAGCTGGGACTACAGGCACCTGCCACCACGCCTGGCTAATTTTTGTATTTTTAGTAGAAATGGGATTTCACCTTGTTGGTCAGGTTGGTCTCAAACTCCTGACCTCAGGTGATCCACCCACCTCGGCCTCCCAAAGTGCTGGGATTACAGGCATGAGCCACCACTCCCAGCCAGTTCTTTTTTTCTTTTTTCCATTTTTTTTTTTTCGAGACAGGGTCTTACTCTGTTGCCCAGGCTGGAGTGCAGTGGCACAATCACGGCTCAGCGCAGCCACTGCCTCCTGGGCTCACACGCTCCTCCGGCCTCAGCCTCTCGAGTACCTGGGACTACAAGTGTGAGCCAGTTTGGCTAATTTTGGCTAATTTTTGTAGAAACGGGGTCTCGCCATGTTGGCCAGGCTGGTCTCCAACTCCTGGGCTCAAGGGATCCACCTTCCTCCCCCTCTCAAAGTTCTGGGATTACCGGAGTGACCCACTGTGCCCTGCTGGCAAATTTCTTAAACTGTGCCTCAGTGACCTCATTTAATAAAGGGAATAATTGTAGCACACTTTTTCTAGAGCTGTGAAGATTCAATGGAATAAATAAGGCAATAAATGAATGGATGGGGAATGAAGGATGTGGGTTTCCTCCCTCTTGTCTTTCAATAAGCTCTCACCATCAACCTCCCATTGCCTGTTCTCTCTCTTCCCCCTCTCTCCCTCTGTCTCTCTCTTAGCCAGGAAACCTGGGGTAGGGAGGCTTGGAGCCAGCGGGTGCGTCGGGAGGCTGCGGGTACTGACTGGGGACGCGCACGGAGATTGCGGGAGAAGGATCCACGCCGCGGGAGAAGGATCCATGCCGCGGGAGAAGGATCAGAGTGGAGCCTGTGGCTGCTGCAGGAGGAGGAAGCCGCCGCCTGGCCCACACCACAGGAGAAGGGCGGAGCCAGATGGCACCCTGCCCACCGCTTCCCGCCCACGCACTTTAGCCTGCAGAGGGGCGGAGCGTGAAAAATACCTCGTGCGCCTCGGCCGACTCTACAGTGCGACGGGCGGAGCTTCCAGACGCTCCGCCCCACGTCGCATGCGCCCCGGGAAAGCGTGGGGCGGAGCTTCCGGAGGCCCCGCCCTGCTGCCGACCCTGTGGAGCGGAGGGTGAAGCCTCCGGATGCCAGTCCCTCATCGCTGGCCCGGTCGCGCTGTGGCGAAGGGGGCGGAGCCTGCACCCGCCCCGCCCCCCCTCGCCCCGTCCGCCCTGCGCCGCGCGGGGAGGAGGAGGAGGAGCCGCGGCGGGGCCCGCACTGCAGCGCCAACGTCCGAGCGGGCGGCCGAGCTCCCGGAGCGGCCTGGCCCCGAGCCCCGAGCGGGCGTCGCTCAGCAGCAGGTCGCGGCCGCAGCCCCATCCAGCCCCGCGCCCGCCATGCCGTCCGCCGGCCCCGCCTGAGCCGCGGCCTCCGCGCGCGGGCGGGCCTGGGGACGGCGGGGCCATGCGCGCGCTGCCCTAACGATGCCGCCCGCCGCGCCCGCCCGCCTGGCGCTGGCCCTGGGCCTGGGCCTGTGGCTCGGGGCGCTGGCGGGGGGCCCCGGGCGCGGCTGCGGGCCTTGCGAGCCCCCCTGCCTCTGCGGCCTAGCGCCCGGCGCCGCCTGCCGCGTCAACTGCTCGGGCCGCGGGCCGCGGGCTGCGGACGCTCGGTCCCGCGCTGCGCATCCCCGCGGACGCCACAGCGCTGTGAGTAGCGGGCCCAGCGGCACCCGGGAGAGGCCGCGGGACGGGCGGGCGTGGGCGCGTTCCCTGGCCCGGGACGGGAAGCAGGACGCGGGCCAGGACGCTCCCAGGGCGAGGCTCCGGCGCAGCACAGCGGCCCTGCTAAATAAGGAACGCCTGGAGCCGCGGTTGGCACGGCCCCGGGGAGCCGAAAAACCCCGGGTCTGGAGACAGACGTCCCACCCGGGGGCTGTGCAGACGCCAGCGGGGGCGGGGCGCGGAGGCCGCGCTCAGCTGGGAGGACAAACAGTCGCTAATTGGAGAGGAATTGGGATGCGGCCTGGGGCTGCGGGGTACCCGGAGAGGTGGGGATGGCTGTAGGGGGCTGCAGGGAAGAGTTCCAGGAGGTGTCTGGACAAGGATTTGATGGATGTGCAAGAATTGGGCTGATGCTTAGGAAGGGGCGATGAGGTGGGTCCAGAAGAAGGGGGGTGAACGGTGTGAGCAAAGACCGTGAGGCTGGAGGCTGGCCACGGGAGGTGTGAGGGGTAGGGGCAGGGTGGGAGGTGGGCTCGCGGGTGGGCTGGGGTCATGAAGGGCCTCAGGCGCTCTGCTATTGGGTTCCAAGGCTATCCTGAGAACAGGGGTGAGGGCGGATTGCCGTGGGGGGTTAAAGCCTTGTCATGTTCGCTTTCGGGAGATAAAAACAACAGGTGGCCTTTATGGAGACGCTGCCCAGAGCCAGGTCTGTGCCAGGCTCCTGTTGGGGGTCGTCATGCGGAATCCTGACTCTGACCATCCGAGGCATAGGGACCGTGGAGATTTGCATTTCACAGATGAGGAAACAGGTTTGGAGAGGTGACACGACCTGTCCCAGGCATCACAGCCAGGACAGGACCTGTCCCAGGCATCACAGCCGGGATGTGCATAGCAGGGGTTTGGAACTATGAGGTGCCCAGGACCCAGGGTTGGATTGAAAAGGGCGCAGGGGACTAAGATAAGCAGACAGTTGTCCCCAGCGCTGGGGAGAGTCTTGGGACCAGTCTGATGCCTTGTATTTCCCAGGCTCCAGGCTCCTCGCCGGGACAGTGTCTCTTTGGGTGCGTGCTGGATCCCTGGGGGACGTGGCACATCCCCAGGCTTGCTAAACATTGGGTGGGTTCTGGCATTTGGTTTTGTAACGTTTCTGGGTCACTCCCGCCTGTGGCCACCCTTCCTTAGGGGAGCCGTGTGTCCTTGGGGCTTTGCTGGGTGGTCTCGAGGGTGGGAGAAGAATGGGTTCTCCTGGACCAATGGAGCCCGTGCCCCTCGGGGCCACATTGCTCCTGCGCTCCCTGACTGCGGACGCGTGTGTCTCGCGGCTGTCTCTGTGGAGATGGCCTCCTCCTGCCTGGCAACAGCACCCACAGAATTGCATCAGACCTACCCCACCCGTTGTTTGTGATGCTGTAGCTGAGGGCTCCTCTGTCTGCCAGGCCGGTCACTGGGGACTCTGTCCAGGTCCTGGTGGTTCCTGCTTCCCAGCACCTGATGGTGTCCATGAGAGCAGCCCCTCGGGAGCTGTCCGGGAGAGAAGGGCGCTGGTGGCTGCTGAGCGGAGAGCAAGGCCCGTGTTCTCCAGGCCCTTGGCACAGCAGTGGAGCCCCCGCCCCTGCCTTGTGTTGTCCTCTTAGGCTCTGGTCCTGGGGTTTGGAGGAGGGGGACCCTGGGGGTTGGTGGCCTGTCCCAGCCTGAGCTGGCAAGATTCCGAATGCCAGGCCCCTCAAGTGTGCAACAGGGCACAGGGTGACCTCATGTGGGCAGGTGGGTGCTGTTCTGTACACACCTGGGGCCGCCGCTGGGAGAGTTCTGGAAGGTGGGGTGAGGGGACCCATGGGAAACTAGGGCCCTAGGAAGGATGTGAAGGCCCTGGCTGGCCCCCCAGGCCACCCTCTGTGCTGTGGGGCAGCCCAGCCATTTTGCTGTCTACCCTGCAAACTCCTCCTCGGGGAGACGGCTGGGTTTTCCCCAGGGAAGAGGGGTCAAGCTGGGAGAGGTGAAGGACACAGATCACAGCTGCTGGCAGGTGTTCAAGGGTCCAGGAGCGTTGCTGTCTGGGTGTCACCAGTAGCCTTCCTGGGGGGCTCACGCAGGTGCCTCTCCACTTGTGGCTCCCTGGCTGCTGAAGCTCAGCAGGGACAGCTGTGTCCAGTTCCAGGTGGAGGACAGCCGGGGCTTCTGAGGCCACAGCCTGCCTTGGGTTAATGATGCTGCCGAGAGGTGGTGGCTTTTGGAAAAGATGGCGTACTGCAAAACGTGCTGCTCTGCGTGGCTCGAAGCTTCGTGGGGAGACGTGGGCAGAGCCGTGGCTGACTCACAGACCCCCCACCCCAGAGCCTGCCCTGCCCTCCCTGCCCCGACCCTTCCCCTCCTGACCCATGTGTTTTTTTTTTTTTTTTTTGAGACAGAGTTCACTCTTGTTGCCAAGGCTGGAGTGCAATGGCACGATCTCGGCTCATGGCAACCTCCGCCTCCTGGGTTCAAGCGCTTTTCCTGCCTCAGCCTCCCGAGTAGCTGGGATTACAGGCGTGCACCACCATGCCTGGCTAATTTTGTATTTTTAGTAGAGACAGGGTTTCTCCATATTGGTCAGGCTGGTCTTGAACTCCTGACCTCAGATGATCCGCCCGCCTCGGCCTCCCAAAGTGCTGGGATTACAGGCATGAGCCACCACGCCCAGCCCTGACCCATGTTTTGAACCAAATTCCAGCCACCCTTTTATCTGCAAGCATTTTGGAGGGCATCGCAATACTGCAGACCCACCTAACACAACAGACAATTCCTTCATGCCACCGAAGGCCTGGTGTGTTCACATTTTTGGTTTAATAGTTTGAATTAAGAGCCAAATAAGGTCCACACACTGCAATTAGTTGATGTCTTTTTTTTTTTTTTTTTTTTTTTTTTTTGAGACGGAGTCTTGCTCTTGTCTCCAGGCCGCAGTGCAGTGGCATGATCTCAGCTCGCCGCAACCTCCGACTCCCTGGTTCAAGCGATTCTCCTGCCTCAGCCTCCCGAGTACCTGGTAGCTGGGTTTACAGGCATGCACCACCGTGCCCAGCTAATTTTTGTATTTTTAGTAGAGACGGGGTTTTACCGTGTTGGCCAGGATGGTCTCGATCTCCTGACCTCGTGATCTGCCCACCTCGGCCTCCCAAAGTGCTGGGATTACAGGCGTGAGCCACCGCACCCGGCCAATGTCTTTTAAAAATATATACTTTTTTTTTTTTTTTTTGAGACAGAGTTTCGCTCTTGTTGCCCAGGCTGGAGTGCAGTGGCGCGATCTCAGCTCACGGCAACCTCCGCCTCCCGGGTTCAAGCGATTCTCCTGCCTCAGCCTCTCCAGTAGCTGGGATTACAGGCGTGTGCCACCATGCCTGGCTAATTTTGTATTTTTAGGAGAGACGGGGTTTCTCCACGTTGGTCAGGCTGGTCTCAAACTCCTGACCTCAAGTGATCCGCCTGCCTTGGCCTCCCAAAGTGTTGGGATTACAGGTGTGAGCCAGCGCGCCCAGACAAAAATGTGTATGTGTGTCTTTAAGGCTGGTCAAGCAAAGCAGTGGAACTGGAGAAAGAATGAAGAATTCTACCTGGCTGTGATCAATTCGTTGTGAACACCACTGTGCTTGGACCAGCTAGCTGATGTCTTTTGTTTTGTTTTGTTTGAGACGGAGTCTGGCTCTGTCACCCAGGCTGGAGGACAATGGTGTGATCTCGGCTCACTGCAGCCTCCACCTCCCGGGTTCAAGCGATTCTCCTGCCTCAGCCTCCTGAGTAGCTGGGATTACAGGCGCGCGCCACCACGCCCAGCTAATTTTTAAAAATATTTTTAGTAGAGATGGGGTTTCACCATGTTGGTCAGGCTGGTCTTGAACTCTTGGCCTTAGGTGATCTGCTTGCCTCGGCCTCCCGAAGTGCTGGGATTACAGGTGTGAGTGATGTCTTTTATTTATTTATTTATTTATTTATTTTTTATTATTATTTGAGATGGAGTCTCACTCTGTTGCCCAGGCTGGAGTGCAGCAGTGCCATCTCGGCTCACTGCAAGCTCCGCCTCCTGGGTTCACACCATTCTCCTGCCTCAGCCTCCCGAGTAGCCTGGACTGGTGCCCGCCACCACGCCCAGCTAATTTTTGCATTTTTAGTAGAGACGGGGTTTCACCCTGTTGGCCAGGATGGTCTCGATCTCTTGATCTCATGATCCACCCACCTTGGCCTCCCAAAGTTCTGGGATTACAGGAGTGAGCCACCGTGCCCAGCCATCTTTCTTTTCTTGCTTTCTCTTTCTTTTCTTTCGAGACCGGGTCTTGCTCTGTCGCCCAGGCTGGACTGCAGTGGCACAATCATAGCTCACTGCAGCCTCGACCTCCCTGGCTCAAGCGATCCTTCCTCCTCAGCCCCCCGAGTAGTTGGAACTACAGCTCCACACCACCATGCCTGGCTGATTCTTTTTTTCCTTGTAGAGATGGGGTCTTGCTATGCTGTCCATCCTGGTCTCAAACTCCTGGCCTTCCCAAAGCACTGGGATTACAGGCATAAGCCACCACAGCCAGTTTCCTTTTCTTCTTTTTAACTGGAATAGTTGACTTTTTCTTTATTAGCTGTGTGTCAGGAGGGTATTTTTGGCCTTTAGTATGTCGTCTAAGTTGCTAGTGCTTTTCTGAGATTGTAGTTTGTTTTCTAATTTTATTTATATTTTGCGTAGAAGTTGTGTATTTTAGATGGAGTTAGGTCGGCTGGTCTTTGATGTTTTATTTATTAATTATGTATGTATTTATTTATTTTTGAGGTAGAGTCTCGCCGTTTCACCCCAGCTGGAGTACAGTGATGCGATCTCAGCTCCCTGTAGCCTTGACCTCTCTGGGCTCAAGTGATTTTTCTCTCCTCTACCTCCCGAGTACTTGGGACCCCAGGCGCATGCCGCCATGCCTGGCTAATGTGTATTTTTTTGTAGATACGGGGTCTCACTGTGTTGCCCAGGGTGGTTTCAAAATCCTGGGCTCAGGCGATCCTTCCGTCTCAGCTCCCACGGTGCTGTGTTACCGGCGTGTGCCCCAGTGCCTGGCCGTCTTGGAGGTCTTGTTTCTCTGGGTTTATGCCTCAAGGTGGCGCCTGCTCCCCTGTGCTCCCTGGTAGCCTGGTAGTGAGCCTGCTTCTCACACAGTCATACCTGGTTGTGGTCCCACAGTGGGACCACCCTGTTGGGTTCAGAACAGGAGATGGGGGCCCCTCGAGTCTGTGTGGGGGCTGTGGACAGGGTTGGGAGACCTTGGCTCTGTGGGGGACTGTGGACAGGGGATGGGGGGCCTTGTCCCTGCGTGGGATGGGTTGGGGGTCCGTGCCCTTCCTGGCCCTGGGTGGACAGGTCCAGGTGGCACTCGGCATAGGGCTGAGATGGGTGCAGAGGGCTGAGGCCCCCAGGCCTCTCCCGGCTTGGTTTCCCCAGATGAGTGTTCATTTGGGTCTTCCATCAGAAAGGCCCCTCCTGACCTCTGGGAGTGGGGAGCTCAAGGGTGGGAGGCCATAGCTTGGGGATGCTGGCAATGTGTGGGATGGGCCCAGGGATGGCCTCTGGCCTACTAAGGGCTCTGGCCCTGACCCACGGCCACTCACTCCTCAGAGACGTCTCCCACAACCTGCTCCGGGCGCTGGACGTTGGGCTCCTGGCGAACCTCTCGGCGCTGGCAGAGCTGTGAGTGTCCCCCAGTCGTGCCAGCATGCGGGGCTCACTCCGGGTGGGCTGGCGGCACCGCCTCTTGCTGCTCAGCTGTGGGGGCTTCCGTCAGCTTTGCCGAATCCCCCCTCTCTTCCAGGGATATAAGCAACAACAAGATTTCTACGTTAGAAGAAGGAATATTTGCTAATTTATTTAATTTAAGTGAAATGTAAGTTGTGGTTCTTTGGGTGGGGTCCTGGCTGGACCCCAGGCCCCCAGTATCCCTTCTGCCCTCCCAGTTGGTCCGTGTCCCCTTCCAGGCTTGAGACCAGATCCTGGGGGCAGTTCACTACCTGCTTGGAGCCCCCCAGTGCCGGCTTGGTTGGGGCAGGGGAGGCGGTGCTGTCAGGGTGGCTCCAGGGCCTGGTTGCCAGTGGGGGGCTGGCATAGACCCTTCCCACCAGACCTGGTCCCCAACACCTGCCCCTGCCCCGCAGAAACCTGAGTGGGAACCCGTTTGAGTGTGACTGTGGCCTGGCGTGGCTGCCGCGATGGGCGGAGGAGCAGCAGGTGCGGGTGGTGCAGCCCGAGGCAGCCACGTGTGCTGGGCCTGGCTCCCTGGCTGGCCAGCCTCTGCTTGGCATCCCCTTGCTGGACAGTGGCTGTGGTGAGTGCCGGTGGGTGGGGCAGCTCTGTCCTTCCCAGCCAGGTGGGACCTGGGCCCTGCAGACACTGGGCAGGGCTCAGGAAGGCCTCTCTGGGGGGGGCCTCCGGGCCAAGGGAACAGCATGGGAGCCTGTGAGTGCGGCGGGCGGATGGGGGGGTGTGGGGTGGAGCCAGGAGGAGCAGAACCCGGGGTCCAGTGGCTGCCTCTTCTAGGTGAGGAGTATGTCGCCTGCCTCCCTGACAACAGCTCAGGCACCGTGGCAGCAGTGTCCTTTTCAGCTGCCCACGAAGGCCTGCTTCAGCCAGAGGCCTGCAGCGCCTTCTGCTTCTCCACCGGCCAGGGCCTCGCAGCCCTCTCGGAGCAGGGCTGGTGCCTGTGTGGGGCGGCCCAGCCCTCCAGTGCCTCCTTCGCCTGCCTGTCCCTCTGCTCCGGCCCCCTGCCGCCTCCTGCCCCCACCTGTAGGAGCCCCACCCTCCTCCAGCACGTCTTCCCTGCCTCCCCAGGGGCCGCCCTGGTGGGGCCCCACGGACCCCTGGCCTCCGGCCAGCTAGCAGCCTTCCACATCGCTGCCCCGCTCCCTGTCACTGCCACATGCTGGGACTTTGGAGACGGCTCCCCCGAGGTGGATGCCGCTGGGCCGGCTGCCTCGCATCGCTATGTGCTGCCTGGGCGCTATCACGTGACGGCCGTGCTGGCCCTGGGGACCGGCTCAGCCCTGCTGGGGACAGACGTGCAGGTGGAAGCGGCACCTGCCGCCCTGAAGCTCGTGTGCCCGTCCTCGGTGCAGAGTGACGAGAGCCTCGACCTCAGCATCCAGAACCGCGGTGGTTCAGGCCTGGAGGCCGCCTACAGCATCGTGGCCCTGGGCGAGGAGCCGGCCCGAGGTGAGTGTCTGCTGCCCACTCCCCTTCCTCCCCAGGGCCATCCAGATGGGGCAGAGCCTGGTACCCCCGTCTTGGGCCCACACTGACCGTTGACACCCTCGTTCCCACCGGTCTCCAGCGGTGCACCCGCTCTGCCCCTCGGACACGGAGATCTTCTCTGGCAATGGGCACTGCTACCGCCTGGTGGTGGAGAAGGCGGCCTGGCTGCAGGCGCAGGAGCAGTGTCGGGCCTGGGCCGGGGCCACCCTGGCAATGGTGGACAGTCCCGCCGTGCAGCGCTTCCTGGTCTCCCGGGTCACCAGGTGCCTGCCCCACCCCCCGAGGGGCCATAGGTTGGGAGATCTCTGAAGCAGTGGGGCAGAGCCTGCGGCTGGGGAGTCTCAGGAGGAGGGAGGTGGGAGCTGGGCCGGCCCTGGTGAGCAGGTGGCGCCGGCCGGTGGGGCCGTTCCTGTCAGCTCTGCAGATGCAGAGGTGGACGCGAGCTGGGGGCAGCCTCCGGACACTCCTGGGCACGCCATACGGGAGGTGGCCTGCACGGGGATCCCTGCCGGTGCCCACAGGCCCCGTGGGTGGGTGCTGCTGTGAGCCTGGGCTGGTGGGCCCTGCTCTCCGGGCTCTGAGCCTCAGTTTCCCCATCTGGAAAGGGGGACAGTGACGGGGCTCCCAGCGGGCTGCTGTGAGGGTGGGAGGATGGAGGAGTGCCCTGAGCCCCCTGCCATCCCACACCCGCCCCCAGGAGCCTAGACATGTGGATCGGCTTCTCGACTGTGCAGGGGGTGGAGGTGGGCCCAGCGCCGCAGGGCGAGGCCTTCAGCCTGGAGAGCTGCCAGAACTGGCTGCCCGGGGAGCCACACCCAGCCACAGCTGAGCACTGCGTCCGGCTCGGGCCCACCGGGTGGTGTAACACCGACCTGTGCTCAGCGCCGCACAGCTACGTCTGCGAGCTGCGGCCTGGAGGTGTGCGGGGGGCCAGGCAGGGGCCTGAGACGCTGGCTGTGGTTAGGGGCCTGCCGAGCGCCCGCGGTGGAGCCTGGGCTGAGGAGGAGGGGCTGGTGGGGGGGTTCTCGGGCGGCTCGGTCCCCAGTCTGTTCGTCCTGGTGTCCTGGGCCCTGGCCCGGCGCCTCACTGTGCACTTGCCACCCCAGGCCCAGTGCAGGATGCCGAGAACCTCCTCGTGGGAGCGCCCAGTGGGGACCTGTAGGGACCCCTGATGCCTCTGGCACGGCAGTACGGCCTCTCAGCCCCGCACGAGCCCCTGGAGGTAGTCGGCCCCCCACGTTCTATAACCTGCCCTCCTGCCTGCCCCTGGAGGCCTCGCCTGCCCTGCCCACTGTGGGTCTCGCCAAAAAACTTGGGGGCCTTAATGTTGCTTGTGCCCAGTGAAGATGGTTGGGAAAATCCAGAGGGCAGAGAGGAAAGCGTTTACTCACATTACCCCCAGGCCTTTTCTCTGAGTGTGGGTGAGTTATTCCTGAAAGGCAGGTCAGGGGTCCTGCCCCCCATGGACAGTTTCCATCGGAGTCTTCCTCTCGAGCGACAGGAGCCAGGCCTGTGGGGGTCCGATGGCTCGCTCTCCTTCCCTCCCCTCTTCCTGGGAAGTTCGGGTGGGGGGAGTCTGGGCTTCAGGCTGGGATGGGGTCTGTGGAGCTGAGGCGGCCCCCTGCCCACCAGGTCATGGTATTCCCGGGCCTGCGTCTGAGCCGTGAAGCCTTCCTCACCACGGCCGAATTTGGGACCCAGGAGCTCCGGCGGCCCGCCCAGCTGCGGCTGCAGGTGTACCGGCTCCTCAGCACAGCAGGTGGGACTCTGGGGTGGTGGGCGCCGCAGGACTCGGGGTGGCCTCTCTGAGCTCTCACGTCTGCTGGTCCTGTGGCCATCAGAGTGGTTCCCAGTCTTAGGTGGACAGAGCAGGGGTTCCAGAGACACCAGCTCATTCCAGGTGTCCTGGGGGTGGATCGGGTGGGGCCTGCCTGGGGACCGGCCTGGGTCAGTCAGCTGGCCGGAGACAGGGACGCAGCACTGGGCTGGGAGTGCTGCCCGGGCGGGGAGACCTGTCCTCACAGCAAGGCCAGGCTCGCTGGTGCAGGCAGTTGGGCATCTCTGACGGTGGCCCATGGGCGAATCAGGGCCCCAACACCCTCCCCTCCTCGCAGGGACCCCGGAGAACGGCAGCGAGCCTGAGAGCAGGTCCCCGGACAACAGGACCCAGCTGGTCCCCGCGTGCATGCCAGGGGGACGCTGGTGCCCTGGAGCCAACATCTGCTTGCCGCTGGACGCCTCCTGCCACCCCCAGGCCTGCGCCAATGGCTGCACGTCAGGGCCAGGGCTACTCGGGTCCCCCTATGCGCTATGGAGAGAGTTCCTCTTCTCCGTTCCCGCGGGGCCCCCCGCGCAGTACTCGGTGTGTGGCCCTGACCTGGGTCTGTTCCCTGCATCTCCTCAGGCCACCTTCCTGTCTGCTGCCCAGGGTCTGGGTCTGCGCAGCAGACACACCCAGCCTGCAGGCCCCTCCCACGTCCTTGCCACCTCTGACCTCCGACCTCCGACCTCCAACCTCCGACCTCTGCAGTGCCCTTGCCCCTCTCCCAGTGGGAGAAGCTCTCGCCTGGGCCCTTGGCACGAGCTGTGCCTCCTCTTCCTCTCTCCCAGCACAGCCGCTCCTTCCTGTCTGTCAGGTCTTGGCCTGTGTCCTCTCCCCGTGTGTCCCCCTGTCTGCAACTGTCCTGCCTGTCCTTGTCACGAGCACTGTGGGGAGGCTCCCTGAGGTGTGGCTGACGAAGCGGGGAGCCCTGCGTGTCCACCCTCATCCGTCGTGCAGGGGTCCACGGGCCATGACCGTGAGGACGTGATGCAGCCCTGCCTCCCTCTCCACAGGTCACCCTCCACGGCCAGGATGTCCTCATGCTCCCTGGTGACCTCGTTGGCTTGCAGCACGACGCTGGCCCTGGCGCCCTCCCGCACTGCTCGCCGGCTCCCGGCCACCCTGGTCCCCAGGCCCCGTACCTCTCCGCCAACGCCTCGTCATGGCTGCCCCACTTGCCAGCCCAGCTGGAGGGCACTTGGGCCTGCCCTGCCTGTGCCCTGCGGCTGCTTGCAGCCACGGAACAGCTCACCGTGCTGCTGGGCCTGAGGCCCAACCCTGGGCTGCGGCTGCCTGGGCGCTATGAGGTCCGGGCAGAGGTGGGCAATGGCGTGTCCAGGCACAACCTGTCCTGCAGCTTTGACGTGGTCTCCCCAGTGGCTGGGCTGCGGGTCATCTACCCTGCCCCCCGCGACGGCCGCCTCTACGTGCCCACCAACGGCTCAGCCTCGGTGCTCCAGGTGGACTCTGGTGCCAGCGCCACGGCCACGGCTTGCTGGCCTGGGGGCAGTGTCAGCGCCCGCTTTGAGAATGCCTGCCCTGCCCTGGTGGCCACCTTCGTGCCCGGCTGCCCCTGGGAGACCAATGATACCCTGTTCTCAGTGGTAGCACTGCCGTGGCTCGGTGAGGGGGAGCACGTGATGGACGTTGTGGTGGAAAACAGCGCCAGCCGGGCCAACCTCAGCCTGCGGGTGACGGCGGAGGAGCCCATCTGTGGCCTCCGCGCCACGCCCAGCCCCGAGGCCCGTGTACTGCAGGGAGTCCCAGTGGTGAGTATGGCCGAGGCTCCACCACCAGCCCCCAGGCAGGTGCCTGCAGACAGGGTGCTCACACAGGGCGTGAGGCCTGGCTTCCCAGTGAGGGCAGCAGCCCAGTTACTGGGGACGTCGGCCCCGGGCAGGTCCTGCTGGCTGGCTCCTCAGGCTACCTGGTGGGCTTTAAATTCCTGGAAAGTCACGGCTCTGACAGCGGCTCCGCTAACTCATTCCACCGTCTCATTTCACGAAATGAATTTAAAACTCCGCTCCCTGACCTCACACGAGTCCCCGTGAGTCTCTCACGCCCTCTGCTGTGTTCTCGCCTGGCTAAAGCAAGTGGCTTTTGAGGTGGAGTCCGAACCCCTGATGGGAAACTGCGGGCTGCCCGCGGTGCCACCATGCTGGGTACATGGGGGACAGGGCTGTTCCATCTTGCGGGTACCTGCCCCTTCACCAGGGGCCTTGGGAGGGGCCATGAGAAATGGCGTGACCTGTGCAGCCTGTCCTGGGTTCTGTAAGCCAGTGTAGGTGCTGTCCCTGTGAGGCCCGTGTGCCTCCCCTCACTGCTCCGAGCTCTCTGGCTGAGGAGCTGGGGCAGGAGCCCCGGGAGGGTCTGAGAAGACTCAGAGAGAGGTGGACTCTTTGTAGCTGGTACTAGGTTTGCTTTACAGATGGGGAAACTGAGGCACAGAGAGGTTGAGGCATTAGTAGTACTACATGGCTGGCTGGAGAGCCGGACAGTCAGTGTCCCAGCCCGGGCTTGGCTCTCATGGCATGCAGAGCCCCGGGCACCTCCTCTCCTCTGTGCCCCACGTGGGACTCTCCAGCCCGACGGGAGGTGTGTCCAGGAGGCGACAGGCTAAGGGCAGAGTCCTCCACAGAGCCCAGGCTGACACCAGTCCCCCCGCAGAGGTACAGCCCCGTGGTGGAGGCCGGCTCGGACATGGTCTTCTGGTGGACCATCAACGACAAGCAGTCCCTGACCTTCCAGAACGTGGTCTTCAATGTCATTTATCAGAGCGCGGCGGTCTTCAAGCTCTCAGTAGGTGGGCGGGAGTGGGGAGGGGAGGGGATGGGGCGGGGCGGGGGCGGGCTCCACCTTCACCTCTGCCTTCTGCTCTGCTTCATGCTGCCCGAGGACGCTGCCATGGCTGTGGTGAGTGGAGGGAGGGACGCCAAGCAGGGCAGGCCTCTCACCTGCCACCTGGGCCCACTGATGCCTGTCCCTGCAGCTGACGGCCTCCAACCACGTGAGCAACGTCACCGTGAACTACAACATCACCGTGGAGCGGATGAACAGGATGCAGGGCCTGCGGGTCTCTACAGTGCCAGCCGTGCTGTCCCCCAATGCCACGCTGGCACTGACGGCGGGCGTGCTGGTGGACTCGGCCGTGGAGGTGGCCTTCCTGTGAGTGACTCAGGGGCCGGTTTGGGGTGGGCACCAGGCTCTTGTCCGGGCACCAGGCTCTTGTCCCGGCTCCAGCCTCAGCCGAGGGACCCCACATCAGGGGGTTGCTTTTCTGAGCCTCGGTTTCCCTGTCTGTTGGGAGGTACTGGGTGCACAGGAGCCCTGAGGCTGCACGGGAGCCGGGAGAGGCCTCAGCACAGCCGGGTGGGCCCTGAATGGAGGCCCGGGGCGTGACTGCAGAGTGGAGCCTCGGCTGGGTCCCAAGCACCCCCTGCCCCGCCACCGCGCACCTGTGCCCCGCCACTGCGCACCCCTGTCCCGGTTCACTCACTGCCTCCCACCGCCCCGGCAGGTGGACCTTTGGGGATGGGGAGCAGGCCCTCCACCAGTTCCAGCCTCCATACAACGAGTCCTTCCCGGTTCCAGACCCCTCGGTGGCCCAGGTGCTGGTGGAGCACAATGTCACCCACACCTACGCTGCCCCAGGTGAGGGATGAGGGGGTGAGGGGGCCACTGCCTTTCAGGCTCTGAGCACGGGGCCCCCCCAGTCCCCCAGTCAAGCTGCCCCGCTTCCTCCCCAACAGCCCTCACTGTGACCTCACCTGGGCTGATGGCTTAGGCCCCTACTGGGGTGAGGGAGGGGCCAGGCGTGGGAGGAGTGGACAGGGAAGCTGGGCCCCCTGAACTGCCCCCCACCGCGGCCTGGCTCTTGCTGCTCTGCTGCCCCGAGTGCAGCTGCACTTGGAGGCGGTGCCGTCCTCACCAGGCAGCCCTCAGTGCTGCTGCACCTGTGCTCCGTCCCGCACGTGGCTTGGGAGCCTGGGACCCTTAAGGCTGGGCCGCAGGCGCAGCCGTTCACCCCGGGCTCCTCAGGCGGGGGGCTTCTGCCGAGCGGGTGGGGAGCAGGTGGGGGTGCCGCGGCTGCCCCACTTGGGCCTGTCCCCACAGGTGAGTACGTCCTGACCTTGCTGGCATCTAATGCCTTCGAGAACCGGACGCAGCAGGTGCCTGTGAGCGTGTGCGCCTCCCTGCCCTCTGTGAGTGTGTGCGCCTCCCTGACTGGGGCCTGCTGGTACCCCAGAGTGGGTGTCTGTTCCCCAGTCCCTGCTTTCCTCAGCTGGCCTGATTGGGGGTCTGCCCAGAGGGGTCGTCTGAGGGGAGGGTGTGGGAGCAGGTTCCATCCCGGCTCAGCCTCCTGACCCAGGCCCTGGCTAAGGGCTGCAGGAGTCTGTGAGTCAGGCCTACGTGGCAACTGCGGTCCTCACACCCCCACATACGTCTGTTCCCACACGCATCCCCCCAGGGGCCCTCAGTGAGCATTGCCTGCCTCCTGTCAGGGTCCAGCTGGCTCCAGTACACCAGAACACACACCCCAGTGTCCTCTGCCCTGTGTATGCCCTTCCGCCGCCCAGGTTGGAAGGTGGCAAACCGGATGAGTATCCTGGGAGGGGGTGAGCTCACCGGCAGTGGCCAGGCCCCTGGGAAACCTGGAGTTTGGGAGCAGCATCCTCCACGGGTCCCCCAGACCTTCCAGCAGGCCAAATAGACCTGTGTTGGAGGTAACCCCACTCCCACGCCAGGTGCTGATCCGCAGTGGCCGGGTGCCCATTGTGTCCTTGGAGTGTGTGTCCTGCAAGGCACAGGCCGTGTACGAAGTGAGCCGCAGCTCCTACGTGTACCTGGAGGGCCGCTGCCTCAATTGCAGCAGCGGCTCCAAGCGAGGGGTGAGTGTTGAGCGGGGTGTGGGCGGGTTGGGGATGGGTCCCATGGCCGAGGGGACGGGGCCTGCAGGCAGAAGTGGGGCTGACAGGGCAGAGGGTTGCGCCCCCTCACCATCCCTTCTGCCTGCAGCGGTGGGCTGCACGTACGTTCAGCAACAAGACGCTGGTGCTGGATGAGACCACCACATCCACGGGCAGCGCAGGCATGTGACTGGTGCTGCGGCGGGGCGTGCTGCGGGACGGCGAGGGATACACCTTCACGCTGACGGTGCTGGGCCGCTCTGGCGAGGAGGAGGGCTGCGCCTCCATCCCCCTGTCCCCCAACCGCCCGCCGCTGGGGGGCTCTTGCCGCCTCTTCCCACTGGGCGCTGTGCACGCTCTCACCACCAAGGTGCACTTCGAATGCATGGGTGAGTGCAGGCCTGCGTAGGGGGAGCAGCGGGATCCCCCGACTCTGTGAGGTCACGGAGCCCTCCCGTGATGCCGTGGGGACCGTCCCTCAGGCTGGCATGACGCGGAGGATGCTGGCGCCCCGCTGGTGTACGCCCTGCTGCTGCAGCGCTGTCGCCAGGGCCACTGCGAGGAGTTCTGTGTCTACAAGGGCAGCCTCTCCGGCTACGGAGCCGTGCTGCCCCCGGGTTTCAGGCCACACTTCGAGGTGGGCCTGGCCGTGGTGGTGCAGGACCAGCTGGGAGCCGCTGTGGTCGCCCTCAACAGGTGAGCCAGGCCGTGGGAGGGCGCCCCCGAGACTGCCACCTGCTCACCACCCCCCTCTGCTCGTAGGTCTCTGGCCATCACCCTCCCAGAGCCCAACGGCAGCGCAATGGGGCTCACAGTCTGGCTGCACGGGCTCACCGCTAGTGTGCTCCCGGGGCTGCTGCGGCAGGCCGATCCCCAGCACGTCATCGAGTACTCGCTGGCCCTGGTCACTGTGCTGAACGAGGTGAGTGCAGCCTGGGAGGGGACCTCACATCTGCTGCATGCGTGCTGGGGACCAAGACCTGTTCCCCTGCCTGGAGCTTTGCGGAGGGCTCATCCCGGGCCCCAGAGATAAATCCCAGTGACCCTGAAGCAGCACCCCGACGTTCCGCTCCCAGCAGCCACACCCACCGGGCCCTCTCCGGCGTCTGCTTTCCACAATGCAGCCCCCGCCCAGGAGGGCCCATGTGCTTACCCTGTTTTGCCCATGAAGAAACAGCTCAGTGTTGCGGGTCAGTGCCCACATCACACAGCATCTAGCACGTAACTGCACCCCGGGAGTCGTGGGCATCTGCTGGCCTCCTGCCGGCCTCCTGCCCTGCTGACAGCTTGCTGTGCCCCCTGCCTGCCCCAGTACGAGCGGGCCCTGGACGTGGCGGCAGAGCCCAAGCACGAGCGGCAGCGCCGAGCCCAGATACGCAAGAACATCACGGAGACTCTGGTGTCCCTGAGGGTCCACACTGTGGATGACATCCAGCAGATCGCTGCTGCGCTGGCCCAGTGCATGGTAGGATGGCCCCACATGCTCTCCCCGCCCCGCATGCCTGCCAGGGTACTGGGTTCAGCCCCCCAGGGCAGACGGGCAGCTTGGCCGAGGAGCTGAGCCTCCAGCCTGGGCTCCTTCCTGCCATGGCGTTCCTCGGTCTCTGACCTGCTTCAGTAGCCTCAGCCATTCTGCTGTCCTGTGTGAACGCAGGGTGCCTCTCGGGGGACCCAGGGTGTAAAGAGGGGCCCAGATGTGGGGAGGGACTAAGAAGATGCTGCTCTGTGCCCTCCACTCTCCCCTCCCCTCCCCCTTCCCTCCCCTAGCCCCTCCCCTCCCCTTCCCTCCCCTAACCCCTCCCCTCCCCCTTCCCTCCCCTAGTCCCTCCCCCCTCCCCTAGCCCCTGCCTCCTCCCCCAGCCCCTCCCCTCCCCTAGCCCTTCCCCTCCTCCCCTCCCCTAGACCTTCCCCTCACCTCTCCCCCTCCCCTCTCCCCTCCCCCTTCTCTCCCCTCTCCCCTCTCCCCTCCCCCTTCTCTCCCCTCCCCCCTTCTCTCCCCTCCCCTCTCCTCTCCCCCTTCTCTCCCCTCCCCTCTCCTCTCCCCCTTCTCTCCTCTCCCCTCTCCTCTCCCCCCTTCTCTCCCCTCCCCTCTCCTCTCCCCCTTCCCTCTCCTCTCCCCCTTCCCTCTCCTCTCCCCCTTCCCTCTCCTCTCCCCCTTCTCTCCCCTTCCCTCTCCTCTCCCCTTCCCTCTCCTCTCCCCCCTTTTCTCCACTCCCCTCTCCTCTCTCCCCTCTCCCCTCCTCCTCCTCTCATGTGAAGAGGTGCCTTGTGTGGTCGGTGGGCTGCATCACGTGGTCCCCAAGTGGAGGCCGTGGGTCATGCAGAGCCACAGAAAATGCTTAGTGAGGAGACTGGGGGGGTCCAGTCAAGTGGGCTCTCCAGCTGCAGGGCTGGAGGTGGGAGCCAGGTGAGGACCCGTGTAGAGAGGAGGGCGTGTGCAAGGAGTGGGGCCAGGAGCGGGGCTGGACACTGCTGGCTCCACACAGGGGCCCAGCAGGGAGCTCGTATGCCGCTCGTGCCTGAAGCAGACGCTGCACAAGCTGGAGGCCATGATGCGCATCCTGCAGGCAGAGACCACCGCGGGCACCGTGACGCCCACCGCCATCGGAGACAGCATCCTCAACATCACAGGTGCCGCGGCCCGTGCCCCACGCCACCCGCCCGCCCCACGTGGCCCGTCCGCCCCATGCCGCCCTTTCCTCTGCCTCCCTCCTCCCCACAACCGCCTCGCCTTTGCCCCATCCCATCTTCGTCCCCCTCCCCTCCCCCCAATTCCCATCCTCATCCCCCTCCCCCAATTCCCATCCTCATCCCGCTCCCCCAATTCCCATCCTTATCCCCCTCCCCCAATTCCCATCCTTATCCCCCTCCCCCAATTCCCATTCTCCTCCCCCTCCCCCTTCCCTATTACCATCCCTTTTCTCCATCTCTCTCCCCTTTTCTCCATTTCCCCCCCGATCCTCCCCGTCCTTTTGTCCATTCCCCTCATCTTTCTTATCCCCCTTATCCTCCTTCCCCTCCCTTATCCCCCTTCCCCTCCCTTATCCGCCTTATCCCCTTCCCCTCCCTTCCCCCTGCTCCTCTTCTTCTCCCCTTTCTCTTTTCTCTACCCTTTTCCTTCCTTTTTCCTCCCTCTCCCCATCATCCCCCTCATCTTCGTCCTCATCCCCATCCCCTTCCCCCTCCCCCTCCACCACTCTCTCTCCAGCTTCCCCCTTCCTTCTGCCTGCACCTCGCTCTCTGCCCCCTCAGGTTCCCCCTTTCTCCCAGTCCCCACCCTCCGGCTCCCCCTTTTTGCCTGCCCCCACCCTCCCTCTGCCTCCCTGTCTCTGCACTGACCTCACGCCTGTCTGCAGGAGACCTCATCCACCTGGCCAGCTCAGACGTGCGGGCACCACAGCGCTCAGAGCTGGGAGCCGAGTCACCATCGCGGATGGTGGCGTCCCAGGCCTACAACCTGACCTCTGCCCTCACGCCCATCCTCACGCGCTCCCGCGTGCTCAACGAGGAGCCCCTGACGCTGGCGGGTGAGGAGATCGTGGCCCAGGGCAAGCGCTCGGACCCGCGGAGCCTGCTGTGCTATGGCGGCGCCCCAGGGCCTGGCTGCCACTTCTCCATCCCCTAGGCTTTCAGCAGGGCCCCGGCCAACCTCAGTGACGTGGTGCAGCTCATCTTTCTGGTGGACTCCAATCCCTTTCCCTTTGGCTATATCAGCAACTACACCGTCTCCACCAAGGTGGCCTCGATGGCGTTCCAGACACAGGCCGGCGCCCAGATCCCCATCGAGCGGCTGGCCTCAGAGCGCGCCTCACCGTGAAGGTGCCCAACAACTCGGACTGGGCTGCCCGGGGCCACCGCAGCTCCGCCAACTCCGTTGTGGTCCAGCCCCAGGCCTCCGTCGGTGCTGTGGTCACCCTGGACAGCAGCAACCCTGCGGCCGTGCTGCATCTGCAGCTCAACTATACGCTGCTGGACGGTGCATGCAGCGGTTGGGGCACACGCGGCCCCCTGGCCTTGTTCTTGGGGGGAAGGCGTTTCTCGTAGGGCTTCCATGGGTGTCTCTGGTGAAATTTGCTTTCTGTTTCATGGGCTGCTGGGGGCCTGGCCGGAGAGGAGCTGGGGGCCACGGAGAAGCAGGTGCCAGCTCTGGTGCAGAGGCTCCTATGGCCTTTCAGGCCCATGGCAGAGGGTGGGCTCAGGAGGGCCATCGTGGGTGTCCCCCGGGTGGTTGAGCTTCCCGGCAGGCGTGTGACCTGCGCGTTCTGCCCCAGGCCGCTACCTGTCTGAGGAACCCGAGCCCTACCTGGCAGTCTACCTGCACTCGGAGCCCCGGCCCAATGAGCGCAACTGCTCGGCTAGCAGGAGGATCCGCCCAGAGTCCCTCCAGGGTGCCGACCACCGGCCCTACACCTTCTTCATTTCCCCGGGGTGAGCTCTGCGGGCCGGCCTGGCAGGGCAGGGCAGGGCATCATGGGTCAGCATTGCCCGGGTTACGGGCCCCGTGGGGACGGCAGGCAGCGAGGGGACTGGACCGGGTATGGGCTCTGGGACTTCGACATCCAACCTGGCGGAGCCTGGGCTCACGTCCACTGCCCCTTCCCTTCCCAGGACCAGAGACCCAGTGGGGAGTTACCGTCTGAACCTCTCCAGTCACTTCCGCTGGTCGGCGCTGGAGGTGTCCGTGGGCTTGTACACGTCCCTGTGCCAGTACTTCAGCGAGGAGGACGTGGTGTGGCGGACAGAGGGGCTGCTGCCCCTGGAGGAGACCTCGCCCCGCCAGGCCGTCTGCCTCACCCGCCACCTCACCGCCTTCGGCACCAGCCTCTTCGTGCCCCCAAGCCATATCCGCTTTGTGTTTCCTGTGAGTGACCCTGTGCTCCTGGGAGCCTCTGCAGAGTCGAGGAGGGCCTGGGTGGGCTCGGCTCTATCCTGAGAAGGCACAGCTTGCACGTGACCTCCTGGGCCTGGCGGCTGTGTCTTCACAGGAGCCAACAGCGGATGTAAACTACATCGTCATGCTGACATGTGCTGTGTGCCTGGTGACCTACATGGTCATGGCCGCCATCCTGCACAAGCTGGACCAGTTGGATGCCAGCCGGGGCCGCGCCATCCCCTTCTGTGGGCAGCGGGGCCGCTTCAAGTACGAGATCCTCGTCAAGACAGGCTGGGGCCGGGGCTCAGGTGAGGGGCGCGGCGGGGTGGCAGGGCCTCCCCTGCTCTCACTGGCTGTGCTGGTTGCACCCTCTGGGAATGAGTCTCGTCGCAGGCGTCAGAACAAGGCAGTTTTTGCAGTACTGTGTGAAGGGCTCGTGTGTTCATCCTGGGAATGACCTCGTGAGCACTCACTGTCCCTGAGGACTAGGACAGCTCCTAGCTGGAAGTAGGTGCCAGTCAGTCAGGGTGGGCAGCCCACGTTCTGCACAGTAGCGTGGCCCCACAAGTGACATGAGCATCGCTACCACTGTGGGAGACCATGCATCCACCCGCGATCCTGACTGCATAGCTCGTCTCTCAGGCGGAGGTGCCAGCACCCTCCCCGTGGCTGTTTCTTCAATACCTCCATTTTCCTTTATTGGAATTGCCCTTCTGGCATTCCCTTTTTGTTTTCGTTTTTCTTTTTTTGGAGACGGAGTCTCGCTCTGTTGCCCAGGCTGGAGTGCAATGGCGTGATCTTGGCTCACAGCAACTTCCAGCTCCTGGGTTTAAGCGATTCCCCTTAAGCGATTCTCCTGAGTAGCTGGGAGTACAGGTGCACACCACCACACCCAGTTAATTTTTCACCATGTCAGCCAGGCGAACTCCTGACCTCAGGTGATCCGCCTGCCTCGGCCTGCCAGAGTGCTGGGATGACAGGTGTGAGCCACCACACCTGGCCGTGTTCCCATTTTTTATTTCCATGCTGCTTTCATCTTCATTTCCCAGTTCTTTCTTTTGATTACCTACTTTTAAAAACTGTCGGCCGGGCGCGGTGGCTCACACCTGTAATCCGAGCACTTTGGGAGGCTGAGGCAGGCTAATCACGGGGTCAGGAGATCGAGACCATCCTGGCTAACGGTGAAACCCTGTCTCTACTAAAAAATACAAAAAAATTAGGCCGGCGTGGTGGCAGGCGCCTGTAGTCCCAGCTCCTCGGGAGACTGAGGCAGGAGAATGGCGTGAACCCGGGAGGCGGAGCTTGCAGTGAGCTGAGATTGCGCCACTGCACTCCAGCCTGGGTGACACAGCAAGACTCCATCTCAAAAAAAAAAAAAAAAAAAATACTGTCACCTGGGTCTGTCACTGGGAGAGGAGGTGACACAGCTTCACGCTTCGCAGTCTGTGCATGAACTGAGGGACGGGTGTGTGGTGCAGGTCACCGGTTGTGGCGTGACTGAGGCGTGGACAGGTGTGCAGTGCGGGTCACTGGTTGTGGTGTGGACTGAGGCGTGTGCAGCCATGTTTGCATGTCACAAGTTACAGTTCTTTCCATGTAACTTAATCATGTCCTTGAGGTCCTGCTGTTTATTGGACAAATTGCAGTAACCGCAGCTCCTCGTGTATAGCAGAGCTGTGCAAAGCCGGGACTGCCTGTGTGGCTCCTTGAGTGCGCGGAGGCCAAAGCTGAGATGACTTGCCTGGGATGCCACACGTGTTGGGCAGCAGACCGAGCCTCCCACCCCTCCCTCTTGCCCTCCAGGTACCACGGCCCACGTGGGCATCATGCTGTATGGGGTGGACAGCCGGAGCGGCCACCGGCACCTGGACGGCGACAGAGCCTTCCACCGCAACAGTCTGGACATCTTCCAGATCGCCACCCCGCACAGCCTGGGTAGCGTGTGGAAGATCCGAGTGTGGCACGACAACAAAGGTCTGTATGGACCCTGCCAAGCTCTGCCCCTCTGCCCCTGCATTGGGGCGCCCTGCGAACCTGACCTCCCTCCCGCGCCTCTGCAGGGCTCAGCCCTGCCCGGTTCCTGCAGCACATCATCGTCAGGGACCTGCAGACGGCACGCAGCACCTTCTTCCTGGTCAATGACTGGCTTTCGGTGGAGACGGAGGCCAACGGGGGCCTGGTGGAGAAGGAGGTGCTGGCCGCGAGTAAGGCCTCGTTCCGTGTTCCCACTCCGTGGGAGGTTGGGCAGGGTGGTCCTGCCCCGTGGCCTCCTGCAGTGCGGCCCTCCCTGCCTTCTAGGTCACGCAGCCCTGTTGCGCTTCCGGCGCCTGCTGGTGGCTGAGCTGCAGCGTGGCTTCTTTGACAAGCACATCTGGCTCTCCATATGGGACCGGCCGCCTCGTAGCTATTTCACTCACATCCAGAGGGCCACCTGCTGCGTTCTCCTCATCTGTCTCTTCCTGGGCGCCAACGCCGTGTGGTACGGGGCTGTTGGAGACTCTGCCTACAGGTGGGTGCCGTAGGGGTCGGGACAGCCTCTTCCTGCCCAGCCCTTCCTGCCCCTCAGCCTCACCTGTGTGGCCTCCTCTCCTCCACACAGCACGGGGCGTGTGTCCAGGCTGAACCCGCTGAGCGTCGACACAGTCGCTGTTGGCCTGGTGTCCAGCGTGGTTGTCTATCCCGTCTACCTGGCCATCCTCTTTCTCTTCCGGATGTCCCGGAGCAAGGTGGGCTGGGGCTGGGGACCCGGGAGTACTGGGAATGGAGCCTGGGCCTCGGCACCATGCCCAGGGCCGCCACTTTCCAGTGCTGCAGCCAGAGGGAAAGGCGTCCACCAAAGGCTGCTCGGGAAGGGTCAACACACTTGAGCAGCCTTAGCTAGACTGACCAGGGAGAAAGAGAGAAGACTCAGAAGCCAGAATCGTGAAAGAACGAGGGCACTTCGCTAAGCAGACGCCACGGACAACTGCACAGCAGCACGCCAGATAACTCAGAAGAAGCAAGCACGCGGCTGTGCACGCTTCCGAAATGCACTCCAGAAGAAAATCTCAGTACATCTATAGCAAGTGAAGAGGCCGAGTTAGTCCCTTAGAAACCTCCCAGTGGCCGGGCCGGGTGTGGTGGCTCACGCCTGTAATCCCAACACTTCAGGAGGCCGAGGTGGGCGGATCTGAGTCCAGGAGTTTGAGACCAGCCTGGGCAACATAGCAAGACCCCATCTATATAAAACATTAAAAAGGGCCAGGCACGGTGGCTCACGCCTGTAATCCCAACACTTTGGGAGGCCGAGGCGGGCAGATCAGTTGAGGTCAGGAGTTCGAGACCAGCCTGGCCAACACAATGAAACCCCATCTCTACTACAAATACAAAAACAGCTGGGCATGGTGGCGGGCGCCTGTAGTCCCAGCTACTCGAGAGGCTGAGGCAGGAGAATGGCATGAACCCAGGAGGCGGAGCTTGCAGTGAGCCGAGATTGCGCCACTGCACTCCATCCTGGGCAACGGAGCAAGACTCCGTCTCCAAAAAAAAAAAAAAAAAAAATCCCACAAAGAAAAGCCCAGGCTCAGAGCCTTCACGATAGAATTTTTCTAAGCAGTTAAGGAAGAATTAACACCAATCCTTCACAGACTCTTTCCAAGAATACAGCAGGTGGGAACTCTTCCCATTCATACGGAAACGGGAGGCCGCACCCCTTAGGAATGCACACGTGGGGTCCTCAAGAGGTTACATGCAAACTAACCCCAGCAGCACACAGAGAAGGCGCATAAGCCGCGACCAGGAGGGGTTGCTCCCGAGTCCGTGGCAGGAACCAGAGGCCACATGTGGCTGCTCGTATTTAAGTTAATTAAAATGGAACGATGGCCGGGTGTGGTGGCTCACACCTGTACTCCCAGCACTTTGGGAGGCGGAGGCGGGCAGATCACTTGAGGTCAGGAGTTCCAAGACCAGCCTGGCCAACACAGTGAAACCCCGTCTCTACTAAAAATACAAAAAATTAGCTGGGCATCGTGGCAGGCACCTGTAATCCCAGCTACTAAAGAGGCTGAGCCAGGACGGACAATCGCCTGAACGCGGGAGGTGGAGGTTGCAGTGAGCTGAGATTGCGCCAGTGCACTCCTGCCTGGGTGACAGAGCGAGACTCCATCTAAAAAAAAAAAAAATGAAATTTAAAACTCTGTTCCTTAGCTGCACCAGTCTGCTGTCAAGTGTTCAGTGGCACATGTCGCGAGGGGCTGCCATCACGGACGGTGCAGATGTCCCATATATCTAGCATTCTAGAACATTCTGTCAGATGGCACCGGGCTCTGTCCTGTCTGCTGAGGAGGTGGCTTCTCATCCCTGTCCTGAGCAGGTCTGAGCTGCTGCCCGCTGACCACTGCCCTTGTCCTGCAGGTGGCTGGGAGCCCGAGCCCCACACCTGCCGGGCAGCAGGTGCTGGACGTCGACAGCTGCCTGGACTCATCCGTGCTGGACAGCTCCTTCCTCACGTTCTGAGGCCTCCACGCTGAGGTGAGGGCTCTACTGGGGGTCCTGCCGCCTTGGCGCAGCTTGGACTCAAGACCCTGTGCACCTCTCAGCAGGCCTTTGCTGGACAGATGAAGAGTGACTTGTTTCTGGATGATTCTAAGAGGTGGGTTCCCTAGAGAAACCTCGAGCCCTGGTGCAGGTCACTGTGTCTGGAGTGCCGGGGGTGTGCGGGCTGCGTGTCCTTGCTGGGTGTCTGTGGCTCCATGTGGTCACACCACCTGGGAGCAGGTTTGCTCGGAAGCCCAGGGTGTCCGTGCGTGACTGGACGGGGGTGGGCTGTGTGTGTGACACATCCCCTGGTACCTTGCTGACCCGCGCCACCTGCAGTCTGGTGTGCTGGCCCTCCAGCGAGGGAACGCCCAGTTAGCCGGACCTGCTCAGTGACCCGTCCATTGTGGGTAGCAATCTGCGGCACGACCCCCACTTACTGGGTCTCTCCTTTTACAACCAACACAACCGAAATCTAGGGCTTCTTCTTTTTTTTTTTTTTTTTTTGAGACAGAGTCTCATTCCATTCTGTCACCCAGGCTGGAGTGCAATGGTACGATCTCGGCTCACTGCAACCTCCGCCTCCCAGGTTCAAGGGATTGTCCTGCCTCAGCCTCCTGAGTAGCTGGGATTACAGGCGTGTGCCACCATGCCTGGCTAATTTTTGTATTTTTGGTAGAGACGGGGTTTCAGCATGTTGGTGAGGCTGGTCTCGAACTCCTAACCTCGTGATCCGCCTGCCTCAGCCTCCCAAAGTGCTGGGATTACAGACGTGAGCCACCATGCCCAGCCAAATCTAGGGCTGGAACATGGCTGCAGCATATAAATAGAATTGAATTCCATAGTTTTGTTAACCCTGTTTTTTGTTTGTTTGTAGTTGTTGCTGTTTTTGAGACAGAGTCTCGCTCTGTCGCCTAGGCTGGAGTGCAGTGGTGCAATCTCGGCTCACTGCAGACTCTGCCTCCCGGGTTCAAACTGTTCTCCTGCCTCAGCCTCCCAAGTAGGTGGGACTACAGGCGCCCACCACCACACCCGGCTAATTTTTGTATTTTATTAGAGACAGGGTTTCACCATATTGGCCAGGCTGGTCTGGAACTCCTGACCTTGTGATCCGCCCACCTCGGCCTCCCAAAGTGCTGGGATTACAGGCGTGAGCCACCACCCCCAGCCCCTGTTTTGTTTTTGTTTTGCTTGTTTCTTAGGGTTGTTTTTCTATTTATGGTAAAGGCATTGGCTTTCCATTTGTAGCATCAATAGAATATTTCCTGTTTACAATAACCTTATGTCATAGTAAATGGTAAAGGGATTTAAAGCAGTGGTTTTCAGCTGCCAGAGGCCTGAGTTTGGGCACACTCTGTGTGATCGGGCAGAAGGCCTGTGGGAAGTTTAGCTGAGGACAGGGCCAGGAAAGGTGATGGACAGTGGGGGTCTGTCCTGGTCACCAGGCCCCTGGGTCCTGCCCACCTGCTTGGAGCTCCCCACCCATCACACATGATGCTGCCAAGCCCTCTGGGTATTGTGGGCAAATACCTTAGGAGAGAAGCTGATGAGCTTTGTTTCTTGAAATGCACAGATTCCTTGGACATCCCTGAGAGGCCAGTCATGAAAGTCAGCTTGGTTTTCTCCCCCTCATTTGGGTTCAGAATTTAAAGTCCACACACACGGGCAGTAAGATAATATAGATAAGGACATCATCACTCGGTTTCGGATGTTAAAATGTCTAGGTGGGTTAGGGGTGATTTGAGATCACGCAACCTTGTGCCACAAAGAGGAATTCCCAGGCCAGAGGGAGACATTTTATTGCCATGTTATGATCTCATCATTGAGTTGAAAGGCAATCTTGTTTCATTTTGGATTCTTTCTTATGTTTATGTCTTATAAGGGCACTTTGAATTTCCAAGCAAATAATAATTTTGAATTAGCTTTTAATCATTGACTTCTAGCACAGTTTTATGATCAGAAACATGCTGTGTGATTTGATTGCTCTCAAATATATTGAGATTTGCTGGAACAAAATAAGTCAGGTTAATTTTTGTAAATGTACCATGCATGCTTAAAATGAATGTATGTACATTTGTTCCTGAGATACAGGTTGATGGACGGATGGCTACATGGATGTGATGGAGATGGTTTACTATCGGGACCTTCCGCATCCTGCTGATGTTTTGTTGCTTAGGATATGAATGGCTGAGCGGAGGCTGTAAAACCTGGCACTCTGCTTGGGTATGAGGTTCTTCCTGCCATCCTGCCATCATTTGTTTTTTATGTTTTGTCGCCAAAAGTGACCTTGAGGAACCCTGGGAGCTCAGGAAGGAAGGAGCGCCCAGAAGCAGGGACAGGGAGCTGGTTGGGGAGGACCAGAAATCAGGTTTGTGAAGGTTCCAGAGAGGACCTGGCCTTGGGAGGAGCGTGGGGGACTGAGATGGGGGAGGGGTCATTGGGATGATGCGGGCGCTACTTGGAATGTCCATTGTGAGGCACCACCGGGGTCATCAGGGATTGGTGGAGAGAGAGTCTAAAGCCCCAGGGTTGCTAAGGGAGGGCCCAGACCGAAGAAGGTTTGGTGGAAAGCAGAACCTTTGTCTCCCTCTAATTGCTCCTAAGCCTCACGCTCCCTTGCCCCGCGTGTCCTGTTGCTTCCCTGATCTTCTCCGTGACCTGTAGCTAAACCTTCCACCAGCGCTTGAGAACTTAATTTGAACCGGATCCTTTCCCAGACCCCTTTCTTCTTCTCCTCCTCCTCCTCCCCAACAGCCCCCTTCTCCTCCTTTCCCTTCCCTTACTTCCCCCCTTCCCCTCCCCTTCCCCTCCCCCTCCCCTCCCCCTCCCCAACTCAGATCCGGCCCGGTCCCCGTCCCCTTCCCTCCCCCCTGCCCTAAGCCACCTCCACCTCTGTCCTGGCCACCTCCGGGTGCCCTGAAAGGACCAGGACATGCGGGTGCGGTGGCTGCTCTTTTGGCTCCTCTTTTGGCTCCTGCTGGGATTTATCAGCCATCAGTCCACCTGTGTGAGTAGATGGGTGCTGTGGCTGCTCTTTTGGCTCCTGCTGGGATTTATCAGCCATCAGTCCACCTGTGTGAGTAGACGCTGGACCCGCGGGGTTTCTTCCTTTTTACTGGGCTGTGTCACGCGGCATGAAATTACACAGCTCAGGCCTGTAATCCCAGCACTTTAGGGGGCCGAGGTGGGCAGATCACTTGAGTCCAGGAGTTGAAGACTAGCCAGGGCATCATAGCGAAACCCCATCTCTACAAAAAATTCCAAAAAAGATTAGTCGGGCCTGGTGGTGCGTACCTGTTATCCCAGTTACTGGAGAGGCTGAGGTGGGAGGATCGCTTGGGCCCAGGAGCTGGACGTTGCAGTGAGCCGAGATGGCCCCGCTGCACTCTTGTCTCTAACAAACAAAACGGACCAAAACAAAGTGAAATGTCATTTGATTTGTGTCATCTGGTTTGATGACTTTTTTTTTTTTTTAAGACAGAGTCTCATTCTGTCGCCCAGGCTGGAGTGCAGTGGCAAGATCTCGGCTCACTGCAACCTCCGCTTCCGGGGTTCAAGCAATTGTCCTGCCTCAGCCTCCTGAGCAGCTCAGATTACAACGCCTGGCTAATTTTTGTATTTTTAGTAGAGACTGGGTTTCACCGTGTTCGCCAGGATAGTCTCCATGTCTTGACCTCGTGATCTGCCTGCCTCGGCCTCCCAGTGCTGGGATTACAGGCGTGAGCCACCGCGCCTGGCCAAAATATATAACCTTAAGTGTAAGTTTACTAACTTTGGAAAGTACATACACCAGCATAAACCAACCCCCTTTCAAGATCTACATTATTTTATTTATTTATTTATTTTTTTGAGACAGTTTCTCCCTTGTTGCTGAGGCTGGAGTGCAATGGGGCAATATCAGCTCACCGCAACCTCTGCTTCCCAGGTTCGAGCGATTCTCCTGCCTCAGCCTCCCGAGTGGCTGGGATTACAGACATGTGCCACCACTCCCAGCTAATTTTGTATTTTTAGTAGAGATAGGGTTTCTCCATGTTGGTCAGGCTGGTTTTGAACTCCCGACCTCAGGTGATCCGCCTGCCTCGGCCTCCCAAAGTGTTGGGATTACAGGCGTGAACCACCGTGCCCAGCCAAGATCTACACTATTATGTCACCCCAGAAAGTGAACTCTCACTCTTCCCAGCCAGTCTCTTTCTTATCATAGGTTAGCTTGCTTATTCTGGAATTTCGCGTATACAGATGCATGCCATGCCATAGGTACTCTTTTGTGTCTGCTTTATTCTGCTCAACACCATGTTTCTGAAATCATTACCATTGTTGTACGGTTCTCTAACTCCATCATTTCCATTTCAGACTCAGCATATGCTGAGTTCAACCTGTTGAAGGGCTATCTCTGTTTAATTCACCATCTTGAAAGAAACATTTAAAATTGAGATGTTTTCAAGAATATATAGTTAAATCCTGAGGAATCGATGTAGAAATGTTATCAGAAGCTGTCTGAACTTACTCAGGGGAAGTCTTCGTCTTCACTCACATAAGAGTCTAATGGAATTAATATCAACAATCTTAGAGAAATCCCACGCTATTCATGCCATTTTCATGATCTCCACCTTGGTAATTTTTTTTTTTTTTTTGAGACAGAGTCTCGCTCTGTCACCCAGGCTGAAGTGCAGTGGTGCGATCTTGGCTCACTGCAACCTCTACCTCCCAGGTTCAAGTGATTCTTCTGCCTCAGCCTCCCAAGTAGCTGGAACTATAGGCGCGTGCCACCATGCCCTGCTAATTTTTTGTATTTTTAGTAGAGATGGGTTTCACCGTGTTAGCTAGGATGGTCTCAATCTCCTGATCTCGCGGTCCACCCACCTCGGCTTCCCAAAGTGCTGGGATTGCAGGCGTGAGCCACCACGCCCAGCCCACCTTGTTACTTTTTAAGAACTAAAATTCGATACTTATTTGTGAATGAAGTAATCTCTTCATTGTATTTTTTTTTTTTTTTTACTTATGCTGAGCTTTAAATGACAAAGATTCATATAATCCAAGAGAGAAGTATTATTTAGAGGGATTCTTTTACCATGTGATATATAATAAATGCATCCAATGTTATACATCAATTTAAAAAACAAATAACTAAAGAAAAGATAACTACTGGCCAGGTGCAGTGGCTCACACCTGTATTGCCAGCACTTTGGGAGGCCGAGGCAGGTGGATCATGAGGTCAGGAGTTGGAGACCAGCCTGGCCAAGATGGTGAAACCCTGTTTCTACTAAAAAGACAAAAATTAGCCGAGCGTGGTGGCAGGCGCCTGTAATCCCAGTTACTCAGTAGCTGAGGCAGGAGAATCGCTTGAACCCGGGAGGCGGAGGTTGCAGTGAGCTGAGATCATGCCACTGCAATCTAGCCTGGGTGACAGAGCAAGACTTTGTCTCAAAACAAAAATAAAAGATAAGATAATTACTTTATACTTAGCTTGTCTTACCCATGAGTGACGGGCTGCATGTGGCCCAGGACAGTTTTGAATGCAGTTCAACACAAATTTGTAAACTTTCTTAAAACATTAGGAGATTTTGGCCAGGTACAGTGGCTCATGCCTGTAATCCCAGCACTTTGGGAGGCTGAGGCGGGCAGATTACCTGAGGTCAGGAGTTCGAGACCACCCTGGCCAACATGGCAAAACCCCATCTCCACAAAAAATACAAAAATTTGCTGAGTGCACTGTCAGGCACCTGTACTCCCAGCTACTCAGGAGGCTGAGGCAGGAGAGTCACTTGAACCTGAGAGGCAGAGGTTGCAGTGAGCCGAGAGCACACCACTGCACTCCAGCCTGGGTGACAGAGTGAGACCCCATCTCAAAAACAACAAACAAAAACAAAAAAAATGGCCGGGCACGGTGGCTCACACCTGTAATCCCAGCACTTTGGGAGGCCGAGGCAGGCAGATCGCCTGTCAGGAGTTCAAGGCCAGACTGGCCAACATGGTGAAACCTCATCTCTACTAAAAATACAAAAATTAGTCGGGCATGGTGGCAGAGACCTGTAATCTCAGCTGCTCGGGAGGCTGAGGCAGGAGAATGGCTTGAGCCCAGGAGCTGGAGGTTGCAGTGAGCCGAGATTGCACCACTGCACTCCAGCCTGGGCGACTGAGTGGAGCGGAACTCTGTCTCAAAAAAAAAAAAAAAAAAATTTTTTTTTTTAGATCATCAGCTATTGTTAGTGTTAGTGTATGTTATGTGTGGCTCAAGACAACTTTGCTTCTTTTAATATAGGCAGGGAAGTCAAAAGATTGGATATCCCTGCTTTATACCAAGAAAGACAACACCCCACATTTGCAATGCCTAAAAACACTACCAGCCATCTGAAAAACATGAGACTTCTCTAACTTCTGTTCTTTTTTGTAGCAGTGGAATCCCACGGTGATATCTGAGGGATGTGGTTACCTTTTGGAGGAGGTTGACGGTTTCTAAGGATGATTCTTTCTGAGTGAAATATTGTCAGTGTCATTGACCTTTTCATTATTTCAACTATTATTATTCCAGGTTATCAATACTCTGGCTGACCATCGTCATCGTGGGACTGACTTTGGTGGAAGTCCTTGGTTACTTATCATTACTGTGTTTCTGAGAAGTTATAAATTTGCCATCTCCCTCTGCACAAGTTACCTTTGTGTGAGTATACTAACTTTCTGTAGAGGTATACTTGTAATCACAAATAAGAATAAATTATATGAAACAATTCACGTTTCTGGACTTCATTATGAATATGTGGTTTTACCCAAAAAATCAGGGAAATGATTTATTAGCATAAGAATTATGAAAATATCTGCCATTTACATTATGAAAATTAAATAGGTCGGTGTTTAATAGAATGTCAACAGAGCTTTTGGTCAAAAATAAGTTTTTTTAACCTTTGTGCTATTTGTCACAAATGGAGTATGAGATTTCGTCACTTAAATGGGAAAGTCTTTCTAAACTCTTCTGCTTTATAGTTCTATCGTATGGGTGGAAGGAAAGCTTCCAATCTCCTCTCTGAAGATTCACTGCAGAAATGAGCTGACAACAGACAGCTTAACAGGAAAAGAAAAACATAGAACAGGCATAAACATGGGAACCAGCTGAAAAATGAGACTGCTAGAAGGGCTGGATGGTTGATGCTTAAAGAGCACCCTCTTCTGAGGGTAGAGGGAGATAGATGGAGATGTAGGCCATTTAGAGGGTCAGCAAATGATTTTTAGGGGAAATGAAAGAGCCCAAGGAACAAACAGTTGGCCTGAGACAAAGTTCCTCTGAGGTCATAGGGACGAGGTGACAAACTGCCGGAAGGTGAAGGGCAGAACTGCACTGCGTCTCATGATGCAGAGAAAGCCCCAGAGAATCTCTTAGAACTGCCCTCCAAGAGAATCAATGAAAAGTGTGTCTGGGCAGGGTAATTTTGAATGACATCATTCAAAGTGCATGTTCCCACTTGCAACTGGAGAGAGATCCGTATGTCAAAAGTCTGTACTTGGTAAGAATTTGGCTGCTAAGTTGTGGCATAATTTGTCTTTTGAGCCTTTTTTCCTTTGGGTAAGTTGAGCTCTACATTTTGTCTTGCCATTCATGACAGTAAAAATGTGGTTGTGTGGGGGCTGAACCTCCTTCTGAACAATGATCCAAGATAAAAGTACTAATACCACAATGCTTTTTGATATTCAAGGGAAGAGGAAGTATGTTTCAGTTTTACCGCCTAGATAATTACACGTCATTTGGCACTGCCTTTCAAGATATGTGGAAAACAGAAAATATATGAGTTATGAAGATATCTAGGCACATTTAACATTCTCTATGCCACTTAGTCCTGAACAGAGAATTTTTGGTATAAATTGGAGGAAGCTTTTTTTTTTTTTTTTTCTTTTCTCACCCCCAAAAGGAGTCTCCCTCTGTTGCCCAGGCTGGAGTATAATGGTGTGATCTCGGCTCACTGCAACCTCCACCTCCTGGCTTCAAGTGATTCCCCTGCCTCAGCCTCTCAAGTAGCTGGGATTACAGGTGCCCACCACCATGCCCAGCTAATTTGTGTATTTTTAGTAGAGTCGGGGTTTTACCATGTTGGCCAGGCTAGTCTCAAAACCCGACCTCAAATGATCCACCCGCCTCAGCCTCCCAAAGTGCTGGGATTACAAGCGTGAGCCACCACGTGAGCCAGGGGAAGTTTTTAAATTTACCACTTTTTAACAATTCCATTTAGGAAAGTTCAGTTGAGCTGTTGGACTTGGACAACTTTGTACCTCTCATCTTTGTCCTTGTCATCTAGTCATCTATACCATTACCTCCTAAGCAGGGACATCATGGGTGCCATGAAGCATTCATGTGTGATGGCATTTCTTTGCTTCTCATTTCTTCATGTGTTTGACATTTCTCCTAGCTCCAAACTGGGCCAGCTACCTTTCCTATGAAATCTAGCAGTAGCTGTGGGATAGACGTGGTTGCTCTTTTCATCTTTTTAGATTACCCATTGCTTCTCTTGAAATCCTAGTACATGATTTTTTTTTTTATCCTATGTGCAGAAATCAGGAAAAAACAAATTCTACAAAGAATTTGAAAGATATTATTTCAGGCCAGGTGTGGTGGCTCATGCCTGTAATCCCAGCACTTTGGGAGGCTGAGGCAGGTGGATCACTTGAGGTCAGGAGTTCAAGACCAGATGGGCCAACATAGTGAAATCCCATCTCTACTAAAAAGACAAAAATTAGCCAGGCATGGTAGCAGGCACCTGTAATCCCAGCTACTTGGGAGGCCGAGGCACAAGAATCGCTTGAATCTGGGAGGTGGAGGTTGCCGTGAGCCAAGGTAGCGCCACTGCACTTCAGCATGGTTGAGTGACACTCCGTCTCAAGAAAAAAGTCATTTCAATGACTACCTCAGGAGATTCATAGGTATCTGACCCACATCTGAGATGGGATTTGCATTGCATTTTAGCTATGATGAGAACAAATATTTAATATCTTCGAAGATTAAAAGCATACTGTGATAATATGGAAATCTTGGTGGGAATTCAGTCATTAGTGAGAATGTTTTGCATTAAGTTCAAACCAGCCTCAACGAAGCTGATGTGAGGGAAGGGAAAGTGAACTCTGAGTAGAGCAGGGACAGAAGAAAGATGCTCCAGTGCAGATCAGGAAGGAGCAGGGGGTGAAATGTTACAAATTCTAGAACTCAGAGAGCTGAAGGTAATTAATTACTTCCTTTTCAAGTTGTGAAACATGTTAACCTGTGGTAAAATACTTACAAGATGATAATTACCATCTAACCGTGTTGAAGTGTACAGTTCAGTTGTGTGAAGTATATTCATGTCATTTTTTTTTTTTTTTTTTGAGACGGAGTCTCACTCTGTCACCAGGCTGGAGTGCAGTGGTGGGATCTTGGCTCACTGCAACCTCTGCCTCTTGGGTTCAAGCAGTTCTCCTGCCTCAGCCTCCGGAGTAGCTGGGACTACAGGCGTGCGCCACCATGCTCAGCTAATTTTTGTATTTTTAGTAGAGACGGGGTTTCACCATGTTGCCCAGGATGGTCTCCATCTCTTGACCTTGTGATTCACCCGCCTCGGCCTCCCAAAGTGCTGGGATTACAGGCGTGAGCTACCGCACCTGGCCTATATTTTTTTTTTTTTTTTTTTTTGAGACAGAGTTTGAATTTTGTTGCCCATGTTGGAGTGCAATGGCACAATCTCAGCTCAACACAACCTTTTCCTGCTGGGTTCAAGTGATTCTCCTGCCTCAGCCTCCCGACTAGCTGGGATTACAGGCATGCACCACCATGCCTGGCTAATTTTGTATTTTTAGCAGAGACAGCGTTTCTCCATGTTGGTGAGGCTGGTCTCAAACTCCCGACCTCAGGTGATCCGCCTGCCTCGGCCTCCCAAAGTGCTGGGATTACAGGAGTGAGCCACCATGCCAGCCTCATGTCATTCTTGTGTGGTGTGTGTGTGTGTGTGTGTGTGTGTGTGTGTGTGTGTGTGAGACAGAGTCTCATTCTGTCACTCAGGCTGGAGTGCAGTGGTGTGATCTCGGCTCACTGCAACCTCCACCTCCCAGCTTCAAACGGTTCTCTGCCTCAGCCTCCCGAGTAGCTCGGATTACAGGCGCCCACTGCCATGCCCGGCTAATTTTTGTATTTTTAGTAGAGATGGGGTTTCACCATCTTGGCCAGGCTGGTCTTGAACTCCTGACCCCGTGATCCACCCTGCCTCGGCCTCCCAAAGTACTGGGATTATACGCATGAGCCACCGTGCCCAGCCGTCATTCTTATATTATTATTTCCTAGGTGTCTTTCCTGAAGACTATCTTCCCGTCTCAAAATGGACATGATGGATCCACGGATGTACAGCAGAGAGCCAGGAGGTCCAACCGCCGTAGACAGGAAGGTATGGCTCTGTTGGAGTCCCCATAGTGTGGAAATGAGTTTGCCCTGGAAAGGGAAAGAACAGCTTCTTGCCCTCAGGTTTCTCACCTTCTCCTCTCCTCACTCTCACCAAGGGCTGAGGTCCGTTTGTATGCACACAAAGAAAAGAGTTTCTTCCTTTCCAGGAATTAAAATTGTCCTGGAAGACATCTTTACTTTATGGAGACAGGTGGAAACCAAAGTTCGAGCTAAAATCCGTAAGATGAAGGTGACAACAAAAGTCAACCGTCATGACAAAATCAATGGAAAGAGGAAGACCGCCAAAGAACAGTAAGATGTGCCTTGACACAAATACTGTTGTATGAACCATGTGCCAATCAAAGTAGACAACTGTAAAGTCCTTGAGAATATTTTCTACAATATTTGTGGCAAATTCAGTGGGTTCAAAATTGAGCTTGTCCTTTCTGCTTCATTAGTTTAAGCTGTATAATTCCTTTCCCTTCCTACATTCTTGTTTGTCATTTTTTCAGGGGAAGAGGAGTTGCTAGTACTGGCATTGGTTTTCCTTTCTCTCTCTCTTTTTTTTTTTTTTTCCTGAAATGGAGCTTTGCTCTTGTTGCCCAGGCCGTAGTGCAATGGCACAATCTCAGCTCACTGCCTTTTGGGTTCAAGCAATTCTCCTGCCTCAGCCTCCCAAGTAGCTGGGATTACAGGTGCCCACCACCACGCCCAGCTAATTTTTGTATTTTTACTAGAGATGGGGTTTCACCATGTTGTCCAGACTGGTCTCGAACTTCTGACCTCAGGTAATCCACCCGCCTCAGCCTCCCAAAGTGCTGGGATTAGAGGCGTGAGCCACCACACCCAGGCTTTTTTTTTTTTTTTAATTTTGAGATAGAGTCTCGCTCTGTCGCCCAGGCTGGAGTGCTATGGTGCAATCTTGGCTCACTGCAACCTCTGCCTCCCAGTTTGAAGCAATTCTGCCTTGGCTTCCCGAGTAGCTTGGATTACAGGTGTGTGCCACCACATTCGGCCAATTTTTTTTTTTTTTTTTTTTTTTTGAGACAGAGTCTCACTCTGTCACCCAGGCTAGAGTGCAGTGGCATGATCTTGGCTCACTGCAACCTCCGCCTCCCAGGTTCAAACGATTCTTATCCCTCAGCCTCTTGAGTAGCTGGGACTACAGGCATATGCCACCATGCCCAGATAATTTTTGTATTTTTAGTAGAGGCGGGGTTTCACCATATTGGCCAAGCTGGTCTAGAACTCCTGACATCATGATCCGCACAACTCGGCCTCCCAATGTGCTGGGATTACAGGCGTGAGCCACCGTGCCCAGCCCAATTTTTGTATTTTTAGTAGAGACGGGTTCACCATGTTGGCCAGGCTAGTCTTGAACTCCTGACCTCAGGTGATCTGCCTACCTCAGCCTCCCAGTGTGAGCCACCGCACCCAGCCTGGATTGTTGAACTCAATGCTTGGGTCACCTCCAGATTCATTTTCACAGTCTTTCATGTTTTGGTCATACTACATTGTATTTTGCTGCCATATGACTGATCTTTTTTTGTTAAATGTGAGATACTTGTTAAAAAATATTTAACAATGAATTGAGGCCTAGTAGCATGTTATCTTGCTGCAGAAGAGATGGGAGTCTACTTCTGGGGGATGGTCAGGGGTCCTCCGTACAGGCTGCAATTGAGGTCGTCTCTGCAGGCTCAGTCCCTACAAAGGCCAGGGTATTTCCTGTCCACCTCTATTCTGATGCATGACTCTTCTGGGTCTCAACCAGAGCCAGTGGACTTCAGTATGGATCGCTTTCATTGGCAGACCCTCAATCCACTTGTTTTCCATCTAACCCCACGCATGTGTGCAAAAGCTGCTGTGCTTCTTTGCATCTCAGTAGTTCCTTCTGGAATTCAGCAATGAAACTCAGGGAAATGGGTTCCAAATGCGAGGCTGACTTTCGTCCTGGGTTTCCTTCTTCTCCATCTTCACCTCATGTCTGTTTACTGCCATGTTAGCAATTTGATGTATTCAATCATGGGTTTTATATTCTGTTTGGTGTCCCCCATTGTTCTCATCTGAGATCAGAAGCTTCAGATGCACTTATGTCAACTCAAGAGTAGAATGCTTCCTTAGCCTCCCTCCAGAGTCAGGTTTTGTGTTTCTAGTTCCCAAGTGCACAGCAGGAGTAGTGATGTCCTCACTGGCTTCTCATTTGCATTAAACTGTGAGCTTCTTTAGCGTGGGGACAGGACCCTGCTCCCATTGCATTGTCAGCACCTCACCACACACACCTTGTTTGAGGCCACTCCAGACAGCATGTGCTGAAGGATGCCCTGTGGTCAGAAACAAGTTCATTAACTTTCTCTTTGAAGTGTTTTCGTCCCTGTTTCCTAGCGTTCTGGGAATTTTACACATCCTTCCTATAAAACCAAGTATCAGGTGAGATCCTTAGGATCAGGACCATGAATCAAGTGGTGTGAGGGCAACACAGCAAACTTACCCTTTTGAGGCCGTTTCCTTTTTCTGCCCTCAATCTCTGTGAACTGAACCTTGTTAAAGTCAGTCAACACCAGGGTGGATGGTTTGCCGTTGTCACCTATTTTCAGGACATAACATCCTGACTTAGGAGCCATTCCGATCATTTCTAATTCAATAGATGCACCCAGCATTCAGATTGCCTTTTCAGGATCTTTAAAGTCGATGACAAGAGTTCCAGTCCTGAATCATGGCAAAGTGCAGTAGTGAACTGCGGGGTTAATGACACCATATTCTGGAAGGATCTCTCTATGGCTGATGGTCTCAGTTCCGGCATCAGCCTCTGACTGAGAATCAGGTCTCACACAGGAGAAGTCAGATGAGGAGCAATCCTCTGCTTCCGATGGAGTTAGTTGTGATGAATTGGTGAGGTCTGGTTTTTCACACTGAACTAAAATGAGCTTTCGCTGTGTCAAGCACAAGACTGACCCCAGAGACGCACATAGTGCACCTCATAGAAGCTTTTAATAGTCTTTATATTTACTAAAGAATAGGACTAACTATGGAACTATGAAGATGAGCTGGAAATGACAGGTGACTTGCCAGCAGGCCAGAGTGTGATTTTTTTTTGTCCCTCAATGGGAGGTGTCCATTCTTCCTTCGGTTGTGAGAATCAGTTGGTTCATTTGTGGGAAGGTTGCAGGGGGGATCTTTGAATCAGCCTTCAGATGCCAGAAGGGCAGAGGGAATCCCACACGTGCTGGTGGATCATGTGTGTGCATTTCTCTCCCTTCTAGTCTGAGGAAACTAAGCATGAAAGAACGTGAGCACGGAGAAAAGGAGAGGCAGGTGTCAGAGGCAGAGGAAAATGGGAAATTGGATATGAAAGAAATACACACCTACATGTGAGTTCAGAAACTGAACCCCACCCTCTTGGGAAACGCCCATTGGAGTGTTGTTTTTAACCTTTGTACAATGTTTAGACCCAGTAAATGCAGAAATAGAAACAAATGGTCAGAAGACATATCGTGAGAGAGAGAGAGTTCACAAAACAGAAAACAAAGTACCTTAATATTTACCAGTGACCAAAAGATGTGAAGTAGCAAAACGGCTCCTGACCCCATTGCCAGCTAGACTGTGTGGAAACTCGGTTCATACCAGCCATTCTAGGGGTGGGGTGAGTTGTTGTCATCCTTAGGAAAGTGTGTTGTTGTAGGATCAACCACATCCTTCAAAAGGACTATGCCTGTTTATAAGCCCAGCTGTTTCTGCCCTGTGAAACACGGTAAAGATATTAATACAAAGAGAATACAGCTTTATGATAAAAGATGCTCAATGAAGGATGAATTAGGGATATACTGAGAATGGGGAAGGAAACTATCATCTCAGAAGTCAGGCAGTAAGCAAGAGGAGGAATCAATATAGCAACAGTTTGGATCAGACTGTACAGTTTTTTTGTTTTTGTTTTTGTTTTTGTTTTTCTGAGATGGAGTCTTGCTGTGTCACCCAGGCTGGAGTGCAATGACGTGATCTTGGCTCACTGCAACCTCTGCCTCCCAGGTTCAAGTGATTCCCCTGCCTCAGCCTCCCGAGTAGCTGGGATTACAGGCGCCTGCCACCACCCCCGCCTAATTTTTTGTATTTTTAGTAGAGACGGGGTTTCACCGTATTAGCCAGGATGGTCTCAATCTCCTGACCTCGTGATCCATCCGCCTCGCCCTCCCAGAGTGCTGGGATTACAGGCGTCAGCCACCGTGACCGGCTCAGACTGTACTCTTCTAGCCATCTGAAATACGTTTTCTAGGTAGAGATAGATTGTGTAAGGGTACAGTTGTGAGGATAACAGAAACATGGCAGATTATTTAAAATCATCCTGAAAGTGGTGCTTTATCTGATGAAAGTGATTGTAATCCATAGGGAAATGTTTCAACGTGCGCAAGCGTTGCGGCGGCGGGCAGAGGACTACTACAGATGCAAAGTAAGGAGCTTCCTCCCCGCAGTTGCAGGATAGTTCAGTGCTGATGCAGATGATGCCACGGCCCTTAGACTCTCTCAACATTCAATTTCTCATGTGTTGGCTTTTTCAGATCACCCCTTCTGCAAGAAAGCCTCTTTGCAACCGGGTAAGTTTGCTTGTTTTCCTTGCTTTTGGACATAGTCTGCCAGGTCAGGACATGGATACATTTTTCTCCCTACGGCTCTGTGCTCAAGCCCTGCAGAGGGAGATGGCAGAGAGGAAGGCTGCCTACAAGCATCACAGTCCCATCCCTGTTGGTAACCGTGTTGCGCAAAAACACCTTCATCCCCACCCAGTGGGGCCCCCATCTAATATTCTAAGTGTCAGAGGTTCCGTATTTGTAATAGCAAATGGGCCCTGACTGTAAATTAGTGAAGAGTGAATGTAACTTATTACCCACAGGGACAATTCCAAATGAGGGCCTTAAATGATGCTCAGCTAAGCTGGTTCTTGTGTGGCCTCTGTACCTTCAAAAGCTGCCGAGTCCTATGATTGCACGCGATGGGACTTGTACACTTGAAATGAAACACAGTTTTAAAACTTGCTTTGTTTAGAATTCCCACCTCATTTTTCCATGGACAAAAGTATTCTTTATGTCCTAGTGCACTTACAATTTGGTATTACCTGGGAGTGAAAAGAAATATTACAGCCATGCCTAACTGACTTCTTGAGGTAAGATTGTTCTGTCAGAAAACCCTCTCCCAGTTCCCCTGCAGCTCTTCAGGAATCCACATCTCTCCAGAGCTCTTTGTTCTCATGGGTGGCACCTCCAGAGTGAAGAAGATCCTTTGTCAAGAAGGGAAACAGAGGGGAAATGAGAGGGTCCTGCAGGCAGAGCTGGAATCAACTTCCACTCTGCCTCTTGCAAGCTGTGTGACCCTGGGCACAATTTCTCCTTCCTCTGGAAACCTCTGTTTTCTTAGATTTGGAGCAGGGTGGTCACACTGACCTTGCAGAGTTCTGAGAATCAGAGACAGAACATAAAAGGCCTGGAAAACATTCTCCAAAAAGAAGCTGCAACATGTGTGGACAATGGGCTTTTCATGCCTCTCTTACTGTCTCTTACTGTCTATTGACCTGGTGCAAGAAACATGCTCTGGTGATGGCTGTGAGGGAGGAATGAGGATAGACATAGACACTCCTGTGTCTCAAACATGCTTCTTTATTACTCTGTTATGACTCTGTCTTCCCTGGGGCAGGACCCCAGCCTGCCTACATTTGCAGACAGACACAGTGGCATGTGGAGACAACAGTGTGTCCCAATGACTTTTCTTTACCCCCTAGCTGTCGGCAGTACTCAGTGGAAGGGTGATATTATGACACTGACACTGCTATTTTGAAACCTGGAGGATGGAAAGGTGCAAAAATCTATCACCAGCAACAGAAGGTGCAGACTGTGTTGGTGGCGGTAATTTTGTCCATCAAATGAATATGTGTGAAAACATTCCCTCCTTTGGCCCTACAGGTCAGAATGGCGGCAGTGGAGCATCGTCATTCTTCAGGATTGCCCTACTGGCCCTACCTCACAGCTGAAACTTTAAAAAACAGGATGGGCCACCAGCCACCTCCTCCAACTCAACAACATTCTATAATTGATAACTCCCTGAGCCTCAAGACACCTTCCGAGTGTCTGCTCACTCCCCTTCCACCCTCAGCTCTACCCTCAGCGGATGATAATCTCAAGACACCTGCGGAGTGTCTGCTCTATCCCCTTCCACCCTCAGCGGATGATAATCTCAAGACACCTCCCGAGTGTCTGCTCACTCCCCTTCCACCCTCAGCTCCACCCTCAGTGGATGATAATCTCAAGACACCTCCCGAGTGTGTCTGCTCACTCCCCTTCCACCCTCAGCGGATGATAATCTCAAGAAACTAAGGAAGAATAAATAAATAATATAAAAATAAAATGAATACTGCAGTCCTTATGTTATTGCTTTGTTTCAATATCTGGTATGATTGCCTGAGGGACCTGAGGTTTTTAATCGTAGGGGTTTTTTTAATCTTTAGAAGTGGTTGGTTATGTAAAATATTATTATTTGTTTTTTTTTTTGAGACTGGAGTTTGCTCTGTCACCCAGGCTGGAGTGCAGTGGCTCGATCACAGCTCACTGCAGCCTCAACCTCCTGGGCTTCAAGCAATCCTCCTGCCCCAGCCTCCCAAGTAGCTGGGATCACAGATGTGTGCCACCACGCCTGGCCAATGTTAAAAAATCCTTTAACTTTTTTGTAGAGATGCACTCCTGGACTCAAGCAATCCTCCTACTTGTCCCGACCACCAGCCTCTTTCTGATAAACATTTACACTGTTTATTATCTGATGCCATTTCTATCTTCTTCCTTGTCATCCAGACATCAAAGAATTAGGTTTCTTCAGGGTTTTCTTTTTCAAGTGCTCAGTGTTAAAGATCACTCACATTAGGGCCAGACACCACGGCTCATGCCTGTAATCCCAGCACTTTGGGAGGCCGAGGCGGGCAGAGCACTTGAGGTGGGGAGTTTGAGACCAGCCCGGCCAACTTGGTGAAACCCCACCTCTACTGAAAAAATACAAAAATTAGCTGGGCGTGATGGTGCATGCCTGTAGTCCCAGCCACTTGGGAGGCTGAGGCATGAGAATCGCTTGAACCCAGGAGGCAGAGGTTGTAGTGAGCCGAGATCACATCAGCACACTCTAGCCTGGGTGACAGAGCGAGACTGACTCAAAAAATAAATAAAATAAATATCACTTACATTAGATATACCCAAGGGGTGGTCTATAGAGACTTGGAAGCAGTGGTTATTGCAACAGGGGCACGGAAGTCATCTGGCTATGCCAGGGTGCCCAGGGGATACTCGGGGTGGGTGGCATGGTGCTGCTGGGGACTCACCGCACAGGACGCTCTGATTGACGCACTGCCAGGAGTAGCGCTCTGTCTTGGGGCTGCAGCCGGCCTCCTCAGCTCGAGTGTAACAACAGTCGTGGCCATGGCAGCACCTGCGGATGTCACATGGGCAGGACAGCAGGTGGGTGAAACTCTCTCCTGGCCCTCCTCTCTTGCCAGCACTATGGGTGACTGAAGACCCCCAGGGAGGCACAGCATCCTCTTATCTAAGATTTTTTTTTTTTTAAGAGACAGGGTCTTTCTCTGTCGCCCAGGCTGGACTGCAGAGGCACAATCATAGCTCACGGCAGCCTTGAACTCCTGGGCTCAAGCGATCCTCCCACTTCAGTGTCCCAAGTAGCTGAGACTACAGGCACACGCCAGCATGCCTGGCTGGTTTTTTAATTTGTATTTCCTTTGAGACAGCGTATCTCTCTGTTGCTCAGGCTGGAGTGCAATGGCTCAATCAGCTCACTTTAGCCTTGAACTCCCGGGCTCAAGTGATACTGCCACCTCAACCTCCCAAGTCTGCTACTACAGGAACACAAACTCCTTTTTTAAATTTTTTGTGGATATGGGGTCTCACTATGTTGCCTAGGCTGGTCTCGAACTCCCAGGCTCAAGCAGTCCTCCTACCTCAGCCTCCACAAATGCTGGGATTACAGGTGGGAGCTACTGTACACCTGGCCTTATCTAAGCTGTTTCCCTGAAAATCCCCGTCTTGGGTAATGATTCCATTGGCCCCACCATGCCCTCTGCCTTCCTGGCTGTGCCCAAGCTTGGTCCCTGCCTGCCTGCCTGCCTCCCTCTCTGGGTCTCGAGCTCCTGTGACACATGACTCCTCTCTCTTCCTAGTGATCCAAGCCCTGCCACTTCCTGACTTTGCCCACACTGTACCCTCTGCCTGGGGCAACTTCATGTCTGCCCATTGACCCTTAGGCCTCAGCCCAGGCACAAGCCCCTGCCTCCGGAGGTCATCCAGGCCTCACCAGGCTACACCCTCTCGTAAAATTGGATTCCCTCCCTTCAGGGCAGCTTTATAATGAAATCCTCCTCAGAGGCCAGGTGCGGTGACACCCATCTGTAATCCCAGCACTTTGGGAGGCTGAGGTGGGAGGATCACTTGAGGCCAGGGGGTCGAGACCAGCCTGGGCAACATAAGAGAGACTCTTGTCTCTATAACAAATTTAAAAATTAGCTCACCAGGCCAGGCCCAGTGGCTCATGCCTGTAATCCCAACACTTTGAGAGGCCGAGGCAGGTGGATCACGAGGTCAGGAGTTCAAGAGCAGCCTGACCAACATGGCGAAACCCTGTCTCTACTAAGGAGAATCGCTTGAACCCAGGAGGTGGAGGTTGCGGTGAGCCAAGATCACGCCATTGCAGTCCAGCCTGAGCAACAGAGCAAGACTCTGTCTCGAGACAATAAAAACACATAAAAAATTAACTCGCCATGATGGCACATGCCTGTAGTCCTAGCTACTTGGGAGGCTGAGGTGGGAGGATTCCCTTCAGCCCAGGAGTTTGAGGCTGCAGTGAGCCACTATGATTGTGCCACTGCACTCTAACCTGGGCAAAAGCGAGACCCCAGGCTAGAGTGCATGATTTTGGGTCACTGCAACCTCCACCTCCCAGGTTCAAGTGATTCCCCTGCCTCAGCCTCTTGAGTACCTGGGACTACAGGCATGTGCCACCACGCCTGGGTAATTTTTGTATTTTTAGTAGAGACAGGGTTTAGTAGAGACCATGGTGAAACCCCATCTCTATTAAACAAATCTCTACTGAAGATTTGCTGTACTGAAGGGATAGCAAAACTCAGTTACCAAAATGGCAATGTGTTTGAACTGTTTACAGGCCAAGAATTCACATTTGCAACCCACGCAATACACTACTGATTGTGTGACTTCCTCTAGAGAGAATGTCAAAAGTTACAATGTGATGGCTTTTATGAATGTGAGATGAGGCCCAGTGTGCCTTCTCCTCTTCGGTTTGTGCCTCAATGATCATCACCTCCCAAAACATATGCTGAGCTCCCAGCTTCCAGGCACTGTCCCAAAAGTGGGGTGTCAGTGGGAACCCAAGCAACAGACAATATAGAGTCTCGCACCTCATAGAACTCATTTTCTCCTTGCTTCTTTTTCTCACCTTTTTTTTTTTTTTTTTTTTTTTTGAGATAGGGTCTTACCCTGTTTCCCAGGCTGGAGTGCAGTGGCACAATCATAGCTCACTGCAACCTCAAATGCCTGGGCTCAACGTAGCTTCCTGCCTCAGCCTCCTGAGTAGCTGGGACTACAGGCACCCGCCACCATGTCCGGCTAATTTTTCTTTCTTTCTTTTTTTTTTTTGTATTTTTAGTAGAGATGGGGTTTCATCATGTTAGCCAAGATGGTCTCGATCTCCTGACCTTGTGATCCACACACCTTGGCCTCCCAAAGTGCTGGGATTACAGGCATGATCCACCGCACCTGGCCCTGATTTTAACTTCTCTTTTTTCTTTTTTTTTTTTTTTTTTTTTGAGACAGACTCCTGTTGCCCAGGCTCTGGAGTACAGTGGTGCGATCTTGGCTCACTGCAACTTCTCCCTCCCAAGTTCAAGCGATTCTCCTGGCTCAGCCTCTCCAGTAGCTGGGAATAAAGGCATGCGCTACCATGCCTGGATCATTTTGGTATTTTTAGTACAGACGGGGTTTCGCCATGTGGGCCAGGCTCGTCTCCAACTCTTGTCCTCAGGTGATCCGCCGGCCTCGGCCTCCCAAAGTGCTGGGATTATAGCCATGAGCCACCGTGCCTGGCCTTGATTTTTAGCTTTTAACTTTGAAATAACTACAGACTTTGAAAGAAGTTGCAAAAATAGTACAAAGAGTTACCACATACTCTTCATCCAAGCTTCCTGAAATATTGATATCTTACATGACCATAGTACAATGATCAAAACAAGGAAATAAGCACGGAAATCATACACGTACCTAATCTACAGATCTTATTCAAATGATCACCGATCGTCACCCTAAGGTTCTTTGTTCCCAGTCTGGCCTCCAATCCCAGATTGCTTCACATTGTGTTGAACTGTCAAATGGCCTTAGTCTCCAAGTGAGATCACTAACCGGCTATTCTGTAGGCTGTCCCTCAGTTTATCAACCCAGTTGTTATGGGCTAAATGATGCCCTCCAAAATTCATATATTGGAGCCCTAATTTCCAGTACCTCAGAAGGCGACTGTGTTTGAAGATAAGGCCTTTAAAATGGCAATTAAGTTAAAGTGAGACCTTTAGGATGGGCTCTAATCCAATCTGTCTGGTGTCCTTATAAGAAGAGGAAATTTGGGGGCATGGTTGGTGGCTCACACCTGTAATCCCAGCACTTTAGGAGGCTAAAGTAGGAGGATCACTTGAGGTACGAAGATCACTTGAGACCAGCCTGGCCAACATGGTGAAACCCCATCTCTACTAAAAATTAGCTGGGTGTGGTGGCACATGTCTGTAATCCCAACTACTTGGGAGGCTGAGGCAGGAGAATCGCTTGAACCTGGGAGAGGGAGGTTGCAGTGAGAGGAGATCGAGCCACTGCACTACAGCCTGGGTGACAGAGCAAGATTCCGTCTTTAAAAATAAAATAAAATAAAAAAAAAATTTGGACACACAAACAGGCACCAGGGGCCGGGCATGGTGGCTCATGCCTGTAATCCCAGCCCTTTAGGAGGCCAAGGCAGGAGGATTGCCTGAGCTCAGGAGTTCAAAACCAGCCTGGGCAACGTAGTGAGACCCTGTCACTCTCTCTCTCTTTTTTTTTATTTAAAAAATAAATAAATAAAACGAGGCACCAGGGATGTTTTCACACCAAGGAAAGACCATGTGAAGACACAGCAAGAAGGCAGCCGTGTGAAACTAACCCAGCAGGCACCCTGGTCTTGGACTTCTTGCCTCCAGAAGGGTGAGCAAATAAGTTTCTATTGTCTAAGCCACGCTGTGTGCGCTATTTTGTTATGGCAGCCCCAGCAAACTAATATATCCATTCTCTTCAGTTCTTGGAAATCTGCCCATTTCTATGTTCTCTGACCCTTTTTATCTGCCCGTTTATTGATTTATAGCCTTCTCCGGCTCCTTATCCTTGTTACTGGTCCGGAGTAAACTTCTGTTAGATTTCTCCCAGCTGGGCAGGCTTCCAGCTCACCAAAACATCTCCTTCTTTGCTTTTTACTTATATCCCCCTTGTATCATTTTTCCATGGCTGAGGTAACAAATTACCACGAATTTAATGGCTTAAAAGAACACAAACTTCTTGTCTTAGAATTTGGGGTGTCAGAGTCTAAAATGGGTCTGCAGGACTGCATTCCTCCTGGAGGTCCTAAAGGAGAGTTCATTTTCTTGCCTCTTCCAAGCTTCTAGATGCTCCCTGCACTCCTTGGCTCCCCATCCAACATCTTCAAAGTCAGCAGCATAAATCTTCCCATCTCCCTTTCTCTCTCTTTTTTTTAGACAAAGTCTTACTCTGTCACCTAGGCTGGAACGCAGTGGTACAGTCATAGCTCACTGCAGCCTCAAACCCCGAGGCTGAAGTGATCCTCCCGCCTCAGCCTCACGAGTAGCTGGGACCACAGGCATGCACCACCATGCCTGGCTGATTTTTAATTTTTTATAGAGACAGGCTCTTGCTATGTCACCAGGGCTGTCTTGAATTTGGGAGCCCGCGATCAGAAGCCAGCATGGTCGGCAGCTCCCTACACCACGTCCGGGCTTCCCGGGCCTCCAGCTGCCCCCTGCGCCGCCGCCGCCTCCCGCACCTGCACGTGGCCACTCCAGATGCTCCGGAGGGATTGAGCACCCCGCGCACACCCAGCTCACACCATCCAATCCGGAGGCCATGGGCCGACATGGGGGCTGAGCGTTTGAAATGAGCCCGGACCACCAGATGCATGGGTCCGTTCACACGAAATACCCAGAACAGGCAAAGCCACAGAGGCAGAAAGTATGGGGTTATTTATTTTAATTAATTAATTAATTGTTTTGAGACGTAGTCTCCTCTGTCGCCCAGGCTAGAGTGCCGATCCCTATGTTAGCTTGATGTGGTGGCTCATATCTGTAATCACAGCACTTTGGTAAGCTGAGGCGGGAGGATCGCTTGTCAGGCCAAGAGTTCAAGACCAGTCTGGGCAAAATAGTGAGACCCCCCTGCTATGGTTTGGATTTGGGTCCCTGCCCAAATCTCATGCCGAATTATAATCCCCAGTGTTAGGGGAGGGACCTGGTGGGAGGTGATTGGATCATGGGGGGAGAGTGCCTCCTTGCTGTTCTCCTGATAGTGAGTGAGTTCTTATGAGATCTGGTTGGTTTAAAAGCATGTAGCGCTTCCCCCTTCTCTCCCTTCCTCCTGCTCCAGCTATGTAAGATGTGCGTGCTTCCCCTTTGCCTTCCGCCATGATTCAAAGTTTCCTGAGGCCTCCCAGCCATGCCTCCTGCACAGCCTGTGGAACTGTGAGTCAATTAAACCTCTTTTCTTTATAAATTACCCAGTCTCAGGGAGTTCTTTATAGCAATGCAAGAACGGACTGATACAACCTCCATATCTACAAAAAAAAAAAAAAATTGTTTTAATTACCTGAGCATGGTGGTGCACACCTGTAGTCCCAGCTACTCTGGAGGCCAAGGCAGGAGGATCACTCCAGCCTGGGCAACAAGAGCGAAATTCCGTCTCAGAAAAAAAAAAAAAAATTAAAAAATTTAAAAAACGTAAAGAAAAAAATTATTTTGCTAAATCTGGCAAAGCCAAAGGGATGAAACTGACATTTACTGGGCACCTTCTGCACAAGTCAGTTCTCCTAGGAACCCAGAGAGGCAAGGGATTGGTAGCAATCTCTAGAGGCAAATATCCTCTAATATCCATGGTGTTCTTTGTGGAGCAGCTCAATGGATTTACTTAATGGGAAATGAAAGAAGGAAAAATGAAGACTTAGAAGGCTTCGATGATTTCCAATGCATTACTGTATACTTATCTCTTCTTAGAAGCAATAGAAAAAAAAATCAGGAATTAAAGACAATCTATTACTCAAGCAAATGCTAAAGGCCTCCCATGGTCTTCAAACAAGAAGAGATGCTCTAAGATAAATTACTTCATTACGTTGATGCTTCATCATCCGTGGAAGCTGTGACTCAGAGCCCTGCAGCAATAATTAGGCAGTGCGTTCATGTCCCGTTAATGTCCCCAAACAGTGGGAGATGAATGGAGAACATAGGGCTGTGTTCGAATGAAAAAAGGGTTTTGTTCGGCGCTCTTTCAGCAGGGAATAAGTACTGATGTGGGAACTGAGCTTCTGTTTACAACTAAGGATCACATTAAAAATATATTAAGATGACTACAGTAAAGCTTATTGTAGCTATTATTATTTCATTTAAATGAATCCCAGTTTCATAAGAACCACCAAGGGGGCTACCATGTCTAAAATGTAACTTCTCTGCGAATCCTGAAATTTCTACTGACAAAAGACTACGATGCACAATTAATTAATTAATTAATTAATTAATTTGAGATGGAGTCCCACTCTGTCACCCAGGCTGGAGTGCAGTGGCACGATCTCAGCTTGCTGCAACCTTTGCCTCCCGGGTTCAAGCGATTCTCTTGCCTCAGCCTCCTGAGTAGCTGGGATTACAGGCATGCGCCACCACGCCTGGCTAAATTTTTTCGTATTTTTAGTAGAGATGGGGTTTCGCCATGTTGGCCAGGCTGGTCTAGAACTCCTAACCTCAGGAGATCTGCCTGCCTCGGCCTCTCAAAGTGCTGGGATTACAGGCGTGAGCCACCATGCCCGGCCAACACGCAACATGTTTAAGACCAAAAGGACTGTTTTGCAATGAAGCAGATGAATCAACCAGTAAGGCCAACCCCTCAAAAAATGTAGCACTGAAGTTTCTTCAACATCTGCCTCTGAGACTTGTTCATATGTGCAGACACAGAGCAGGAAACTAAAGCAACTGCCTTCCTCTTTGTCACCTGAAATGAGAATGGAGAGAGGCTGGCAAGGAAATGATATGTAATCTTCCCTCCTTCCTGATTTTCTTTTCTATCCTTTTTTTTTTGAGTTGGAGTCTCGCTCTGTCACCCAGGCTGGAGTGCAGTGGCACAATCCCAGCACTTTGGGAGGCTGACGGGGGTAGATTACTTGAGGCCAGGAGTTTGATACCAGCCTGGCCAACATGGTGAAACCCCATCTCTACTAAAAATACAAAAAATTAGCCAGGCGTGGTGGCATGTGCCTGTAATCCCAGCTACTTGGGAGGCTGAGCATGAGAACTGCTTGAGCCCGGGAGGTGGAGATTGCGGTGATCTGAGATCGTGTCACTGCATTCCAGCCTGGGCGACAGAGTGAGACTACATCTCAAAAAAAGAGAAAAAAAAGAAAAGAAACATTTACAATCTATTCACTCTGAAATTTACAGTCTATTTACTCTGAAGCCTGCTACCTGAATGCTTCATCTATGAGATAAAACTTTAGTCTCTGCAACCTCTTATTGTAACCCATATATCCCTTTCTATTAATAATAACTCTTTCAACCAATTGCCCATCAGAAATCTTTTTTTCTTTTTTTTCTTTTTTTTTGTTTTTTTTTGTTTTTTGAGACGGAACCTCGCTCTGTCGCCCAGGCTGGAGTGCAGTGGTGCGATCTTGGCTCACTGCATGCTCTGCCTCCTGGGTTCACGCCACTCTCCTGCCTCAGGCTCCTGAGTAGCTGGGACTACAGGCGCCCGCCACCACACACCACTAATATTTTGTATCTTTAGTAGAGATGAGGTTTCACCGTGTTAGCCAGGATGGTCTCGATCTCCTGACCTTGTGATCCGCCTGCCTCGGCCTCCCAAAGTGCTGGGATTACCGGCATGAGCCACCGCGCCCAGCCCAGAAAATTTTTAATCTATCTATAACCCAGACCAAACCAATGTAAATCTTTAAATGTATTTGACTAATGTTTCATGCTTCCCTAAAATGTATAAAATCAAGCTGCGCCCGGACCACCTTGGGGATGTGCTCTCTTGCTGCTACGCTTTCTGCAAATTTTCCATACAATTTTTCTTTTTCTTTTTTTTTTTTCACACAGAGTCTCACTCCATTGCCCAGGCTGGAGTGGAGTGGCACGATCTTGGCTCACTGCGACCTCTGCTTCCCAGGCTCAAGTGATTCTCCCACCTCCGCCTCCAAAGTAGCTGGGACTACACGCCCAGCTAATTTTTGTGTTTTTTGTAGACAGGGTTTCGCCATGTTGCCCAGACTAGTCTTAAACTCCTGGACTCAAGCAATCTGCCCTCCTCAGCCTCCCAAAGTGCTGGGATTACAGGCAGGAGCCACTGCACCCAGCTAGAAGAGGGAAAGTTTAATATAGTTGATTCTCATTATTCAAGATAGTTACATTCAAAAAAGTCACCAAGGACACTGAATTGGTGAATATTGAATCATTTGCTCTAAAGGAAATGCAGGATTGGGTGTCTCCAAGCCTCTGGTCGCAACATTTTTATAAAGCAATCAATACATAATCTTCTTTTATGTGTGTGTGTTAAAGGACGCCTTATCTAATACATATTGTTGATTCATTGACATTGAACTCACGGCCAACAGCATTGTAACTCATGCCTGAACAAAGCTTATCTAACAAATGTACCTTCTCCATTAGGTACTTCACAGCCTTCTTGCACTCAGAGACACTGGATAGCACTTCAGGAGGACACTTAGGGGCCTTCTGTTGTTGTTGATGTTGAGATGAAGTCTCGCTCTATTCCCCAGTCTGGAGTGCAGTGGCGTGATCTCGGCTCACTACAACCTCCACCTCCAAGATTCAATCGATTCTCCTGCCTCAGCCTCTGGAGTAGCTGGGATTCCAGGTATGCGCCACCATGCCCGGCTAATTTTTTTAATTTTTAGTAGAGACAGGGTTTCACTATGTTGGCCAGGCTGGTCTCCAACTCCTGACCTCAGGTGATCCACCAGCCGTGGCTTTCCAAAGTGCTGGGATTACAGGTGAGAGCCACCGCACCTGGCTGGGGGCCATTTTAAGCAGCAAAATCACAAAAAGCACAGAACTGTGAAAGATGTGACACTGAATACACTGCAGAGAGGACACTTGTTTGCAGTCTGAAAGCTGAGACAAGAAGGCAGAGTGTGGCCAGGTGCAGTGGCTCATGCTTGTGACCCTAGCATTTTGGGAGACTGAGGCAGGACGATCACTTGAGGTCAGGAGTTCAAGACCAGCCTGGCCAACATGGTGAAGCCCTGTCTCTACTAAAAATACAGAAATTGGCCGGGCGTGGTGGCTCACGCGTGTAATCCCAGCACTTTGGGAGACCAAGGCGGGTGGATCAAGAGGTCAAGAGATCGAGACCATCCTGGCCGACATGGTGAAACCCCATCTCTACTAAAAATACAAAAATTAGCCAGGCATGGTGGCACCCGCCTGTAGTCCCAGCTACTCAGGAGGCTGAGGCAGGAGAATCGCTTGAACCTGGAAGGCAGAGGTTGCACTGAGCTGAGATTGCGCCACTGCACTCCAGTCTGAAGACAGAGCAAGACTCTGTCTCAATAAATAAATAAATAAAAATAAAAATACAGAAATTAGCCGGGCATGGTGGCACGTGTGTGGCCCCAGCTACTCGTTGAGGCAGGAGAATTGCTTGAACCTCAGAGGTGGAGGCTGCAGTGAACCAAGATCATGCCACTGCACTCCAGTCTGGGCGACAGAGCAAGACTCTGTCTTAAAAAAAAAAAAAAAAAAAAAAAAAAAAAAAGAAGGCAGAGTGTCACCTTGTTGGACCTCAGCTGGGAATGGGTGCATCATGTGACTTAAATATTTTGCTGCTCTCTGCATGTACATGTCTTCAGATAATAGCAAAAGCACCAGAGGTATTGATTTGGGGTCCAAATACATTTTAGAAAGGTAGACACATTTATAAATATGGAACCCATGAATAATGAGGATGGACTGTATGAAGAATTGTTAATAGGAGACTGGAATAATGAGGGTTTGAGTAGTAAGAAGGGAACTCTGAAGAGTATACAGGCAGATGCAGGGGGCTCATGTCTGTAATCCCAGCTCTTTGGGAGGCTGAGGCAGGTGATTAGCTTGAGCTCAGGATTTGGAGACCAGCCTGGGTAATACAGCAAGACTCCATTTCTAAAAAAAAAAAAAATTTTTTTTTTAATTAGCTAGGCATGGGGGCTCATGTCCGTAGTCCCAGCTACTCGGGAGGCTAAGGTGGGAGGATTGCTTGAGCCAGGGAAGCAGAGGTTGCAGTCAGCCGAGATTGTACCACTGCACTCCAGTCTGGGCAACAGAGTGAGACCCTGTCTCAAAAAAAAACCAAAAAGTATACAAGTAGTAGATACAAGGAACAGCTACTACCCCTAGGACTGAGATATGACACTTACGGAAACAATCACCCCTGGAGGGCTGAGATCTTGACCAGGTAGAGAGGGTACAGCCCTGGGTCACTGAATAGCAAAGAAGACAGTTGACGTGATGCCCTGCTGGTTGGTGGAACTTGCTGGAAATCTACCCTCAGGGTAAACTTTTCATGGCAAGGTGTCTCACTGAAGGTACTCTGCTGCAAGACCACCAGAGGGGAGTGCCAGGGGAAGCTGCCTGCCAATGAGTGGTATAGGAGCTGGGCACTGGAGAAGCCATCAGCAGGAACCAATAAGCAAAACCCTTTCCTCCTGCAGTGTCTCTCCAGCACCCTGTACTGACAAAACTTAAAATAACATTGTGCCTCCTGGCAAAGGAAAGCTATTTAAAGGGCCCAGATCCATTTTTACCCAGAAGGCAAAAAGGATGGATTTGGAGCTGGAAGGCAATAGATCAAAAACTGACTGTTTTGATGTTTTTTATTTTCTTTTTTTAGAGATGGGATCTTGCTGTGTTGCCCAGGCTGGCCTCAAACTCTTGGGTTCAAGTGATCCTCCCAACTCGATCTCCTGAGTAGCTGGGACCATGGGCTCCTGGCATTGTGCCTGGCTGTTTAGTGGTTTTAAAAAATAATTCTACAAGTATGAAAAACAAAAAAGTGTAATTAAGAAAATTAACATCTTGGCTGGGCGCGGTGGCTCACACCTGTAATCTCAGCACTTTGAGAGGCCAAGGCGGATCACCTGAGGCCAGGAGTTCGAGACCAGCCTGGCCAACATGGCACAACCCCATCTCTACTAAAAATACAAAATTAGCCAGGAGTGATGGTGGGTGCCTGTAATCCCAGCTATTTGGGAGGCTAAGGCAGGAGAATCCTTTGTGCCTGGGAGGTGTAGGCTGCAATGAGCCGAAATTGTACCACTGCACTCCAGCCTGGGCAACAGAGACAGACTCCATCTCCAAAAAAAAAAAAAACAAAATTAACATCTCTAGTGTTAACCACTCTTTTCATTTTTTATGAATTTTTTATAGTCTTTTCTATGCATGTAGTTTTTCATTTAAAAAAAAATTAGGTTCATATTACACATGCTGTGTTCTTACCAGCCCTTTTGAGTTAACAGTGTCAACTTTCCATATTAACAACTGTGTACCTGCATCACTTTTTTTTTTTTTTTTTTGAGAAGGAGTCTCACTCTGTCTCCCAGGCTAGAGAGCAGTGGCGTGATGTCAGCTCACTGCAACCTGTGCCTCCCAGGTTCCAGTGATTCTCCTGCCTCAGCCTCCCAAGTAGCTGGGATTCCAGGTGTCCACCACCATGTCCGGCTAATTTTTTTGTACTTTTATTAGAGACGGGGTTTCACCATGTCAGCCAGGCTGGTCTCAAACTTCTGACCTTAAGTGATCCTCCCACATCGGCATCCCAAAGTGCTAGGATTACAGGCGAGAGCCACCGCACCTGGCACTTTTTTTTTTTACAGCTTGTGTCTTAACCAGTTTTATGGAAGTACCACTATTTAGCCAATTCCCTGTTATTTTGTTGTATATATAGTTTGTTTTCAATTTTGTTTCATTATAAGCAGCGCTACTGTGGACGGTCTTATAGTTAAACCTCTAACATATTTATGTATTTAGTTTACACTTTGGGAGTAGAATTTTAAGTACAAAACCTAGGTATATTTTAAGTGTTTTTGTTACTGAATGCCCAGTTCCATTCAGTTCAACACAAATGAAATACGTCAAAGGTTTTATAACAATCTGAAATTCTACCAGCAATCCATAAGAATACTTATTTTCTTCTATTTTTTTTTGAGACGGAGTTTCGCTCTTATTGCCCAGGCTGGAGTGCAATGGTACTGTCTCGGCTCACCACAACCTCTGCCTCCTGGGTTCAAGCGATTCTCCTGCCTCAGCCTCCCAAGTAGCTGGGATTACAGGCATGCACCACCACGCCTGGCTAATTTTGTACTTTTACTAGAGACAGGAATTTCTCCACGTTGCTCAGGCTGGTCTCAAACTTCCAACCTCAGGTGATCGACCCGCCTGTGCCTCCCATAGTGCTGGGATTACAGGCGTGAGTCACCGGGCCCGGCCGAGAATACTTATTTCCGTCTACACTAACACGGGATGTTATTTTATTTTATTTTTTGAGACAAAGTCTCGCTCTGTCGCCCAGGCCGGAGTTCATTGGCACGATCTCCACTCACTGCAACCTCCGCCTCCTGGTTTCAAGCAATTCTCCTGCCTCAGCCTCCTGAATAGCTGGGACTACAAGGCATGCGTCACCACACCCGGCCAATTTTTTATTTTTAGTAGAGATGGGGTTTCACTATGTTGGTCAGGCTGGTCTCGAACTCCTGACCTCACGTGATCCGCCTGCCTCGGCTTCCCAATGTGCTGGGAGTACAGGTGTGAGCCACCATGCCCAGCCGGATGTTATTATTTTTTAAAAAAACTTTGCTAATTATAGGCAAAAATGCTATTTGATCCATTTCTGCAATTTTGGTCACTAGTAATGTTGAACTTTTTGTCATGTTGACTATTTGCATGTTTTTCCTTTTTATATTGTCGGTTAATGTCTTTGCCCATTTGCCTTCTGGGCACACAGTTTTAGAGAAGCCTGTTCACTTTCATGAAATGTAAATAAATCTGAAACAAATTAAACATCAATTATAGTTTAAAATGCTAATAAAAATTCTTATTTTCAGCCAGGTGTGGTGGCTTATGCCTGTAATCCCAGCACTTTGGGAGGCCAAGGTGAATGGATGCTTGAGCTCAGGAGTTTGAGACCAGCCTGGACAACATGGTGAAACCCCATCTCTACCAAAAATACAAAAATTAGCCAGCGGTGGTTGTGTCCTAGCCACTGTGGAGGCTGAGGTGGGAGGATGGCTTGAGCCCATGAGGCAGAGGTTGCAGTGAGCTGAAACACCACTGCACTCCAGCGTGAGAGACAGGAGTGAGAGCCTAGCTCAAAAAAACAAAAACAAAAACAAAAACAAAAAGGTCCTTTGAGTACCAGAAAAATTGTCAATGGGAATACTTTCCTCAAGGTCTTGAAAATTAATAATAAATCAACAAATCATTGATGGTAGTGGCTGGTGTTGCTTTCTTCTATATCTAGCTAGTTATCACTGAACAAACATTTTCTAAAACATTTTCGATGTTTCAGAGCAGAGATTTCAAATTGACAGCCAAGGGACGGATTCATGCATAATTTACTCTCTTTTATTTTGCTTTATTTTTCTTATGGTATTTACAAGTAATTAACATACATTATATAGCTACTTATCTCTCTGTTACAATAGGATATAAGATCCACAAAAATAGCCAGACACAATGGCTTATGCCTGTAATCCCAGCACTTTGGGAGGCCAGGGCAGGAGGATCACTTGAACCCAGGTGCTCAAAGACCAGCCAGAGCAACATAGGGAGATCCCACCTCTTCAAAAATTAAAAAATTAGCTGGGCGTGGTGGTGCATGCCTGTAGTCCCAGCAGTTTGGGAGGCTGAGGTAGAAGGATCACTTGAACCCAGGAGGTTGAGGCTGCAGTGAGCCAGGATCATGCCACTGCATTCCAGCCTGAGGGACAAAGTGAGACCTACCTACCTCAAGTTAAAAAAAAAAAATCCGCAAAAGGCAAAGACTTAATCCCTTTTAATGATTATTGTATCTCCAATTTCTAAAATACTGTGTGGTATATAATGCACCTTCAGAAAATATTTGTTGAATTCACGCATTTAGTAATTATTTATTGAACTCCCACTGCATCCTAGGCACTGGATTAGCTAGACTTGGGAGGTAAATGCCTCTGCCTCCATGTAGTGTCTTTAAAATATGATTCTCGGCCGGGCATGGTGGCTCACACCTGTAATCCCAGAGCTTTCAGAGGCTGAGGCGGGCAGATCACCTGAGGTCACAAGATCGAGACCAGCCTGGCCAACATGGTCAAACCCGGTCTCTAATAAAACTCCAAAAATTAGCCAGGCATGGTGGTGGGCACCTGTAATCCCAGCTACTCAGGACGCTGAGGCAGGAGAATTGCTCAAACCCAGGAGGCAGAGGTTGCAGTGAGCTGAAATCAAGCCACTGCACTCCAGCCTGGGTGACAGAACAAGACTCTGTCTCAAAAAATAAATAAATAAAATAAAGTATGATGCTCATTAAAACCAGATTGAAAACAATGGAAATGTTTTGGAAATAAAATATACACACTGTGCCAGTATGTGGATTCATTACTCATTAATTCTATGACTATTTTTTGAGAGCCTATTTGCAGTCACTTGGGGACACAATAATATTAAAGACAGATTCTGTCCCTGCGGATATGGCATTGATAATCTATCAAGGGAGGTAGACATTAAGCAACTAATTAATCGTGATTGTGCCAAGTACATAAAGGAGAAAGACAGGTGCCTATAAGCACTCATGAGATTTCCCTGAGAAAATGATACTTACACTTCTACCAAAGGGATTAGAAGTTACACAAGACAAAAGGGAAGGGAAAAAAAGAACAGTCTCATCGAAGAAAACAGCTTGTCAGGAAAGATCTTGCTGTACAGAAAGACCAAGGGGGGCACTGTGGCTCGCGCCTGTAATCCCAGCACTTTGGGAGGCCGAGGCAGGTGGATCATTTGCGCTCAGGAGTTGGAGACCAGCCTAGGCAACATGGTGAAACCCACAAAAATACAAAAAAATTAGCCAGGCATGATGGTGTACACCTGTGGTCCCAGCTACTCGGGAGGCTGAGGTGGGAGGATCACTTGAGCCTGGGAAGTGGAGGTTGCAGTGAGCTGTGTTCACACCACTGCACTCCAGCCTGGGTAACCAAGTGAGACCCTGTCTCAAAACAAAAACAAAAAGAAACAACAACAACAACAAAAAGACCAAGAGAATAATCAAGGGAATAATGACAGCCAGAGACCAAAGAGGTAGGCAGGGGCCATATTCTATACTCATGGGCCAAGTGAAGGATGCTCGCTTTATTCCATGGACAGCTGAAGGTTTGTAAGCAGATGATCTGATTTCTACATTAAATAGATGACTCTGGTTTCTGTATTGAGAATGGTTTGGCTACACAGACTGCTTAGATATGGCAGTAGTCAAGGCGGTAGCAACGGAAATAGAGATGCAGACAGCTTTGAGAGATATTTAGGAGGTGGAAGTGGCAACACTGATTGGAAGGGGTTAGGGAAGGGAAAGTGTGAGAGAGAGGAAGACACCCTGGTTCCTGGCGTGAACAGCTGGGTGGATGATGGGGAGCTTTTATGGGATGTGGAGTGCGAGAATCCGTGGTTTAGGGTAGAAGACGAGTTCAGTGCAATCAAGGCACAGCTATAAATGTGTACAACTGAGGCAGAAGTTTCAGAAGCAATGAGTACCCTTACTACCATAGAAGATGCTCTGATTTTTTTTCTTTTTTCTTTTTTTTTAAGAAATTTTTGGCTAGGCATGGTGGCTCACACCTGTAATCCCAGCACTCTGGGAGGCTGAGTTGGATCATTTGAGGTCAGGAGCTCGAGACCAGTCTGGCCAACATGGTGAAACCCTGTCTCTACTAAAAATACAAAAATTAGTTGGACATGGTGGCTCACACCTGTAGTCCCAGCTACTTGGGAGGCTGAGGCATAAGAATCGCTTGAACCTGGGAGGCAGACATTGCAGTGAGCTGAGATCACACCACTGCACTCCAGCCTGGGCAACAGAGTGAGACTCGGTCTCAAAAAAAAAAAGAAAAGAATTTTTTTACCCAATAGTAAAATAACCAACCAATGCGCTGATATTTTTTAATCAACTTTGTTGAAGTATGTTTTACATAATAGATTTTCATATGTTTTACATAATATAATAAAATTCACCCATATTACATGTACAGTTCAACAGGTTTTGACAAATGTATATACCTGTGTAACCACCACGATTAAAATACAGAGCTCTTCTGTCATTTCCAAAAACTCCCCAGCACCCCTTGGCAGTCAATTCCCCCTCCATCTCAGCCCCAGGCTTTCTGTCATTATAGTTTGCATTTTCTAGAATTCCATATAAATGAAACCATAGAGCATATATACAGTATACATATGAAATAGGTATTCACTTGTATCTGGCTTTTTTATTTCCTTGGAGACAGGGTCTTGCTGTGTCACCCAGGCTAGAGTGCAGTGGTGCAATCACAGCTCACTGCAGCCTCAACCTCCCAGGCTTGAGAAATCCTCCATTCCCAGCTAATTTTGTTTTTTTTTTTTTGGTAGAGACTGGGTCTCTCTTTGTTGCCTAGGCTGGCCTCAGATTCCTGGGCTCAAGCAAACCTCACACCTCGGCCTCCCAAAGTACTGGGATTACAGGCTCCAGGCCATGTATCTGGCTTCTTTCACTCAGCATAATGTTTTTAAGATTCATCTATGACAGGGACCAGCAAACTAGGGCCTGTGGGCCAAATCTGGCCCAGTACCTGATTATGCAAAGGCCTAAGAGCTCAGCATGACTTTATATTTTTAAGAGATTGAAAAAAAACTCAAAGAAGAATATTTTGTGACACATGTAAATTAAATGAAATCCAAAATTCAATGTCTATAAATAAAGCTTTATTGGAACACAGCAACGCTCACTTGTTTACATACTGTCTGTGGCTGTTTCCATGCTACAGAATCAAATACTTGAGACCGAGATCGCAAGAACCTAAACTACAGCTTGCAAAGCCTGAAATATTTACAACCAGGCCCTTTACAGAAAAAGTCTGCCAACTCCTAATCTGTGGTGTCCCATGGATCAATAATGTACTCCCTTTACTTGCAGTACAGTACTCCATTCCATTGTAGGGATAGGCCACAAGTTGTTTACCTGTTTGTCTGTTGATGGACATTTGGGTTACTGCCCAATTATCCTTAATCCACGTGATATGCTCTGATGTTTTGCATCCTATTTCATTTTTTAAAAAATTGCTACTCATGACCCAATGGTTGATATCACAACCCACTGATGAACTACTCTCAGTTTGATATAGATGTTAATTGAAATAATGGAGGATGAAATTATGTAGAAGAAGAAATCAAAAGGACTTTCCAGGCTGGGCACAGTGGCTCACGCCTGTAATCCCAGCACTTTGGGAGGCTGAGGTGGGTAGATCACCTAAGGTCAGGAGTTTCAGACCAGCCTGACCAATATGATGAAACCCCGTTTCTACTAAAAATAAAAAATTAGCTGGGCATGGTGGCACGTGCCTGTAATCCCAGCTACTCAGGAGTCTGAGGCAGGAAAATCGCTTGAACCTGGGAGGTGGAGGTTGCAGTGAGTCAGCGAGACTCTGTCTCAAAAAAAAAAAAAAAAAAAAAAAGGCTTGCCAGCTGAGTGCTGAGGAAATCCAACAATGAAACATTGGGTGGAGGAGGAGGAAACTCCAAAAGACATTGAGAAGGAACAGGCAGAAAGGGAAGGTGACGATCCGGAGAATTTGATATTGTGGGAAGCATGGAAAGTCAGTTTCAAGAAGAAAGTGATCATCTGGTTCTAGGGCTGCTGAGAGGTCAGGTGTGATGGACTGAGATGGTTTTAGTGACACTGGTTTGGGTGGAGGGAACAAGGCCGAAGCTAGATTCAGATGAGTTGGTGGTGCTTGTGTGATGAGAAAATTGAGACCATTAGGTGTAACCAGAAGGGGATGTGGATGAAGATAAGGAGTTTTTATTTGCTTGTTTTTTGAGCATAAGAATGTTTAACAAACACTAAAAGGCAAGCATAACCAGAATTTTACAGATGAGGAAACTAATATACCAAGAGGTTAAGTAACTTGCCCAAGTAGTTTTCACTTATACAGCTTAAAAAAAAAAAAAAAAAAGAATCCAGTTCTACTTGTAGCCACAGTCTGAACTCTAACCAATGGGCTATACCATCGACAAGGGAAAAAACTGGCCCAGACATAATCCAATTTTTGTACCTTTGAGTTAAAAGTCTACAGTTGAGGCTGGGCCTGGTGTCTCACGCCTGTAATCCCAGCACTTTGGGAGGCCGAGGTGGGTGGACCACCTGAGATCAGGAGTTGGAGACTAGCCTGTCCAACTAGTGAAACCCCGTCTCTACTAAAAATACAAAAATTAGCCAGGCTTGGTGGCACGCACCTGTAATCCCAGCTACTCAGGAGGCTGAGGCAGGAGAATTGCTTGAACCCGGGAGGCGGAGCTTGCAGTGAGCAGAGATGGTGCCACTGCACTCCAGCCTGGCGACAGAACGAGACTCCATCTCAAAAAAAAGGAAAAAAGAGAAGTGTTTGAGGCCAGGCTCGGTGGCTCAGGCCTGTAATCCAAACACTTTGGGAGGCCGAGGCAGGAGGATCACTTGAGGTTGGGAGTTTGAGACCAGCCTGGCCAACATGGTAAGACCCTGTCTCTACTAAAAATACAGTGTGTGCGATGGCGCACGCCTCCAGTCGAAGCTACTCCGGGAGGCTGAGGCAGCAGAATCACTTGAACCGGGGAGGCAGAGGTTGCAGTGAGCCAAGACTGCGCCGTTACACTTCAGCCTGGACAACAGAGTGAGACTCGTCTGGAAAAAGAAAAAGAAAGAAAAAGACAGGTCTGTTAGCAGCACATAAAGCCATATGTCAGTAGAGATTAAACCTCCCCACAACTGATGGCTTCATGCTCCAAACTGTACAATATTCTGCTTATCTCTCTTCACTAGTCCATAGAATGTTGCATTATAATGTATCAGTTTTCCTATCTGTGCATCCACAAGCCAAATGGTTTCAACTTTTTTTTTTTTTTTTCGGGGATGGGGGAATCACAGACTTGAGTATATAATGAAGACAATGGATGTTTTCCCCAGAAAAATGCACTCACTCACACACAAAATGTTGAGTATAGTTTCAGAGACCTCCATCTGCATCCCAAAGTAAAAACTTCTACCCAAAATAGTGTTTTTCTTCAGGGCAGAGAGCTTGTCTTTGTTTTGTGTGTGTGTGTGTGTGTGTGTGTGTGTGTGTGTGTGTGTGTGTGTGTAGACGGAGTCTTGCTCTTGTCGTCCAGGCTGGAATGCAGTGGTGCAATCTTGGCTCACTGCAACCTCCGCCTCCCAGGTTGAAGCGATTCTGCTGCCTCAGCCTCCCGAGTAGCTGGGATTACAGGCGCACACCACCACACCCACTAATTTTTCTATTTTTAGTACAGACGAGGGTTTCACCATGTTGGCCACGCTGTTCTCCAACTCCTGACCTCAGGTGATCCGCCCACCTCGGCCTCTCAAAGTGCTGGGATTACAGGCATGAGCCACCGCGCCCAGCCTTTTTTAAATTTTTAAATTTTTTATTATATTTTGTTTTTGAGACAGAGTCTCGCTTTGTCGCCCAGGCTGGAGTGCAGTGGTGCGATCTCTGCTCACTGCAAGCTCCGCCTCCCGGGTTCACGCCATTCTCCTGCCTCAGCCTCCAGAATAGCTGGGACTACAGGCGCCCGCCACCATGCCCGGCTAATTTCTTTTTGTATTTTTGGTAGACACGGGGTTTCACCGTGTTAGCCAGGATGGTCTCGATCTCCTGACCTCGTGATCCGCCCGCCTCGGCCTCCCAAAGTGCTGGGATTACAGGCGTGAGCCACCGCGCCCGGCCCAGCCTCTTATTTGTATTTTTATTGTTTTTTGAGATGGAGTCTCGTCTTATTGCCCAGGCTGGAGCGCAGTGGCACAATCTCGGCTCACTGCAACCTCTGCCCCCGGGGTTCAAGTGATTCCCCTGCCTCAGCCTCCCAGGTAGCTGGGATTACAGGTGTTTGCCACCACGCCCAGCTAATTTTTTGTATTTTTAGTAGAGACGGAGTTTCACTCTGTTGGCCAGGCTGCTCTTGAACCAGCCTCTTATTCTTTTACATACTATTTCCAGCACAACTGTCCAAGATGGCAGTCAATAAATGTTTGGCTAAATATAATAAATAATACGGTTGATTATTTCCACTTTTTCATGTTGGGTTTTCAAAGTCTACTTTTAAAACAGTAAAGTTAACTTTTCTCTCTAGTATTTGTTTTGTAGAATCTATTATACTTTGTAATGTAATCCACAGAAACTTGGAGGTGACTTTAGTAAAATTTACTAGTTTTGAATGATACCCATGCTGAGGTGCTCAGAGGTGAAATGTACTAACATATATCGATGGATGGATATATGGATGCATATGTGATTAAAGCAAATATAGGGAAAATTAACTGTAGAATCTAGGTAGTGGGTATATGGTTGTTCACTGTACAACTGTTTAAACTTTTCTACGTTTGAAAAATTTCATAACACGTTGGAAAAGTGACTTGTTTTGCTCAAGCAGGGGTACATTCAATCTTCAATTCTTGAAAGACATAAATCTATCTTTCCTTCTGTTTGGAAAGCTCTTTAGAGAGTCAGAATAATCCCCACAGTACAGTCTAAACCAGCACACAAGGGTTTTTTGGTAGAAAATAATTTTATTAACATAACCAGGCAATTTACCAAATACAACGTAGATAGCTCAAAACATGGAGTTACTGCGCTGAAAATGTGACCCTGTTTACACAGATTTCGGGACGAAGAGTATAAAACAGGAGAGAAAAGGAGTAAGATTGTGGTTGTAGCGTCATCGCAGAGGTGAAGTGTTCCATTGATTGCCACTGTGGTAGTCTATATCAGTTTCCCACATTAAGGTGGGAGGAATCTACTAAGCAAATGTACGCCCTCCCCATTCGTTCGAAACACATTGCAGTAAAATTGCAAAAGTGGCCGGGCGTGGTAGCTCATGCCTGTAATCCCAGCACTTGGGGAAGCTGAGACGGGAAGATCGCCTGAGGCCAGGAGTTTGAAGCCAGCTTGGGTAACATAGTGAGACACCCCTACCTTCTCTATTAAAATGAGATTTTAATTTTTTTTCTCTTCAGTTCATCGGTTAACAAGATAAAAAAATTAATAAAAAATTAACTTTTTAAAACATTTAAAGTAAAGTAGGAGTGGAAGCAGTATGTGGACTCATGGGGCTTGGGTCTGAATCCTACCTAGATCGGCACTGCGAAATGGGGATAATGATCTCCTAGAGCTGCTGAAATAGGAAAATGGAAGAACAGCAGCTGATGTATTAATATTATCATTATTACTACTACCCATTACCTGACAAGTGATAATTGTGACATGAAAGAGGCTGGACCGGTTGTTACAACAATTTTTTCCGTCTAGAATTCGGCGGTAAGGTCTGAGACAACACCTCAGCTTAGATCAGTGCCTTCTCTGAACAGCGTTCACTAAGCAGCCCCCAACCCCAAAACCCCCAAGTCCCCGGGCGCCGAGGACGCTGCGAGTCCTGCGCATGCGCAAGGTTGCCCACTCGCTCACCGCCTCCTTGGCGAATGGCCTGTTCCATTCTCGAGGGATGCCGGCGGGAGGTGAGGCGGGAGACTTGGAAGCCTGGGCCCGGAAGTGAGGTGCGTCACTAGTATTTCCAGCCTTTCACTCCATGAATAGTACTTTGTGATTATTATACTTCTACCTTGATGATTGCAACAGGCTGCTGGAAAGAGTTTGGTGAACAATCCACCGGGCATCCTCCCCCCTTCACCTGCGCACGTTAGGGAGGGCCGGCGTGGCGCCCAGGTACGGAATCCCAGAGGGCTCCGCCCAGCGCTACGGGGCCCCGCCCCGCCGCCTCTCAACCATCAGGTTCGGCAGCCCGCGGCGCCGCCTGGCAGCTCCTCCTCTTCTCCGCCCCGCCGGCCGCGGGCGCGGGGGACGTCAGCGCTGCCAGCGTGGAAGGAGCTGCGGGGCGCGGGAGGAGGAAGTAGAGCCCGGGACCGCCAGGCCACCACCGGCCGCCTCAGCCATGGACGCGTCCCTGGAGAAGGTCCGTGCCGGGAGGGGGCGATGGGGACGGTGCTGCGGCCCGGGGCTCCCGCTTCCGAGGCAACTGTTTCCCAGTCGCGAGCTGCCATTGTGACCCGGACAGGGGGACGCGGGCTGACAGGCCCTGCCTGAGGAGGCCTCGCCGGGAGGGCGGCTGGGGCCCGGGCGCGTCACGGGGCCGGGTGTCTCTTGGGTCCCCGTGGGCCGAAGAGGCTGGGCGGGGTTCGGTGGGGGCCGCGACGGGCCCGGAGCCCAGGACTGGGACCGCGGGGCCGACCTTGGGCCCTGCCGAGGTTCCGCGAGTGGCCGGCCTGAGCTCGGCTGGCCCTTTCGGAGGACCGGGAGCTCTCCGTTGGCGGCCCCAGATGCTCCCGGAAAGAAGCCGCAGTTATTTCAGAGCCAGCTGCAAACCTGTAGGTTTTTCTTGGTCTCCGAGTTAGGAATGAAAATTGCCAAAGCAGTGGTTTTCCAACTTCAGCCTGAGTGGGAATCACCTGGGGCCTTTGGTAAAATGCGGAGGTTCAGTCCCGGGGTCAGAACCTCTGGGGGCGGGACCGGGAACTGCGTGTTTAACCGCCACCGCCCCGCTCCCACTCCGCCCCACGCAGGTGATTCTGATGCTGAGCCTGCGATCACCGGGCGAGAACCTCTGAGTTCCAGAAAGGGGTGGGTGTTGCGTAGATTGCGAATTGAGTTTTGGGGATCGCAGCTGCTCCACAACTTCCTGGCTCCCCCATTCCAGTGGCGAGGAGGGATCCCCGAGTCAACTCGAAATCCACTGGTAACAGAGCCTACCTCTGGTTTCCCCTTGGGGGAACGGCAGCGTGGTGTACCAGGCTGACTGCTCTACCATGTGAAACGGATTCTCATTGTCCCAGTGTTAGGGCTTGTAAATGGAAACCAGTTTGGGTTTCTTCACGGATTCCTGCTTTCGGTACCTGACATTCTGCCCTCCCTCAAAGCCCTTCTGTCTGTTCCAGCTTGGGAGTCTGCTTGTCCAATCCAGTGCATACCCGGTTTTTCATGCATGTGGCATTCAGGAGCAATGCTCGTGTTTTAAGACGGCTACATTTTAATTTTGAGCTGGTAGGAATAATATATTTTGTCTTTTTTCAAGGCAGCAGCTGCTGTAGATTTTGTTCACTTGTCACTGGAGAGTTGAAGGCAATAATTGTAAAGGTTGGGCCAGATGTCTTCATGTGCTCACAGTGGTATAGCCTACTCCTGGGTTGCTTAGCATAAATTGGGTGGAAGACAAGAAAAAGATAATATGGTTTTCTTGTGCCATCTCTGGGGTGAATGTTACGTGTTTTCCTGGCTGGGAATAAAGTCTTTCCGGTCGTCTGATTAGCAGGGTGTCTACCTTTTGGTACTTTGAGTTTGTCCAGATGAGTGGTTCTTAAAGCAGGGGGCAATTTATTTCCCCAGGAGACATTTGGCTATCTCTGGACATAGTTTTGATTGTCACAATGGGGGCAGGGAGGTGCTGCCGGTACCTAGTGGGTAGAGGCCAGGGACGCCTCTAAACATCCTACGTTGCACAGGACAGCCCCCCACGCTGGAGAATTCTCTGGCCCAAAATGTCAGCAGTGTTGAGGCTGAGAAATCCTGGTCAAGATCATGTTTATAACACCAGCAGTTGAGTACAAAACGATGCAAAGTGGTGTTATCAATTTCCTAAGAAGGTGGGTGGGCTTCATGTGATTGTAATTGGAATCCTGAAGAACTGGGGTGATCTTTCCTCCAGGAATAATTAGCCTTTATAGGAAAATCTGCAGGGTGGGTCAGAATCCTGCTTTAAATATTACTTTTCTGGCATTTGATCAGTAGGTTACAGTAGTTGCTCCCTAAGTGTTAATTGATGATAAAAGATCTTAAACTCTCTCAATGAGGATCGCAAGAGGGACTGAAATTCCAGTGTGTTTAATATTGGAGCATTCACAAAAATTGTAGTGATCTTTTAGGAATTCAGAACGTGTGGGCTGGAGGTTTCTGCCTTAGGTCAATGTGAAAATTCTGAGTGTAAGTTTTTCAGAACTATGGGACTTACTTTTTTTTTTTTTTTTTTTTTTTTTTTTGAGAGGGAGTCTCGGTCTCTTGCCCAGGCTGGAGTGCAGTGAGGCGATCTCGGATCCCTGCAACCTCCGCCTCCCGGATTCAAGTGATTCTCCTGCCTCAGCCTCCCGAGCAGCTGTGACTACAGGCGTGTGACACCACACCCGACTAATTTTTGTATTCCCAGTAGAGATGGGGTTTCACCACGTTGGTCAGGATGGTCTCAAACGCCTGACCTTGTGATCCTTCAGCCTCAGCCTCCCACGGTGCTGGGATTACAGGCGTAAGCCACTGCACCTGGCCGGGACTTAGATTTATATTCCCTGAAGTAATACAGGGCCTTAGATGGAATAAACGATTTATATTGGTGCTAATTGGGCAGAAAAGAAAAAGCATTGCTGTAATATGAATGTTGATGACTTTATGTTCTGAAAAATAGTCTGGGTCAAAGTGAAACATTTAATTGTGTTCATTATTCCTGTTTCTTTGAGGAATAGACTATCCTGCGTTAAATTCTACATTGTTAATATAAACTCAAGAGCTATGTGAGCAGTTGTAAATGATCCCATTTAAACTGATTGTTGCATAATTTATACTGATTACAGAAACCACAATGTTATTTGATGCTCACCCTCTAAAATTTAAAATAATATCTCTCACTTTAAAATGTATGTGAAAAAACAAAAACAAAATGTAGTATGCGATCATCATTTAGTAGAATCACTCAGTGATTTGGATTTGGTCCAAATATAGTTCTGTCCCTTGCTTTTTCTGTTATGTAAACGTGCAGACCTGTGATAACAGAGCCATTTTCTCGTCACGATTTGCTTTTCTTCCACAACAGTATCAGTTTTCTTGTATCTGAGATCAGTGATGTCCCAATAAATCAGATGGGTTAATTGAGGAGGCAAAGGAAATTCAAACTTAGGAGAGTAGGAGTAGGGGCTTTGCCCCTGCCCCCCACTGTATGTCCAAGGCATAAGGAACAAGGCCCTGTAGCAGAGTCTCACAGTGTGTACTTATGTTAATATTCAATAAGGAAAATGCCACAGGAAGTAATCACTATAATGATGAAGATTTTAAGTTATTAAACACACCTTCCAGTAAAAACCTGTTATATTATTATTATTTTTGAGACAGGATCTCTCTCTGTCACCCAGGCTGGAGAGCCGTGGTACAATCTCGGCTCACTGCAACGTCCGTCTCCAGGGCTCAAGTGATCCTCGCGCCTCAGCCTCCTGAGTAGCTGGGACTACAGGCACTCACCCCCACACTGAGCTAATTAAAACAATTTTTTTGTTCTCGAGACAAGGTCTCACTATATTGCCCAGGCTGGTCCCAACCTCCTGGGCTGAAGCCATCCTCTTGCCTTAGCCTCCCAAAGTGCTGGGATTATAAGCGTGAGCCACCGTGCCAGGCCAAAACCTGCTACTCTAAACTTGTAGAATAGCCCAGACCTTTTTCTGTTGGTTAAAAGATCTCATTCTTCCTGGGTATTATGTTTAGGCAAGGTATACTGCAGTTTGTTTGCATTTACTTTAATTCTGTCCTTGAGCAAACTTAAAGCAGTTTCTCAGCGTCAGCACTAGTGATATTTTGGGTCAGATAATTTGCTGTTATGGGGGCTGGCCTGTGCATGGCAGCATGCTTAGCAGTGTCCCAGACCTCTGCTCAGTAGATGCTAGTCGCACTCCCTACACCCAGTTGTAACAATAAGAAATGTCTCAAGATGGGGGCAGTTGTCCCCCAAGGGGTAGAGGGAATTGCCTGTCATTGAAAGTCCCTAATTTAGGGAATCTAGAGCTACAGTTCCGGTTTGGTCACCACTAGCCATATTTGGCAGTTTACATTGAGATTAAAATTAAACACAATTTAAAATTCATTTCCTCAGTCATGCTAGCCACATTTCAAGTGCTCAGCAGCCACATGTGGCTGATGTCTGCTACACTGGGCAGCACAGATGTGGAACATTTCCATCGCAAAGAAGGTTCCACTGGACAGTGCTAAGAGCTGGCAATTCGTGTTTTTTTTTTGAGATGGAGTCTCCCTCTGACGCCCAGGCTAGAGTGCAGTGGCACAGTCTCTGCTCACTGCAACCTCTGCTTTCCGGGTTCAAGCGATTCTCCTGCCTCAGCCTCTCAAGTAGCTGGGATTACAGGCACCCACCACCACACCTGGCTAATTTTTGTATTTTTAGTAGGGATGGGATTTCACCATATTGACCAGGCTGGTCTCAAGCTCCTGACCTCAAGTGATCCACCCGCCTCGGCCTCCCAAAGTGCTGGGGTTACAGGCATGAGCTACTGTGCCCAGCCAATTACTTGTTATATCTAATTCTCATCTCTGAAAGAGGCAACTTTGACCCTGTTTCTGACCTAAATCAGCACAACTCAGCCCATTTTTGGTTCTTGAACTCATCCTGAGCTAAGTGTTTCTTTCCTGCTATTTGGGACTGATTTTAGAAAATTCTTTGTCACCTTGCTGTTATGCTAGAGGTTTATAGCAGCATCAATGGAACATTCCTGATCATTACTTACTGATAAGGACTCCGAGAATTTCTATTCCTGCTCCTTCCTTAAAAAGCATGAGAAAAGAACCCCTGTTAGGCAAGGTTGAAATGACCAGTTTCCGTGTATGGCTTTGTAGATCCCACTCTTTTATATAGAATGAGAGGAGATGAGAGGCTGTAATTGTAGCTTTCATATAAAGCCAATTCCAATGTTACAATGTGAGGGTTTTGCATACAGATGCATGGTGGCTATGGCTGTAAATGATTATCTAATACTGGCTGTCAGGGAAAACTGATGGGACTCGGCCATAGTACAAAGTTCCTGATCCTAGATATTTATGGCTTTGTTCATTCTTGATTTATTCAATTTTGCAGGGGAAGTCAGTGGCAGAGCTATTGATGGTCCCATTTCCGTCTTTGCTCCACTATATCTAGGATTATATGAGTTATAGGTAGAAGTTGGTTGAGCTTGATTTCATCTGTTGTCACCTAAAGCAGAAACCTGTTTTGATTTATAATTTTTTTTTTTTGAGACGGAATCTTGCTCTGTCACCCAGGCTGGAGTGCAGTGGTGCGATCTCAGCTCTATGCGACCTCTGCCCCACTGCAACCTCTGCCCCCTGGGTTCAAGCAATTCTCCTGCCTCAGCTTCCCGAGTAGATGGGATTATTTTTGTGCCACGCCCGGCTAATTTTTGTTTTTTTTATTTTTTATTTTTTTGAGATGGAGTCTCGCCCTGTGGCCTAGGCTGGAGTGCAGTGGCACAGTCTCGGCTCACTGCAAGCTCCACCTCCCAGGTTCACGCCATTCTTCTGCCTCAGCTGGGACTACAGGCGCCCACCACCACACCCAGCTAATTTTTTGTATTTTTAGTAGAGATGTGGTTTCACCAAGTGTTAGCCAGGATGGTCTCGATCTCCTGACCTCCACCTCAGCCTCCCAAAGTTCTGGGATTACAGGCATGAGCCACCGCGCCTGGCCAATTTTTGTATTTTTAATAGAGACGGGGTTTCGCCATGTTGGCCAGGCTGGTCTCCAACTCCTGACCTCAAGTAATCTGCCCACCTTGGCCTCCCAAAGTGCTGGGATTACAGATGTAAGCCACTGCACCCGGCCTTGATTTATAATTTTTATTAATCGAAGGTGAGCTGTGGTCAAAGCCCAATGCTGAGTGCTGACAGAGACACAAGGTGAGTAAGATGTGGCCCCTGCAGGAGGTTGCGTTCTGGTAAGGGAGTATACTTTTTTTTGGACAAATCCTTGTATAGAAAGGGATAAAAAGCATAGGAATTAAGAAACAAATTGTGAGTGCAAGGAGCAAGTGACCAGGAAGGATTATGTGAAAGAGATTCTTTAGGCAGAATATTTAGCTCAGAATTATGCTTTTCTAGAGTTTAATTGTAAATATAATGCAAACCTTTACTTTACGAGTGTGCCTCATATTATTGCTGGTAGATAAAAATCAAGAAACAGGAAAAGCATTTCATCTTTACCTTTCCGATTTGATCGCTCCCTAACAATCCCTGAACAAGGTAAATCCTGAATGGTGATAATCATTCAACCTTCATCTCTGCTAAAAGCATTTCTTTTCCTCCCAGGCAAAAACAAACAGTGCCTGCTGTCTAGCACTAGTTAAACTAGTTAAACACTGCCTATAAAGCTTATCTTAAGGAAGAGTTATAACAGTATCTGCTTCTGTTTAGCAGTTTTCTTTTTGTTCCAGAATAAAGGTGTGATTCCAGGTAAACAGTAAAGTTTTTAGAAATAGAGCTTCCCTATTGTATGCTATTTTTCCATCAGTGTCATTATCTGGAAGTGTTTACTCGTGTTATAAGATCTGTGTGAACTGACACTGCAGTAGTGGTCTCTGGGAACACAGGTTTTTGGAACACGGAGTTGGATCTCTAGCATCTCCAACGTATATCTGAGTCAAGTGATTAGAGGCTTTTTCCCTCCTTCACATACTGCTCTCTGACTGAGATGTGATCTGTGCAGTTAACTTTGCTGCCTCCTTTCCACTGTTGGGTATTTTTGTCCTTTTCTTTTGTTTCTTTTTTTTTTTTGAGATGGAGTTTTGCTCTTGTTGCCCAGGCTGGACTGCAGTGGTGCGATCTTGGTTCACTGTAACCTCTGCCTCTGGGTTCAAGCAATTCTCCTGTCTTAGCCTCCTGAGTAGCTGGGATTACAGGCGCCCACCACCGCGCCCAGCTAATTTTTTGTATTTTTAGTAGAGACAGGGTTTCATCATGTTGGCCAGGCTGGTCTTGAACTCTGTACCTCAGGTGGGCCACTGCACCCGGCCTATTTTTGCCCTTTTCTTTCCTATTTTCTGCCTATCTTCTTGAGGAATTTGTAAGGTTAAATACTTATAGTTACACCTTATACAGTACTTGGCTAACCCTTTTCAACTAGGAAGATTATGATGCTTAATCTTAATGAGCCAGTAATTACAGTATGTCTTCATATTCTCACAGACACACTCAAGCGTAGAGACCATGATGGTTAAAAATAAGACTTTCAAATGACAATATCCAGTTCTTAGAAGATGAGAGGAGACGGCTGAGCATGGTGGCTCATGCCTGTACTCCCAGCACTTTGGGAGGCCGAGGTGGGTGGATCACCTGAGGTCAGGAGTTCGAGACCAGCCTGGCCCACGTGGTGAAACCCCATCTCTACTAAAAATACAAAAATTAGCCAGGTGTGGTGGCTCACGCCTGTAGTCCCAGCTACTCAGGAGATTGTGCCACTGCAACAGAGTGAGACTCCATCTCAAAAAAAAAAGAAGATGGGAGGAGACAAAAGTTCTGGTTCTTAAATACTGTACTGTTGAATCAGGCAAAAATACTTACAAATGTAGAAACTGAGACTCCAATAAGATAAACCAGGTTTACAAGTCACTGTATCAGCTTGGAGGATTCCTGTCCTCTTCTCTCATCCTTGGCCCATAAGGAACATTATGTTCTTGCTGTGGCTTCTCAGTGGTATGTATTATAATAGACGTGTGTGGTGTTTGGGGAACTTGTTTAACTAGTGCTAGACAGCAGGCACTGTTTGTTTTCGCCTGGGAGGAAAAGAAATGCTTTTTGCAGAGATGAAGGTTGAATGATGATCACTATTCAGGATTTACCTTGTTCAGAAAGCTGTGGGAGGCAAGAGTAGTTAAGTTAGGAACAGCTGTCTGGAGCTTTACCTCTTGCTTTTTATCTCAGCCGAAGGTAGGTAGTGATTTTTTTTATGTCTAATGCATATGGTATAAACTAGCATCTCATAACTCCAAGGTCTTCTAATATGAGCAGCTGGTTTCTCTTTAGTTAGCCCTAAGAGGCCTCTGAAATAAGTCCTAAAAGTCCCCCAAATAAGAACATTCCTCTCCTGAAAAAAAAACTTTGTTGAAACGAAAGTATTATATACTTCTAGCATTGATGAATGTTACAATTAATATACTTTTAAAAATAAATTTTAGACTTTCTTTGTTATAGAGGCTGCTTCTCTTAAAAGCCTTCTCTTGGCCGGGTATGGTGGCTCATGCCTGTAATCTCATCACTTTGGGAGGCCGAGGCGGGCAGATCATGAGGTCAGGAGATCGAGGCCATCATGGCTAACATGGTGAAACCCCGTCTCTACTAAAAATACAAAAAAACTAGCCGGGTGTCGTGGCATGTGCCTGTGGTCCCAGCTAATTGGGAGGCTGAGGCAGGAGAATCGCTTGAACCCGGGAGGCGGAGGTTGCAGTGAGCCGAGATCATGCCACTGTACTCCAGCCTAGGCGACAGAGCAAGACTCCGTCTCAAAAAAAAAAAAAAAAAAAAAAAAAAAGCCTTCTCTTTGAAGGCTTAGCTCTGTATGTCTTAAACAGCAGTTATTCATGTCAGTTATTCATGTACCATCTGTGAATTTGGCCACATCACTGTACCACCTATACTATTATTTGCTTAGTATTTTCTTTTAAATCTACTTTACATCAATTTACTCCCCCTTTATGAAAAATTGAGGAACCGTTTACTTACAACAAATAGACCCATTTTAATTATATAGTTTGTGTTTTGGAAGTTGTATATAGTGATATTACCACCAGCATGATCAAGATACAAAGCATTGACCTGGTGCAGTGGCTCACACCTGTAATTTCAACACTTTGGGAGGCCAAGGAAGGAGGATCTCTTGAGCCCAGGAGTTTGAGGGCAGCCAGGGCAACACAGTGAGACTCCTATCTCTATAAAAAATAAAAACTTAGCCAGGCTTGGTGGCATGCACCTGTAGTCCCAGCTACTTGGGAGGCTGAGGTGAGAGGATCGCTTGAGCCCAGGAGGGTGAGGCTGCAGGGAGCCACGATAGTGCCGCTGCACTTGGCCTGGGTGACAGAGTGAGACCCTGTCTCAGAAAATAAGTCCCCTACCCACCCACCCCAAAAAAGGTACAGAGCATTTCTGTCTCCCTGAAAATGTCCCTATGTCCCTTTGCAGTGGATCCCTGCCCTGCTTTCTGTCACTCTAGACCTCTTTACCCACCCATCCCATCCCTGCACCCCCGCCTTTTTTTTTTTTTTTTTTTTTAACTTAGATTTGTCCTCAACTGTAATGTCTCTAAATTCTGGGATTTGAGGTGTGTGTTTGTGTGGGTTTTTTTTTTTTTTTCCAAATCACATAAAAGTGAGAGAGAGAGAGAGAGAGAGTGTGTGTGTGTGTGTGTATACATATATATATATATATATATTTTTTTTTTTTTTTTTTCTGAGACGGACTCTCACCCTGTCGCCCAGGCTGGAGTGCAATGGCGCCATCTCGGTTCACTGCAACCTCCGCCTCCCGGGTTCAAACGATTCTCCTGCCTCAGCCTCCTGAGTAGCTGGGGTTACAGGCACACCACCACGCCCAGGTAATTTTTTGTATCTTTAGTAGAGACGAGATTTCACCATGTTGGACAGGCTGGTCTCAAACTCCTATCGTGATCCGCCCGCCTCTGCCTCCCAAAGTGCCAGAATTACAGGCATGAGCCACCGCTGCCAGCCAAATGTATAATTTTTTAAATTCACACTTTGGTGAACTGGTTTAACTGAGGAAAAGTGTTGATTCGTGTGTTTTCAAAAGATGAAATTTTTTTTTTTCCCCTGAAACAGAGTCTTGCTCTGTCACCTAGGCTGGAGTGCAGTGGTGCATTCTTGGCTCACTGCAACCTCTACCTCCTGGGTTCAAGCGATTCTCCTGCCTCAGCTTCCTGAGTAGCTGGGATTACAGGTGCCCGCCATTGCACACGACTAGTTTTTGTATTTTTAGTAGAGATGGATGGGGTTTTACCATCTTGGCCAGGCTGGTCTCGAACTCCTGACTTCGTGATCTGCCCACCCCGGCCTCCCAAAGTGCTGGGATTACAGGTGTGAGCCACTGCCTAAGATGAAAAAATTTTTAAAGTGACTAGTTCATTAATTCCCAAATCTTAGGCTCTAAAGACACCTTTTATTTCTATTGTAGTTACCAGTTTTGGAAGATATGATAAACAACTTTTTTTTTTTTTTTTTTTTTTTTGAGACGGAGTCTTGGTCTGTCGCCCAGGCTGGAGTGCAGTGGCACAATCTCGGCTTACTGCAAGCTCCGCCTCCCGGGTTCACGCCATTCTCCTGCCTCAGCCTCCCTAGTAGCTGGGACTACAGGCGCCCGCCAGCACACCTGGCTAATTTTTTGTATTTCTAGTAGAGACGGGGTTTCTACTGTGTTAGCCAGGATGGTCTCCATCTGACCTCGTGATCCACCTGCCTCGGCCTCCCAAAGTGCTGGGATTACAGGTGTGAGCCACCGCGCCTGGCCTTGCCAATTTATAATTTTCCGTTAGCTTTTTTGAAAAGTTGAGAGTTGCTCCTTGACCTCCTTTACCATCTTACCTTGCATTTGATTCTTGACTTTTCCTCCAACATTTAAATTGTCAGAACTTTTAAGCAATTTTAACATTACATATGTAATATTTCTTCTGGTAGTGAGGGAGTATTTTAATATCCCATACTGTCTGATAAAAATCGCCTAGCATAAAAACGATTCTTGGCCAGGCACTGTGGCCCACATTTCTAATCTCAGCACTTTGGGAGGCCAAGGCAGGAGGATTGCTCGTGAAGCCAGGAGTTTGAGATCAGCCTGGGTGACATAGTAGGACCATGTCTCTCCAAAAAATTTTTAAAAATTAGCTAAGTGTGGTGGCATGTGCCTGTAGCCATGTCTGCTCAGGGGGCTGAGGTTAGAGGATCACTTGAGCCCAGGAACTCAAGGCTGCAGCCAGCTATGATCACGCCACTGTGACAGCCTGGACAATAGAGCGAGGTCATGTCTCAAAAAAAAAAAAAGTTTGTAAAAAATGCTCACGAAGGTATGAATAGTAGGGCTTGTTTTATAAAATGAGCTAACTATTAAAGTCTCAGTTCTGGCTGGGTGCAGAGGCTCACGCCTGTAATCCCAGCACTTTGGGAGGCCAAGGCAGGCAGATTATCTGAGGGCAGGAGTTTGACCCGGCCAACATGGTAAGATCCCGTCTCTACTAAAAATACAAAAAAATTAGCTGGGCGTGATGGCGGGCACCTGGAATCCCAGCTACTCAGGAGGCTGAGGCAGCAGAATCACTTGAACCCGGGAGGCGGAGGTTGCAGTGAGCCGAGATCAAGCCACTGCACTCCAGCCTGGGAGACAGAATGAGACTGCATCTCGAAAAAAGTCTCAGTTCTGTGACAGTGAGCATGCAATTGAATGGCTCTTCTTAGGAAAGGAGAATTAAATCATACCTATCATGCAACTGTGTTAGATAAAATTGTAGCAAAAATATTGAACCCACGTCATTTATACAACAGAATTAACTGTACTTGAAATATAATTTATGAATTTGTAGAGAGGTAAAACTGTGTCTAAATTCTCAGCAATTAGTATCTATCAGAAAATGTGCATGTAGATATACCCACTCTGTAAATGCTTTGTTGCACTTTTTTTGGTTTTGGGATTTTTGTTTGAGACAGAGTCTTGCTCTGCTGCCCAGGCTAGAGTGCAGTGGCGCGTTCTTGGCTAACTGCAAGCTCCGCCTCCCAGGTTCGAGTGATTCTTGTGCCTCAGCCTCCTGAGTAGCTGGGACTACAGGCGCACACCGCCACGTCCAGCTAATATTTGTATTTTTAGTAGAGACGGGGTTTCACCATGTTGGCCAGGCTGGTCTCAAACTCTTGACATTGGGTGATCTGCCCTGCTTTGGCCTCCCAAAGTGCTGGTTTTACAGGTGTGAGCCACCATGCGTGGCCATGCTTTCACTCTTAAAAATGCTTGGGTTTAAGAGTTGGTGGAAAAAGGAAAAAAAAAAAATGCCCTGATCTGGATGATGAGTTTACGGCCATCTGGTTGAGACTGTTGTAAAGTAGAAATTTTCCCTGTAAAGTGTCACTTTCTTCCCAGGTGAAAACATTAATCAAGCAAGGATAATCTTTAAAATTAAACCTTAGTTCTAAATATGATTTTTGAGTACAAGCTTTTTTAAAGTGTTGAGTTGCTTCATTTACTTACTTGATAAAATTGAGAAGCAGTATTGCCCAGTGGTTAAGAGCACTGGTCCTAGAATTTTACTTAGTTTTAAATTCTGGCTCTAAAATGTACTATGATTTGGGGCTTGTGAGGAAGTAATGTGTGTAGAGGCGTTAATTATTAGCACAATGCCTGGAATATAGTAAGCAACCCAGTAAGTATTAGTAATTATAAGGATCATAAATCTGATTGAATATTTACTCTGTGTCTGACCCTGCACTCAGTGCTAAGGGATTCAGAAATTATTTGACATTCTTCCGAGGAACTTGACATAGAATACTGTTTTTCCTTTGTTTTTTTGTTTTTTGAGATGGAATTTTGCTGTCGCCTAGGCTGGAGTGCAGTGGCACCATCTCTGCTCACTGCAGCCTCCGCCTCCCAGGTTCAAGCAGTTCTCCTGCCTCAGTCTCCCGAATAGCTGGGATTACAGGCACCCCCCACCACGCCTGGCTAATTTCTGTATTTTTAGTAGAGACGGGGTTTTGCTATGTTGGCCAGGCTGGTCTCAAGCACCTGGCCTCAGGTGATCCACCAACCTTGGTCTCCCAAAGTGCTGGGATTACAGGTGTGAGCCACTGCGCCTGGCCTGTTTTTTTTTTCTGCCAACATTATCAAACATTTTCCTATGTACTAACTAATAGACATCTTTATACATCTTTATACAATTCTTTTTTTTTTTTTTTTTTTGCCATACAGGTTCATTTTATTGAGTGGAAAGCTTACAAAAGGTCCACTGGCCCCTTCCCTCCCCACGTGACACTCATTCCTTCCAATGCAAACTCTGGTGTATCCACACTCGCTTCTGCGTCACTGGTTTCCCCCAACAAGGCACAAAGGGCGGGTGCTTCCAAAGGATCCCTTGCTCCTGGCAGTGGGACTTTCAGTGCTGGGTGTCTTGTGCAAATGGTGGCTGAAAGCAGGACTGTTAGTTCACTCAGACACTGGGATCTTCCTTACTCCTGCAGAGGGGCTTGGCTCCAGGCCCACAGTACTCGTTGTAGATGAGCTTGAAGAGGAAGAGGTGGAAGAGGGTGATGAGGGAGGCCAAGCTGAACCAGAAGAGGAAGGGCAGCCCGGGGTCCTGCTGAGCCATGTGCTCATCATGGGCCAGGATGGCCTTGAGGTGCAGCGTGTGCCGCAGGTCCTGCAGGTGTGTGAGGTCGGTGGAGATGTAGAGCAGTGGCGTGATGGGCTGTGTCACCATGACCGAGAAGGTGTGGCCCGTGGGCGCCGAGGTCAGCTCCACTGGCTCGTCCAGGCAGCCTGCCTTGCAGGCATAGATCTTGACAGGCTGGCCACGGGACTCCACGGACTCGTGTAGGTAGGGCTTGCCCTCGGCATCCGCCAGCACGGCCAGGTTGATATGGTCGTTCTTGTAGCGGATGCCATGCAATGCATAGCTGTTCTGCAGCACGTCGGGGTCGGCCTGGAACTGGAGGTGGTTCTCTGTGAACTGCAGCCCCCCGAAGCTGAGCACCATGCCCTGCAGGATGCCTGGGGCACCCACCTTCACCAGCCCCTTGCAGCCACTCTTCTGGAGGGTCAGCCTCCACAGGTCAGAGAGCTGCAGGATCTGCTGGACGGAGGACAGCAGCCCCGGCCACAGGTTCTCGGCGTGCATGGTGGCGTGCCCGCTGAAGCGGTGATCTTCATAGTTGAGCGTCGACTCCATCTGGTCTCGCTCCCTGTGGCTCAGGGAGGGGCTGAGCAGCGGGGCTGGCGAGCAGGAGAGCATGTAATAGAGCGTCAGGTTCACGGTGAGGCCAGACGGCCTGTGGGTGTCAGTGATCTTCATTTCCACTCCTGGGCTGAAGAGCTGAGCCCAGAGGAGCTGGTGGTCTTGAAGCAGCTCCGCCGCTGGCATCTCCAAGAGCTCCAGCATTTCCTTCCGTGCCAAGTCCTGCAGCGCCTTGAGCTCCTTGGCTGCTTTGCTTTTGGGCACCTGGGGGATAATGGGGCCAGAGACGTGCACCACCCACAGCACCGTCTCATCCAGCTGCGTCTTGGGAGCCACTTGGAGGCGGTTCACCAGCTTCTTGGCGGCCACCACCACCAGGTGCACCAACCCAGTGGGCGTAGGCGGGGACCGGCCTGAGTAGAGGAGGAACTGATGGTCTCCGACCTTCTCCAGGGTACTGGTGAAGGCCTTGGGGGCTGGGCCGGCAGTGGGCCCCACAGTCTGCAGCGCGGTCACGCGCTCCGTGGGGTTGTTGAGCTGGATGCGCTGCAGGTAGACGTGGGGTCGGCCCCTGTGCGCCAGAAAGCCCTCTTGCAGCAGCACGCAGTCGCGGCCGGACCCCGCGGCAAGGCCAGAGACGGAGGCGGGCCCGGGGCCGGCGGCCACGGGGCCAGGACCTGGGGACCCCAGCTGCAGGCAACGCACGCGGCGCAGCAGCCCCTCCCGCAGCAGCAGCACCGCCTCTCCAGCTTCAGCCAGCGCGCTCAGCGGGCGCAGCTGCACGAAGGGCACAAAGTCCGGCGCCACGGCGGGCTCCCGCTCCCCGGGAGTCACCCACAGCCGATTGGCAGCCACGTCCAGGGCCAGGAAGCCGTTGGCCACCAGGGCCGGCACTCCAGGGCCCAGCGGTACCGCCTCGCCGCGCTCCCGCAGGCCGCGCCAGGCGCGGGTGGCCGCCTCCAGGCAGGCAGACGGCTCGGTGGCGCCCGGCTCACCCCAGGACCAGGGAAGCAGGTGCAGGCCGCCCGCCGCCCGCTGCGCGCCGGACCCCCCAAACCACAGAAGCAGCAGTAGGAGGCCAAGCAGGCAGAGGAGGCGGCGGGCCCAGCTGCTCGACAGCAGTCCCGGCAGCCCCTTGAGCCCCTGCTGTAGCCACATCGGGCCGCCAGGCGCGGGCAAGGGCGCGAGGGCGGCCGCCGGGCCCGCCGCCCAGCCCACCGGCCCGGCCGCCCGTGCCTCACTGCCCGGCCCAGACCGCGGCGCCCACCCCGGCCCCCGCCGCAACCGCCGCAGCAGCCGCCATCGCTGCTTCCTCCTCCTTCTCCTACAATTTAATTCTTCATTTAGGTTTGTGTCTGGCTGTTGCCCTGGTGTTGTTTATTAATGTTGATCATACAGCTATTTTGGCATTGCCCACAGCTATTGAGGATAAGAAATGTGATGAAGAAAGTGGTAGCTGCCCCCAGTAGAAGCTTATGAAGACGCTGTTTTTAGTTTTAAGGGATCAGTTAATCTACAACTTTTCATAGAGCATTCATTGGTTTAGATCTTAATATTATCCTGAAACTGGATAATACTTTATATTTTGAATTATCCAATTAATGCAACAAACACGTGAGGGTCTATGGCATTGGAGTCATTGTTCACATTTATTCACCCAAACTTAACTATCAGTGCTGCTTTTCCTACCCACCCACTCCCCCCTGGGCTTACTCCCTGAAGAGCAAGAATGATTTATTTATTTTTATTTAATTTTTTGAGACAATCTTGGTCTGGCGCCAAGGCTGAAGTGCAGTGTCGCAATTTCAGCTCGCTGCAGCCTCCGCCTCCTGGGTTCAAGCGATTCTCCTGCCTCAGCCTTCCGAGTACCTAGGACTACAGGCATACGTGACCATGCCCAGCTAATTTTTGTATTTTTAGTAGAGACGGGATTTTGCCGTGTTAGCCAAGCTGGTCTCGAACTCCTGGGCCTCAGGTGATCCGTCAACCTCGGCCTCCCAACGTGCTGGGATTATAGTCGTGAGCCACTGCGCCCGGCCAGCAAGAACAATTTAAACATAAGCCAGTTTACGTTTACGTAAACTGCATGTACACTCCAGAGTCAGAGATTCACCTGGGGATTGTGAATCTGCATTTCCCTCCTGCCTTTCAGTTTAAGCATCTTGTCATTACACGGGATTTTAGTGTTTATAAATGCATGTTCACACAATGTGGCTTCTAAACTATTTTGTGTGTATATATATGTATTATATATGTATATAGATATGTGTGTGTGTGTGTGTGTGTGTGTGTGTGTGTGTGTGTATTTGTTGTTGTCGAGACAGGTTCTCTGTTGACCAGGCTGGAGTGCAGTGGTGTGATCATGGCTCACCACCAGAGCCTCAACCTCCCAGGCTCAAGTGATCATCCCACCTAAACCTCCCAAGTAGTTGGGACTACAGGCGTGCACCACCACACCTGGCTGATTTTTGTACTTTTTGCAGATATGGGGTTTTGTCATATTGCCTAAGCTGTATTTTGTCTATTTTTTTTTTTTTTTTTGGTGACAGGTTGTTGCTCTGTCACCCAGGCAGTGGCACAATCTTGTCTCACTGTAGCCTTGACCTCCTGGGCTCAAGCAATCCTCTTGCCTCAGCCTCCTGAGTAGCTGAGACCAGAGGCATGCACTACCATGCCCGGCTTACTTTTTTTGTATTTTTTGTAGAGACGAGGTTTTGCCATGTTGCCCAGGCTCATCTCAAACTCCCGGACTCAACTGATCCTCCTTCCTTGACCTCTCAAAAGTGCTGGGATTACAGGCATGAGCCACCACACCTGGCGTATTTTATCTATTCTTAACAGAAATATTCATTATAATTCTATTGAAAGAAATAGCTGTGTTGCATTTAGAGAACAGTATGTTGATATCCACTCTGGCATGCCTTCCTAAGGGATTTTCAGGTTAATATGACAATTGGAGAATTGAGCCAACTTTAGACCCGTGGTCTAAAGAGAAGTCAAAATTAGTAGGAGTCTGAATCCTTGCCTTCAAGAAGCTTGTAATCTAATTGGAGAGCACATTTATACTGGAAAGCACATCTATAAAACAATTCACAGTAAAGGGTGTAAGGAATCATGAGGATAAATGGCAGCCGCAACAACTGCAAGCATTCTGTCCCATTGTCCCCATAAATACAACCAACATTGTCAAGCAACAAGTCTAGATTTTTGGTTTAGGAAAAAAGGCATCAGTATCATTAGAGGGGATGGGAAAGAGCAAAAGTGGCTTTATCTGTAAAGGCTTCCTGGAATTATTGACTTGTAATTGAATAGGTGCTAGGAGAGAGATAGATAAAAGTCATGAGGATATTTCAGACACTATGGTCGTTGGGAGCATGAAGGTGTGAATCAAGCCAAACTGTTTATCATTTGGCTAGGTGGTAGGGGACACACGGGAGTGTCACAGCAGTGAGGATCGTCAGGAGCATCACCAGCTGACTCAGGGGTGAAGATAAATTCTCTTGACCATCATATTCCTCATTCTCTTCACTGTCTGCACTGAGGCCTTTTTCGAGTGCTTTCTGAGCCTTCTCATAGTTAAAGTGGTGAATTTTATTGAAAACACTTGTTTTAAAATTTGTCTATTTTATCTAAAAATTTGGTCATGGCTAAATGATTACCTTGTAAGCCCTTGTGGGAGCCAGTGTGATATAATAGAGGTCAGAAACAGGAGTCAGGGACCCTAGGTTTTGGCACCTCATTGTCGTTTATTAGCTCTATGGCCATAGGCAAGTCGCTTAACCTCTCTGCATCTTAGTTTCCTCACCTCCAAAATGTTAGACCAGAATCAGACGTTTTTATGCTATACTTTTTTTTTTTTTTCTTTTTTTGAGACAGGGTTTTACTCTGTTCCAGGCTGGAGCGCAGTGACACAATCATAGCTTACTGTAGCCTCAAACTCCCAGGCTCAAGCGATCCTCCTACCTCTGCCTCCCAAGTAGCTAGGTCTACAGGTGTGCACCACCACACCCAGCTAATTTATTTCTCACTATGTTGCCCAAGCTGATCTGAAACTCCTGGCCTCAAGTGATTCTTCTGCCTTGGCCTCCCAAAGAATTTTTTTTTTCTTTTCAATGACACTTTAAAAAAAAATTTTTTTTTTAATTTTTTAAAATTATACTTTAATTTTTAGGGTACGTGTGCACAACATGCAGGTTTGTTACATATGTATACATGTGCCATGTTGGTGTGCCGCACCCATTAACTCTTCATTTAACATTAGTTATATCTCCTAATGCTATCCCTCCTCCCTCCCCCCACCCCACAACAAGCAGCAGTGTATGATGTTCCCCTTCCTGTGTCCATGTATTCTCATTGTTCATTTCCCACCTATGAGTGAGAACACGCGGTGTTTGGTGTTTTGTCCTTGAGATAGTTTGCTGAGAATGATGGTTTCAAACTTCATCCATGTCCCTACAAAGGACATGAACTCACCATTTTTTATGGCTGCATAGTATTCCATGGTGTATATGTGCCACATTTTCTTAATCCAGTCTATCATTGATGGACATTTGGGTTGGTTCCAAGTCTTTGCTATTGTGAATAGTGCCACAATAAACATACGTGTGCATGTGTCTTTATAGCGGCATGATTTATAATCCTTTGGGTATATACCCAGTAATGGGATGGCTGGATCAAATGGTATTTGTAGTTCTAGATCCCTGAGGAATCGCCACACTGACTTCCACAATGGTTGAACTAGTTTAGAGTCCCGCCAACAGTGTAAAAGTGTTCCTATTTCTCCACATCCTCTCCAGCACCTGTTGTTTCCTGACTTTTTAATGATTGCCATTCTAACTGGTGTGAGATGGTATCTCATTGTGGTTTTGATTTGCATTTCTCTGATGGCCAGTGGTGATGAGCATTTTTTCATGTGTCTTTTGGCTGCATAAATGTCTTCTTTTGAGAAGTGTCTGTTCATATCCTTCGCCCACTTTTTGATGGGGTTGTTTTTTTCTTGTAAATTTGTTTGAGTTCATTGTAGATTCTGGATATTAGCCCTTTGTCAGGTGAGTAGACTGCAAAAATTTTCTCCCATTCTGTAGATTGCCTGTTCACTCTGATGGTAGTTTCTTTTGCTTTGCAGAAGCTCTTTAGTTTAATTAGATCCCATTTGTCAGTTTTGGCTTTTGTTGCCATTGCTTTTGGTGGTTTATACATGAAGTCCTTGCCCATGCCTGTGTCCTGAATGGTATTGCCTAGGTTTTCTTCTAGGGTTTTTATGGTTTTAGGTCTAACATTTAAGTCTTTAATCCATCTTGAATTAATTTTTGTATAAGATGTAAGGAAGGGATCCAGTTTCAGCTTTCTACATATGGCTGGCCAGTTTTCCCAGCACCATTTATTAACAAGGGAATCCTTTCCCCATTTCTTGTTTTTGTCAGGTTTGCCAAAGATCAGATAGTTGTAGATATGCGGCATTATTTCTGAGGGCTCTATTGTGTTCCATTGGTCTATATCTCTGTATTGGTACCAGTACCATGCTGTTTTGGTTACTGTAGCCTTGTAGTATAGTTTGAAGTCAGGTAGCATGATGCCTCCGGCTTTGTTTTTCTGGCTTAGGAGTGACTTGGCAATGTGGGCTCTTTTTTGGTTCCATATGAACTTTAAAGTAGTTTTTTCCAATTCTGTGAAGAAAGTCATTGGTAGGTTGATGGGGATGGCATTGAATCTATAAATTACCTTGGGCAGTGTGGCCGTTTTCACGATATTGATTCTTCCTACCCATGAGTGTGGAATGTTCTTCCATTTGTTTGTATCCTCTTTTATTTCATTGAGCAGTGGTTTGTAGTTTTCCTTGAAGAGGTCGTTCACATCCCTTGTAAGTTGGATTCCTAGGTATTTTATTCTCTTTGAAGCAATTGTGAATGGGAGTTCACTCATGATTTGGCTCTCTGTTTGTCTGTTATTGGTGTATAAGAATGCTTGTGATTTTTGCACATTGATTCTGTATCCTGAGACTTTGCTGAAGTTGCCTATCAGTTTAAGGAGATTTTGGGCTGAGACGATGGGGTTTTCTAGATATACAATCATGTCATCTGCAAACAGGGACAATTTGACTTCCTCTTTTCCTAATTGAATACCCTTTATTTCCTTCTCCTGCCTCATTGCCCTGGCCAGAACTTCCCACACCGTGTTGAATAGGAGTGGTGAGAAGAGGGCATCCCTGTCTTGTGCCAGTTTTCAAAGGGAATGCTTCCAGTTTTTGCCCATTCAGTATGATATTGGCTGTGGGTTTGTCATAGATAGCTCTTATTATTTTGAGATATGGTCCGTCAATACCCAGTTTATTGAGAGTTTTTAGCATGAAGGGTTGTTGAATTTTGTCAAAGGCCGTTCTGCATGTATTGAGATAATCGTATGGTTTTTGTTGTTGGTTCTGTTTATATGCTGGATTACATTTATTGATTTGCGTATGTTGAACCAGCCTTGCATCCCAGGGATGAAGCCCACTTGATCATGCTGGATAAGCTTTTTCATGTGCTGCTGGATTCAGTTTGCCAGTGTTTTATTGAGGATTTTTGCATCGATGTTCATCAGGGATATTGGTCTAAAATTCTCTTTTTTTGTTGTGTCTCTGCCAGGCTTTGGTATCAGAATAATGTTGGCCTCATAAAATGAGTTAGGGAGGATTTCCTCTTTTTCTATTGATTGGAATAGTTTCAGAAGGAATGGTACCAGCTCCTCCTTTTACCTCTGGTAGAATTTGGCTGTGAATCCCTCTGGTCCCGGACCTTTTTTGGTTGGTAAGCTCTTAATTATTGCCACAATTTCAGAGCCTGTTATTGGTCTATTCAGAGATTCAACTTCTTCCTGGTTTAGTCTTGGGAGGGTGTATGTGTTGAGGAATGTATCCATTTCTTCTAGATTTTCTAGTGTATTTGCGTAGAGGTGTTTATAGTATTCTGTGATGGTAGTTTGTATTTCTGTGGGATTGGTGGTGATATCCCCTTTATCATTCAATGAAACTTTTTACAAATAAAAACTTTACTACTTTACTCAAAACCCTGTTATACAAAACAGAGCTGATCTGCTAGGGAGTTAGAAGCCCCAACTGCTTACCTAACCCTTCCTTCTCAGAGTCCTCCCAGGGACCTTAAAGCTCAGGAGAACACAGCTGGAAAATCCCTGGACTAGATCCCTTAGGTCCCTTCTAGAATGTAACAATTTCTGAATCTTATATTGATAAATGGAGTGGAATTTCTTAAAAACAATTTTGAGGAGGCAATGCAGTTTTAAATACGTACGTATTGTATGCCATGCTGTAACATATTGCTAGATACAGTGAGCAATAGGAAAAGGTAAACACAGCTCTTCCTTTAAGCAGCACACTTAGAAGAGTAAGAGGGGAACAAAAGAGCTATAACTTATATATGATATTATATGTATTATATGTAATATAATATATAATATATAATTTATTGTTATAACACAACTCATACTACATAGAGATTGAAGTCAACAAGAATTTTCTCCCTAAACATAACTACAGAGATTAAGAATAGAGAAAGGAAAAGGAAAGGAATGCGTATGTTTTAATTCTGCAAAAAGTTCGGGCACAGTGGCTCAGCCTGTAATCCCAGCAGAAGGATAACTTGAGCTCAGGAGTTTGAGATCAGCCTGTGCAGCATAATGAGACCTTGTATCTACAAAAAAATTTTGAAAATTAGCCAGGCATGGTGGCGAGCACTTGTATTCCCAGGTACTCAGGAGGCTGAGGTGGGAGGATCACTTGATCCCTGGAGGTCAAGGCTGCAGTGAGCCACGATCAAACCACTGTACCCCAGCCTGTGTAACAGAGCGACTGCCTCAAAAATAATATTTGTCAAAATAGCTTGTCTTTGTATCACTGCCACATTGCTTGTTTGAAACGAAGCTGACTCACTTTGTTATCATAAGTGATCTTACCAAAGACCAAGTTGTCCAGTTGCCTTGGAGTGTAGGTCATGCGTTGCCGGTACCCTGGGGCTGTGTACAATGGCCAGGCTGAGGGGACCTTGTGGTTACCCCCATGGGACTTGTAACTTGTCAAGTGGGAAGGTGGTACCAAGTGAAGAAGGGTAGGGTCCTTGGTTTTGGCCTCACCTGGTTCTTCCCAGAATGAATGGTGAAAAAATTATAATTCTGCAGAAAAATTTAAATTCTATTTTGTTTACTTTTTGGATGGGAGATAGGTGTACACATGGCACTAAAATTCAAAAGGAACTTAAGGAGGCCAGGCACGGTGGCTCACACCTGCAATCCCAGCACTTTGGGAAGCCAAGGCGGGCAGATCACTTGAGGTCAAGAGTTCGAGACTAGCATGGCCAACATGGTGAAACCCCCCCGTCTCTACTAAAAATACAAAAATTAGCTGGGCATGGTGGTGTGTGCCTGTAATCCCAGCTACTTGGGAGGCTGAGGCAAGAGAATCACTTGAACCCAGGAGGCAGAGGTTGCAGTGAGCAAGGTCATGCCATTGCACTCTAGTCTGGGCAACAGAGTAAGACTCCAACTCAAAAAATAAAAATAAAAACAGCGGCTTCCTCTAGGAAGTGGGGCTGGAAGATTTTTACTTTTTCTGTTATACTTTTGTACTATTGCAAGTTTTAAAATCATGTATTTCACAGTAAATCCAGAAGAAATTATGCACTTAATTTTTCTGGGTGAATTGTGTTATAGAGGTAATAGAGGATTATTAAAATTTCTTTCTTTTTTTTTTTGTTTCCCAGATAGCAGACCCCACGTTAGCTGAAATGGGAAAAAACTTGAAGGAGGCAGTGAAGATGCTGGAGGACAGTCAGAGGTGAGTAGGACAGAGGTGACCCTGTTCAACGAGTTCAGCCTGCTGTGAAGCCAGTGGCTCTGGGTCCTTTCTGTTAAAGGTGCCTCTTGGCTTCACAGTGTCACACACAGCTTTGGCTGACTTGAAAATTGGTATTTGTCTTGGGTAAAAGGTGCCTTGTAATTAAAGGATTTTGAAATTGAGAGGAAAGACTTATACTATTTAATTCTGTCTATTAAGAGTTTCATTTACTTAATATATTGATTTGACTCTATAAATACTTATTATATATTCAGGTCATATAGAGCACCAAGTAAACAAGAAGTGGGTGGAACTTTTTTGTTGCATATTCTTGTCTTTTCCAGAAATTCAAACGATACCTGAAACTGGAGGCAGGGAGATGTGATAAATGTGTTTGAAATCCTGCCTCAGTCACTGGGAGGTTATAGGCAACATGGTCATGTTTGCATATTCAGGAGTTAGAAATTTGGTATGATGAAACAAATGAACAGCTTTTTCTTTTCTTTAAATTAGAAGAACAGAAGAGGAAAATGGAAAGAAGCTCATATCCGGAGATATTCCAGGCCCACTCCAGGGCAGGTAGGTGGCACTGAGGATCCATACCTTTAGTTAAGGTGTAAATTTTTGTTTGTTTCTGAGATGGAGTCGTGCTCTGTTGCCCAGGATGGTGTGCAGTGGCACAATCTGGGCTCGCTGCAACCTCCGCCTCCCGGGTTCAAGCAGTTCTTTCTTGTGCCTCAGCCTCCCGAGTAGCTGGGATTACAGGCGTGCACCACCATATCTGGCTAATTTTTGTATTTTCAGTAGAGATGGGATTTTGCCATGTTGGCCAGGCTGGTTTCTAACTCCTGACCTTCACCTCAGGTGATCTGCCCACCTCAGCCTCCCAAAGTGCTGGGATTACAGGTGTGAGCCACTGTGCCCGGCCTACATTTTTCTTAAACCAGTGTCTTATCATCATTGATTTATGGTTTTAGTTTTAATGAACACATAGCAAATTTAAATAGACTTATGTGCAGTATAACATTAGAAAACTGAAGTGTCGTTGGCTGGTTGGTGATATTGCTGCACCTGCTGGCTTCTCTCCCTCTCCCATTTGGAATTTAATAGATGCTAAGTACAGTGGGTCACATCTGTAATCCCAGCACTTTGGGAGGCCAAGGACAGAGGATCACTTGAGCCCAGGAGTTCAAGGTTACAGCGATCTGTGATTGTACCACTGCACTCCAGCCTGAGTGATAGAGACACTCTCTAATTTTGAGACAGAGTCTCGCTCTGTCGCCAGGCTGAAGTGCAGTGGTGTGATCTCGGCTCACTGCAACCTCTGCCTCCCAGGTTCAAGTGATTCTCCTGCCTCAGCCTCCCGAGTGGCTGGGATTATAGGCACCCACCACCACGCCCAGCTAATTTTTGTATTTTTAGTAGAGACGGGGTTTCACCATGTTGGCCAGGACGGTCTCCATCTCCTGACCTCAGGTGATCCGCCTGCCTTAGCCTCTCAAAGTGCTGGGACTACAGGCATAAGCCACCGCACCTGGCCAAAAATTTTTTAGAAAACCAACAATTTAATACAACCTCATGAGTCAAAAGTGATACATGGAGCTAGGCACCGTGGTGCACACTTGTAGTCCCAGCTGCTTGGGAGCCTGAGGCAGGAGGATGGCTTGAGTCAAGGAGTTCGAGGCCACCCTGAACAACATGGCGAGACCCTATCAAATAAAATAAAAGTGATATACAAATTCATCATTATAACTGGTGTGTCATACTTAGTTCACTCTTGAAACCTGTCATCTATTTGGTAGACTGAGTTTTATTCTAAGAGGTATTTTAATTTGATAAGATTTATTGTTTTCATAATGTAAATGAAAGGAAAATGTCAAATTACTTATTTTTTGGCAACTGAAGCAAATCTGTCATGTTTGAGTAGGAGGAAAAATAGCAAAAAAGTAAGTAGCTGACTAAAATTTTCACAAGACATTAGCAGTTAATCTGGGATTAGTATCCCAGCCCAGCTTCCCTGAGACAAACTTTTTTTTTTTTCCTGTTATAACCAGGAAACTGCACATAAGTAAACAGTACAACTCCCTTAAATATCCTTTGACTTGAATATAAATTGAACCAGGTTGCAAAAGAAAAGTATGGAGGAAGGATCACAGTGTGCCAATAACACGCTGAGATACTAATACTTTAAAAGTCACTCCTATTCGTAGCATGAATAATGCTGATGTGAAGCTAGGTGTGAAGTGCATTCTCAGCTCAGAACAGGAGGCAGGCCCTATAAAATCTCCTCATTCCAGGCCTACTGATGGAAACCAAAGGTTTTAAGGTTTAGTCTCCTAATTCCACGGAAGTTTTCCCAGGGGAGATACTCCCAGCAGCATCTGTAATTCTCAGCCTTAAGCCACTGACTAGGAGGATTCACACTTAGGAGTGCTACCACCCAGCATTCAAGACTAGTAACATGCCAGGCACAGCTAAGTGCCATACCTTCACTGTCTGAAGCCTCCCAAATCCATAACGTCCGGCTTGGCAAGTTGGAATAGCTTGCTCGAGGTCATGTGGCAGGCAGCCAGTGTGCCTCAAGGGCCCCTGCCTGCTCTGATCTCTACAGTGTCCAAGGCCCAGAGCCCCTCTCACTTGAAGGGCAGCACCTTGGGGACAATTGGTTTGGGGACACTGTTTTGATGGCGCTTCCTTTGTTGAAAGAGGAAACCTCTTTTTAGTCTATTCTCATTAACAGACGAATAGCCCTGCGTTATTCCTGTTGCAAGTTGCCTTGCCATTGCTTGCTACTTCAGCCGTTCGAATTCTTTTCGTAACTTTCCATCTCCTCATGTAATGAGCATTTCATAGCAACACATCTTGGATAGAAGTAAAATGTTTTTATACTCTAAGCAGATCTCAAGGTTCCCAGCTTGGGGAAGAGCTGGTAATAAATGAAGCTTGCATTGTTAGAGGCTGTTAGTCCAAACGGACAAGATCCCTATGGAGGAAAATTAGATATACCAGTGGCATTGGAGTGTTCTGTGACTGTCTAGCATTATACTATACTAAGGATGATTATATATTATATTTTATATAATATATTTTATATTTTATATAATGTATAGTATATAATACACTTATATATTATAAGTACATATTATAAGGCCTTTTTGCTCTTATTACATGCTTATTAAATATTCTCTGTCTTGTACTCCAAGATTCAAATGAAATGTATAGAAATGTTGCTAGAGCAAGACTGGTGGCTGGGCAAGGTGGCTCAGGCCTGTAATCCCAGCACTATTGGAGGCTGAGGCAGGAGGATTGCTTGAGCTTGGTGGTTTGAGACCAGGCTGGGCAACATGGCAAAACCCTGTTTCTACCAAAAATAAAAAAACGGCTGGGCGTGGTGGCTCATGCCTGTAATCCCAGCACTTTGGGAGGCCGAGGAGGGTGGATCACTTGAAGCCAGGAGTTGAAGACCAGTCTGGCCAACATGGTGAAACCCCATCTCTACTAAAAATACAAAAATTAGCCGAGCGTGGTGGCGCAAGCTTGTAATCTCAGCTACTCAGGAGGCTGAGGCAGGAGGATCGCTTAAACCCGGGAGGCAGAGGTTGCAGTGAGCCCAGATTATGCCACTTCCCTCCAGCTTGGGTGACAAAGTGAGACCCTGTCTCAAAATAAATAAATAAAAATAAAAAGACTGGTGACATTTATTAAAATGAAACTCATAATTAGGTAGAAGATTTATTTAACCACAAGTAAATTTATATCGGAATTCAGTTTATAATTTGAGCTTTGTTTTTTAAAAAGCATAAACTATATACCACGTTCTTTCTCTTATAGTTGCTTAAGAAAGAAAAAAAAAACTTGAAGCAACGCTAGTTGAATGAGGGAAGTAGCGGGAGAGTGGCGGGGGATGTGTGCTGTTCCCATCAGCCCATCAACTCTTTTTATTCTGCAGTGGGCAAGATATGGTGAGCATCCTCCAGTTAGTTCAGAATCTCATGCATGGAGATGAAGATGAGGAGCCCCAGAGCCCCAGGTAATGAACCTGGCAGCTTCTCTTTTCAAGTGTATGTGTTCTTGATTTCAGTAGTGATTGCGCTCTGACAAGTTGCTCAAATAAGAAGCTATATTTCATTGAGTTACATATGATATTAAAATAATCCTTTTTATTTTCAGAAAGACATTTATATTAATATATATTTTGTGAAATGAAGGCATTTATTGAAATTAGATCCCATAGTTTTTATGGTATCATGCCTTAGAGAGGCGCTGGCAGAAGGACTGAAGAGTGAGTGTCGGATGTCTTTCTGCTGCTGTGCTTCTGCTTCCTAAGAATTGCTGTAGTTGTATTCATTAGGTATTTAGTTAGTTTTCTCTTCAATTATTTTAAATTTAATGTTTTGAAATAAGTAAAATTATTCTCTTGGTTCAAAATTCAGACAATGAAAAATGATATACAAAGGGAATTTTCCTTCCTACCTCTATCTCCCTACCATGTTTTCTTCTCTAGAGACAGACATTACCAGTTTCTTGTGTATTCTTCCAGAGAGATTTTATATGTATTATACACCAGCAAAATGTCTATGCCCACCCTCTCTAATACATAATTACTATGCATATGCTGTGCATCTTGCATTTTTTCACTTATGTCTTGGAGTTCACTGCATATTAATGCACAGGAACTTTCTCCTTTGTCAGAGCTATGTGTTTTACTTTGAACAGATGAACCATATTTTATTTTATTGGTCCCCTGTCATGTTGCACTGTTACAAACATTGCTGCAGCAAACAACTTTCGACATGTGTCACTTCTCATAGAAGCAGGTGTCTGGAGGACAAAGTCCTGAAAGTGGAGTTGCTGTCTCAGACAGTGTGTGCTTTTGTAATTTTGATAGATCCTGCCAAATTTCCCTCCATGGAGTTGCGGCATTTAGCAGTCCCACCAGCAATGTATGAGAGTACTTTATTTCCACACTTTTCACCTGCAAAGGCGTTATCAGACTGAAGGATCATTGATAAGTGATATTCTGATGAGAAATCTGATAAGTGAGAAATGGTGTTTCAGCATAATTCGAATTTGCAGGTTTTTTAAATTATGAACCAAGTGACGTGTCTTTTTGTATGTTTTAAGACCCATTTATATTTCTAGGAACTGTCTGTTGCCCATGATCCTATTAGGTGATTTGTCTTTTTCTTATTATTCACAGTTAACAATTGTAAACTTTTTCCTTCTTTTTTACAGTTATTCTTTATAAGGAAAATTAGTTTTAATTCTATATAAAACATTTTATATAATCAATTTTAATTATATATAAAATAATACCTAGTCCCCCATGAATTTGCTGTATTATTGCAATAAATAATTCTTATTTGATGCATAGACCTGAGATTTAATTCTTTTTTTTTTTTTTTTTTGAGATGGAGTCTTACTCTATTGCCCAGGCTGGAGTGCAGTGGTGCCATTTCGGCTCACTTCAAGCTCTGCCTCCCGGGTTCACTCCATTCTCCTGCCTCAGCCTCCTGAGTAGCTGGGATTACAGGTGCCCACCACCAGGCCCGGCTAATTTTTTGTATTTTTAGTAGAGATGGGGTTTCACCATGTTAGCCAGGATGGTCTCAATCTCCTGACCTCGTGATCCGCCCGCCTTGGCCTCCCAAAGTGCTGGGATTACAGGCATGAGCCACTGCGCCTGGCCAGGATTTAGTTCTTTAAAAAATGCTTTCAGCTCATTTTACCTTAGCTCTACCCTCCACAATTCTTAAGGCTGGTATTTAATTTTTAAAATACTTTAATAGGAAATTATTTTAAAACAGTTTGTAGGTACTCAATTTAAAAAGGGCTATTTATCTCCTGGAACTCAAATTATAAAAATATTTTTCTGGCCAGGAGTAGTGGCTCATGCCTGTAATCCCAGCACTTTGGGAGGCCGAGGCAGGTGAATCACCTGAAGTCAGGAGTTCAAGAGCAGCCTGGCCAACATGGTGAAACCCCGTCTCTACTAAAAATACAAAAAATTAGCCGGGCTTGGTGGTGCGCGCCTGTAATTCCAGCTACTCGGGAGGCTGAGACAGGAGAATCACGTGAACCCAGGAGGTGGAGGTTGTAGTGAGCTGAGATCGCACCACTGCACCCCAGCTTGGGCATCAAGAGGGAGACTCCATCTCAGAAAAAAAAATATATTTTTTTCTCCATCTCAAAAAATAGAAAAAATTCTCACCAAACTATCACTACTGTTTATGCATTGATTTGCCTTCTGGGCCATTAAGTAGATTTCGAGTCTGACAGATATTTCTGTGGAATTCTGTGTCTCTAAGTTCTATGTCCTTTTTTATGGTTTGACTCTAATACTTTAATTTTGCTTAACAGAATCCAAAATATTGGAGAACAAGGTCATATGGCTTTGTTGGGACATAGTCTGGGAGCTTATATTTCAACTCTGGACAAAGAGAAGCTGAGAAAACTTACAACTAGGATACTTTCAGATACCACCTTATGGCTATGCAGAATTTTCAGGTAAAGACATGATGAGTTTCCAGTGAAGACTTTTATGAGTCGGGTGTAGACTGAAAGATCTTTTTTCTGGAGCTGTACTACTTGGGTTCAGATTTCCTTCTCCTTGAAAGGGGTGTTTAACCTCTCAATGCCTGTTTCATCATCTGTTAGATGGGGATAGTATTAATACCTATTTCATAGAAGCGTTGTGAGGATTAAATGAGCTAATGGACTAATACATGTGAAGGGTGGAGAATAGAAGCACATATGTGTTTGATAGGGTCAGCAGTTATTTATTTGTGGGGTATCTAATTGGCACATGTCGGTAGAAGATAGAGCAATGATCTGGATTCAAATACAGTTGTCCCTTATCCTTGGGTGTCCTTGGGGGATTGGTTCTTGACCTCCCATCCTCACCCTATGGATAAAAAAATTCATGGATGCTCAAATCCCTTATATAAAATAGCACAGTATTTTCATGTAACTGAGGCACATCTTCCCATATACTTTAATCTCTTGATTACATATAATACCTAATACGATGTAAATGCTGTGTAAATAGTTGTTACACTGTATTGTTTAGGGAATAATGACAAGGAAAAAAAGTCTGTAGATATTCAGTACAGAGGCACCCATCTTTTTAAATTTCTGAAGATTTTTTACTCATGCTTGGTTGAATCCACAGATGCAGAACCCATAGGTTCAGAGGGCCAGCTGTGCTTTGAAAATATTAGCTTGTGTTTTTATTAGAAAGAAAACTCTGAGGCCAGGCACGGTGGCTCACGCCTGTAATCCCAGCACTTTGGGAGGCTGAGGTGGGCGGATCACAAGGTGAGGAGATCGAGACCATTCTGGCTAACATGGTGAAACCCTGTCTCTACTAAAAATACAAAAAAATTAGCCGGGCGTGGTAGTGAGCACCTGTAGTCCCAGCTCCTCTGGACGCTGAGGCACTGCACTCCAGCCTGGGCGACAGAGTGAGACTCTGTCTCAAAAAAAAAAAAAAAAGAAAACTCTGTCATAAGGAAGATGAAAATGTGCTATGAAACTGAAATTTGTTTTATTCTGTGATAATCCTGGCAGTACTAAGGAATTACAACAGGTGAAGGATTCAGTAGGAGACATAGGACTAGTGGCATTGGGTTTATGCTGTTACTTTTATGGAGAAGGAATGTTTGCCTAACTTGAGACATTTATCTTGAGAGACCCTGACTTTCAGTGTTGGGAAAGAACTTGGCCAAGCAGGAGTATAAGTTTGCCCAACTTTATTAAAGGAGCAGTGTTCTGTTGTTCTAGTAAAAATCTACTGCCTGTAATTGAAATTGTCCATCCTCCTCTAGGAGATGGAGCCTCAGCAGATTATAGTAAAACCAAAAGCTAGCCTGACTAGCTTTTTTATTTTTTTGAGATGGAGTCTTACTCTGTCACCCAGGCTGGAGTGCAGTGGCACAATCTCGGCTCACTGCACCCTCCACCTCCTGGGTTCAAGCGATTCTCCTGCCTCAGTCTCCTGAGTAGCTGGGACTACAGGCACTCACCACCACACCTCGCAATTAGTAGAGACAGTTGTTTCACCATGTTAGCTAGGCTAGTCTCAAAACTCCTGGTCAGGTGATCCACCCGCCTTGGCCTCCCAAAGTGCTGAGATTACAGGCGTGAGCCACCACACCCAGCCTCTAACTAGCATTTTTGACAGTTTTATTTACTTTGGATGTTTTAGGGCTGAAACTCTGCTATGAACTATGCCTGTGTTATCCAGTGCTGGCCTTAGTTCATAATAAGCCAGAACCATGATCTTCAGGCTTTTTATATCTGAGAATTCCTGGTCTCTACTTGTTTTCATAGTTTCTGCTCTTTATGGAATTGGGTATGGATGGAGGGTTATTGTCTCGCTGCTTGGTAACCTCAGCTGTAATGAGGTGTCAGCCATCTATGATGAGGATGTTTCACATTCCTGTCCTCTCTGCCTGATAAAAGTGACAATTCCTAGCTTGAGAAAAGAATTGTCTCCATGATTATAAGGTTGACTTATACAATCCTTAACTAGAAATAAGAGCATATTAATATGTATCTCTTAACAGATATGAAAATGGGTGTGCTTATTTCCACGAAGAGGAAAGAGAAGGACTTGCAAAGATATGTAGGCTTGCCATTCATTCTCGATATGAAGACTTCGTAGTGGATGGCTTCAATGTGTTATATAACAAGAAGCCTGTCATATATCTTAGTGCTGCTGCTAGACCTGGCCTGGGCCAATACCTTTGTAATCAGGTAATGTGGTATCAGGTGGCTATTTTAAAGAAATAATGTCTTATTTTGTTCTGAAAGTTTTAAAGTTGACCCGTTTGTCTAGTTGCTGTTCTTGCTGAGTGAAAAGAAAGATGGTCTTATATGCTTTTGTCATATTTGTAAAAATTACTGAATTTAGAAATAAGGAATATGGGATAGATTACCCAGGGGCATCCACAGTCAACATTTTCTCTTTTTTCCCAGACTTTAATCGAAGGGGGTGTGTTTGTGTTTATATGGTTGTATCTGGCTCTTTTCACTTATTGTTAAAACAGGAATATATCATTTTAATAATAATTTTTCAAAGTATAGTTTATTTTTAATGTCTTCATGGTATTCCTTCAAGTGAATATATAGTAATTAACTGTTGCCCTTTTGGACAACTAAGAGTGTTTGCATTCTCTTGCTTTCTGTGACCATTTTCAGGTAATGTTCTTTGTGTAGTGCTGTTAAGGACTTCTCTGTGCATAAAGCTCTTCCTGTATTTTATTTAGGGTTATGGTCCTCAGATGGATTTTCAGAGTCAGTCTAGAATTGCTGGATCAAAGAGCATGACTTTTTTTTTTTTTTTTTTTTTTTTTTTTTTTGAGACAGAGTCTTGCTCTGTCGCCCAGGCCGGAGTGCAGTGGCGTGATCTCGGCTCACTGCAAGCTCCGCCTCCCGGATTCATGCCATTCTCCTGCCTCAGCCTCCCAAGTAGCTGGGACTACAGGTGCCCGCCACCACGCCCAGATAATTTTTTTGTATTTTTTTTAGTAGAGATGGGGTTTCACCGTGTTAGCCAGGATGGTGTCGATCTCCTGGCCTCGTGATCTGCCCACCTCAGCCTCCCAAAGTGCTGGGATTACAGGTGTGAGCCACTGCGCCCAGCCGAGCATGACTATTTTTAAAGTTCATGGTGCTTCTAGCCCAACTGGGAGGACTACATCGAGATAAGACATTGTTAACCGTCTTTGCCAAGAACGTTTGAAAGCAAAACCATAGGGTTGGAGGGTTCCTCTTTTGTAAGCTGTAGGAGTCCCAGGGGGATGTATGGGAGACACTTAGTGACTTTTAAATTGATTCTGAGCTGTGATCACTGGTGTTAAGAAATTATGTCCTCTTCTTGAGGGGTGTACAAAATGGGGAGTTTAATAATAATCCTCTGAAACGTGAAATGAATTACTTAGTGTCTACTGCAAGCCAGGCTCTTGCAGACACAAGGCTGTTTGGGGACAACAGTCTAACCTTCAAAAGATGTGTAAGAGTGTTCTGTTGGGAATGGCAGCTGGCAGAGCAGCATATATAAGATGGTTATGTTCACGTTTTTTAAAGTGTGTGTATCCTTTATACCTATGTTTTTGTACCTAGAAAAATACGTAAATTTATACCTAGAAAATATCTGAAAGGTTATGTATTAAACTGTTAACGGGGTGGATTGGTGGCTTATAGGGTAGGGGGCTAGGCATTTTCACTTTTAATACCTGTATTTTTTTTGAGGATTTGTTTTACTTGGGTGTCACATTCATAATTTTTAATCCTTTAAGGAGAAAAATGTGCTTATTAAATTTTTGGTCTCTGAATGCTACCAAGTCTTAGTCATACAGAACAATATGCTGCAACTGTTTACAATTCCTAAAACTGTAAACTCCTCAAGGACTTGGAGGCTAAACATGAAGAATATAAAATTAAGTTGACAATCACTGTCTCCTGCATAACACTGACTTCACTTCTCTTGAGAAATGTGCATCTGCTAATCCATATTTATTACTTTTTAGGGGTGGGTGAACCCATAAATAAGATACTGTTCTTTGAATGCCTTTAGCTGGTGTTATTTACCAGTAATGCTTGGAGAAAGAATCCAAAATTACCCCCACTAAAATGCTCACGACCCAGTTGTTTCTGTGTTTGTCAAAGTGTTTCTGGTATATTCTAGAATATACCAAAGATAATTACTTGAATCATTTAGAAAATTTTACATTATATCCTCTTATAAGGCACTTGGAAATTCACCCTTTTTTTTTTTTCGGCTTGGCTTTCTAAATGTACTTTAACATCAATTTATAATATTAAGAGTTCCTAAGGAGAGAGATTTCTTAGAAGAATAATCGTGTCTTGTCTTAGAGCCACAGCCTTTCACAATCTGAAGTGAATGGTGCAGAGAGCTTTCTTGTCAAGTCATATGTTTCTTCCTGCAGCTCGGCTTGCCCTTCCCCTGCTTGTGCCGTGTACCCTGTAACACTGTGTTTGGATCCCAGCATCAGATGGTGAGTTCTACTTTTGGTTTGTAAAATCATGTGGGATTGTGTTTTGAAACTGCCTTTCAAATGAAGTTCTTTTTGCTGGCCTCCAGATAATTAGTAACTTACTCATGTATTGCTTGGATCCTTACATTGTGTAATATATGCTTCTGTTAATATGTGAATGTCCATGAAGGTTGGTTGGTATATAGGTCAGGAGCACCTGGCTTTTAAGGAGTCTTGTAATTACTGTATCACCTGCTTTAAGTAGAAACATGGCAGCTCAATTAAGCACCAGAAATTTCTTCTGAAGCTCCTACTTTTAATGAGTTAGCACTGTTGCCTGGATTTATGAATGGGCAGATTTTGAAAATGAGGTTCTTCATTGTCATCATGGAATTGAGTTCTGCTTATTTTCAGACATGCAGGTGATAAATCTCTCCTTAATGATTCCAGAAGGAAAAGGAAGGGATGGATTTTAGAGTTTTTTATTTCTTTTGTCAAGGTAGTTTTATTTTCTAGTTCAGGTACATCAGTGAGTAATAGTAGAGATACATTCTTGGCTGTTTTAGGAGAGTTAAGAGAACATTTCATTTAAATGTAAATGTTTAAAATCAAAGAAATGTTCCTGCATATGTACAGTTTTTACCTTTAATTTTGTTTAACTGATTTTTCTAGTCTTCAAGGAAAACTATTTGATTTTCACATCTATGATGAGAGAAAACAGAAAAATTGTCAAGAGTAAGAATTGATTTGACATTACTTTTGAGAGTTATCTGCTTCTTTTGTAAGTCATAATTTTTCATTTTATAGCTTTTATACTGGGCACCTCATTTTTTAATGATTTGTTTTGGTTCCAGGATGTTGCCTTCCTGGAGAAACTGATTAAAGATGATATAGAGCGAGGAAGACTGCCCCTGTTGCTTGTCGCAAATGCAGGTAGGTAGCATGATGCTGAATCTACCATTTTGAATATATAGGAGCGAGGCTACGTCCTCAGCCTATAAAAGATAAAGTCTTAAGAAATGTGTGTGTACCACATGTTTAAGATAGTCCATATCCACATTGTAGCAAAAACTGTAATAGTAAGGTTGGCTCGTTAGATTTTTCTTTAATCGTTGGTTTGTTTTGGAAGTTATTTTATGTGTGTGTATACTTTTTCATTTAGATGGTAAATGCTTCTCTATCTTCTCCTTCATGTACTTCTTTTCCCTGTTCTAAACTGAATTTTATTTTATTTTTTTGAGATAGAGTCTCACTCTGTTGCCCAGGCTGGAGTGCAGTAGCACAATCTCACCTCACTGCAATCTCTGCCTCCCGGGTTCAAGTGTTTCTCCTGCCTCAACCTCCTGAATTGCTGGGATTACAGGTGCATGCCACCACATCTGGCTAATTTCTTGTATTTTTAGTAGAGACAGGGTTTCACTATGTTGGCCAGGCTGGTCTCGAACTCCTGACCTCAGGTGATCCGCCTGCCTCAGCCTCCCAAATTGCTGGGATTACAGGCATGAGCCACTGTGCCTGGCCTGAATTTTTAAATGACACATTTAAGCCAGGTGTGGTGGCACATGCCTATAGTCCCTCTACTCAGGAGACAAGCAAGATGTTGGCTTAAGCTCAGAAGTTCAATACCAGTCTGGGTAACATAGCAAGACCCCATCTCAATAAATAAATAAAAATAATTGTACTGACGTTGTAAGATTGTTGTAAAAATTAAACAAGAAAATTCATAAGATGTCACACTTAAATATCTACCTTATAGGCGGCAGAGCAACTACCACTTGCTGCTCCATTTATCTCATTCAGCATCATACTTGAAATCTAAGACAGTGCAATAAGGCAAAAAAAATAACTGACAGATTAGAAAGGAAGAAATAAAACTTTGTTTGCAGGCATGATTGTATAGATAGAAAACTAAAGAAAAGCTACTGGAACTAATGATCAAATCTAAACCATTTTCTGGATTTTTACATACTAGCAAAGAAGAATTGGAAATTGAATTTTAAATGTCATTTATAATAGGATCAAAAAAGATGAAAAATTTATGGATAAATTTAACAAAATATATGCAAGATCTGTACATTGAGAACTAAGAATGTTACTGAGAGAAATTCAAGAAGACCCAAGAACGATATGCCATACACACGGGTTGGAAGACTAAGTATTAAGTCAGTTCTTCCCAAACTAATCTGTAGATTCAACTTGATCCATCTTAAAATCTCAGCAGGCTACAATTTCTTAATAGAACTTGATGAGCTAATTCTAAAGTTTATATAGAAATACAAGGGATCTAGGAACAGCCCAAGGGATTTTGAAAAAGAACAAAATTGGAAGACTTACCTTGTCATACTTCAAGACTTCTGTAAAGTAGCAAGTAAGACTGTGTGAGATTAACCAAAGAAAATAGAGAATTCAGAAATAGACTCATGTGAAGTATATGGACACTTCAGGTTTTTACAGATGCCTGAGTAATTCGAGGGAGAAAGGACCATCTTTTTCCATCAGTGGTCTTAGAGCTTGGATATCCATATGGAAAAAAACTGAATCTTAACCCTTATCTTATTCTCTGTATATATAAATATTAACTATAAATGGTTCATCAACCTAAGCATAGATCTAAGACAATAAAATGTCTCAAAGAAAATACAGGAGATCTTTGTGACCTTAGGTTACATTTCTTAGGATACAAAATATGTGAACCATAAATTGTACTTTATCAAAAATTAAAAGCATTAGCTGTTTGAAAGCCCCTATTAAGAAGATGAAAGGCAAGTTACAGACTGGGAGAAATATTTGCAAAACATTTTTTTCTTTTTTTTTTTTTTTTTTTGTCTTTTTCTATTTTTATTTTTTATGTTTTTGAGATGGAGTTTTGCTGTGCTGCCCAGGCTGGAGTGCAGTGGTGCGACCTTGGCTCACTGCAACCTCCGCCTCCCAGGTTCAAGCGATTCGCCTGCCTCAGCCTCCCGAGTAGCTGGGATTACAGGCGCACGCCACCGTGCCGGGCTAATTTTTGTATTTTTAGTAGAGACGAGATTTCGCCATGTTGGCCAGGCTGGTCTCAAACTCCTGACCTCAGGTGGTCCACCTGCCTTGGCCTCCCAAAGTGATGGGATTACAGGCGTGAGCCGCCACACTCAGCCAGCCACTGTCCCAGTCCTGTCTTCTTTTAAAATTTCTTTTTCATTCTTTTCCCCAGAAGCTACAAAACATTTGTTTGACAAAGAACTTGTATCTAAAATATATAAAGAACTGTTACAACTCAATAAGGACACAAGCAATACAATTTTTTTTTTTTTTGGAGATGGAGTCTCATTCTGTTGCCCAGACTAGAGTGCAGTGGTGCGATCTTGGCTCACTGCAACCTCTGCCTCCCGGGTTCCAGTGATTCTTCTGCCTTAGCCTCCCGAGTACCTGGGATTACAGGCATGTGCCACCACACCTAGCTAGTTTTTTGTATTTTTAGTGGAGATGGAGTTTCACCGTGTTGGCCAGGCTGGTCTTGAACTCCTGACCTTAGGTGATCTGCCTGCCTTGGCCTCCCAAAGTGCTGGGATTACAGGTGTGAGCCACTGTGCCCGGCCCACAATACAATTTTTTAAATGAACAACAGATTTGAGCAGATACTTCATCAAAGAAAATGAAAATGTATAGCACTTGAAAAGATGTTTAACATCATTAGTCATTAGTGAAATGCAAATTAAGATCACCATGAGACATTACTACATGTCTGTTAGAATGGAGAAATTACAGGTGGCTCACACTTGTAATCCCAACACTTGGGAAGGCTGAGACTGCGAGATCAATTGCCCTCAGGTGTTCGAGACCAGCCTGGGCAACATGGCGAAACCCCTAGGAAATCTCTACAAAAAATACTAAACATTAGCCAGGTGTGGTGGTGTGTACCTGTAGTCCCAGCTACTCCAGAGGCTTTGGTGGGAGGTTGGCTTGAACCCAGGAGAGAGAGGTTGCAGTGAGCCAAGATTGTGCTACCATACCCCAGCCTGGGTGACAGAGCCAGATCCTTTCTTAAAAAAAAAAAAAAAAAATTCTTTAAAATATAATGTCAGGCCAGGCACAGTGACTCAAGCCTGTAATCCCAGCACTTTGGGAGGCCGAGGCGGGCAGATTACGAGGTCAGGAGATCAAGACATCCTGGCTAACATGGTGAAACCCCGTTTCCACTAAAAATACAAAAAAATAGCTGGGTGTGGTGGTGGGCACCTGTAGTCCTAGCTACTTGGGAGGCCGAGGCAGGAGAATGGCATGAACTCGGGAGGCAGAGGTTGCAGTGAGGTGAGATCGCACCACTGCACTCCAGCCTTGGTGACAGAGTGAGACTCTGTTTCTGTAAAAAATAAATAAGTAAATAAATAAAACTTGCCAGGTGTGGTGGTGGGCACCTGTAGTCCCAGCTACTTGAGAGGCTGAGGCAGGAGAATGGCTTGAACCCGGGAGGCGGAGCTTGCAATGAGCCGAGATTGTGCTACTGCACTTCAGCCTGGGCGACAGAGTGAGACCCTATCTCAAAAAAAAAAGAAAAAAAAAAAAAAAGGCAAAAAACTACAGTGACAGAAGCAGATCAGGATTTTCCAGGGCCAGTGAGGAGTCAGGGAAAGGGTAATTATATTGGGGTTGATGGGATTTGGGGGTTGATGGAAGTATTCTGAATCTTGATTGTGTTGATGGTTACATGCTCTATATATTTGTCAAAACTCATTGGACCGTATACTTACATGAGTGAGTTTTGTTGCATGTAAATCATACTACAATAGGCCGAGCATGAGAGCTCATGCCTGTAGTCCCAGCACTTTGGGAGGCTGAGGCAGGCAGATCACAAGGTCAGGAGTTCAAGACCAGCCTGACCAATGTGGTAAAACCCCATCTCTACTAAAAATGCAAAAATTAGCCAGGTGTGGTGGTGTGCACCTGTAGTCCCAGCTACTTGGGAGGCTGAGGCAGGAAAATCGCTTGAACCTGGGAGGTGGAGGTTGCAGTGAGCCAAGATCGCACCACCGCACTGTAGCCTGGGCGACAGAAAGGGTCTCTGTCTCAAAAAAAAAAAAAAAAAAAAAAATCATACTACAATAAAACTGCTTATTTAGGCCGGGTGCGGTGGCTCATGCATGTAATTCCAGCACTTTGAGAGGCCAAGGCGGGAAGATCACCTGAGGTCAGGAGTTCAAGACCAGCCTGGCCAAAATGGCGAAACCCTGTCTCTACTAAAAATATAAAAATTAGCTGGTTGTGGTGGCAGGCACCTGTAATCCCAGCTACTTAGGAGGCCGAGGCAGGAGAATAGCTTGAACCCAGGAGGCTGAGATTGCAGTGAGCCGAGATTGCGCTGCTGCACTCCGGCCTGGGCAACAGGGTGAGACTCTGTCTCAAAAAAAAAAAAAAAAGACAAAATAGAAAAACCACATAAATATTCACTTTATTGCCAACAGGAAAACCATCACTTCCTGCCTTATTGTTTAAAAACACAAATTCACCCATATTCAATCACATGATAAACTGGAGGGGCTGCAGTTTGCATGTGACTGAGTGACTTGCCAGTGTGATTATGTTGCAGATGTCAGCAGACACATGTCAAGGGTTAGTCACCAGACATTGCCAAGAAATACGAAAAGAGAATCTGCATGCGATCCAGGCACTAACACAGCAGTACGCTTTTATTTTGCTGGAAGAGCCTGTGGCACAGCCCATGCATTGACATTTGATCTTGTTTCAGCTAAACTAAATGTGTCTGTTAAGATTTTTTTTTTTTAATTTGAGGTAGATTTAGGTATGAGGGGAAAAAGTTTTCAGCCCTTTTCCTGGCATAGACCTTACAAAAGAACTACTTTCTTTAGCTGTGTTTGTTGAGGCCGTTGGTGAGTGTTTGAAATCTTTTTAGTTGGCTTACTGCTAACTGGAAATTTAGGACGGTTGGGGGAATGCCTGACTCAACGTTTTAACTAAGCTCTCTCTGAAAAGGGATCTCCCCAGCAAAATCTGTAGTGCAATCAATTACCAAGGGAGCGGCTGAAAGTGCTTAATATGCTTAAGCTGGCTTCAGAATGCATGTTCTGTATTACAAGGAACCTGGGTGGAAACAAAACAAATTCATCTATATGTTTTGTTTGTTTGTTTTTTGAGCTGGAGTCTTGCTTTGTTGCCCAGGCTGGAGTGCAGTGGCACGATCTCGGCTCACTACAAGCTCTGCCTCCCAGGTTCACGCCATTCTCCCGCCTCGGCCCCGCGAGTACCTGGGACTATAGGCGCCCACCACTACACCCGGCTAATTTTGTTTTTGTATTTTTAGTAGAGACGGGATTTCACCGTGTTAGCCAGGATGGTCTCCATCTCCTGACCTTGTGATCCACCCGCCTGGGCCTCCCAGAGTGCTGGGATTACAGATGTGAGCCACTGTGCCCAGCCCACCTATATGATTTTTATAAAGGGCATATCTAAATCAAAATAATCCAGGAAGTGACAATAAAATAAAAAGGTGGAAAAGTTTATCTTGGACAAATGCTGACAAAATGAAAGTACCATAGCCATATTAGTGTGGGATAAAATAGACTTCATATTGATGAAAGATGTAATCTCCTAAAAGAAATAACAGTTATACCTGCTGGGCACGGTGGCTCATGCTTATAATCCCAGCACTTTGGAAGGCCGAGGCAGGTGGATCACGAGGTCAGGAGTTCGAGACCAGCCTGGCCAACGTAGTGAAACCCCGTCTCTACTAAAAATACAAAAAAATTAGCCGGGCGTGGTGGCCACCGCCTGTAATCCCACCTACTTGGGAGGCTGAGGCAAGGAGAATTGCTTGAACCTGGGAGGTGGAGGTTGCAGAGTTGAGATCATGCCACTGCACTCTAGCCTGGGCGACAGTGTGAGACTCCGTCTCAAAAAAAAAAAAAAACAGTTATGAATGCTTGTGAACATAACTTTAAAATATATAAAGGAAAGCTAAAGGAAAAGTCTGATGTAACACAAGTATATATTGACAAACCACAATCTTGGTGGGAGATTTGAATATATTTCTCATGAGTCAGCAGATCAAGTAGATAGAAAATAAGTATATAAAAGAATTCAATGACACAATTAGATACATGTAATAGAGATTACATACTCTTCAAAGCTTGTAATAAGTCAACTCACAAACACTGATTTTAAGTCCTTCCACAAAGAAAATCTCAATAAAATAGGGATATAATAAGTCACTTCCCTCCTAGGGCGATAATGTGTATAAAAGTGTTTAAGGTATAAAGCCTTAGAAAACATTTGTTCCTTTTAATGCCCTGATGTGTTTTATCCTAGGAACGGCAGCAGTAGGACACACAGACAAGATTGGGAGATTGAAAGAACTCTGTGAGCAGTATGGCATATGGCTTCATGTGGAGGGGTAAGCCGGCGGTGAGGCTGGTGGCTCCATTCGGGCCTGCACAGAGTCCTTATGAGGACTGGACATCCAGGCTCTCACTTTGGTGACATTTATCACGAAGGGCTCTTTGGGTCACAGATCACAAAATAACCCAAATTGGCTTAAGCCCAAAGAGATCTTACTGGCTCACATAACTACAAAGAGCAGTGTTATGACTGCCTCAGGCACGACATCAACCAGGATCCAGTGTGTTACTCCCACCTCTGCTCCCCCAGTCACAGGCACTGGGCTTGGTTTCCTCTATCTGTGGACAGATCTTCCTGTTACAGTGCAAAGTAGCTGCAGAAACTCCAGCCTTCTTTCCAGCTTCGTGGTCAGCTGGAAGTCCTAACAGAAGTCTCGTATTGAACCAGCCACTGTGGCCAGGGAGAAGTAATCCTCTGATAGTTGAGGTTCTTTGCTCTCCTCTGGAGCAGATAGTGGTGTCTCCTCCCCACAAAGCTCATGTTCTGCTGGAAGAAATGGAGATGGCGCCCTGGAAGGCTATTGTAGGGCCATTAAGAGAAGCAGGGGGAACGGACGTGGGCAGCCAGAGTAGCCCATATCCACCACATCATACAGGGAGGTTTCTTTTTGATCCCTAAGTAAAGAATGATAACTGGAAAATAAGATCCATGAAAGAGAAGAATACTCCCATTATATTAAATGAGCGGGGATAGTTCCTGAGACACATTTTTATTAAAGTGCATTTTCAGGATTTTCCTTCATATGTATAAAGCACACCTTCTGTTGCTGTTAATGAAAGCTAATAACATTAAAAATATACTTAAGTGTCAACTTGCAACAGCACAGCCTTTATTTTTTTAAGTACATGGTGAGTAAGCAACATTAAATAATTAGTTCTTGGACTGGTGTTTTTTCTTCCAGTGTGAATCTGGCAACATTGGCTCTGGGTTATGTCTCCTCATCAGTGCTGGTATGTTGTTGATTTACTGAATATTGGTGTTTTTAAGAATGAATTTAAAGTCACTCAGTCCCTCATGGCTCTTCACAGTTTTTATGAATGGAGGAGGGTGTTAGGTTTGTGTATTCTGATAATCTAACAAAGAGTTGTTCTTGTTTTGGTAGGCTGCAGCCAAATGTGATAGCATGACGATGACTCCTGGCCCGTGGCTGGGTTTGCCAGCTGTTCCTGCGGTGACACTGTATAAACACGATGACCCTGCCTTGGTAAGTTTCCACTCACTGGGGAGGGAGTGGGTGTGGCTAATACACATTATTGGCTTTGGGGGCAAAATCCAGAAAAATACAGGAAAAAGTGAAAAATACCCATAATTTCACTTCTATTTCATTTTTTTAAAGAGAAACTTGTGAGACTTTTTTTAATGACATTTTATGATTGTATAATATTCTGTCACAATTTAATTATTCTCCATTTATGAACTTATAGGATGTTTTCAGAGTTTTGTTACTGAAATAATGAAGCAGTGAACGTCTTTCTGTGTTTCTAATTATTTCCTTAGAATAGGTTCCCAGATGTGGAATGACTGAGTGGGGGAGTTTTAAGCCTCCTGATCCACATTGCCCAATAGGTTTTAACTTTTTTTTTTTTTTTTTGATATGGAGTCTCGCTCTGTCACCCAGGCTGGAGTGCAATGGTGAGATGATCTTGGCTCACTGCAACCTCCACCTCCTGGGTTCAAGTGATTCTCTTGCCTCAGCCTCCCAAGTAGCTGGGATTACAGGCATGCGCCACCACGCCCGGCTTATTTTGTATTTTTAGTAGAGGCAGTGTTTCACCAAGTTGGTCATGTTGAACTCGCGATCTCAGGTGATCTGCCTGCCTCGGCCTCCCAAAGTGCTGGGATTACAGGCATGAGCCATCACACCTGGCCACATTTTTTTTTTTTTTTAATCGTAGTTGTGGGCCAGGCATGGTGGCTCATGCCTGTAATCCCAGCACTTTGGAAGGTTGAGGCAGGCAGATCGCTTGAGCCTAGGAGTTTGAGACCAGCCTGGGCAACATGGTGAAACCTCATCTCTATAAGAAAAAACAACAACAAAGAATTAGCTGGGCATGGTGGTGTGAGCCTGTAGTCCCAGCTACTCATGAGGCTAATGTGGGAGGGCTGATTGAGCCCTGGAGATCAAGGCTGCAGTGAGCTATGATCACACCACTGCACTGCAGCCTGGGCGACAGAATGAAAACGAAACCTGTCACAAAAAATAATAATAATAATGTGGTTCTTGATAATATAGGTCAGCGTGCAAAATAAGGTTTAAGTGATTTCTGCTAAAACACTGCTGTCTTGCTCAGCTAATAATGGCCAGGTGTTTGAGGATGCTCAGAGCTACCTTCGAAGTGGGGAGTCTCCTAGGTTCTGGGATGTGACCCATCTGGGTTTTCCACTGGCTTTTCCTGGCTTTGCCACTCCTGAGCTGTGAACCCTTGGACAAACCGAGGTCTCTGAGTGAAGTTACCTAGAATACTTAGCTCACAGAGTTGTTGGAAGATCACATGGATAATGCAAGCCTAGTGACTAGTATGGCATCTAGCCCACACTAAGTGGGTAGCAAATGGTAGCTGGTTAGTTCTATTATGAGATTGCAATGGCTTTGATTAATAAACCTCTTTTGGCTTTTTTAGACTTTAGTTGCTGGTCTTACATCAAATAAGCCCACAGACAAACTCCGTGCCCTGCCTCTGTGGTTATCTTTACAATACTTGGGACTTGATGGGTTTGTGGAGAGGATCAAGCATGCCTGTCAACTGGTGAGTAGAAGCCTGACATTTAAATGAAAGACTCCTTGGCCACAGCAGAGACAGAAAAACATCTCATTTCTGTACCTTCCATCCAGAGTGGTGTTGTCTGGATTGACTGTCTCGTGAGCCAGAGACTAATCGCCCTGCATGTAAATATTTCTTGTTCAAAGTTCTGGGAGAAAGTGCTGGGTTGTCTGTCCCAGCATTTGTGTGCAGATGAAATCAGATGAAAAGGAACACCACTGTCAGCATGGGATCAGAAAAGAAGTCACAGATGACTTCCAAGGAGTGGAGAAGGGTGCAAAAGGTGGAGGGGTGGGGAGCGAGTGTTCCCCTTGATTGACTGACTACGGTGAGGGAATAGGAAGGTTACAAGGTGGTTATGGAGGGCATGGATATTTTATAAACCAGCTGGCTTGGGTTTCCAAATTGCAGGGCTCTTGGGGACAATTCTAATTCTCTCTCCATTTTAGGTGTGTTCTAATTGTGAAAAATATATAATTATGCTATATTTCAGTGTTTTAGAGCATTCAGGCTTCTATAACAAAATACCTTAGAGTGGGTAATTTATAAACAACAGACATTTATTGCTTACAGTTCTGGACGTGAGAAGTCTCAGATCAAGGTGCCAGGAGATTCCATGTCGGGCCCGTTCCTCATAGATAGTGCCTTGCATGTGGCCTCACATGGCAGAAGGGGTGAGCACAGTCCCTTGAGCCTCTTTCAGAAGGTCACTAGTCCTGTTTGTGAGGGTTCCATCCTCATGCCCTAATGACCTCCCAAAGGCCTCAACTCATTTGCGATTAGGTTTCCACATAGGAATTTTGTGGGGACATAAATATTCAGATCATAGCATTTAGAAAGCAAAAAAACAGGCTGGGCATGGTGGCTCACGCCTGTAATTCCAGCACTTTGGGAGGCTGAAGCGGGTGGATCACAAGGTCATGAGATCAAGACCATCCTGGCTAACACGGTGAAACCCCGTCTCTACTAAAAATACAAAAAATTAGCTGGGCGTGGTGGCGGGCGCCTGTAGTCCCAGCTGCTCAGGAGGCTGAGGCCGGAGAATGGTGTGAACCCGGGAGGCAGAGCTTGCAGTGAGCCGAGATCGCGCCACTGCACTCCAGCCTGGGTGACAGAGCGAGGCTCCGTCTCAAAAAAAAAAAAAAAAAAAAAAAAAAAAGCCAAAAAACAGGGTCATGTTTACTCAGGGTTAGAGCTGAGCCCTCCCTAAGCTCAGAAGTGCGTCACCTCCATTTTCTTACCTGTGAAATATAAATTATATGACAAGGATTGCCAGGATGGCTCGAGGAACGAATACAGGTAGAGCTCTTGCAGTAGTGTCTGTTCATATAGTAAGTTATGCACGTGGGTTGAAATCTTTGTTTTAAATATATTCTTGGGGAGTTAGCACTTCCTCAAGTATCATTTCTATATTTAAGAAACATAGGTGGCCGGGTGCAGTGGCTCACGCCTGTAATCCCAGCACTTTGGGAGGCCGAGGTGGGCAGATCATGAGGTCAGGAGATCAAGACCATCCTGGCTAACACGGTGAAACCCTGTCTCTAATAAAAATACAAAAATTAGCCAGGCATGGTGGCGGGTGCCTGTAGTCCCAGCTACTTGGGAGGCTGAGGCAGGAGAATGGCGTGAACCCAGAAGGCGGAGCTTGCAGTGAGCCGAGATTGCGCCACTGCACTCCAGCCAGAGCGAAACTCAGTCTTTTAAAAAAAGAAAGAAAAATAGGCCGGGCGTGGTGGCTCATGCCTGTAATCCCAGCACTTTGGGAGGCCGAGGCGGGTGGATCACCTGAGGTCAGGAGTTTGAGACCGGCCTGGCCAACATGGTGAGACTCCGTCTCTATTAAATATACAAAAATTAGCCAGGTATGGTGGCAGGCGCCTGTAGTCCCAGCTACTCAGGAGGCTGAGGCAGGGAGAATTGCTTGAACTTGGGAGGCAGAGGTTGCAGTAAGCCAAGATCGTGCCACTGCACTCCAGCCTGGGTGGCACCATCTAAACACACACACACACACACACACACACACACACACACGAAAAGTATTTGCGTAGTGCTCTAGCAGTAGTCCCTTCGTTCATCATATGTTAGGATAGTTCAACAGTTTTAAGTATGCTCTGGGCTGGGTGCAGTGGCTCATGCCTATAATCCCAGCACTTTGGGAGGCCAAGGCAGGTGGATCACTTAAACCTCAGAGTTCAACACCAGCCTGGGCAATGTGGTCAAACCCTGTCTCTACAAAAAATACAAAAATTAGCCAGGTGTAGTGGCACACACCTGTGATCCCAGCTACTCAGGAGGCTGAGGTGGGAAGATCACTTGAGCCCAGGAGGTCAAGGTTGCCGTGAGCCCAAATAGCACTACTGCACTACTCCACTCCAGCCTGGGCGACAGAGTAGGACCCTGTCTCAAAAAAAAAAAAGAAAAAAAGATTGATGCTCATTATGTTTACAAAAGCACTGCATTTTTTGAAAAGTGTCTCACTGTGCTATTAGCTCACTTCTTGAGATGTGGTTCTTAGGAAAGAGAAGCCTTAGTAACTTAGTTTAGAGACGACTTGGGCACTCGGGAGATTTTTTCAATATCCCGTGGCTATGGAGTGCGGGAGAATGATGCCATTAACTACCAGACCCTTGAGGTCAGCACAGCTCTGGCATCTTCCTGCAGGCAGAACCGTATACTCCTGAGGATTTGAATGCTGTCCTGCTGCTGACTCACAGGCTAATAAATGCATGTGTTAAATTACTTGGACATTTAGCAGACATGGTGATCTGTATATAGCCATGCCTTATAGTCCACAGTGGAGCATACATTTCCTGAGAGCGTAAATCAGCATTCGCCTCCTCATCCTCCTCTTCCTTCTCTTCTCCCTCTCTTCTTTCTCGTCTTCAGTAGTTATTGAGCATTCACCTCAGTGTCAGGCACCATGAAGTACTTTCATGCATCATCTCATTTGATCCCTGCAACTTCACTAGAATGTCAGTTCCACTGATGACAGTGTATTCAGAATTAATTTTCTTTAAGAAAACAAAAAGGAATTTCTTGAGGGGCTTTCTACTGTCCAGTACTCAGTGAATATCTGTTGAATTAATATACTCCAATCCCATGAGTTAGATATGATTAGTGATGAGGGACCTGGGATTGAGACATTAGTCTAATGACACTACATTCTAGACCCTGTTTCTAAGCACTTCCTGTATTGCATATCAACTCATTTAATCCTCACAGCAATGTGAGATACATACTATCCTCCCCATTTTATAATTGAGGGAACTGAAGCATAGACAGGTTACATAGCTGGTGACTGGCAGATGAATTGACTTATCCGTGGTCCTGCAGGTGATGAGTGGCAGCACTGTGCTCTTATCACCAGCTCTTGAGCGTGCTGCATCCTCTCATTTGTCGTTGGTCTCCCCTAGTGTTCAGTACTGTGCCTTGCACGTGTTTATACTCAGTAGCTTTTGAATGACAGACTTACATTGCAAATACAACAGATTTCCATGTCTTATTAGAAACTGCTTTTCTTGAATTACTACATGTAACTTGAAGGATTGGTGAATATTTACAGTTGTTGAAATACAAAAACAGGTGGCTGAACTTAGAAACCACCAAGTGGCAGGTGACTTTGCCTGACATCCGTGTTCACAGACCTCCACAGCCCCTGGTGAAAACCACTTCTTCATGTCCCACGTCCATCTAATTACATGTGTTATTTTTTGTCATTTGCAGAGTCAACGGTTGCAGGAAAGTTTGAAGAAAGTGAATTACATCAAAATCTTGGTATAGTATATAAGTTCATCTGTTTTCAAAATATAACTTTTTTTGAACCTCAGCAACTTTGAATGATTTTAGAACTTTAGAATGATTTTCTCCACATTTCAGTGGAATTGTGGCAGCTCCAGTAAAAAAACAAAACAAAAAAACGAAACAAAAAACAAAAACAAAAAAACCTGCTTATATTTATACAGTGAGTCTGAAGCGAAGAAATTTGAACCATACAATGTTTAATTCCTATGGTGCTTTTCATGTACTTCATTTATTGTGTTAAAGTTCAGAATTGCACAAAGATAAACACCATTGACTTCAGCTGCCCAAGGCCTTGGGCACACTCTTCTTCCCAAAATGAAAAGTCACTTTGTGCCTCAGAATGCTTTGGGGTTCTCTTTCTGCAACCTTCTGCCATCAGTTTTCATTTGCATGAAGTGGGAGAAAGAGAAAAGCAAATGGCCCTGCTCTTGTCTTCTGATATCTTCCTGAAGTGAATCCAACAGATTGTTCCCTAGGCATAACTAGACAAGGAAATAAGGACTTAGGAGAGAATGGGGATCAGTTCAGGTTTGAAAGTTTTTGTGTTTTGCTTCATGGTATTTTAGAACTTCAGGAAATATATGTCAAATTCTGATTTAAATAGGTTCATTGAGTGTTTCTTTGACAATTCTGCAAGGTATGCTTAAGTTTAACATTTGAGTGTATTTGGGGTTCAAGTCAGTAGGTTTATTTTTCTTTTAGAACATGGTTTGGTTTAAATACAAAAAGTAGCCGCGCATGGTGGCACACGCCTGTAGTCCCAGCTACTGGGGAGGCTGAAGTGAAAGAATTGCTTGAACCCGGGAGGCGGAGGTTGCAGTGAGCCGAGATTGCGCCTCTGCACTCCAGCCTGGGTGACAGAGACCCTGTCTCAAGGAAGAAAAAAAAATGCATGGTTTGGTTGAAGGGGGTGTGGCTACTCTGCCTTCTGAGTGGGAGTCTGGAGCCAGTTGACCCGAGTTCTAGCTCAGTGGGAGTTCTATCCTTGGACGAGGAAGTGGACCACTGGAGAAGCAGAAGGGATGAATCTAAGTTCAGAGGCCTGGGCTCTGCTCTGAGCAGTGCCACAGGGTGGCCCTGTGACATTGAGTCATTTTCTTTCCAAGCTTGACTGTCAAATGAAAGTATGCCGGTTGGTCTCCTCTGATTGCAAACAGAGAAGCAAATTATGGCCTAGATTGAGCAAGCTGTTAAGAATCCAGGCGGTGCTGGGCCCATCTGCTTTCCTGCCCCTGCCATGTTGAGCGCACTTGGCTTTTCCTCAGTCATCGCTGCTCCCTTATTCTCAAATTGGGGGACCCAGTGGTGCTAGTTAATCACCAGTTGTTTTGGAGCATCTCTGTAGGCCACACTGGCCCAGGCAGAAAGCCTGCTCTGTCCCTTCTTCCAATGGCTGTTTTTTCAGTAGAGGATACAATAATTGGCTAATACCATGAGGCATTATGGCCTGTGAGTCCTCATCATCACCATCACCATCACCACCATTCCAGCTGCTGCTTGTGAAATTCATGTGTGGTACTAAGTACCTTACATGAATTATTTCATTTAACCCTCCCAACAGTCTCCTTTGTATGTGCTGTTCTCTCTGCCTGGAAACACTGTTTCCCACCCCCCGTCCCCAATTCTTCTGTTTATTTTTTTTTGAGACAGAGTCTCACTATGTAGCCCAGACTGGAGTGCAGTGGTGCGATCTTGGCTCACTCTAACCTCCGCCTCCTGGGTCCCTGTTCAAGCAGTTCTCCTGCCTCAGCCTCCCGAGTAGCTGGGGTTACAGGCGCATGCCACCATGTCCAGCTAATTTCTGTATTTTTAGTAGAGATGGGGTTTCACCATGTTGGCCAGGCTGGTCTTGAACTCTTGACCTCGTGATCCACCCGCCTCAGCCTCCCAAAGTGCTGGGATTACAGGCATGAGCCAAAGCGCCCAGCCTCCCCAGTCCCAATTCTTCTCATGACTGGTTTCTTATCTTTCAGATCTTAATTCAAATCTCACCTCTTCAGAAAGGCCTTTCCTGGCCACCCTAAGATCATCTCCCACCGTCAGACATCACTCCATCCCCCTGGGTCGTCTTCATCACTCTTACTACTATCTGAAATCAAATCTGTTTGTTTTTTCCTATAGAAGGTTTGTAAAGGCCTTATACAGACTCACCACTGTGCCTCACCTGGGCATTAACACCCAAGACCCTAGCCCTGAAAGCCCAGTGCCAGGCCCCAGACATGCTCCCATCCCCTGCCACTCAGCTTACAGTCCTCTTTCTGTTTCCTCTTCTTTGTGGATTCACCTTTTTTTGGGTGTGAGCCCAGCCATGGTTTAACCTTTTTTTGGTTCTTGGTTATATTTAATCCAGTATTTCAGATATTCAGAATTGACAACTTCAGTGTTCACTCAGTCTATCACGTTACTAGAACCAGAAGTGTCTCCAACCCTGTATACTATTTCTTACACACATTGACATTTGAGACCACTGAGTTCAAAGAAAGAAAAGATGATCATAATATTCATAGCAGTCTTGGCACTCACCTCATTCTGCCATCTCCTAGCTGAGGATGGGAGAATGGGCGGATTATTTTGTTGCCTTTTTGTTCCTCCTTGCTTATTGGGCGTGCGCCCCTATTTAAATATTAAGCACCGCCCCCCTGCCGCCCGCCGCCGTACCTTTAAAAGTATCACGTTTTATTTGTCTCTGTGAAAGTTAAAGATGATAGATGTGAAGGCACTTAGCACAGGACTGGCCCCCTAAATAATTGGCAGATTTGAATTCACATCCTGCTTGGTATGAATACTGTCCACACGGTCCTTTGAAAAGTTAGTAGAAAAGATCTTGGGCCACTGCTTCTTGTCTTTCCAAGTTAGCATTTCCTGTTGCGGCCCTACCAGTGAGTCATCACACTCAGAGCCTTGGAACATAAGTTTTATTACTAGAGCTATAGTACTGGGATTGTTGGATGCTTAGAGATCTTCCCCCTCCAGGGCCACCCACACTCCCCTACAGTACCACAGAGCCTGCCAAGGACATGGATGCTTACGGTACCCTGACCCCATGGCTTGACCAAGTCAGGGTATACTGTTTGATGCAAAACAGGAACTCGCTGCTGGATTATCATAATACATAATGCAGTGGATGTTTTCAACTGTTAGGAAACCCACTAATGAAGTTAGTCGTCTTCGGCCTGTCTTTAATAATAATTAAATATATTAGAAAATACACAGATCCAGTTCTCAGCTGTGCTTGTCTACATCACCAGCAGGACTTGCATCTTGTTCTGAAAGTTTTGCAAAGGGGAGGAAAGTACTTGTTGCCCCCTCTTTTTTTCTATGAGTATGAAAAATTCTAGTTGGCCAGGCACGGTGTCTCACGTCTGTAATCCCAACACTTGGAAAGCCAAAGTAGGAGGATTAATTGAGGCCAAGAGTTCAAGGCCAGCCTGGACAACATAGCAAGACCCCATCTCTAAAAAAACCGTTTAAGTTTCAATAAATCCTGCATAATTTCTGGGATTCTTGAAAGCATGGGCTCTCTCCGCACTGAGTCTAGTTTCACTGCTTCTTACTGGTTTTAATCTTTAATGTTAGACCTATGTTTATCCCTTATTAAAATTTCCCCCTGCTTTAATTTCAATGTACCAGGGTCAAACATCTTATAATTCACAGTGTACTCTCAAGGCTGGCTCATAGTTATTTTTTAAAATTTTACTAAACATTTGATTTTTCTCTAGCAACTGAAATTAACCTCTGAACTTTTTAGTGTGTTTATTTACAAATAGAGCATTTCTAAGCGAGTTTTTGAACTCAGCATTTCATTTTGAAGGCGTCTGGAGTTTAATGTTACTTGGTGATATGAGACTTCCATTCTTCCAGGTGGAAGATGAGCTCAGCTCCCCAGTGGTGGTGTTCAGATTTTTCCAGGAATTACCAGGCTCAGGTCGGTGAATTTTAAAAGAGGGTTATTTTCATATCTGTGTTAAAGGCTTTGAATTTGATACCATTTCAAGTTAAATAGTTCAAAATATTTTTATTGCTGACAATCTTCAGTCAGCATTTCAGAAAAATGTAATAATTTTCATGAAAACTACAGTCCGAAACGCCTTAGCAATTTGCTGATAGTTTGCGGTGATTAAACCAGGGGTTCCCAAATGCCAGTCCCTGGACCAGTGCTGGAATGGCTAAGAAAGAGTTGCTTGAACATAAAGATTTGTGGGTCTTACTTCCCACATATTTTGAGTCAATAGGTTGTGCCCAGGAATCTGTATCTTAAAGAATGACCCAAGTGCCACCAGTCTAGTCCAGGGCACCACTCTTTTTTTACCTGGTTGGCCATTGTCCCCTGTCAACTGACCTCTGACTTTCATACATTCTACACAGCCCATTCCAGACCATTCTCCACCTGGCAGAGAGGGTTATAAGTGGAAGTCACATGGTGTTGAAACCGGAAAGGTTCCCTTGTCCCCCTCGCAGGGCATGTGATGGGGGTGTGGCTCGCTTCTTCAGTGCCCCGCTGCTGCTCAGACCTCTAGGAGAGCATACAGACGGGCAGGCTGTGGGGCTCCGACCCCATGGCAGCATCTGGGGGTGAATGTTTTACAGCTCCTAAGGCTCCAGCGGGCATGTGTTACAGTGTGCTCTTTTAATTTAGCCGTCTGTAGGCAGCTTGTTTTAGCTCACTTAGACCCCCTTCCTTATCACAAGGACAGAGGGATTAATGTATCCCAGGTTCTTGTCTTGGTGTACCGGAAGAATGGGATCACATGTGGGCTTGGAGAATGAGTGCAAGGTTTTATTGAATGAAAGTAGCTCTCCGCTGATGGGGGAGCCAGAAGGGAGACAGATTTCCCTTGGAGTTGGGCCGCTCAGCGGCCCTGGCCAAACTCCGCCTCGTCCCCGTGGTTGATGGCCTGCTGGCTTGCCGGGGCCTGTCGGGGTGCTCTTCTGCCGGCCTGCTCTCCATGACCAGCCGCTTGTGTCTTTTTCCACCAATGTGTTCCTCTGGCCATCCAGCCACTTCTGTCTGCCCACTAGGGTCTCAGGTTTTTATAGGCCCAGGATGGTGGTGTGGTGGGCCAGCGTGGTCTTGGGAAATGCAACATTTGGGGGAAGGCAGGAGTGCTTGTCCTCACCTAGGTCCGTGGGGGTAGAGTCCTAGCCAGGGACCCGCCTTTCTCTCCCCAGCACTTCCCTTCCCCGCTTCTGTGTCATTTAAAGGGACCACGCTCTTCCCTTCCCAGCACTCCCGTATCAGTGTCACTTCCCTGCCCAGAGCCCCTGGGTATCTTACCATTTCGGTCGAACAAAGGCCAGGCTCTCCCATGCCCCATGAGGCCTGCACACTCTGCCCCGAATTCGCTTCTGCCTTCCCCCCTTCCACTCTCCCTCTTGTTCGTTGTGCCTCAGTCAGACCAGTCTTCTCCGCGCTCCAGAACACTCTGCCCTTTCCTACCGCAAGGGCTTAACACTCGGCGTTCCCTCTGTCTTACACACATTTCTCTCTTCTGGTGCCAGCTCCTCCTCACCATTTCGGTCTCCACTAAGTATCCACATCCTCAGCCTTCCCTGCCTATCGTGCCTGAGGGGACTCCATCATTTTCTATCAGAGCCCCCAGCTTCACTTGTGACACTAACAACCACATGGAGTGATTTTCTTTCTTTATGGTCTGTTTCCTCAACTAAAATGTAAGCTCCAAGATGACAGAAACCTTACCTGCCTTCTGTCCCAAGTGTCGGGCTCTGTGCCTGGCACGGGTTGGCACCCACTGTGAGGCCTAGTTAGATGATCGTGGCACTCACAGACCTCGCACGGTGCTTGGTAAACTAGTTAGTAACTTAAAACAATTGCTGTTTCCCCTTGAAATCCCTTGAAAGCAAACCTTTTCAAAAATGAAATTAATAATTCTGTCTTATGTGAATGTATTCAAGTGTTACATAGATCACGAGGAAAAAGAAATGTAGCCCTTCTGTCAGATAATACATGAGAATTCAGTAATACGAGTCAGTGCCCTGGGGCTAATATTGGGATGGGAATGATGTGGGGTTTGGAGGGTGTTTTTTTTGGTCAGCCGTGTTTCTGGGAGTGACTCCCTTTCTGTGTTTTGGTGTCAGATCCGGTGTTTAAAGCCGTCCCAGTGCCCAACATGACACCTTCAGGAGTCGGCCGGGAGAGGCACTCGTGTGACGCGCTGAATCGCTGGGTGAGAATGGCAGTCACCCCCCTTTCCTTTCAGGTCCCCGTCCATCACCATCCGACCTGCTGGTGAGGGTGACGCGTGCTCGTGTATGGGAACTGAGGCCCACAGGAGGAGCCGCCCTGCCAGTGCTGGGCCTGCTCTGGAGTTCTGTTCCCCATTGCGTTACCACCTCACGAGCTGGGTCACCTCTGGCAAGTCCTTCTGGCATTGCTCCCTCACTTTCCTTGCTGCTGTATAAGGCTGTGAGACAACAGGCAAAAGGTGGGCTGCAGGGCAGCTGCGGTGGGTTCTGGTGAGCCTGGGCAGCACAGCCGGGAGCCCCAGGCAGAGTCTGCCGAGCATCTGCAGCTGGCAGTGTGGAGCCAGGCCTGCACTTTGATAGCGTTTTGGGCACTGAATAGCAGCTCTAGGATTTGAGTCTGAAGGGTCTTGTGAACAGTGTGGGATGGCGGCAGCAGCAGTTCTAGCCAATGCTGGACACGCCCAGCCTAGCAGGGTTGGCAGATAAGTCCTGGTACATCCATGCTGGGGCTCAGCACAGCTGTGAGAGACCACAGAGCTGAGTGTCTCAAGCAGAAAGGAACTGGTCATAAACGAAATGAATCAATGCAGGTTACTAAGCAGTGTCAAGTAGCATGTTTTATGACAACAACTACAACTCCCTGCCCGCCACTAGGAGAAAAGACGCTGGGGGCAGACCACATGTCAGCAGTGGGTGTCGCTTAGTAATATATTGTGGGTCATTGTTATTTTCTTCTTTTTGTTTACTTGTATTTCCTAAATTTTTCTACAATGAACTTGTATTAATAAGAAAAAACCATAAAATTTACTGTTTTTAAAAAGCTGCTCTAAGTAATCAGACAGTCAAAAGAGCAGGAATCAGCTCTCCAGGAGGCTCTTTGGTCTGGGGCCGAGGGGATGAGGGTGGGTCCTGAAGACGTCTGAGTCCCTTGTTACAGGAGGGTGTTCATTGTGTCCTCCTCACAGCTGGGAGAACAGCTGAAGCAGCTGGTGCCTGCAAGCGGCCTCACAGTCATGGATCTGGAAGCTGAGGGCACGTGTTTGCGGTTCAGCCCTTTGATGACCGCAGCAGGTAAACCAGGCTTGGTGGACATCCCTTGCTTTTGTTCTGGGGCTGCTGGGTAGATTAGCTTGCCCTTATGATACTCCATTCTCCTAGAGTTATTAGCAGCTCTTTTTGGAGGGGCATTTTCTTTTCTTTTGGGCTAAATTTAGGTAGATTAGCATTCCCATGTAACTTACCAGAATCAGAATGAGAATTCAGAAGTCACCTGAATTGGCCGGGCATGGTGGCTCACACCTGTAATCCCAGCACCTTGGGAGGCCAAGGCAGGCAGATCATCTGAGGTCAGGAGTTCGAGACCAGCCTGGCCAACATAGTGAAATCCCGCCCCTACTAAGAATACAAAAAATTAGCCAGGCATGGTGGTACACACCTGCAGTCCCAGCTACTTGGGAGGCTGAGGCAGGAGAATCACTTGAACCTGGGAGGCCGAGGTTGCAGTGAGCTGAGATTACACCACTGCACTCCAGCCTGGGGGACAGAGGAGACTCCATCTCAAAAAAAAAAAAAAAAAAAAAAAAAGTCATCACATGAATTCCTTTTTTGTTGTTGTTGAGACAGGGTCTTGCTCTGTCACCCAGGCTGGAGTGCAGTGGTGCGATCATGGCTCACTGCAGCCTTGACCTCCTGGGCTCAAGTGATCTTCCCACCTCAGCCCCCGAGGAGTTGGGACCACAGGCATGAGCCACCACACTGGACTAATTTTTGCATTTTTTGTAGAAATGGGGTTTTGCCACGTTGGCCAGGCTGGAATTCCTATATTTTGATGTCTTGTGACTCTCGATTTTCCACTACAAGGGTTCTCACTCCCCACTGCACATTAGAGTCATCCGGGAGCTTTACACACAACCAGTGGCCGCCCACCCCCAGAGATTCTAGAATGGAGCCTGGGGATCTGTGTTTTGGTTTTTATTTTTTTTTTAGAAACAGGGTCTCATTTGTCACCCTGGCTGGAATGCAGTGTCTTCACCATAGCTCATTGCAACCTCGACCTCCTGGGCTCAAGCAATCCCCTGCCTCAGCCTCCCAAGGAGCTGGGACTACAGGCGAGCACCACCACATCTATTTTTTTTTTTTTTTTTTTTTTTCCATAGAGACGTGGTCTCACTCTGTCACCCAGGCTGCTCTTGAACTCCTGGCCTTAAGTGATCCTCCTGGCTCAGATTCCCAAAGCACTGGCCACTATAAGGATTGCCTGGCCACAGCTCTAGATACTTAGTCTCTAAAACTGCAAAAGTAAGCCAGTGAGCCCTGAGGCCCGGCGCTGTCACCATCTCCCTGTCCTTCCTGTGTGGGGACAGCAGCCCACCACAGTACTTCCCTTTCTCTCAGTCATAGGAATGTACAGAATCTGTGGTTGCCTTTTTGTGCTGAACCTATGGTGTGATGTCTCCAGCCTGCCTGAAGTAGGCTTGCTGTGGGAAGAGTGATTTCTAACACTGGAGTATGTCATTGTGGGCCACATCTGTGAGAGAAACACTCCACACCTGCTACAGCCAGCTGTGTCTGTTTCTAACCCTAATTCTTCCATATCTGTGTTGAGGGCCTTTTTTTGTTTAAATCTCCATGGCTCCCGGTAACTGGAGTACCTCGAGCTTTTGACCTTCCCAGTAGTGGAAGAGGGAGCCCTGCCCTCTTGTCATTGGCCATCTCGTGAGCATTTCTCTGACATTGTGAACATCTTCAGTTTTAGGAACTCGGGGAGAGGATGTGGATCAGCTCGTAGCCTGCATAGAAAGCAAACTGCCAGTGCTGTGCTGTACGCTCCAGTTGCGTGAAGAGTTCAAGCAGGAAGTGGAAGCAACAGCAGGTCTCCTATATGTTGATGACCCTAACTGGTCTGGAATAGGGGTTGTCAGGTAAAGTCTTGGCCTGCCGCTTGATGTTGGAGACTTTTCTGTATAAAGAACATGAGTGGGTCATTTTCTGAACCACCTTAGAAATCCAAGATGAACGTGTAGTCACAATATGCTTAACGAAAATGCAACTCGGTTTTCTGGGCATTTACAAAAGCACAGTGCAAGCAGGCAATTTGGCCAGCGTGGCGCTCAGGGAGGGGAGTTGCTGAATGTTCTGTCTGTAGGTGCCGACTCTCAGCTACCTAGGAGAAGATGCCAACAGGTATATATCACTCACTGAGAATGGTTACTATCCAGGGCATATAGAGAATTGCAAATCAGTAAGAAAAAGAACCCAGCTCTCGGGGAGAGAACTGGGTGCAGTCCTATGGCTGCTTTCTCGCCTTCAGAGGTGAGGCAAACCTCTTTTTGTATTGCCCATGAGACTTCCAGACCTTGTATGGAACTAAAGACTTAGGCTTTCAGCTGGGCACGGTGGCTCATGCCTGTAATCCCAGCACTTTGGGAGGCCAACAGGAGCATAGATGACTTGAGGCCAGGAGCTTGAGTCCAGCCTGGACAACATGGCGAAACCCCATCTCTAGAAAAAATACAAAAATTAGCCAGAGGTGGTGGTGCACACCTGTAGTCCCAGCTACTCGGGAAGCTTAGATGGAAGGATCAACTGAGCCCAGGAGGTGGAGGTTGCAGTGAGCCAAGATCATGCCACTGCACCCCAGCCTGGGCCACCAAGTGAGACCCTGCTTTAAAAAAAAAAAAAAAAGGCTTTCCTGTGACTTTCTCTTTACTCCTGGCACACTTCCAGAAAGTTTGTGGTCTGGAGACACTCGCAGTAGCTCTTTTGCCCACTGGTTCCACTGCATTGTCTTGCTAATATTTAGAGGTTTCTAATCCTGTATCAGAAGAGACATTTGATCTTTTAAGCTGAAATGCTGTGGTTTGATGTTGTTTTAGGTATGAACATGCTAATGATGATAAGAGCAGTTTGAAATCAGATCCCGAAGGGGAAAACATCCATGCTGGACTCCTGAAGAAGTTAAATGAACTGGAATCTGACCTAACCTTTAAAATAGGTAACTGCTTACTTTGTAAGTCAGCTGTGGGGTTTGGAAGGACACTTGGTAACCGGCTTTGAAGACGACGGCTCATCCCTTAGCGGGCTAGCGCCTCTCGGGCTGGGTTCCAGGCGAAGATGCGGTTCTGAGACCTCCCTCCCCTTCTGCAGCCTTGCCAGGCCTTTCTCTCCGCCCTTAGAATCTCCATGGAGGAGACCCCTTTGTGTGTGGTCAGGACCCTGAACAGGAGAGTAGGTCCACGTCTCACCCATGACAGAGGACTGAGAAACTCAAGTTTGTCTCGTTACCTTTGCAGGCCCTGAGTATAAGAGCATGAAGAGCTGCCTTTATGTCGGCATGGCGAGCGACAACGTCGATGCTGCTGAGCTCGTGGAGACCATTGCGGCCACAGCCCGGGAGATAGAGGAGAACTCGAGGGTCCGTAGCACCCATCAGTGTTCATTCCTCTTCTGAGTTTTGTCCCACCAAACAGCAGGGGCCACGAGGAAAGCAGCTGCCCTTGGGATGTCTGTTCGTTGTCTCTCAAAGTCTGTCAATGTTTCCTGTAAGCTGGGCCTTGTGCCAGGTGTCAGAGATGCCAAGTAGGTTTGACACAGCCCATGCCCCAGTGATCTCACAAGCTCAGGGGGAAAGATCCACATAGCCACGCTGTGTAGTAACCCTGCCTTAGAGAAGAGGGCGGGTAGCTGGACACTCAGGCAGACACATTCACCCCTGCCACCAAGGTCAGGGAGGACTTCTGCTCTGGAGCTGTGTCCTGAGGGTGAATGAAATGGGCTGTTGTATGTGTGGTTCCCCCTACACCCCTTCCCTATAGCACTTCCCACCAGGAATAGACCTACTGCTGTGGGTCCCTTAGCATGGAGGACCAGGATACAAGGCTGATAAGGTATCCTCCAAACAGATGATTACTTCCCTAAAAATCACTCAAAAGGAGAGAAGAGGGACCAAGGTAAGACTGCTCTGAAAGGAGAGAGACACGAGCCATTGGACATGCGGCCGAGAAGCCAGCTTCATTCCTTTCTGGGTGGACTCCTTAAGGTTTCTTTCCAGCCTGACTTTATGACTTCTCTGTTTTCAAGAATACGTAGCAAATGAGGCTGGTCACCAAGGTGTGTCTGCCTAGGCCTCTATGAGCATGTTATCTGCTTGTCTTTGAGTTTCTGTTCGTTTTACGCCGGCTTTTCAATGCAGGATTTCATTGACCTGCTTTTGAAAAATTCCCTCAGTGCTGTGTTACTAGCTCTTCTGGGCCCCAGGTGAGAACCTTAAACAAGTAATGTCTTTCTTGGTCTTGCCACAGCTTCTGGAAAACATGACAGAAGTGGTTCGGAAAGGCATTCAGGAAGCTCAAGTGGAGCTGCAGAAGGCAAGTGAAGAACGGCTTCTGGAAGAGGTGAGGCCCCCGATGGGCAGCAGGCTGGGGGAGCCGCCGTGAGGCCAGGTGGCCCTGAACTCTGGTCCTGTCTTGCAGGGGGTGTTGCGGCAGATCCCTGTAGTGGGCTCCGTGCTGAATTGGTTTTCTCCGGTCCAGGCTTTACAGAAGGGAAGAACTTTTAACTTGACAGCAGGTAGGACGGCATAGCCTCTTCCCAGGTCTTGCTGACCTTGGGAGGTTTCACCAAATGCCCTTGGGTCCCAACACTTCCCACTGAGAATCCCGCCCTGGTTCCCGTTCTTCATCACTGGGTGTGGGCCGGACATCTGAGGAGACAAGTTCTGGTGTGCCCTGTCCTCCTCCCCACCGCACCCTGGCGGCTGAAACAGCAAGGAAGCAGCTACCCACTCTCCACAGCTGTCACCACCGCAAGGCCATGAGGACACGCCCACTCAGCCGTGCAGACTCTCAGGGTGCTGTGTCTTGGGCATTTTGGTTCAGGGTTAATACTTCTTGTCTTCATGTGTGTTCTGCCCCAGCAGAGGACAGCTTTTGCAAGTGGCAATGCAGAGACTGAAGCATGGAGTGCTGGCACGGTTTATTTTGAACCAGGCAGCCAGCAAGCGTTTCAGCCGCTGGAATGTGGGGAGGGTGTTAACAGTCCGTGACTCCTTTCCTGTTCTACCAAGGAAATAATTTCCTACACTCGAGCCCCTTCCTTCATTCTTTCCCAGGAAACGATGACTCCATTGTCATGAAAGCAAAAGATAATCTGATTTCTAATCTGCCAAGCCTTAGCCTTCAGCAAAAAGGCACCCACTTCTTGTGGCTACAGTACGTTTCCCTGTTGGGCCTGGCTCCCTGGGTGTGCTTACGCCATACTGCTGGCGGATGCTGGCGGTACTGGCCCTGTGAGGTGGCTTTCTCTAGCTCACGGCACATTCATAAGTGCCCTTCTCTCCACCAGTCTGTGGCAGGCTCAGTGGCTGGAAGGAGGTTATTGGGGAGCAAGGCTGTGTGAGGGCAGGTGGTGTCTTCAAGGGCAGCCTGTGCCTGTAGCTTCTACCCAGCCCTCTCCTCTCCCGCAGGCTCTCTGGAGTCCACAGAACCCATATATGTCTACAAAGCACAAGGTGCAGGAGTCACGCTGCCTCCAACGCCCTCGGGCAGTCGCACCAAGCAGAGGCTTCCAGGTAAGTGACGCCTCTGCACCGAGTTCAGGTAACAGGTTTCCCCTGTTGACTGTTACTTGCGTTTGTTTTCTGGGTTCTTGAACTCCAGAGGTCTATTTCTCTTAAGACCAACTACTACCATCTCTTTAACCATCTTGGTAGCCGTGGGATTCAGCCTTGAAGAAATCCCACGGTAGTGCGCTAAGGGGAAGTTGGGGTCTTGAAAGATGACATTGTCACTGTGGTGTTTACCCTCCTGGGCGTTTCCTAATGAAGATGACCTTAGAGTTCCCCGGCCTGGGGAGCATGTTGGTGTCAAGCTAGCAGCTCTCGGTTTTCTCATCTCCTAAAACACCTCAGAGCCAGTAAAGGTTTCTGCTGAAGCTGTGTTGTGAAATAAAGCAATTATCTGTTGCAGAGACAGCCTGTGTTGCAGAAGTATCCTCACTGAGTTTCAGCGCAGTCTGTCTGCCCTTTCTGTAGGCCAGAAGCCTTTTAAAAGGTCCCTGCGAGGTTCAGATGCTTTGAGTGAGACCAGCTCAGTCAGTCACATTGAAGACTTAGAAAAGGTGGAGCGCCTATCCAGTGGGCCGGAGCAGATCACCCTCGAGGCCAGCAGCACTGAGGGACACCCAGGGGCTCCCAGCCCTCAGCACACCGACCAGACCGAGGCCTTCCAGAAAGGGGTCCCACACCCAGAAGATGACCACTCACAGGTAGAAGGACCGGAGAGCTTAAGATGAGACTCATTGTGTGGTTTGAGACTGTACTGAGTATTGTTTCAGGGAAGATGAAGTTCTATTGGAAATGTGAACTGTGCCACATACTAATATAAATTACTGTTGTTTGTGCTTCACTGGGATTTTGGCACAAATATGTGCCTGAAAGGTAGGCTTTCTAGGAGGGGAGTCAGCTTGTCTAACTTCATGTACATGTAGAACCACGTTTGCTGTCCTACTACGACTTTTCCCTAAGTTACCATAAACACATTTTATTCACAAAAAACACTTCGAATTTCAAGTGTCTACCAGTAGCACCCTTGCTCTTTCTAAACATAAGCCTAAGTATATGAGGTTGCCCGTGGCAACTTTTTGGTAAAACAGCTTTTCATTAGCACTCTCCAGGTTCTCTGCAACACTTCACAGAGGCGAGACTGGCTGTATCCTTTGCTGTCGGTCTTTAGTACGATCAAGTTGCAATATACAGTGGGACTGCTAGACTTGAAGGAGAGCAGTGATTGTGGGATTGTAAATAAGAGCATCAGAAGCCCTCCCCAGCTACTGCTCTTCGTGGAGACTTAGTAAGGACTGTGTCTACTTGAGCTGTGGCAAGGCTGCTGTCTGGGACTGTCCTCTGCCACAAGGCCATTTCTCCCATTATATACCGTTTGTAAAGAGAAACTGTAAAGTCTCCTCCTGACCATATATTTTTAAATACTGGCAAAGCTTTTAAAATTGGCACACAAGTACAGACTGTGCTCATTTCTGTTTAGTATCTGAAAACCTGATAGATGCTACCCTTAAGAGCTTGCTCTTCCGTGTGCTACGTAGCACCCACCTGGTTAAAATCTGAAAACAAGTACCCCTTTGACCTGTCTCCCACTGAAGCTTCTACTGCCCTGGCAGCTCGCCTGGGCCCAACTCAGAAACAGGAGCCAGCAGAGCACTCTCTCACGCTGATCCAGCCGGGCACCCTGCTTAAGTCAGTAGAAGCTCGCTGGCACTGCCCGTTCCTACTTTTCCGAAGTACTGCGTCACTTTGTCGTAAGTAATGGCCCCTGTGCCTTCTTAATCCAGCAGTCAAGCTTTTGGGAGACCTGAAAATGGGAAAATTCACACTGGGTTTCTGGACTGTAGTATTGGAAGCCTTAGTTATAGTATATTAAGCCTATAATTATACTCTGATTTGATGGGATTTTTGACATTTACACTTGTCAAAATGCAGGGGGTTTTTTTTGGTGCAGATGATTAAACAGTCTTCCCTATTTGGTGCAATGAAGTATAGCAGATAAAATGGGGGAGGGGTAAATTATCACCTTCAAGAAAATTACATGTTTTTATATATATTTGGAATTGTTAAATTGGTTTTGCTGAAACATTTCACCCTTGAGATATTATTTGAATGTTGGTTTCAATAAAGGTTCTTGAAATTGTTACCAGTGAATTCAGTTTATAAATCTTATTACAAAAGACTTACCCACGTACCTGAAATAGCTGCCGATAGACCAGTGAGAGGTAGGTTCTCCTCTGCCCGTTATTACCGACCAAAAAAAAAACTGGACATCAATTTTTTAGTAAACCAAAAAATAAGTCTCAACAAATGCCTTTGCCAAAATAAGGTTTTATTTTGAAAGTCATTTGATGAAAGTCATTTGAAAGACACTGAGGAGGGAAGGAGGCCTAAGACCCAACAGATGTAGGATCCAGATCTGGATTCGTGCCAGCCCCACCAATGGTCTGTCAGGCCAAGAAGGTGCTTTCTTTGGTAATTCATGTTTTTTAACTTCCTGGAGAAGAGATCTTTTCCCACAAGCCATCTTCATTTTTTTTGTAGAGTAGGGCTTTATTTCCAGAAAACAGTGTGTGAGCTGGAGATGGGTGTTTTTTTAAAAACATCAAGGTAGATCTAATATGTTCAACAAAGTGGGGTGGCTCAGCCAGAGGCGAAGTGGAAAGATTCTGAAAACACAAGATGGTGGGCATTAGAGAAGCCAACCTTACTGTCCCCTGCTGTGATAAAGATGTCAAAGTATCTTTGTTCTTGGACACAAATATATATAATAAAATACGTTAAGAAATGAGGTGGCCTGAATTAGTAAGAAAAAAGTTGATTGCTTACTGCTTTACCCACACACATTTCCATCTAGGACTTGACATATCCCCATTTGATATACAAGTTAAATGGGGTCTGTCAATGGCATCCAAAAAGTTACTACCCGCCAAAGGGAAAGCAGCTATGACCTGGTCTAAACCCTTTTTTTCTTACAGATGGGGAAACCAGGGTGCAGAGATTTAAGACTTACCCAGCCTGTAAACTCTCACCTCTAGTATTTGCTTGTCATCTTGGTGCAACCAGAAATCCACATGTGGAAATGGTGTCCAGGAGTACGGTCCTATACGAAGTTGTTCTGTCTCTGCATCATAAATGCTAATCATCTAAAAAAGAACGTGTCAAGGATAGAATTTCAGGAATGTCACCCACTTTTCAAACCCTCCCAGTAACGCAAGCTCCAGTGTAGTCCTTTCATGCATTTATCTGCCTAAGCTTCTTAAAACCTGTCTCAAATAACAAAAGCTGCCAGCTACTGAACACGTCCAGTGTGTCTGCTTCTGCACACTGTGGGGCACGCACGACTGCTGAGCGCCAACAGCAGTCCCACAGGACGAGGGTGTTTTTTCCCATTTGGGGTGAAAACTTGAGGCTCAGAGAAACAAGGCCCATTTCCCAGGTTACGTGTCCAGTAAGCCTCAGAGCTGGACCTCAAACCCAGGCGCTTCTGACTAAAGTCTGTGTTCCCATTGCCTCATTATTTATACCCCAAACAACTGATCACCTTGCAATTTAAAAGCATACAGTGCCTGCTGCCCCATCAAAAGAAGAAGCTAATTTGCCAAATGATCCAGTCCCTGAATTCCCAAATTTGCCAATGGCAGCCTCAGCTTACCTAGCAATATTCACTTTGGTAACTGACACTGAAATATGTTCTGAATATCAACTAAACTAGGCCTGTTACACTCCTTGAGAAGTCCTAAAAATGTTAAAAGGGTTGGCTCCGAATCCAAACACATTTCCCAGTGAAAACATCAGCATTTCATAAATGAGAAGATTTCTTTGGGGTGGCCTGAATGTGATTTCCGTTTTTTCACACTTTGAGCATTTTTAAAGAATTCTTTCACCCATTCCTCAAATGGCATATAAACCTTGGGTTTTCAGTTTTCTAACTTTTAAAATTACAGTGTAATTTAATTAAGCACCCTAAGGGAATCAGACTTTAAATTAATTTGATCATTATTTTGGGTTAATTAAATTGTTCCAGCAAATTGCTCTTCAGTGACCCGGTCCAAAAGAATGCATAGTCCTGAGTGCAGAGGGGAGAAACCTCTCTCCTGCGTCCCAGTTCTCCTCTCTTTGTAGAACTTTATAGAAAAGCTCTTACAAAGTAACAGAAGTTTGTTCTCTTTGAATTCGGATGCTGGGGTTCACACTTACCTCCCACACCTTTTAGGCAGAGAACTGGAGCTGATGACCTAAAGATGTTCATTACTATTTTGAGACAGCAAGTGTGGGGAGGGGTATATGTATGTGCTGGTCCCTGATAATGTACGGCTATAAAGAAGCTGACAGCATAAACTTTTCTAAGATCCCAAAAACTTAAGGCCTTGACATTTGATGCCTTTTTTTTTTTAACCCCTTAACAAAGATGATTTGAAACTCACTGGTCCTCCTGCTAAAGTTCGCGCAGCACGAAGCTGCTCCTCCGGACCCCGATCTTGAAAGGATGCTCTGTAAATCTCTGCAGTCTTAATGTTGACAGCTGTGAGGGACAACAGGATGACTCTGAATTGACAAAAGACCAAAGCGGAAAGTCTGCACAGTCTTACATTTCTACCACCACTCCTAAGAGAAAGATAGGAAAGTGAACAGAATGGCTCCTAAGTATCTGGACTTCCCCCTCCCTGGAGGGGGAAAATGCAACCTTTACCCCAAGCATCTCGGTGAAAATCGCTGAGGCTCGAGCTGGACTCGGTGAGATTTTGTTCTAAACCAAGAGCTGCTTTCCACATGGGAGGCAGCCATTCCTTCAGTCGGACATGTAGCAAAACCTCTGGTCATCCCTACTGGTGTACGGCCAGGGGTGGCTGGGTGAACTGTGATCGTTCTGTTTGAATCTTCACAATTTAGTATTTTATACATACACGAAGTTACAGAGAATAGAACAGTGAACACTGTGTACCTACCACCCAGCTAAATCAATCAAGTATCACCGCTACAGCAGAAGCCCTCGGAAATAGAGCCGATTCCATGATGCCTTTTCCGCGGGAGTCCTGGGGCTGCCAAGCAGGGAGGATGGTTCTAGGTTTTCTCTAGCCTAAGAGTTTTACACTTTGGAGGATTTCTGTTCTCAAGCAAAACCTTCCTCAGTTCCTGATGTATAAAAGGATTCCAGTGCCTGCCTTCCTCCCCCAGAGCACTGGCAGGAGAAAAGCACGCCGGGCCTGGGGTGCTGGGGGGAGAGGGAAACAAAACCAGGCACTTTCCCAGCTCCTGGGAAGGGTGGGCATGGCCTGTCCTTTCTATTTGCTACCACGTTGCTTCTTCAAAGTCTTAAGAAGTGAATGTTATCTCAGTTTTATAGGTAAAGCTTAGAGAAGTTAAGCTACTTGCCCAAGGCCTCACAGCAGATGTTCGGAGTAGCTGGGATCTGAACCCAAAGCTGTCCCATCCTGACAGCAGTGGGGTCATTGGTTTGCTGAATTAGACTTTAACTGCACATGTGACCAAGACTCCAACCCACAAAAGATGCACACTACTTACCAATGCCATATATTACTGGAAAGTGGTTTTCGTTTTCTTCCCGGTCATTTAATTCTACAAAATAAGAATGTTTAAGATACACTTTTTAAAGAAATACCAAATGATTATTTTTACTTTGTATAATAAAGGCGAAGGAGGAGCTCCTCGATGCAGAAAGGGAGGAAAATTCCAGAAAATGAAAGGGATTGTGGCCCTGTTTCCCTACCCTGTCCCAAGGCAGGGGGGTTTATACTGAACAAACTGGCAGCTGCAGAATCGGTCCCCACTCCCACCCCACCTTCTCTGTGCACCCTGTCTGCCACACGGGTGGCAGCTCCTCTGAGATCCAGTGCCCTCCTTCCTGGTAGACGAGGGGGCTGCACTGGAACTGAGGCTCGGCAGATGGTGGACGAGGGCAAGGGGAAGGGGAAGGCCATCCCACCACAGGAAGAGCCGGAACAGATGGTGGCCAAGCAGTGACAGCAGTGTGTGCCGGTGCTTGGGCCCACTGCAAGACTGGGGACAAAACGGTCCTGAGACCCACATCTTTGCTTTGGGGCAAATGGCAGGACTTACCTGTCACACATAATGTCACTAAGTGAATGTCATCTTCTTGCCTGTCAAATTCACCTATGATGAGAATTTTAAGACCAGAAGTCAGAAAAGTTCCTCTAGTTACCAGAACAAACTGCTGAGCAAGCCAACGACAGGGAGGGACGGCAGCCAACTGAGTGTGCTCCGCCCTACAGCCCGCGCCCACACTGCCACAGCCTGGCCTATGGGGCCAGACACTAGGGAGCTGACACCACAGAACCCTGACCGCCAGGAGATGGCCACATTCTCAGCCTCAGGCCCGAAGGAGCCTGGGCTGAGCCTTCCCATTTTTCTCTTCATTCTGAGAGTTTTGCGGGGACCCATGGATTTATAAGATTTTTACTTTTCTCCTAACTAAACTGTTTTCCTGATTATCAGAATTACAAAAACAAAAATCTGGCCACTGTAACAGATCTGAAAAATACAAGAGAACATAAGGAAGTCGGTTTTTAATGTCCATAATCCTAACACTGTTAATAATTAGTGTATTTTCTTCCATATTTTTCTAAGCTCAGCAGAGCTGACTATAAAGACAATTTTATATCTTTTTTTTTTTTTTTTTTGAGATGGAGTCTTGCTCTGTCACCCAGGCTGGAGTGCAGTGGAGCGATCTCTGCTCATCGCAGTCTCCACCTCCCAGGTTCAAGCGATTTTCCTGCCTCAGCCTCCCAAGTAGCTGGGATTACAGACTTGCGCCACCATGCCTGGCTAATTTTTGTATTTTCAGTAGAGACAGATGGGGTTTCACCATGTTGGCCAGGCTGGTCTCGAACTCGTGACCTAAAGTGATCCACCTGCCTCGGCTGCCCAAAGTTCTGGGATTACAGGAATGAGCCACTGCGCCCAGTCGACAATTTTATATCCTGATTTGCTTGTGCATAGGTATTTTCCCATGTAATTCTCACCCTTTCATGTGTTATTTTTTAGCGACTACATAATTATTATTCTGATGACACCAGATTTCCTGTTATAAGTAATGTTCTACCGCTCATCTTCAGGTTCAAATCTCTATGCACATTTCAGATTATTTTCTTAGCATATATTTCCACAAGGGGAATTACTGGGTCAAAGGATGAACTATTTATTTATTTATTTATTTATTTATTTATTGAGACGAAGTCTCGCTCTGTCACCCAGGCTGGAGTGCAGTGGTGTGATCTCAGCTCACTGCAACCTCCACCTCCTAGATTCAAGCGATTCTCCTGCCTCAGCCTCCTGAATAGCTGGGATTACAGGCGTGCGCCACCATGCCCAGCTAATTTTTTTTTTTTTTTTTTGAGATGGAGTTTAGCTCTTGATGCCCATGCTGGAGTGCAATGGTGTGATCTCAGCTCACCGCAACCTATACCTCCCGGGTTCAAGCGGTTCTCCTGCCTCAGCCTCCCAAGTAGCTGGGATTACAGGCATGCACCACCATGCCTGGCTAATTTTGTATTTTTAGTAGAGACGGGGTTTCTCCATGTTGGTCAGGCTGGTCTTGAACTTCTGACCTCAAGTGATCGGCCTGCCTTGAACTCCCAAAGTGCTGGGATTACAGGCATGAGCCACCGCACCCGGCCTAATTTTTGTAATTTTAGTAGAGACAGAGTTTCACCATGTTGCCCAGGCTGGTGTCGAACTCCTGACCTTAGGTGATCCACCTGCCTTGGCCTCCCAAAGTGCTGGGATTACAGGCATGAGCCACCGTGCCCGGCCGGATATGAACCTTTTTTAAGAGTTATGGCGAGACCCTGTCTCCACAAAAAATTTAAAAATCAGCTGGGCATGGTGGCATGCACCTAGTCACAGCTACTTGGGAGGCTGAGGAGGGAGGATCACTTGAGCCCAGTAGGTTGAGGCTGCAGTGAGCCATGATGGCGCCACTGCACTACAGCCTGAGTGGCAGAGTGAGGCCTTCAGTCATGATGCCAAATTGCTTCCCAGACAGGCTGTACCATCATATGAGTAAGCTTGCTTCATGGCCTGGTGGTTAGTCAACACACGACAATGTTTTCTTTCTTTCTTTTTTGAAAATATTTGCTAATTTAGGCCAGGTGTGGTGACTCACACCTGTAATCCCAGCACTTTAAGAGGCCGAGGCAGGTGCATCACCAGGTCGGGAGTTCACAACCAGCCTGGCCAACATGGTGAAACCCCATTTCTACCAAAAATACAAAAATTAGGTGGGTGTGGTGGCGCACGCCTGTGATCCCAGCTACTCAGGAGGGTGAGGCAAGAGAATTGCTTGAACCCAGGAGGCAGAGCTTGCAGTGAGCCGAGATCATGCTACTGCACTCCAACTTGGGCAACAGAGCAAGACTACATCTCAAAAAAAGAAAAAAAAAGAAAAAATTTGCTAATAGGGAAAAAATGGTATCATCAGTGTTTTAATTTTCTGCAGATTAAAATGGACATTTTTGCCAGGAGGGAGGGTGGCTCTGCTTTCACACAATTCAGAGCACTTACTATTTTGGAATGTGTTCACTGCTGTTTTAGTAGAAAATCTTGTCCCCAGCCCTGCTACCCCTCCCTACACATGAGCTCCACGCATTCAGTCTTTCTGTGAAATTCCAAGCTGGGCAGTCTGTTTCTCTGTGCTGCTCCAAGTGGGTGTGCCCTTCTTGGGTTTTGTACCAATTGGGATTTTTAACCCAAGCAAATATGGGTACATATTTATGTCCAATTTGGGGGAAAGAAAAAAAAAATGAACTTACTAAGAAGTTGATGAGTGAGTTTTTGTGACAACTGCCTGTCGTCACTGAAGCCTCCAACAAGGTGTACTTCCAGCCTGGCAAAGAGATGAGACGGGTCAGAGGCCAGAAGAAGACACCGGTGCGTGCGCTGGTCTCACTTTGAACTTTCATTCTCAGTTTCCATGAACACTTGCTCTACAGCAGAGCTGCAGGTCATCTTCGTGCCACCGCAAAAGAAAGTATCGGCAGCACACTGCCAAGGCCAGTGGCGAGCTTCTGGGGACCCTGCCCAGGGGCCCTGATGACTGAGGGGATCCGTATCTGAACACAAATGTGATGCCGCCTCCATGCACCAGTGGGGAACTTTGCTCTGGAAGAGCACAGGCACAGGACAGGTGCAGTGGCTCACATCTGTAATCCTAGCACTTTGGGAGGCTGAGGTGGGCGGATCACTTGAGGTTAGGAGTCTTGAGACCAGCCTGGCCAACATGGTAAAACCCCATCTCTACTAAAAATACAAAAATTAGGCCGGGCGCAGTGGCTCACGCCTGTAATCCCAGCACTTTGGGAGGCTGAGGCGGGCAGATTGCTTGAGCTCAGGAGTTTGCAACCAGCCTGGGCAACAAGGTAAAACTCCATCTCTACTAAAATACAAAAAAAAATTAGCTGGACATTATGGCATGTGCCTGTAGTCCCAGCTACTTGGGAGGCTAAGGCAGGAGAACTGCTTGACCCTGGGAGGCAGAGGTTGCAGTGAGTCAAGATCGTGCCACTGCACTCCAGCTTGGGCTACAGAGTAAGACTCTATCTCAAAAAAAAAAAAAAAAAGAAAAGAAATTAGCCGGGCATGGTGGCACACCTGTAATCCCAGCTACTCGGGAAGCTGAGGCAGGAGAATTGCTTGAACCTGGGAGGCAGAGGTTGCAGTGAGCTGAGATCGCGCCACTGCACTCCAGCTCTGGGCAATCGAGCAAGACTCCGTCTCAGGGGGAAAAAATAAATAAGTAAGTTGGGCGTGGTGGTGGGCGTCTGTAATCCCGGCTACTCGGGAGGCTGAGGCAGGAGAATCACTTGGACCCAGGAGGCAGAGGTTGCAGTGAGCCAAGATTGCATCACTGCATGCCAGCCTGGGTGACAGAGCCAGACTCTGTCTCAAAAAAAAAAAAAAAAGGTTTGAGGCCAGGTGTGCTGGCATATACCTCTATTCCCAGCTACGCGGGAGGCAGAGGTGGAAGGAATGCTTCAGCCCAGAAGTTTGAGACTAGCCTGGGTGACAGGGTGAAACCCCGGCTCTAAAACAAAAACAAAACAAAACAAAAAGACTGGGCAACTGCCTGCTGGAAGCCCTCCTTAGGAGTCACACTGCGCATTGCACAGTGAAGCTCTTGAGAAGTCCTGCGACTGAAAAATCCAACTAACTTTCTTGAACCCAGTGTTTCCCACACTCATCTACTAACCCCCTTTTCCACAGCCCGTCAAGTGGGCGAATTCACGCTCGGCAAAGTGTTGCCAGACTTTACGCTGCCTTCTCAGACACAAAATCTTCCTAAGGGATGAACCAGAAGCTTGGATGTACCCAACATAGGGCACAGCCTCAAGGGGCCTCATAATAAACTCCAAGTAGTAGCAGTAAGGAGAGCTGCGACCACCATGGCTTTGCCACTGGGCCACCAGGTTTGCCTCTGACTCCCTGAGCGATCACAGTTCTACAACAGATCAGGAAGAGCTGACAAGCACGTTCTGAGAACCACGGAGCAGAGTGTGTGGCAACATAATGGCATTGATTACGTCCCCCTGCGGGGGCCAAGATGATAGGAAAATGAAAATACCATTTTGGGCCTGCATGGGTCACGTGTCCATGAAGCCAGCCCAGCCTTGGCACAGACCACAGAGGGAGAATTTAGAATCGACCAGTATTGACTAGCAAATCTCTCCCAGAGAACTCTCTCTTTCCTTTTTAGACTCCTAGGATTAAGCCTTCGTATATGATGGGAGTAGTTCACTCAATGGCTGCCTTAGACTTCCAGTAAAATGAGAGCAACACCTGCCAGGTCTCCACAAAGAGCAAGGAGAGGGGACAGGTGTGTGAACAGTGGTCTTGACAGCAGGCCTGTGTCGTCGGCCTCCACCTAGCTCCTGTGTGCTCCAGCACATCGAGCCTCAGTTGCCCGTCTCTGTCAAATGGAGGCAGCGGCTACTTTACTGCAGTGAGAGAGGATGAGGTGCTGTGGGGGCACCCAGGCTAGAGGCCGCTTCTTATCCAGCAATCCTTGGGGAAACTACCAATCTGCTGGAATTTAAAACTATACCCCTCAGCTGGGAGGATCACTTGAGCCCAAGAGTTTAAGACCGGCCTGGGCAACTTGGCAAAACCCTGTCTCTACCAAAAAAAAAAAAAAAAAAAAAAAAAAAGCTAGCTGGGTATGGTGGTGTACACCTGTGGTCCCAGCTACTTGGGAGGCTGAGGTCGGAGAATCACCTGAGTCCACAAAGTCAAGGCTGCAGTAAGCTGAGATCACACAACTGTGCTCCAGACAGGGCGACACAGCAAGACCCTATCTCAACAACAAAAAGAGAACAAGAAAAAAAACTACATGCCTCGCCCCCTAGCGGTCCCCACATCTTCCTGGCCTCGTTTTCTCCACAGCCCCGCCTCACCACCCAACACCCCATCTTGTGTACAGTCTCTCGGCTTCGGAATACAAACACCTTGGGCCGGGCTTTCTGTCTACTCTTCACTGCTGTGTCCCTAGAAACTACAAGGTGTAGGTGAGAGGAAGCATTTAACAAGCAACTGCGGGAGGAATGACTGCATGGAGAGCTACCACACCCGGGGGAGAGCAAAACGATGTGAAAATCGCAACCTCGACGTTCCTGAGACGACATCAAGTTCAAAGTCAAGCCTTCCATCTCAAATCCAGCACAGACTCCTTGCCTGTGCCCAGCACCCACTCATTCACTCAACCACTGCTGACGCAGTGCCCACGTCGTGCCAGGTTCTGTTCCAGGGGAACGAGGCAGACACGGCAGTGGTGGCATCCTGTGTTCCCCTAACAGCTTCCACAGCCACGTCCTGTATGCGACGGTTCCAAGATCTCAATTCACCTATGAGAGCAGCGTAGATCTCACCTTCCACATTGAGCGTGGTCAGAAAAGGATTTTATGGAGTTCATGATCAAGGGGACCTCAGCTTTGGTGTCGGTTCCGTCACAATGTGTCAAGCAGGTGGCCCCATTACCTGAAGAACAAGGGTGAAAGGACTCAAGTTATTCCCTGATGCGAGTGCAGTGCGCAGGCCGAGACTCCGCCTGTCCCTCCGGACCGCCTCATCTTTGAATATCCTGTAGGGGAAAAACGGACAGGTCTGTGCTCCCCAGCCAACCCATTCTGACCAGGACACCAGGGAGACACCATGCAGACCAGAAAAAAGGTAAGCGGAGTCCGCTTCCAACAAGACACCAGGAAACTCAACACGAGAAATTCAATGGTCCCAAAGGTTGGGTCAGTTTAAGTAATGGTTTCCTTCACCTCTCTCATCATACCTGTGTGCCTCAGGACCACAATGTGACAAGTAGTGGCATCATCAGAACCCAGAATGGAGATGGAGCCTGTTTAAAAAAGAAATAAAATAAAATATCCAATAGCCTTTTGGGATAACGCCCAATTCACTGCTTCCTAACCTACCATCCTTTGGGGAGGTCACTGCAAGCTCTCTTTGCTGAACATACAGAAGGCCCTGGGGTCCCACTTGTTGAACAGACTGACCTCTGAGAAGTCTGGCTCTTTCCTGTTTAATTAAAAAAAAAATAAAATAGTGATGTAAATTAGTGAGGATGGAAAAACTAAAGATGTGGAGAGAGCCAAAGTGGGCTCTGCGTGGGCAGCACGCTAGTGTGTGGGGAGTGTGTTAGTGGACAGAGAGGCTCAAAGAAAAAGGCAGCAGCCACGGTCATTCAGAACAATGCAGAGAAAACGATGCGGTTCTGCGCGGTGGTTTTTTTAACCTATGAAATCGGATGTCATAGTAACCTATGAAATGAGATGCAAAAATCCTTTATTATAGTTTTTTGTTTGTTTGTTTGTTTTTTAAAGACACAGGGCCTCACTATGTTGCCCAGGCTGGTCTTGAACTCCTGGGCTCAAGCAATCTTCCTGCCTTGGCCTCCCAAAGTGCTGGGATTACAGGCATGACCCACCACACCCAGCTATCACAGTTCTTTACTAAAGAGTGTGAGACTCTTAACAATTTTACCATTGTAAAGAGAATCAGATTACACAGGAATAGTGGATGGATGGCTCTGAAATCACATCCCCTCTTTTTTATTTTTTGAGACAGTCTCTCACTCTGTCACCCAAGCTGGAGTATAGTGGTACAATTTCAACTCACTGCAGCCTCCACCTCCCAGGCTCAAGCGATCCTACCACCTTAGCCTCCCAAATAGCTGGGACTACAGGCTTGCACCACCACACCTGGCTGAGTTTTATACTTTTTGTAGCGACGGGGTCTCCCTATGCTCCCCAGGCTGGTCTCAAACTCCTGGGCTCAAGCAATCCACCCACCCTGGCCTCCTAAAGTGCTGGGAGTACAGGCACACACCACCACACCTGGCTGATTTTTATACTTTTTGTAGAGATGAGGCCTCCCTATGCTGCCCAGGCTGGTCTCAAACTCCTGGGCTCAAGCAATCCACCCACCCTGGCCTCCCAAAGTGCTGGGAGTACAGGCACACACCGCCACACCTGGCTGAGTTTTATACTTTTTGTAGCGACGGGGTCTCCCTATGCTCCCCAGGCTGGTCTCAAACTCCTGGGCTCAAGCAATCCACCCACCCTGGCCTCCCAAAGTGCTGGGAGTACAGGCACACACCGCCACACCTGGCTGATTTTTATACTTTTTGTAGAGATGGGGCCTCCCTATGCTGCCCAGGCTGGTCTCAAACTCTTGGACTCAAGTGATCCACCCACCTTGGCCTCCTACAGTGCTGGGATTACATGCATAAGCCACCATACCTGGCCTCCGCTTTTTTACCTTAGTCCCTAACCTAGTAATTTCACTTCTGGAAATCTGTCCTAAGGAAATAACTCAAAATATGTTCATCCCTGTGTTATTTCTTTTATCTTATTTTTTTTTTTTGAGACAGAGTCTCGCTCTGTTGCCCAGGCTGGAGTGCAGTGGCGTGATCTCAGTTCACTGCAATCTCCACCTCCCAGGTTCAAGCGATTCTCGTGCCTCAGCCTCCCCAGTAGCTGGGATTACAGGTGTGCGCCACCATGCCCAGCTTTTCGTATTTTTAGTAGAAACTGGGTTTCGCCATGTTGGCCACACTGGTATCAAACTCCTGGCCTCAAGTGATCCACCTGCCTTGGCCTCCCAAGGTGCTGGGATTATAGCATGAGCCACCATGCCCAGCCCCCTGTGTAATTTGTAATGGCAAAAAGCTGGGAGCAGCAATGGAAAAGGTAAGTAAATTGGGCACAGAACCAAGTCACAGCCACTAACTGCACAGTCATGAGAAATGAAAACTATGGGAAAAAGAGTTTTGAAATGCTAATTGAAAAGCAAGATACAAAAGTATAAAAAATGTTTTAAAGAGCTATAAATGTGCCATAATACAACAATGATTAAATGCTTATACCCATAGAGAAAAATACTGGAAGGAAATTTCACCAGTACAACCATGGCTGTGCCAAAAAAGCAAACATGAGTGATTTCCTGTTGCTGTTGTCCTCTCTTCTCTCAATGTTCTATCACATAGTTATTGTTAGAATACAAAAACAAAATGGATAAGGCAAATTTACGAAAGGTATGTTAATACTAAGTGTCAATAATCTGAGTGTTTGTACACACTTATTTAGTAAGCTTGTAAAAAAAATTCAGTGGTTAAAAATTCAGTGGTTATTTAACAAAAACTTTTTCAAAATATTAAATTGATACAACACTACAATGTATCATAATTTCCTTCTTACTTGCAACAAACTCCTGGATGAACAAAATCTTCCTCAAATGTCTAGACAACGTATGTATGTATTGCCTACACAGGAAGACAGTTTTGCAGTCTTAGTCTTCTATCAGCTTCTTGCCATTTCGCATGACTGGTGCTAATTTAGGTTAGCGCTCACTTAATAAAACATAAGAGCAGCTGGGTGTGATGGCTCCCAACTGTAATTCCAGCACTTTGGGAGGCTGAGGAGGGAGGACTGCTTGAGCCTAAGAGTTCAAAACCAGCCTGGGCAACAAGGAAGATCCTGTCTCTACAAAAATTACAAAAATTAGCTGGGTGTGGTGGCATGTGCCTGTAGTCCCAGCTACTCTGGAGGCTCAGGTAGGAGGATCACTTGCAGCCAGGAGGTGGAGGCTGCAGCGAGCCATGATTGCACCACTGCACTCCAGCCTGGGTGACAGACCAAGACCCTGCCTCAAAAAAAAAAAAATTAAGATTAAACTAAAAGAAGAGATGTAATAAACATAATGATCAGCTTGATTACTTACATGGTGTTTTCTTCTGTTTATAAACTTCCATTAACTGGAAGCAAGGTATCAATGAAAATGAGACAAGCCCCTTAATTTAAGAAACAAACTAAAGATTAAATGAACTGCAGTGTAAAATTAGATGGGCAAGACAGCCTTGCTTGCTCCAGAAGTCAGTGAGAAACAGGTGTGACTGCTCTAAAACTCAGAACACCTGTACAGGTGACAGCCTCTCATTTTCTCATTCCACTTCTTGCCTCATCTTAGTTCAGAATAACAGGGGAGAATTCAGAATTCCCTCTTGATTACTCCTGAGATACTTACCTTCTGCTTTGTTCTTTGAGGGAAGGGAAGAGAAGGGAGGGCGCAAAGGCGAATTTTTAACACTCATGTTCACAATTGGGTCACCACTCAAAAGCAAAGCTATTTGTGAGAAATTAATTACTGCTTTCACAAAGACCAAAAATCATGTCTCTCTTCAACACAGCTCCTACGATTTCCCAAAGAAATAAAAGCAAAAATTATCAGAAGAGAGAATGCCAGAAAACTAAAACAGTAGACTGCTTTGCTCTATTTTTTAATTTCTTTTTTTAAACAGGGTCTTACTGTCTCCCAGGCTGGAGTGCAGCGGCGAGATCGTGGCTCACTGCAGCCTCTGGCCTCAAGCAATCCTCCCACCTCAGCCTCCCAAGGAGCTGGGAACTACAGGCATGAGCCGACACACCTGGCTAGTTTTTGTACTGTTTGTAGAGATGGGGTCTCCCTGTGTTGCCCAGGCTGGTCTCGAACTCCTGGCCTCAGGTGATCCTCCTGCTTCAGCCTCCTTTGCAGTAGCTGGAACCACAGGCGCACGCCACCACACTTGTGCTAGGATTATAGGCATGAGCCACTGTGCCCAGCCTCTACTTTATTTTTAATTTTTTTTTTTTTTTTTTTAGAGACAAGGCCTCACTCTGTTGCCCAGGCTGAAGTGCTGTGGCCAGATCATAGCTCACTGCAACCTCAAACTCCTGGGCTCAAGCAATCCTCCCACCTCAGCCTCCTTTGCAGTAGCTGGAACCACAGGCGCACGCCACCACACTTGGCTAATTTTTGCTCTTTTAAGTAGTAAAAAGAGTTTAGCCAAACTTCCCTTCTTTGGAAAACCACACAGTCCTACTTTATAAATTCATATGCAAGTAGTCCCAGTTTTCTTAACCTCTAATATGCTCTAGACACTAATATTTGCTTAAAAAAAAAAAAGCTTTTCCCTCAGTCCCTCATCCCTATTTCCCAGTTCCTATTCAATGGCAGTATTCTCTTAACCCAGTGACCAGCAGATTTTCTGAAAAAGGCCAGACAGTAAATATTTGGGGTTCTACAAGGCCGCAGTCTCTGTCACAATTGCTCAACTCTGCTGTTATTATGAAGTGAAAGCAGCCATAGACAATACAGATGTGGCTGTGTTCCAATAAAACTTTATTTATAGGTGACACCGAAGTTTTAATTTCAATACCATTTCCCATGTTACAAAATATTATTTTGATTTTTCTCAACCTTTGAGAAATATAAAGACCATTCTTGGCCTATAGGCTATACATAAGCAGGGTCCGGCCCATGAGCTGTGGCTTGTTGACCTGTGTCTTAGCCAATCACCTAGCTGTGACCTGGGGGATGATCATGTGACCCTCACCCCTGCTGTCCTGTTTATCAATTCTTCCTTTATAAACAGGAGAGGGGCATGAAGGTGATCTGTGAACTGTAAAGCACAATGCTATATAAGAAATTATGAGGCCCAACACACTGGCTCACGCCTGTAATCCCAGCACTTTGGAGGCCGAGGCGAGATGATCGCTTGAGGTCAGGAGTTTCAGACCAGCCTGGCCAACATGTTGAAGCCCCATCTCTACTAAAAATACAAAAATTAGCCGGGCATGGTGGCAGATGTCTGATACTCAGGAGGCTGTGGCAGGAGAATCACTTGAACCTGGGAGGCAGAGGTTGTAGTGAGCCAAGATCGTGCCATTGCACTCCAGCCTGGGTGACAGAGCAAGGCTCTGTCTCTCAAAAAAAAAATAAATAAATAAATAATAAAAGCAGGAACTAAGCTACGCTGCGAGCATCTTGTAGACTCTGTGGAACCGTATTACCCAAGATGTTGCAGGACTGGTTACCGAGTACCCAGTGACTGGTTAAGAGTGACTAAGGGAGGGCTCTAAACAGCTCTGGCCAAAGGAACTTCATGCTGGGATGGCCACCGTCTATATTCACACTGTCTCATTAGTAGCCATGCTGTCTGCTCGGCACTTGAAATGTGGCTACTGCAACTGAGGAACTGAGTTTCAATTTTATCTAATTTTAATTGATTTTTAAGTTAAATCCTAAGTAACCAGATGGCTCGTGGCTACTGTACTGAATAGCGCAGCTCCAGAGTCAAGGGCAGGCTGCCAGGGTTCCAATCCTGGCTTCACCACTCCCAGGATGTGGGGCCTGGGGCCAGTTTCCCAGCCTCTCTGTGCCCCACAGTCCTCATCTGTAAAATGGGAATAGCAGTAACTCTTGCTGTGGTGCTTGGCAGCTTCCACTGTATGACTTATTGTTATTATTTGCTAGTCATAGCTACACACAGGCTTCTAACTGTTGGTACTCCATACTCAGAACACATCGTTACATGAAAAAGACACATTATAAAACAACATATAGTAAGCTATCATTTTTTTAAAAAAAGTAAATTATATACAAAGAAAAACCTTCATTAGGACTTTCACCAAACTAAAGAATGGTTGTAGTCATACTTTTTTTTCTGTATTATTATATTTTGCTTTCCTACAAAGAGGACACCCTGTTTTATTATATAAAAATAATCCAGGCCAGGTGGAGTGGCTCACACCGGTAATCCCAGCACTTTGGGAGGCCGAGACGGGCAGATCACTTGAGGTCAGGAGTTCAAGAACAGCCTGGCCAACATGGTGAAAACCCGTCTCTACTAAAAATAAAAAAATTAGCTGGGTGTGGTGGCATGCACCTGTAATCCCAGCTACTTGGGAGGCTGAGGCAGGAGAATCGCTTGAACCTTGGGAGACAGAGGTTGCAGTGAGCCGAGATTGTGCCACAGCAATCCAGCCTGGGCCACAGAACAAAACTAAGTCTCAAAAAAACCAACCAACCAAACAAACAAACAAAAAACCCAACCTTTAATGTCTCCCTGTTGCTAAGTAGGTGAAAGGTCCATCTAAGCCCCTTGGTCATTTGGTCATCTGGGTACAATCCACCCCTGTAAGGTTACTTTCCATGCTTCCCCTCCTCACCCGGGCTGCTCCGGAGAAACTGGCCAGGACACCCACCCACTGGGCCCTTCCCCTCCTGCCCGCCGCGCCCCAGGCGGCTTGCCCAGCTGCGATGCCCTCACCCTTCTTCTCCTTTTCAAATCTCTCTCGTGCCTGCATCCTTCTTCACTTACACTGCCGCAAATCAAAGTGATCGCCCCCTTCCAAAGTTCCTGTAACACAAACTGGTCCCCAGTACACAGCCTTTCTAGGACATGTCTTCTTAAATAGGCCAAAACCTTCCTTCGAGAGAAGCAGCCCCGGTATGTCACCAAATCTCCCTCCACACTTAAGTGTGCAGCCCGGGACACCCATCTAACTTTCTATCACGGACATTTTCAAACAGACATAAAAGTAGAGCATCCCCTAAATTCTTCAGGCGGCTGAAATTATTTTTCCTTGGTGAGTCCTACTCTTGACTTCGCTAGCTAACAGGACAGTAACACAACGCAAGGATAAAGTGACACGCCACCACGCCTAGCTCGGTGCATGTTGGCTAACAGACGATGGTCGGTCCTGAAATGCAAGCTGAGAATCACACAGAGCTGTCTGCCTTCTCCCCGTCAGTAAGTCCTTGTCACCCTTCAGAACACGTTCAGGGGTCATTTTGTGACCTCATTTATGCAGCAAATCTTTACTGAGCGCCAATTCTATGCCAGGGACCGTCCTACACTCTGAGGATACAAAAGTGAGGACACTACTCTTATCTGCCTTCAGGAGGCTTACATTCTGGCGACAGACCAATAGAGAACAAACAAGCAAACAAAATAATCACAAACTGTACAGCTGTGACAGATGAAACCTCTAAATGCCTTCCCCAACCCAACACACTTGGTCAGGTTCCTGTGCTTCCCATCTCAGAGTGAAAGGGGACGCTTTTTCTTTATGGTACTTAACAGTTTATAGTATCTGAGCCTTCTTCATCAGAAACCATTCTCCCTTCTAGACTATAAACACTCCGAGGGCAGGGACAGTGATCAGTACGTTGCCCAACAGATATTAGGGGCTCGATATTTGACTCTCAAATCAAGGAACTGATTGATTCCCCTTTAACAGGATCTATGGCAAATAGGACGTCTGCCCCCGCCGCCACGCCCCGCTCTTTTTAAAACCTGAGAACCCCCTTGCCAACAGTCCCTGCATAAGCGTGGACAAGAGTTCAGAGATCTATTTGAGCACAAAAGCAGAAAAAACAAAAACAAAACCCGTGCATCAGGGCGTGGTCCTATGGCCCAGCTGCGGAAAGCAGGGCTCTCTCTCCCGGCTAAAAATAACTCGGCGCCCTACGCCCCGGGGGTAGGGGAGAGAGAGGAGGAAGGACTGGGGGTCCCCGCCAAGATCCCCCAGGCCAAACGCTCTCCGAAGCCCACCCTGGAATAACCTCCTGCTTCACGGGGACGCAAGGACGAAGCAACGTTCACCGCAGGCTGCGGGTCCCCGAAGGCGGGCGGCCGGATTTGCCTAAACGGACCCAGCCCTATGGGGGCTGCAGCCGCCCCGTCGGGGAATGGGGGTCCCGGCGTGTCCCCGAGCCGCAGTGCTGTGCGACCTTGGGCAAGTCACCTAACCTCTCTGGGCCCCCGTCCCCTCCCTTGTCAGAGAGTGGCCTCCGGGGCAGCCCGCTGAAGTCTAAAGAAGGCAAAAACTCCCCGACCCCTCAAGGGGAAGACGCGAGCCGACGGCCGGGGCTCCGGATGTGCCAACAGCGCCAAGTTTCAAGTCTGTGTCGCGTGAGGGGGGCGCTAGCCCGCCCTGCAGCTTCCCCTCGGGCCCGCCCCGAAGCCCCGCGCCGCGCCCCACTCACCTCCAAAGGCGGGTGGGCTCGGACGAGGTCCCCGGCTGACTGCGGCAGCCGCACTCGCCGCCCCTCGACGAGCAGCGGCATCGCGGAGGCGGCCGCCCAGGCAGGCCCAGGGAGGCGGCGGCCCCCCGCTTTGCAGCCCCGGGCCGCCCGCCGCCCCCGCCCCTCGGGCCGCGCGTCCCGCCTCGTCCTGCCCCGCCCCACCGCGGGCGCTGCCGGGAAGTGGAGTCCAGGCGGAGGCGGTGCCGGCCGAAGAGACTGGAGAAATCCAGGACATGGCCGCAAGGCCTCACGGGAAATGTAGTCCAAAGCCAGGAAGTGGCCCTGGAAGCAGCGCGCGGCCCGCCTCCTCCGCAAGGGGCGCTGGGAAGTGTAGTCCCAAAAGCGTGGGAGTGAAGGAGCGGGGAAAGGAGAGCTGCCAGGGAGCAGCTGCACCAGCCAAGAGAGCCTCCGGGCGAGTTCCTGGGGCGGGTTCTGGCTCCGACTGCTGCGCTTTAGGTCATTGCTCCACGCTTCCCAGGTGTGTGACCTTCCACAAGCTTGAGTTTGGGACCCTGCTGTGCAGCTCCGTAGGATTGCATTCAATGAGTAATAATAAACCTAATCAGGCGGGCACGGTGGCTCACGCCTGTAATCCCAGCACTTTGGGGGGCCGAGGCAGGAGGATCGCTTGAGGCCAGGAGTTCGAGACCAGCCTGGGCAACATAGTGAGACCCACCCTCCCCCATACCCTCGTCTCTGCCAAAAATTTAAAAATTAACTGGGCACGGTGGCATGCACCTGTGATCCCAGCCACTCTGTAGGCTGAGGCGGGAGGATCTCTTGACCCCAGGAGTGGGAGGCTGCAATGAGCTATGTTTGGGCACTGCAGAGGGACACTCTGTTTCTGAAAATAATAAAAATAAATGTAAACGGTCTTAAACTGAGAAAATAGATCCTGAACTGTGCTAGCCCCACGTACTAAAGAGATCATCGATTAACACGTCGTGATTGGAATGCAATAGGCCACTCACAGGTGGGCTGGGAACCGTGGGGGAAGGATTTGCGGATACTGACTGCAGAGCCCCTAATCTGAGGACAGGTCCCCAAGGTGAGAGGCGTCTCACCGTGGAGCTCTCTTCTAAAACTTGGAAATATTGCTCAAATTCATCCAACTCTGCAGCACATTAACAAAAAGTAATTTTACAAAAGATACAGAGGAGCCACATGATACAGCAGAAACTTTATTAGAATTTTATCATCTGTATTCATCGTCTTCTTTCATAAATCTCCCCCTCAGCTTACACACCCCGTTCAACAAAAATACCAGGAAATTTACTAAAGAAATGACTGTAGAAGATGGTGTTCCCATCGCCAGGTTACCCAACTTCTCACCCAAAATAACTCTATTTCTAGCTACCAGGAAATTATTTCTCTGTATTATTACACCTACATTTCTCATTTGTCCTTACAAATGTAGGAGCTACTATCAACACCTCATTTGTCATTTGTCCTCACAAATGTAGGAGCTACTATCAACACCTCCGTTATAACAGATACAGTAACTTGCTCAAAGTGGTAGAAATAAGTAGTAGAACGAAGACTGAACCTAGCTTTGCATGATTCCAAAGGCAGTGCTCTCCATCACTATAAGATGCTCCTAGACTGTACTGTAAACAACTCATTCTAATGCAGGTGACATTAAGTAAGTCCCAACTAGGAAGCTCGGAGCTAAAAACAGGGTTTGAAACCAGGGTGATCAATGACCAGCAGGCTGGCCTGGAGCAAGTTACTTAACTTCCCTGAACTGGTTTTGTAGAATAGCATGTTTGTTTCACCTGGTACATACTAAACACTAAAGATAGCTATTATTGGAATTGCAGAGCAAAGAGTAGTCAATCAAAGTGAGGCATTTGGAAGTGCAAAGGTGAAGAACAAGGTTCTGTGGGTTCTGCCTGGGGCTGGTGCAGTTTGCCTAACTGGTTTTTCACTTTTGGGTGATCTTTTTTCAAGTAATCTCAGGTTATCAATCTCCTAGGCTGAGTACTGTGTTAAAGGACTAAATGAGCCAGATAACAAGCAGGAAACCACTCCCCTACCTCTCTTCCCACCCAGCTCCACAAATTTTGGTCTACAGGCAATGAGGAAGCAATAGCAGGTGTGTGGCCAGCACTGCGGCTCATGCCTGTAACCCCAGCACTTTGAAAGGCCGAAGGAGGACTCACTTGAGCCCAGAAGTTCGAGACGAGCCTGGACAACACAGGGATCCCTGCTTCTCCAACAAATACAAAAATTAGCTGGGCATGGTGGCAGGCCTGTAGTCCCAGCTACTCGGGAGGATCAATCAAGCCCTAGAGGTCAAGGCTGCAATGAGGCACGACTGTGCCACTGCACTCCTGCCTGGGTGATTACAGCAAGACCGTCTCAAAAAAAAAAGAAAAAGAAAAAGAAAGCACTAATTACAATGTTGGAAAGCCTGTTTCTTTAAGATAGGAAACCAACCTGCCTCACAAGATGGCTGATGGCAAAGTTCAAAGAATATATACAGGGAAATATTTTTTAAATTACACTTTTTTGAGGCCAGACATGGTGGCTCACGCCTGTAATCCCAGCACTTTGGGAGGCCGAGGCGGACAGATTGCTTGAGGTTAGGAGTTCAAGACCAGCCTGGCCAACATAGTGAAACTCCATCTCTACTAAAAATACAAAAATTAGCCAGGCATGGTGGTGCGTACCTGTAGTCCCAGCTACTCAGGAGACTGAGGTGGGCGGATCACTTGAGCCCAGGAGGCGGAGGTTGCAGTTGTTGAGCTGTGATTGCACCACTGCACTCCAGCCTGGGTGACAGAGTGAGACTCTTGTCTCAAAAAAAAGAATGATGAACATTATACAGAACCTTAGTAAATATTTAGTGAAAGGATCCCAATTTGTGTTTCAAATTTTTTAATGTAGAGATGGGGGTCTCACTATGTTGCCCCAGCTGATCTCAAACTCCTGGCTTCAAGAGATCCTTTTGCTGGCCTCCCCAAGTGCTCAGATTACAGGCATGAGCTACCACACCTGGCCCCAAATTATTAGATACATTATAAATCCTACTCAACCATCCAGAGTCAGACTGAAACACACAAAAGCATTTGATGGAAGAAAACATGGTGGAGCTTTGGATGTTCAATTAGTTGAAACAAGAAAAGTATGCAGTTGTACACCAATGAACAGTTCTCAAGGCAGCCTGCACCTTCGAATCACCAGGGGGCTTTAAAAACCATCCATGTCCAGACCCCTCTTCTGGAGACTGATTCAATCAAAGGTTGAGTTGGTGTGTGACGTGAGCCTGGGCATCCTTAGTTTCTCAGCACTCCAAGGGACTGATTCTAGGGCACAGCCAGGGTTAAGAACCACCATCGTAAGCACTGCCCGGCAAGGGAAACACGCTGGTTCCTCCTCTCCAGTTCAGATCTAAGTTGGTACCAGGGAGGTAGGTATTATGGAAGAAATAGAAGTTATCTTTAACCAAAAAAAACTTCCCATGGAAGTGCTTCCTTTCTTGCAAGAAAACAACAGCCATTAACTTGTACATGCATCGAATCCTTAAAGCCTTACACTAGTATCTTATTCCCATTTTACAGTTTAATTAGCGCTCAGAGAGGTTAGGTAACTTGCTCAACGTCAAACAGCTAGCTAGGAAAGGAAGCCCATGGCACTTGGTAAGTTGACTTGTAAAAATTCAGCCACTTCTCATCAAGGAAGACCAAACCAGAGCACACAGACAAAAGGACAGACCCTGGAGACTCCTACAACTGACAGCTTTTTAGTGAAAGGAAAAATTCCCATTGTTGGCATGTAATTTATAAGGAGATTTCACAGTATTTTTCCCCATAGATGTCCCTTCAAAGCATGTAACTTTTTGAAAGAAGTGTCTGCTTCCCTTGGACCTGCTCAAGCCTCAATCACTCTTTGCTGGGTGTGATTAAGGAGAGTCGCGGATACTTCATATAGTGCACACGGAAACCATCCTCACCCCGGCATGCAATGAATTCCATCAAGCTCCCCGCCACACCAGCACTATTTCTCCCTCTTCAACAGCAATGCCTCAGGAGTTTTCCACTGCAAAATGCTTTAATACATTAAATTAAAAAAAAAAAAACAAAACAGAAATTGAAAGAACATGTATTGAGGTACCTTTTATTGGTATAAGAACGTAAGTTCCAGATTAACCATGTCATTGTTTCATTTTCACCATGGATTTTTTTTCACAAACTCCTTTGAAATTAAACAGACTTATATGTAAATGTCTTTCTACATTAAAACTACTTCCCAACCCACAAAGACCCCACTTACTACTAATTTCTGGGGAATTTCGTTTACTCGTTTTATCTAATATTAAAAAATCAACATTTTGCCAGCAGTTAAAAAGACAACCTTAAAGTTCTCAAATTACTTTCCACCAAACCCGGAAAAGAAAACCACCCATATCCAAAACTTTAAAGCAATAAAAATTTCTATTTTCCAAAAAAGTATTTACAGACTGAAATTCAAACTCTACATTGCCATCAATGTAATTATACAAGTGCATACAAAGCCCTGGAAAAGAGGAAGTATTTCATTACAAAATATTTATGATCAAGAAAATATTGCTTGCCTTTAAATAAAGTGGCAGAAAATAAATATGCTTAAAGATGGCCATTTTCACAAGTAAACAAAAAAGTACACATGTAAGAAACAAAGTGAAAATGCTTGAGCTTCAAAATGACTCTAGCAGTGTTTGCACAAATTTGTTTTAAAGCGAGGTCTTCTGAAGACTTCCTCTGTTTAGTTATAAAAATACAAAAAGAGGCTTTAGAGAAGGATTTCACCAAGCCGAATGTGCGATGCACACAGCCATCAGACCAAGACTGCACTAGCAACTTCCACCTATTGTTGTGAGCAAAACCGTACACCAAATAATCTAAAAAAATTTTCCTGTTTCCAACAAAGAAATTCCCAATAACTAAGTGATGCAGATCAAAACTGACTCGATCTAATGGCCACCAAGGAGCAGTTCTAGATCTAAGGGGACACTTGAGAGCCAAGGGGTCAAATCCAATCTCATGTGTTTTACACAAGCCCGAACTCACTTTCAGTCTGTGTGAATTACATCTACCTGGACCTCCATTTTTGTCTTTTAAATCCATTTTTTCGCTGTGCCAAGTATATTACACATCTGATTCTGTTTCCCTATATCCTCTCTCTCTTCCCTATGGGCTTTTATTGGTCTCTGAAGTCCCTGGAGATCTTCAGTGCCAGCTCCAACTCTGTGTCCCAGACCATGTCGGGCCAGCTCTCAGCTTTCCTTCTGTCTTCTCTACACTCCCTTGAAATCCCAACAGACAAATACCAATACAGCAGAAGGTGAACAATGTAGCCAAAATAAACACTTTCTAGTTAAAGTCTTTAAATAGAAGTTTTATCTTAGAGGATTCTTCACTGAAAGCTCATCAGTCAAGTCCTAAGACCATGGATCTGACAAAAACCCATGTTAAAACAGCAACCCGTAAAACAGTCTGCTGCCTATATTAGAAATTACCCAGTAATTGTGTCAAAAAGCTGTTAACACAAAAAATGTACATATTAAACAAGCAAATCCTTCCAAATGTATCATCAACCCCACTGTAAAAGATTGCACATGATAGTCTTCATTTTGTCTGTAAGGGGAACAACAACAACAAAAAAACCCAGTCTTCAGATGCTTGATTCAGTCGAACCTGGAAGTGCCACAGCCGAGGCAGGCACTCGCTCTAGTTCAATGCCATCAATGCCCAATGGCACAAGCTGGGTGCTGAGGGCATGACAAGTGATGGGGAATCCCAAATGTCACATCTCAGTCACAAATTTCTGCCGTCAGAGGGGACTGGGTTGCATGTACAACACGGGTGGGGAGCCCACACTACTTGAAGGACTTCGGAAATGCGTGTCAAAGGAGCTTGGTGTGATCCCAATCACGGTATCATTCTGGGGCACTTCGCCTTTCAGAAAGTCATCATCTTCATCTTCCACTATGTCCTGCAGAAACATCAGAAATCATCAGTAACATCACCAGTGCTGACTGAAAAGCTTTCAACAATTCCTTCCTCAGGAAGGTGTTAACGTTTGTAAAGATGGTGAAGAAAATATCTTAATTTCAAAAGAAAGCCAGTGTAGTGGCACACGCCTGTAGTCCCAGCTACTCAGGAGGTGGAGGTGGGAGGACTGCTTGAGCTCAAGAGTTCCGAATCCAGCCTGGGCAACATAGCGAGACCATGTCTCTAGAAAAACAGAACAGAACAAAAGCTCCCTCTGATAAGCACTTCCTTCTTACCAACATACCCACATAACTGCTCATCACACATTGTAATCATTTGTTTCAAGTCTGACTTGCAAACAGATTTGAAGCTCAATGGGGACAGGAAACATGACGAGTCATTCTTGCCCAGTGTTAGGAACTCTTGTACCTAACACAATGTGAATGAATTACACGCCCCTCAACAAATGAAACATAAAGAAAAAGATGAAAGGGGCTTTCCAATGATTACTTATTAAAAACAACAACAAAAAAGCCATCTTGAAGCTGCTTTTAATGAGAAAACAAATGTGCTCCCAAGCAACAGAGCAGCGAAATTCTTTATTACTGGATTCTAACTTTCCTCTCTAACTGTAACTGTCTCAGCTCCACCTCATGTGACCTGGAGGGTATGTTGCAACCTGCGTCTTCACCACCCATTCATGAAGATCTATAAAACTAATGTAAACTGCTGGGGCAATTTCAACATGAGTCAACTGGAGATTGTTACTTGGTAAGAATGCGCAAGTGGCAAAGATCTAAATTCATTCAGCTAATTTGTAATTAACCTTCGCTTCTCACATGTCAGTATGTGAAGTGTCTGGTTTAAGCAATTTATCCAAAAAAGCCATAGACTCTTTAAATAACAACAAAACCTGGGCCTGGAATTTTATAAAGGCAGAATGAGTAAGACACGGTTTTGGTGTGCTTTTTTAAAGAAAACAGGGTCTTGCTCTGTTGCCCAGGATGAAGTGCCATGCTGCATTTACAGCTCACTGCAGCCTTGACCTCCCACCTCAGCTTCCAGAGGAGCTGGGATTACAGGTGTGCACCACCACGCCCAGCTAATTAAAAAAATTTTTGTAGAAACAGGGTGTCACTGTGTTGCCCAGGCTGGTCTCCAGCAATCCTCTGGCCTTGACCCCCTAAAGTGCGGGGATTACACGCACGAACGACTTGCCACTTACTATCTCACTGTGACCTGGAACCAGAAAGGAGATTCCGAGAGTGTGCTCAATCAATCACAAACTGACCTTTTTCATGGGTTTCTTGAACTCCTGTAGCTCTTCAGCACTCATGTCTTCCCACACCTGATAAATAGGATCAATGAATTTCTTTGACCTGTCAACAAAGATCACATTTCAAAGTCAAGTTAAATACTTCGGCAGAAGTCAAAATTGGTTTGGATCTTTTCTCACAAGATCTATTACCCAAAACCAAGAAGTGAAAACTACAGCTTAAATAATTACATTTAAAAAAAACCTGGCTGGGTGCAGTGGCTCACGCCTGTAATCCCAGCACTTTGGGAGGCTGAGGTGGGCAGATCATGAGGTCAGGAGATCGAGACCATCCTGGCTAACACGGTGAAACCCCATCTCTACTAAAAATACAAAAAATTAGCCGGGTGTGGTGGCGGACACCTGTAGTCCCAGCTACTCGGGAGGCTGAGGCAGAATGGCCTGAACCTGGGAGACGGAGCTTGCAGCGAGCCGAGATCGCGCCACTGCACTCCAGCCTGGGAGACAGAGCAAGACTCTGTCTCAAAAAAAAAAAAAAAAAAGAAAAAAACAAAACAAAAAAACAACCCTCTATGTAAATGCTGTAACTAATGTGGCTCTTTCTGTATAAGAGTTCATTCACTCATGTCGATGGAGTATTGAACTACCGTTTTTCATCTTTCCATTTTCATGTGAAATTGTTTCTAAACTTTACAAAGACTCACAAGTCAGTTAGATACAGTATATCCAAATGGAAATGAAACCGTAATATTCTGGAACTCTCTTTTTTATATTTCTGTAGTAATTTGCTGAAAAGTAAGTCTAGGAAAAACAACTAATCTGGTTTCAGTCAACCAAGACTTCAGGGACCAGACAATCCCAGATGGTCATGATGCTGCTAGTTATTTTAGAAACCATAATAAGCAAAAATCCTGCTTCCTTATACAAGTGCCAAGTTAAGGCTGGCCCAGTGGTTTTCTAGAACAACTCATCTAGATAAATCGCTTTTTGTTTTTTTTTTGTTTTGTTTTTCTGAGACAGAGTCTCACTCTCTCGCCCAGGCTGGAGTGCATTGGTGCAATCTCGGCTCACTGCAACCTCCACCTCCCGGGTTCAAGAGATTCTCCTGCCTCAGCCTCCCGAGTAGCTGGAATTACAGGCGCCACCACCACACCCAGCTAATTTTTGTATTTTTAGTAAAGACAGCGTTTCACCATCTTGGCTAGGCTGGTCTTGAACTCCTGACTTCAAGTGATCCGCCCGCCTCAGCCTCCCAAAGTGCTGGGATTACAGGCATGAGCCATTACGCCCAGCCAATCGTTTGTTTTTCGTTTATCCTGTGCAACAGAATGGTATGTGGTCTCTAGAGGAAGGAACAAGACACTTGGCAGAAAATTATGAAGCAAGAAAAGACAGCACCCTCCCCTATCCTGGCACCATTATCCCCATTAACCTTACATGTTTAAATAACAGTTTAAAGAAAAACAAAAAACAAAAAACCCTTGATGTCAGTCTGGCTCCTAGTGAGGCAAAGATCTACCCACTCTGGGGTGCCTGCGCCACTCGGCAAGTCCTGCTAGGCATCCTCTACTTTGCATCTGGTGAAATATACGCAGGGAGACCACGAGATGCTCATCAACAGCGAGGAAGGGCCACTTCTGGTGAAGAGCCCTAAATCCCAATTTTGGGAAAAGCAAACATGTATCACGTTTAAATCCACCTCCTGGCCGGGCGCGGTGGCTCACGCCTGTAATCCCAGCACTTTGGGAGGCCGAGGCGGGCGGATCACGAGGTCAGGAGATCGAGAACATCCCGGCTAACACAGTCAAACCCCGTCTCTACTAAAAATACAAAAAATTAGCCAGGCGTGGCAGTGGGTGCCTGTAGTCCCAGCTACTCGGGAGGCTGAGTCAGGAGAATGGTGTGAACCCGGGAGGCGGAGCTTGCGGTAAGCCGAGATCACACCACCGCACTCCAGCCTGGGCGACAGAGTGAGACTCCGTCTCAAAAAAAAAAAAAAAATCCACCTCCTCCAGCGTCAATGTTTAAAAGTACCTACCTCTTCAGCACACAGGGATCAAAGGGGAAGAAGGTGTCCAGCGGGTTTGTGCAGATCTGCACTGAGTCTCCTCCAGCGGTACTCCTAATGACTGGCAGCATCTGGCGATTGTTCCTCTCAATGATGGTGTAGCAGAAGACGAGCTGGTACTTACTGTGGAACAAAAAAACAACACAGACAGAGGCATTAACATGCTGGAGTGACTCGGTGCAGATGTGAGCTGCGTGTGACAACTGTACCTACCACAGAGAAATTGCTGAATATAACAAGTGCTAGTAAAAATAACAATATAAAGCAGAAAGTAACACTTTTAGGGTACCGTTCTATGGGTCTTCTATTTGCAAGTTTGCTAAGGAGAAAGAAAACGTGGCTATCACTCAGAATGTGAAACTGGGCTTATATTTTAATGAGTAATAGATATTATTCATTATATTTTAATGAGTAATAGATACTATTCATTAAAAATAAATGTTTGCAAGGCAAAACTCTTAGATTACGTAACTATAGGTGTCTTTATTTTTACTGTTTGCAAAAGAATTAGAAGGTTGGTGGTAAAGGGATTCAGGAGTTACTCAGGAGGAAATAGTGGTTGGTGAAGAGACTTGCTGAAGAAGCACTGAAAAAGAAATAAGCCTTTACTGAAGGAGGGACACGGGGTTGACTAAGTCATGACCTCAAAAACAGGCACAGAAAGGACTAGGCATGCCGAGTGAGAACAGTTAAATGCATAGAAGAAAACATAAAATAAAGACAATTATGTTTTTAATTTTTCCAGTAGTTGTCTCTAAATGATTGAGCAACTTGAAAAATTATCTATTGGACAGCTTCTCCAAGATGAGGACTCAGATCTCACTTCTGTCACTCTCCATCTCAGGTTCTCAGGTCACCATGGCAACTTCAAGCCACATACTTTGATTTCTGTCCTGTTAGCCAAGGCTCACAGCACTTGACCCCTCCTCCTGGTGGAGGACACATCAGCAAAACCACACTGGAGGGTGGTTTGCACTATCAGGTAAAGTTGAAGATCTGCATCTCCTACAACCCCGCAGCTGACCGCACTTCCGGGTGTGTGACAAGGAAGCATGTGCCCACACACAAGAATGTTCCTGAGCACTAAAACACTAACACAGCCGGCTGGGCACGGTGGCTCACACCTGTAATCCCAGCACTTTGGGAGGTTGAGGCAGGCGGTTCACTTGAGCTCAGGAGTTTGAGACCAGCCTGGTCAACATGATGAAACCCCATCTCTACTAAAAATACAAAAATTAGCTGGGCGTGGTGGCAGGCGCCTGTAGTCCCAGCTATTCGGGAGGCTGAGGCAGGAGAACTGCATGAGCCTCGGAGGTGGTGGTTGTAGTGAGCTAAGATCACGCCACTGTACTCCAGCCTGGGTGACAGAGCAAGACCTTGTCTCAAATAAAAAAAAAAAAAAAGACAAAAACTAACAGATGAAATCCCAACAAAGACTCAATAAAAAAGATTCCCAGAACATAACACAGCAGTTAAAATCAAAATAAAGCTTTGTGTCAATATGGTTCAATCTCAAAAGCATCAAGCAGGCAAAAGCAACAGCTACAGAATGGTACACGCCTTTATTTACCATATCTGTACCTAGGCAGAGACTTTTATTTCAATCCCCTGCTCTTAGCCTCACATCGCATCACACTCTGTGCCTCCAATGCGCATGCCAACCCCAAATCGAGAGCCCCTGGACCAGATGGTTCACAAATGCAGTCCTCTGTCCCCACCCCGAGAACATACCAGGGGCAGCGGCCTCTGCTTTGCTTCATCCATCCTCACTCTTTGAGCTGCTCACCATCTTAACCAACGTGCTGAAGCCTCCACCCACTCACTGCCGTTGCTTATTGGTCTCTTTATGCCTTTTCCTAATCCTTTACTATCACTGAGACTCAGAAGAGAGGACACCTTGAACCAGACGCCTAGCAAAGGAGAACTAAAGAGGCTGACGGAGCTCAGCAAGCTGTTGGCTCTTATCTGTTGAAGATTTTAAGCTATGATCCGGCCTAAATATCCTCATTGAATATTCAATTCTCCAATTCGCTTTCTCCATAAAGCAGAATAACTTAGTGAAAGCTTACAAAGGAGCCAGACTACATTTAAATCTGTGCTGCCAGTCTAGCTCTATGACTTTAGGCAAGTGATTTCACCTCTCTGTACCTCCACCTCCCTGTTGATAAACAGGGTTTCATCCTAGAGGATCAAATGAGTTCTATGTAAAGTGCTTAGAACTGCCTGGCACAGAGGAAAGGCTATGGATTAGCCATAGCTACCAGACCTGAGAGAACAGAACTCTCTAAACCAATCTCTTACAGGTCAACATTTGCCTCATGTCCAGTTTATTTCTATTACTATTACAGGAGTCACTCTAATAAGCATCTATGGCTTTGCCCCTCTCAGCTTACTGGTTGCCATACTTATTTCAAAGTGCTGCCCTTTGGATAAGAAGTAGTAGTAATTTCCAACGCCATCAAAGTATAAAAACAATAGCTGTATCACAGTATTTCCTGCAAGGACTGGGTTGTTTTTGTTTGTTTAAGAGACAGGGTCTCATTCTGGAGCCCAGACTGGAGTGCAGTGGTACAATCAGGGCTCACTGCATCCTTGACTTCCTGGGCTCAAGTGATCCTCCTACCTCAGCCTCCTGAGTAGTTGGGACTACAGGCACAGGCAACCACACCCAGCTAATTTTTAAAATTTTTTTGTAGAGATAGGGTCTCACTATGTTGCTCAGGCTGGTCTTTTAACTCCTGGCCTCAAGCAATCCTCCCACCTCAGCCTCCCAAAATGTTGAGATTACAGGTGTCAGCCACCACGCCTGGCCTTTTATAATGTTACTAATTTCATAGAAATTTAACACTCTTACAATACTAGATAAACATAAATAAAAATATTTTAAATAACTCCCATCAAGAAAGCGTAAATAACTTACTTTGTGATTGCAGCAAAAAAGTTAACCACTGAGGGCAGGCAAATCTTCAGGGGATTTAGCTGGCTCATCACTATCCGCTCAAAATTCAGACTCTGAAGATACTGCAAACCTTTGGTTTAAAAAAAAAAAAGATTTTTTTAAAGGTACAAATAAGTGAAAAGTGTAAGATACTTTTAAAAGCACAAATTATCACACATTTAAAAAAAACTTTAAAAAATTATTTGCAGAAATGCTTTAAATAAAGGTCCATGCAGATAGTCACACAGTATATGGCCCAGAAGAGTATCACTAGGCTAACCACATTCATTGGTCACCAAGGCAGCTTCTCTAAAGAAAACTTAGGAAGTAGCAGGCTGTAAGATTCCACGACAATGTGAAATTCATATGTTTGCAAGCTCAGTGTATGCTGAGATAATACAGAGGGAGAAAAGACCTTGTGATTTGGTTTCAGCTAACAATCATGACAGGCAACAAAACAAAACAGCAATTTGATTCTAGCTTGCATGTCTTGTTAGTGAAGCTGAGTGCTGTTTTCAGGTGCACAGTAGTCATCTGTAGTTTTTTTTCTAAACAAGAAAACTCCAAATTTGCCTTCTACCTCAACGGACGGCAAATTTAGACAGAAACCACTTTCTTAGACTTAATGAATATAATTCTTTTCTACATGAGTAAAATAAAGACATCACATTTATTTTAAGAGGCAAGCTGACCAACTTGTACTTAAGTATATTTTCTTAGGAGTTTCTTTGATACGTATTTCAATAAAAATTACCTAAATGGGATGTCACAGCTTACAAAAACAAGATATTTAATCCAGATTCCTGGCATTAATTTATACAAAGAAAAGCAGAGCTTGTATTTACTTACCTTGTGATAAAACCTCATCCTACTAGTTCATACAACATCTTTTAGAAGCATGTAGGATGTAGGTAAACATATATAATGCAACACATACAACTTTCAGTTTAGAGCTGTGGCTGTTAACCCAAGGAGACTGCGACCCCCGCAGAGGACACCTGGCAGTATCTGGAGACACTTTTAGTTGTCACAGCTGGGGGTGGTCGGGGACTGCTGTTGGCAGCTAGTAGGTGGAGGCTGTTAAACATCCTACAGTGCAGAGGACAGCCCCCGACGATGAAGGATGATGCAGCCCAAATGGCAATCGTGCAGGGTTCAGAGACCCCGGTTTAGAGGAAGTGACCCACAAAACCATAAGAATTATTCATAAACATAAACAGAACAATTTACAATGACTTATAAACACTGTTCTTGGAGACTCTCTTCAACTAAAATACACTAATCTAATAAGTTTCAACTGACAGATTTGAATTATAAGTAACTCTTAGAAATTAGCAAAACAATACTGGTCAATTAAGTCTCAAGGCTTCAGGCAGAGTTTAATCTATATAAACTCAAACTTTAGGGTCAGCCAAACCTGGCTTCAGTTTTCTAATCCTGCCACTAACCATGTGATCTTGGGAAAATGACTTTCCTGTGCTTTAGTGCTGTCTGTAAAGGGAGAATACCTGCCATTTACTGGGCTGTTACAAGGACAACAAAGAGAAGGTGCATCCAACTGAAGCTTTGTACAGGGCGCTGGCACAGCCCAGGGCTCAGCCTCACCTCTGGAGACATCTTCACATTTCAAACTTTCAAAGGCAGAAACCTCTTTCTTAACCTCAAATCCATCTTAAGGGGTTTGTAGGGTTCTCAAGCTCAAATCTATCTTAAGGGGTTTGTAGGGGCCTATGAGCTGCTTGAAATTATTATTAAAAGTTTGAGTGCACATGCAGTTTTCTGAATCCAGTTTTTATAAAAATCTCAAAAAAGTAATGAATCACCATTCTGAAGGGTGACAAGAACACAAGGAAAATCCAGTCCAGCACTCCCACAACACTGACCTTCTTTCAGGTTTCCGCTCAAAAGCTGCTTGTGTCTAAAAACAAAGGTGTAGAACACAGCTTGGCAGGCTGAGTAAAATGGTCCATGGAGAGCAACATCGCAGAATGCCTTTGTTCCCGAATCCTGGTTATTAAGGTATATGTGCAGCCAGTTAACCAAAAGATCTAGGCATGATTTTACAGTACTAGAGAAAAGAAAAATTCAAGTCAACTTTACACATCATAAAAAAACCAGAATAACATAAAAACACACAACTGCCTTTCATTACAAACCATGCTAAGTAAGTTCATAGGTTTCTTTAAATAATACCCATGGGTACAGAGGAAAAGCAAAGAAAGGAAGGATAAGGATGGGTGCGTAGGAAGACAACCTTCCAATTACAAGGCAGAGTAGCTCTGACCTTCTAGGAACAGGTGAGCCCCTAAGAACGTCCCAAGGGATGGAAAGCAGGTTCTCCTAACCATCTCAAAGGCACCCCTCTTAAGGTGATTGGCCAAACAGGACACGTTCACCAACACCTCTCAAGAGAAAGACAGTCTGGTGGACTTCAGTATTCCCTGATGCATCCTAGTCAAGTCCTATGGTGAATAATTTTGTGGTTGGGGAAGGGTTTCAACAGCATCCTTGTCCAAAGGTATCTTTATGGGCCACTGGAAGAAACTGGCCTCCTAGATAGGTCTATTACCTTTAAAAGGGTTTTTCTTCAGCTTTAACAGATACAATAGATTTGGAATGCAAATGAAAAAATGACAAACCTACAAAAAGAATCAAAACAGTATACAACACTGTCCTCTATCCACAAAACAAATGGATCTTTAAGTGCAACCAAAAGAGATGACAAAAGCCTTACATACAGGGTTTTATATATAAAAAAGGAGACACTTTATTCTAAAATCACCACTTAGAAATATAAACATCTTGCACAGAGTAGGGATTTTATTCACTTTAAAAACATGCCAAAAAAAATGGGAGATATTTCTGACTTGAGACAATGCTATACTCTTTTTAAAGCATGATATTAAAAAGTATTCGGAAAATTAGGCTACTTACATAAGAGGAATAAATTTAGCTCTTGCCAAAAAGCTTCCAATATAATTTCCAGCAGCCTGCCTGATGATGGCAGGATTACTTGGGTCCTGCAATTTTTTCCAGAGATGTTCCAAAAATGCCTCTGCGAATCCCTATAAAAAGAGAGGGCGTCGGTGTGATCTTTTTTAATGCCTAAGATAATCTGGCTATCAAAATCCCAAGATTTTTACTTCACCAATGTAGGGAAAAGTTCTACTATCTCATAACTATCTCATGGGCTTCATTTTTAAAACACATTGAGAGAATATCATTAAAAACAAAAGGCACCTCGGGTGTTAAATAATCCAGTGGATCCCAAACCTAGCTAAGCATCACAATCAACCCGGGGCCAGGCACAGTGGCTCACGCCTGTAATCCCAGCACTTTGGGAGGCCGAGGCGGGTGGATCACCCAAGGTCAGGAGCTCGAGACCAGCCTGGCCAACATGGAGAAACCCTGTCTCTACTAAAAATACAAAAATTAGCCAGGCATGGTGGCAGGTGCCTGTAATCCCAGCTACTTGGGAGGCTGAGGCAGGAGAATCGCTTGAACCCAGGAGGCAGAGGTTGCAGTGAGCTGAGATCATGCCACTACACTCCAGCCTGGGTGACAGAGTGAGACTCCATCTCAAAAAACAAACAAACAAAAAACAACAAAAAATTCAACCTGGGAGGTACAAATTCAATAGGTTTGTGACAGGGCTTTGGAATCCACATATTACAAAAACTCTTCAAGTGATTCCAATGTCAGCCAGAACTGGTGACCAACAATAATTCACATCCCATGGAGCTCCACATGGGCACTCCTGTGAGTGCAAAGCACCTTCCGGTCTCTGGACACACTGAACTCAACCACGAACAGAAATACGGACTAACGCACAGCTGGTATTTGAGTTAATTATGCCAATCATGGAAAAAAACAGACACAGCTTCTCACCAAAGGGTGTAACTTCCAACTTCTCCTAAATAGCGCTGTTCTAAAGCTAGGCACACCCATGTGGGCAGACTGAATTCAACCTTCTTTCCCATGACCAACACTCTCCTGATCTCTAGGAAGCCACAAAATCGTTGCAGAGAAGGAAAAGCCTTCTACATTCTTTCCCCCACCAAAAAAAAAAAAAAAAGAAGAAGAAGAAGAAAAGACAAAGCCTAAAGTTTTTAAAATTCTAGATTAATAAGTTGGTTTGGGCTAGTTACAACTCAACCCTTGGAAAGAATAAAGGAAATACAGTTAATTACCCCATATGAGATTTTAATAGAGAAAGGCTTAAGGGAAGAGCACCACCTAGTGACCAAAAGGCAGGATGACATTTTCGGAGCACCTAGCTGGGCTGGCAGGCAGCAATCTGTTTTCTCTCCAAGTGTACTGAGAAGGGAACGTGGGCCAGGCACAGTTGTTCACACCTGTAATCCCAACGCTTTGCGGGGCAGGAGGCGGGCAGATCACTTGTGGTCAGGAGTTCAAGACCAGTATGGCCAACGTGGCGAAACCCCACCTCTTCTAAAAATACAAAAATTAGCCAGGCATGGTAACCTGTGGTCCCAGCTATCGAGAGGGTAAGGACTGAGAGTCCGTTGAGCCCAAGAGGTGGAGGTTGCAGCAGTGGGCAGCAGAGCGAGACTGTGTCTCAAAAAAGAAAGGAAAAGAAAACAAAAAAAGAAAGGAGAATGCGATTTTATTAAGCAGACTAGCAAGTAAGCTCAAAGAAAAGAATTATTTACTTCATGGTCTCCGTCCACCCCAGTTTTTAGGGAAAATTTTTGGGCAAAAACAAAGTAAGCTAAGATAATGTTAATCACATTCTTACTCACCAATTTGAAACTACAGAGGTAAAACATGAAAAACTGTACATGGCAGGAGGCATGGGTGGGCAACAGGAGTTTGTCAAAGATGTTTATCAGGTCGCGATATAGATCCTTTGTTTTGCCGTTATCAACCTTACCTATGGAGAAAATCTGGCATCTCAGTTTTTATAAAGACATATTTTCAAGTTTCATCTGCCATATTTTTTATAAACACAACACCATTAAAAAACAACATTATCCAGCCAAGCACAGTGGCTCCTGCCTGCAATCCCAGCACTTTGGGAGGCCAAAGTGAGAGGGAGCCCGGGAGTTCAAGGGCAGCCTGGGGAACACAGGGAAGCTCTGTCTCTACAAAAAATCAAAAAATTAGCCAGGCATGGTGGCACGCCTGTGATCCCAGCTACATGGGAGGCTGAGGCGGATGAACCGCTTGAGCCCAGGAGGTCAAGGCTGCAGTAAGCCATGTTTGTGCGACTGCATTCCAGCCTGGGTTAGAGTAAGACCGTGGCTATTTAAAAAAAAAAGAAAGACAGACATTATCCATTAAAATACCATTAAAACAAAATGCTACTTTTAGTTTACACAGATTTTCCTCTGAATATAATAATCTAACACCTGCAAGGAAGCAGGCCCTCACCTCACACACTGTGGCAAGGTCAGAAATGCAAACCCTTCTGAAGAGCAATTCTATCATTCGTGTAGCAAAAGACCTCTAATCCGATCATTTTACTGTTAGTAAACAGCTGAATATATAGGCACAAGTATGTTCATTATAACTGTTACTTATCATGGTGAAAACAGTAAAAGACAGTTAAACCCATGTGACCAACAACATTTATTATTACGACTTTTTTTTTTAGAGATGGGGTCTTGTTATGTTGCCCAGGATAGTTAGTCTTGAACTCCTGGCCTCAGTGATCCTCCCACCTTGGCCTAAGTGCTGGGATTCAATAACAATTATTTTAAAACAGGCAATGATATGAGAAAATGTTTATCTTCAGCATCCATGTAAAGGGCAGATTATGAAACACTTGTGTTTAGTGTGACACCCAAATTCACTAAAAAATACTCTCCTACATATACAGACGCTAACAGAAAAGGGAAAAAAGTCAAACTTCAAAATGCTCACAATGGTTCTCTGAAGAGTAGAAATGTGGCCATTTAAATTGTTTTTATCCTTTCCTGTAGTTTCCAAATTCTCTAATCAACATGTATTATTTTTATAACAGCAAGACCGTTAAAACAGTAATGCAGTCAACTCAGATTCCAGTTCTATTATTCTGACTCACTGAGCTCATCTTAAATCTTAGCAATGTGAATGGAAAAAAATTCTGTTTTCGCCTGGCAAAGCCTTTAAAGTTCCATGAAGTCAAGAAGCACATATAGTACTAACACTGGCACAACAATGGTGCCAGGCAAAGACCCTCTAAACTCAATACATAACGGAGCACCATATATTAGTGCACCCTACATCATTCTTCAGTGCATTCAGCAACTTGAGCGTAATTTGATCTAAAACTGGCCAAACTCCATATATAATCTTTCAATACAACAATCAGTGAAAAGACAGAAGACAAATATAACTCAGCCAGAATCCCAGTCCCATTTTCAAGCTATGTGACTGGCAAGTAACTTGACCTCTTTAAATCATCTTAAACTCATACTCAATAGATATTTTTACAGGATTTTTAGTATTACTAGAGATAATGGATGGAAAATGCCCAGCACAAAGCCAGGTACACTGCAGGTGTTCAATAAACAGTAGCTACTGTGATTTACCATCTACATAGCAGACATCCTTCATGTAGGACAAAACCAAAGACATCAGGATGTCCAGGCGCTCGGCTACAGGATGCACCATCTGGTCGAGCCGTTCAGGACCAGCCTTTGTTTCATGTTCAGTTTCTTCATCTTCATCCTTTGAAGACAAAAAGTAAATACTAACATTAAAAAATTCAATGTCAAAGTGGTTTAGTAGGAAAACTGTCATAAGTGATTATTTCCCTTAAAAGATAAAACAAAGAGGCTGGGGAAAGCGGCTCACATCTATAAGCCCAGCACTTTGGGAAGCAGAGGTGGGGGGATCACTTGAGGTCAGGAGTTTGAGACCAGCCTGGCCAACATGGTAAAACTCTGTCTCTACTAAAAATACAAGAATTAGCCAGGTATGGTGGTGCACGCCTGTAATTCCAGTTACTCAGGAGGCAGAGGCAGGAAAATAGCTTGAACTGGGAGGTGGAGGAGGCTACAGTGAGCCGAGTTCGTGTGCTCCAGCCTGGGCAACAGAGGAAGACTCTGTGCCCCACCAAAAAAAAAAAAAAAAAACTAAACTAAAACAAAGAAATGGACCACGCACAGTGGCTCACGCCTATAATTACCAACACTTTGGGAGGCCAAGGCAGGAGGATCACTTGAGCTCAGGAACTTGAGACCAGCCTGGGCAACACAGTGAGACCTGTCTCTACAAAAATAGAAAAAAAGTAGCTGGGTGCGGTGGTACACTGTAGTCCCAGCTACTCGGGGAGGCTGAGGTGGGCAGATCACTTGGGCCCAGGAGGTCGAGGCTGGAGTGGGCCAAGATCACACACTGCCACACTCCAGCCTGGGCAACAGAGTGAGACCCTGTCTCAAATTAAAAAAGAAAGAAAAGAAAGAAAGAAATGCAGACACCTTTCCAGGCAGGGGTCTCATTCAGGGATGTGAATCAGAACCACCAGTGAAATTTAAAATAAAAGCCAAGACTCACAGCACCAGCTTCTGATTCTCATTGAGAAGACCCAATGAGACCTATCCATGCAAAAATCACAGATGCCCCCTACCTCTGCTCCTGGTGCCCACCATGGCGGGTGCTTTTGGTGCCGGGCCCCCTTTTGCAGGTCGGGATATCCACCTCCCCACTGCTGTGAGTACTGGCGGCCAATAGCTCACAGCCGCCTACTTTCTCCAGAGCTGCCCTGAGCAGAAAGGAGCCAGGACCACCCTTGCACTCTTTCCAGCCCCTCCCCCTTAGAACCAATGACTGATTGACAAGGCATCAGAAAAGGACATCTCCTTGGTCTCAAGCTGGGAACAAACTCTGTAGACCAATCCATGCCCCAGAATGCCTGGTGGGAGCAGGCTGTAGCGACCTCCCAAGTGAGACCCGGCCCCCGTTTAGCTCCCCTGCCCTCTTCTGCTCCCTGACACCCTCTGTCCCAAGGGCACCTGAATCCCTGTCTCAGACTCTCCTTCCACTGAACCCAACTTCAGATACCACCCAAAAGAAGTAATGCTATAAAGTGTACAAGTGGTAAAATGCAGAAATTAAACAGGTATGCTTTTCTATTAACCACGCCCTCACAGACAGCATCTGGCTTACAAAAACAAACACTGAAAGTTACAAGAACAAAAGTGAAACATACTTCACCAAACCCAAATTCAAAGCCTTGGAAATAGACCAACTATGCTAAGTGCTAAATGACATGGCAGCAAATTACTCATATAAGGAATCGTTTTCAAGTTTGCTGAACTATTTTAATTCTTTCAATCTAAAGCCTTAACAAAGATGAGCAGCACTAGCTGTTTCCACCCTTTATGATAAACTTCATCTCCACTTTCATTAATAAACTGCTAACCATATTAAACAATCCTTCCGTGGAATCTGTCCCACCACAAGTTTGAGTTGCTGTTTCTTCAGCATCTTCAATACCCTGCCGGGATGCATTCACCTATAACAAAGGGAGAAAAAAAAAGAATAAAAGGATTTAAAAAATACAACTATGTTATTTTGGGATGGAAATTCATCTGATATACGCATGTTCAAGGTGTCCAGATTAGTGCCTTATATCACACCCCAACACAATACACAATTATGGTGCAAGCCTGTAAACTGACCTAGGTCATGAAGGAATTTAAATATAATAAACCAAGCCCCTTTTACTACATACTTATATAAAATCGACAACTATCACATGATGCTCTATGCCAGGCAGCCTCAACAAATTCAACATTTATTCTAGCTCTGATATGGTCTGGCTCTGTGTCCCCACCCAAATCACTTTTTTTTTTTTTTTTGAGGCAGAGTTTTGCTCTTGTTGCCCAGGCTGGAATACAATGGCAAGATCTCGGCTCACCGCAAACTCCGCCCCCCAGGTTCAAGAGATTCTCCTGCCTCAGCCTCCCGAGTAGCTGGGATTACAGTCATGTGCCACTGTGCCCAGCTAATTTTGTATTTTTAGTAGAGATGGGGTTACTCCATGTTAGTCAGGCTGGTCTCGAACTCCTGACCTCAGGTGATCCACCGGCCTCAGCTTCCCAAAGTGCTGGAATTACAGGCATGAGCCACCGCGCCTGGCCCCAAATCTCATCTTGAATCGTACTCCTCCTGTAAGTCACACATGTTGCTGGGGGGGGACTGGTGGGAGATAATTTGAATCATAGGGTAGGTTTCCCCCATACTGTTCTCGTGATAGTGAATAAGTCTCAAGAGATCTGATGGTTTTATCAGGGGTTTCCACTTTTACATCTTCCTCATTTTCTCTTGCCGCCACCATGTAAGAAGTGCCTTTCACCTCCCGCCATGATTCTGAGGCCTCCCCAGCCATGTGGAACTGTAAGTCCAATTAAACCTCTTTTTTGGCCAGGTGCAGTGGCTCACGCCTGTAATCCGAGCTCTTTGGGAGGCCGAGGTGGACGGATCATGAGGTCAGGAGATTGAGACCATCCTGGCTAACACGGTGAAACCCCATCTCTACTAAAAATACAAAAAATTAGCCGGGCATGGTGGCATGTGCCTGTAATCCCAGCTAATCAGGAGGCTGAGGCAGGAGAACTGCTTGAACCCCGGAGGTGGAGGTTGCAGTGAGCCGAGATCGCACCACTGCACTCCAGCCTGGGCAAGAAGCGAGACACCATCTCAAACAAACAAACAAAAACATCTCTTTTTCTTCCCAGGCTCAGCTATGTCTTTATCAGCAGTGTGAAAATGGACTAATACAATCTCTATGCACAAGACACTCACAGACACATTGTGTAATAAACATATCGTCAATCAACTGAGCAGAAAAATGATGAACTGCCAGCCAAATGTGCATGATGCAATATTTATTTTGGTATATCACCATTCAAATATCTTAACATACCACTCAAACCATGCCATTTTTTATTATCTATGCTTGACCTTCTTTGTAAACATTCTAAAATGTTCCTTAAGTATATACCAGAGAAAGACTATAAAGAGTACATATACAGTTGGCCAGAGAGGTGCAACTCCAAGTGAGCACTGCACCAGTGAGCCCAAGCTCCAGCTCTTCTGAGACCTTGTTCCATCTTCCTGCTTTCCTATAGCATCAATGTTTTCCTCCACCAAAGCTCCTCTCCCCTCAGTCCACAAACCTGCTCACGTCTCTCCACTCCTAAACCACGCCTCTTAGCCCTGCTCCATCCCCTCCTTCCACCACAACCCTGCACCAAGGTCTCTAACAGCCCCAATTCTGCTTCCCCACCATCCACATCCTCTCCCGAAATGCAGTTTCTGCGTCTTCACTGACATGGTCCTCCAGAAAGCAACAAAGACTACCTTCTAACCACTAAATCCAAGGACTGTTGCTCTTTTCATCTTTCTAAAAAATGACAGCAGTATCTGATGCTGCTGACCAAACTCCTCCTTCCGGCGGATCCTTCCTGAGCATCCAGGCTCTTGGTTTTCCCCATACTTCTGATCACCCTTCTCCTCCCCTGTCCTAAACTGCATCTTTCCAAAGGTTTATGCTCAGGTCCCCATCTGCAGCCACGACTGCCTGTGAGTATTCTCTGGTAGGCTGCCCACCAGCAACTGAACCTGGCCAAGATGGAACTACTCTTCCAACTGCCTCCTCTTCGTATTTTTTTCTTTTTTTTTTTTTTTTTGAGACAGAGTCTTGCTCTGTCACCCAGGCTGGAGCGGAGTGGCGCAATCTCGGCTCACTGCAAGCTCCACCTCCCGGATTCACACCATTCTCCTGCCTCAGCCTCCCGAGTAGCTGGGACTATAGGTGCCCACCACCATACCCGGCCAATTTTTTGTATTTTTAGTGAGACAGAGTTTCACCATGTTAGCCAGGATGGTCTCGATCTCCTGACCTCGTGATCCGCCCGCCTCGGCCTCCCAAAGTGCTGGGATTACATGCGTGAGCCACCACGCCCGGCCTCCTCTTCATATTTCTAACTACCATTAATGGCAACACCAAGATTCAATTCCACAGGGAGCAAAGTTGAAGGATTCCTTTCCCTTACTGTCTGCCTCCCCTCCTCCAAACCAGTCTCAAGCACCAGTTCATCTTTCCTGACAATGTCACTAGAATCTACTACTTCCTTTCATTCCCACTGCACCTTAGTGCGGGCCTCCTTAAACAAAGTTTTAACTGTTTATAATTATAATCTGCCCTTAAGAAAGGCCAAACAGGAAAAATCACTTCCGTAAGAATCCCTTCCTGACCCCACTGTGATTCTATCAGGTTCTCTAACTCATAATGTATGTTTCATTCATAGCATTTTCCACAACCATACTTTTACATTTGGATAACTATGTATTTAACGCCTTGTTCTCCAATCATGAGAAGGAACTGTCTACAACTCCCAGCACATGCACACATTCAAAGAAAGGAAGCAAAGAATGGTGCTAGTGGTTTCTTTTCTTTTTTTTTTTTTTGAGATGGAGTCTCGCTCTGTCGCCCAGGCTGGAGTGCAGTGGCACGATCTCAGCTCACTGCAAGATCTGCCTCCCGGATTCAAGCAATTCTCCCACCTCAGCCTCCTGAGTAGCTGGGATTACAGGCACCCACCATCATGCCTGGCTAATTTTTTATTTGTATTTTTATAGAGACGGGGTTTCGCCATGTTGGCCAGGCTGGTCTCGAACTCCTGACCTCAGGTGATCTGCCTGCCTCGGCCTCCCAAAGTGCTGGGAATACAGGCGTGAGTCACCACGCCTGGCCAAGTGGATTCTTTTCTATCACTGACTATTGTTTCCACATACTGTGATTATAACAAATTCAAGTCAGTAAATGAAAATAAAAATAGATTACTCAATACTTACATCCAACTTGAGTAGTTTTTCAATAATAAGCTCCAGAATTTCATGCCTCAAGGTTGGAAAATATACACTAATCCTTAGTAAGTTATGAACGTAACATTCCTAAAGGAGAAAATGTAAGATAAAACATTTCAACAGAGAATAAACGTTTCACAGTTATGTAAGCAAAACATCAATTACATGACCTTTAGTTTCAAATATTTAAAAAGAAAAAAACAGACTATCCAGCAATACAAAAACTATACTGTTTCTACATGTATTATGTTCGGTATAATCATTTCAATTATTCCCAGTAAATGAAATTTTTAATTTGCATAACTATAGGTTTTTAAGTAGCTGTATTGATAAAACTCATATATCATACAATCACCAACTTAAAGTATACAATTTAAGTTTTTAATATATTCAGTTATGAGACCATCAACATAATCAATTTCAGAACATTTATTTTTCTTTTAGAGACAGGGTCTTGCTCTCTCTCTCAGGATGGCGTACAGTGGTGCAATCATAGCTCACTGCAACCCTGAATTCCCAGGATAAGCAATCCTTCCTCCTCAGCCTCCCTAGTAGCTAGAACTACAGGTGCACACCACCACATGAGGTTAATTTTTCCTTTTAGAGAGACATTTTCTCACTATGTTGCCCAGGCTGGTCTTCAACTCCTGGATCTTCCCACTTCAGCCTCCTGAAGTGCTGTGATTATGGGCATAAGCCACTGCGCCCAGCCAGCAATTTTGTAACATTTTAATCACGCTAAAAAGAAATCCTACATCCATTAGTGCACCCCTAAAAAATGAAGACCTTGGCAACCACTAGTCTTTCTATGAATCTGCCTCTTTGACATTTCATATAAATGGAGTCATATAATACATGTTTTTAGGGTTCAATCATGTTGTAACATGTAAACCATTCCTCTCATATCAATGGAGTCATACACAGTTTGTGGCATGTTTTTAGGGTTCAATCATGTTGTAACATGTAAACCATTCCTTTCATATCAATGGAGTCATATAATACACAGTCTTTTGGCATGTTTTTAGGGTCCAATCATGTTGTAACATATAAAGCATTCCTTTTCATTGCTGAGTAATATTCCATTGTACCATGTTTTGTCTGTTCATCAGTTGACAGACATTTGAGTTGCTTCTACTTGAGGCTATTATGGATGATGCTGCTATGACCATCCATGTACAAGTTTTTCTGTGGACATATATTTTCATTTCTCTTGGGTATAAACCCAGAAATGGAACTGCTGAGTCACGTGTTAATTCTACATTTAACCTTGAAGAAATGCCAGGCTATTTTCCAAAATGGCTGCACCATTTTACATTCTCACAGCAACATATGACAGTTCCAACTTCCCATTTCTCCATATCCTTGTGAACACTTGTTACTGTCTTCTCGTTCTGATTATAGCCATCCTTGTGGGCATGAAGTGAAATCATTTCCCTGATGGCTAATGATGTTGAGCTTCTTTTCATGTGCTTTTTTTGCAGAAATGCCTATTCAGATCCTTTGCCCACTTCAGTTGGGCTATTTGCCCTTTTATTATTCAATTATAAGAGTTCTTTACATATACAAGTCCATTACCAGACATAAAATTTAGAAATATTTCCTCCCATTATTTGGGGATCCTTTTCATCTTCTTGAAGATGTCCTATGAAGCATAACAACGTTTAATTTTGAAGTACAATTGATGCATTTTTTTCTTTGGTTGCTTGTGCTTAGGCATCAAATCTGGAAATTACTGCCTAAACCAACATCATGAAAATGTACTCGTTTTCTTCTCAGAGTTTTACAGTTTTTACTCTTCATGTAGGGCTTTTATTGAGTTCATTTTTAAATATGGATATCCATATGCTTCATTCTTTTGCATGTTCATATCCACTTCTGCCAGCAGCATTTGTTGAAATGACTATTCTCCCCTATTCAATTGTCTTGAACAACTGGTTAGTGTATGTTAGTCTTCTGTCCCGTAACCATGCTGAACTCATTTATTATCTCTAAAATTTCTTGTGTGTGTGTAAACTCCTTAGAATGACATATAAAATCACCTTGCAAAAGAGAGTTTACGCCTTCCTTTCCATCTGGATGCTTTTAATTCTTTTTCTTGCCTAACTGCCTTGGCTAGACAAGCAGCAAGAGCGGACATCCTTGTTTTGTTCTTTGTCTTAGGAAAAAACTTTTGGTCTTTCACCAATGAATATGATGTTAGCTGTGGGTTTTTCAGATGCCCTTTATCAGGTTGAGAAAATTTCCTTCTGTTTTTCTCGTAAAAGGATATTGGTGTTTGTCACACACTTCTGCATCTACTGAGATGATTATGTGGTTTTTGTCCTTTGTTCTATTGCTACAAAATATTTTATTAATTCATTTTCAGGTACTAACTCAATCTCGGCCGGTCACGGTGGTTCACGCCTCTAATCCCAACACTTTGCGAGGTGGAGACGGGTAGATCGCTTGAGGTCAGGAGTTCAAGACCAGTCTGGCCAACGCGGCAAAATCCCATCTCTACCAAAAACACAAAAATTAGCGGGGTGTGGTGCCCCATGTCTATAGTCCCACCTACTCGGGAGGCTGAGGTGGGAGAGTCACTTGAACCCTGGAGGCAGAGGCTGCAGCGAGCTGAGATGGTGCCACTGCACTCCAGCCTGGGTGACAGACGGAGACTGTCCCCCCACCCCTGAAAAAAAAAAAATCAATCTTGCATTCTTAACATCAGTCGCACTTGGTCATGGTACATAATTCTTTTTGTATGCTACTAGATTCGGTTTTCTACTAAGGCAACCACTATTAATTATTAAAAACTGCACAGATGATCTGAACATTGTACAAAAACTTAAGCAGAATTCTTCTATGGAAGGCTTTGTCTTCAGGTTAAAATAAGGCATGTTCACAATTAGTAATACATGAACTATTATCTTCTAGTAATTCTTGTCCATATGAGCATAAAGCCACTACAGATATTCCTGAAATGAACTCAGACCTTGACTTGCACATAGTAATAACAGAAAAAGGCACTGGGAATCCCCAATAGCCGCTTTATAAGAAAGGAATCTGAGTCAAATTCTTAGACGTCAGTTTAAAGTCTAGAAGACAAAGTAACCTTTAAGAAAAAGACCTAACATTAGCTGGGCACAGTGGTTCACTAATCCCAGCACTTTGGGAGGCCGAGGCAGGCAGATCACAAGGTCAGGCGTTCGATACCAGTGTGGCCAATATGGTGAAACCTTGTCTCTACTAAAAATACAAAAATTAGCTGGGCATGGTGGTAGGCGCCTGCAGTCCCAGCTAATGGGGAGGCTGAGGCAGGAGAATCGCTTGAACCCGAGAGGCAGAGGTTGCAGTGAGCCAAGATGACGCCATTGCACTCCAGCTTGGGCGACAGAGTGAGACTCGGTCTCAAAAAAGAAAAAGAAAAAGAAAGACTGGAAAAGAAAGAAAAAGACCTAATATCATCTAAAATGAAATCGTACAAACAACTTTTCCATGATGTTCTCAATGAAAAGATTTCTTACCAGTGTTCTCTCTGATTTTCGAACAAATGGAAATTTTTCCACCAGTATTGGCATGAGAAACCACGGTGTCCTATTTTTAAAAAATTAAATCAATCCATGTTAACTTTACTTTCTAGAAAAGGAATAAAAAGGAAAACTACCATTCTAAAAGCAAATATTGATAGACATAGGAGGCAAACAGGAACCCCTACCTCAAAGAACTGGAACTTTTTTTGTTTTTTGAGACGGAGTTTCGCTCTTGTTGCCCAGGCTGGAGTGCAGTGGCGCAATCTCAGCTCACTGCAACCTCCGCCTCCCAGGTTCAAGCGATTCTCCTGCCTCAACCTCCCAAACAGCTGGGATTACAGGCATGCGCCACCATGCCCAGCTAATTTTGTATTTTTAGTAGAGACGGGGTTTCTCCATGTTGGTCAGGCTGGTCTCGAACTCCCGACCTCAGGTGATCCGCCCGCCTCGGCCTCCCAAAGTGCTGGGATTACAGGCGTGAGCCACCGCGCCCGGCCAGAACTGGAACTTACAATGTATAGCTTCTGAGAAAATCTATAACGACTTAGAGAAAATAAGGTTCTGTTAACTCTGATATCAACAGCAAATCAAAGAGGGAGCTTCTCTCCCACAGAAACATAACAGCACTTTTGCTGACATTTCCCACTACACATGTATATTATTTTTAAAAGAAGAAAAAATCATCAAGTTGGATTTTTTTTAAGTTAACAAATAATCAACGGACAGAGGGAACTAGAGGTCCACCCCTCCAAAAGAAACCCACAAACCTGAAAAGCTTTTCTTAGAAGTGCAATTTTTATTCATATGGCATGACACAAACACACCCAGGGGTTTCTCACTGAAAAATTTTGGATAGCATATCTGTTGAAGATAAAAGCAAAATTCCAACCACCATACAAAATTGGGGGAGGATCTGCATACAAACTTTGAAAAACAATTAAAGAGAATAAATAGAAAATGGAAATGCCACTTTTTGTAGAATGTAATGTTTCCTCAAGTGGATACAAAAAAAACATGCAATGTAAGACTCAAGCTTTAATACTATTAACATTTTATAATTTTTACTAATTGATTACAATTTTCTTGAGAATTAAACATTCAAAATAAGGAAAAGTATACTCACGATGGTACATATCTTGCTATTATTTGCAAGGCTCTGTGACATGTGTCAAAATTTGCAGGAAGATCTGAAAGGAGAAAAGTTCAGAGTATGAGCATCAAAACAAAACTGAAGGGCGACACGCTTGAAGCTAAAAATAAATGCTGGCTGGGCACAGTGGCTCACGCCTGTAATCCCAGCACTTTGGGAGGCCGAGGTGGGTGGATCACCTGAGGTCAGGAGTTCGAGACCAGCCTGACCAATATGGTGAAACCCCATCTCTACTAAAAATACAAAAATTAGCCAGGCATGGTGGCAAATGCCTGTAGTCCCATCTACTCAGGAGGCTGAAGCAGGAGAACCACTTGAACCTGGGAGGTGAAGGCTGCAGCGAACCGAGATCACACCACTATACTCCAGCCTGGGCAACAGAGCGAGACTCTGTCTCAAAAAACAAACAAACAAAAAGTGACATACTTGAAGCTAAAAACACATGCTAACCAAAACGGAATAATTTATCAGAGAAATAATAATTTCAAGATTTTTCTCCACCAGCATCAACGAAAATTAAATGGACTAATTATATAAATAATGCATTCAGGACAAATGACTGCATATCAATGGTAAATATAACAAAAAGATTACATCAAAGGTTGTCATTTGTTGCAGTCTACTTATTAGAATAGGTGCCAGGTATTCTGTGCTTTACTTTTTTTTTTAAAGAAGACAGTGTCTTGCCACCAAGCAGGGCTTGAACTCCTGGGCTCAAGCAATCCACCCACTTAAGCCTCCCAGGTAGCTGTGACTAAAGACACACACTACCCTGCCTAGTTCTACTTTAAGCCTTTTTTAAGAAAATATTTGAAAAAAAATGTTTTTTTGCAGAGACAAGGTCTCACTATGTTGCCCAGGCTGGTCTCAAACTCTTGGCCTCAAGTGATCCTCCCGTCTTGGCTTCCCAAAGTGCTGGGATTATGGGTGAAAGCTACTGTGCCCAGGCTTTAAACCTTTTTATACTTACTATCATCTTCATCATCAGAATCTGAAACATCTACATCGCCTTCCTTAATGATCACTCGGGCTTTTGAGGGAAAAAGAAAATATGTTATTCTGTCATTGATCTAGACAATGAATGGCTATACAAAAAAAGTTACTGACCTAGACAATGAACAGCTATAAAAAAAGTTATTTTTCCATAATCCAAAGTTAGCCCAATGATTAATTAAACGCACAATCTGAAAAAAAGTAAAGCAACTTTATAGTTTTTAAACGGCTAAAAATTCCTAGATTTCACCAGGAGTTCAATAAAGCAAATAAATTCATAAAACTCACAGCAACAAATGAATCTAGACACCTCCATAGGGGTCATTACGGGGAATATATGTCTACCAGACCTGGTGCCAATATGCATCTGGAATCTTCCATGGTAGCAGTCTCTCATATATAAGGGGAAGGTAGTATTTTAATAAAGAAGTATTAAAAAGAAAATAAAATTCCAAGCAATGACTTACGAGGCACAAAATGGGAAGCAATCATGCTGAGACACGGTCTGAGGAAAACAGTCTGTGCTGATACAAGATTACCAAGAAAAGCCAAATACTCTTCCACTACTGTTTGACTTCTATTCAACCAAGGCAATCTCTAGAGTGGGGGAAGAAAGATAAAAGCAGCATGTTATTAATATAACATATACTATTACCAAAGTTCTGAATTACATACTTTACAGTAAAATAAATGGTGAACTTACTAATATAATACTGATAAGTTGCTCAAAGTCTTTTGTCAAGTACATGATAGAAGAACGGAATTCTAGCAGCCAGTTGATGATCTGGTCATCCTTAAGTTAAACAAAGAGTACTTTCAAAATCACAAATCCTCTAACATAACAGAAATTTACAGCTATCTTATATCAATCATTTATCAAGAATAGGTTGGGGGGAAAAGGTCACAAACTTGGAAGGAACTCAAAACTGGGTATTAAAACAGAAAAAGATGTCACAATAAATTACTTAACTGTTTTAAGAAAGTAATCTAGTAACTCTAATACACAGGAGAAAGACTTAAATGCAATACTTCAGCCTGATCACTTCTGTTTGCCCTGAAAAAGCGAAATCACCTCAAATGTTGACACCTGGGACTTTTAAAAACTGCAGCATTCTAGCAGACTGAAATATTAGAAGATCACAAAGGAACAATAGCTACCTCTATTTCCTCTATATTCAAGCTGACCAGGAAGCATGCTGATAAAACTCAGTCGAGGCTGATCAATTGGGGTCATGAATAAACATAACTTTTCTAAACCAAACCTGTGGCTGAGTTTAAATATATTATGATGTGATTGTTCTGTATAAATGATAGCCCCATTCCTCCATGAAATATTTTTCGGGCAATCAAATTACTGTTCATAGTAATTGTTAGTGACATGAGAAGAACTGCTAAATTTGAAACGCAATGTATAAAATACAGTGTCAATTATGTAAAATATTACTATATTAATTATATTCATGCATATATACTGCACAGGAAAAAAACCATTAAGAAAAAGCCCCTAATTTGTGGAAGGCTTAGACATATAAATAAAAGCAACACAAGGTCATACCTACAGGGATATTCATATGGAGTTATCATTTAGTGAGAATACACCATATGCCAGGCATGGTGCCTGACACTCCACATATATATCTTCTTCTAATCCTAAAAACTCTGCAAGATGTTTAGTTATTCCCATTTTGCTGTTCAGGAAGCTGAGGCTAAGAACGATTAATAAGCAATCTGCCCAACCAAGAGGCCAGTAAAGAAGCAGGTCCAAACCCGTCTGTCTCGGTCAAGGCTATCCTCTGTCCACCGTCCCACACGCCTCCCTATATGCGGAGAAGAAGCTGTCCCCTTTTCCCCACCTTAATTCAGCTACTGAGTGCTTACTATGCCATATCCATGTGTCAAACTCCCACAGATCAACCATTTTCTGATGAAATCCCAAGTAGCCTGGCAGTAAAATAAAGTAAAACCACAACTCATTTGTACTATGGTAATTTCATATGTCCACAACTGTTAAGGATAACATTAACGGTAGCTCACTAAGGCCAAAGGCATGTAGAAAACAAGCTAAGTTAGTGTACAAATAAAATAAACTATCCTATCTCTTTTCCACTAAAAAGACTGCAACAAAACTATAAGGATAACATTTAAACTGTACCATTTTTAAAAGTAAATCAGGCTGGGCGTGGTAGCTCATGTCTGTAATCCCAACACTTTGGGAGGCCGAGGTGGGTGGATCACCTGAGGTTGGGAGTTCGAGATGAGCCTAACCAACATGGAGAAACCCCGTCTCTACTAAAAATACAAAATTAGCTGGGCGTGGTGGTGCATGCCCGTAATCCCAGCTACTCGGGAGGCTGAGGCAGGAGAATTGCTTAAAAAACTCGGAGGCAGAGGTTGCAGTGAGCCAAGATCATGCCACTGCACTCCAGCCTGGGCAACAAGAGCAAAACTCCGTCTCAAAAAGAAAAAAAAAAAGTAAATCAGTTGCAGACTTTGATGCTTTAGTACTGAACTATTATTATTTCTACTAGCAGGCAGGAACAGTGGCTCATGCCTGTAATCCCAGCACTTTTGGGAGGCCAAGGCAGGAGGAGACTGCTTGAGCCCAGGAATTTGAGACCAGCCTGGGCAACATGGGGAGACCTCATCTCCAGAAAAATTAGCCAGGCATGGTAGCACATGCTTGTGGTCCCAGATGCTCGGGAGCCTGAGGTGGGAAGATTGCTTGAGCCTGGGAGGTTGAGGCTGCAGTGAGCCATGATCGGGCCCATTACACTCCAGCCCGGGTGACAGAGCAAGACCCTGTCTCAAGATGGAAAAAAGTTCTACTTGCAACACTCCACACAACTAGTGCAATTCTTGGTATGTCAAAATACCAAGAATGAGAACTGCTGATACAAAATACAGTGGAACACAAAGAAAATGTCCCTTTGTATCTGGGAAAGAAGGCAGGGGTCAGGAAAAGCTTTAAAGAGAAAGTGATGCTTCAGCTGTCTTTAAACAGTAACACAGTTGAGTCTTTTCTGGAAGTTCTGCTTCTTACAGAAGGAAAAGTATGTTTTCAGAAAACTGAAAAACGTTCAGTATGGCAGGCATGTATAGTGACCAAGCCAACAGATAATAAATCTGGGGAACAAAGAAGCACCAAATAGACCATGGGGGGCCTTGTAAACCAGATCTGTAACTAGAGAGATCTGGAAGTGTGGGAAATGGACTCAATGAAGGAACAACCATGTGCTTAGAGAGAACCAGGGAAAGCTCCATGAAAGATGGAGCCCAGCCAAGAGTGGACATGCTAAGTTTGGAGCATCTATGATGATTCTGGGTAAATGCATCTAACAGACAGTTAAGAAACAAGTCTAGGCCGGGTGGAGTGGCTCACGTCTATAATCCCAGCACTTTGGGAGGCTGAGGCGGGTGGATCACTTGAGGTCAGGAGTTCGAGAGCAGCCTGGCCAGCATGGTGAAACCCCAAATCTACTGAAAATACAAAAAAATTAGCTGGGCATGGTGGCACAGCTACTCGGGAGGCTGAGGTGGGAGGATGGCTTGAACCCAGGAGGCAGAGGTTGCAGTGAGCCAAGATCATCCCACTACACTACAGCCTAGGTGACAGAGCAAGACTCTGTTCTGCCCGTCCCCAAAAACGAAAATGAAATAAGTCTGGAGCCCACAAGAGCAATCTTGGCTACAGACACAAATATATTAGGACACAGGTAGATTTCAAAGCCATGAAGGGAGATGAGGAGATCACACAGAAGAATCAACAGAGTGAGAAAAGAGTCAAGTTTTGAAGCCCAATCAACACCAAATTTAAGATCAAGAAACTATCAAGAAATACTAGCGATTAAAGGATCACTGGCCGGGCGTGGTTACTCACGCCTCTAATCCCAGCACTTTGGGAGGCCAAGGCGGGCGGATCACGAGGTCAGAAGATCGAGACCATCCTGGCTAACATGGTGAAACCCCACCTCTACTAAAAATACAAAAAATTAGCTGGCGGTGGTGGCGGGCGAGTGTAGTCTCAGCTACTTGGGAGGCTGAGGCAGGAGAATCGCTTGAACCCGGGAGGCGGAGCTTGCAGTGAGCCAAGATTGCGCCACTGCACTCCAGCCTGGGCGACAGAGCAAAAAAAAAAAAAAAAAAAAAAAAACAGATTAAAGGATCAGGAGACAGGAGGATCAGAAACGCTGAAGTTTTAAGAAGTGGGTGGCCAACAGTGTCGGCTGATACAAGGAATACAAGGCTTAAAAAAGTAAGTCCACTGAGGCTGGGCTCAGTGGCTCACACTTGTAATCCCAGCACTTTGGGAGGCCAAGGCGGGCAGGTCACCTGAGGTCAGGAGTTCAAGACCAGCCTGGCCAACATGGTGAAACCCCGTTTCTACTAAAAATAAAAAAAATTAACCAGGCATGGTGGCGGGTGCCTGTAATCTCAGCTATTTGGGAGGCTGAGGCAGGAGAATTGCTTGAACCCAGGAGGCAAAGGTTGCAGTGAGCCCAGATCACACCACTGCACTCCAGCCTGCGTGGTAAGAAGGAGACTTTGTCTTAAAAAAAAAGTCCACTGAAATCAGCATGTAAAAAAAAAACATGGGTAACCTGTCAGGGTAATTACTACAGTGATAAGAACAGTGGACTTAAATGTGAGTGAGAAATGATACAGCGCAGTCAGCTGGAACAAAAACAACAGATGACAATTATTGCCCTTACTTTGAGTCAGAGACTGTTCTAAGTGCTTCTTGCATATTAGCTCATTGAATCCTTGTTAAGTATTTCCATGTTTAAAGCCAGGCACTTTAAACATGGCATGCACCTATAGTCCCAGCTTTTTAGAAGGCTGAAGAGAAAGGATCATTTGAGGCCAGGAGTTCAAGGCTGTAGTGCACTATGATCACACCTGTGAATAGCCAGAGCAACACAGCAAGACCACATCTCTTAAAAACAAAACACTCCATATTTTTTAAATCTCTATTGTTTTCTTGGTTTCACACAGTGGAAAATAGAGGCAGAGAGGTTAAAACAATTTGCTCAAGATCACACACTGGATAATAAAATTGGAATTTCATTCCAGGCAATCTAACTACCACTGCCATAGTAATAAACCATTCTCTTCAAAACTGGGCAGTAAAGGAAGAATGGTGAAACAAAATGCATTCAGCTTTTACTACATGATAGGTGTATCTCGAACCTGGAAATGCTGAATCAGTGGTTTGTTTTTTTTTTTTTTTTGCTTTGTTTTAGCTTTAAAGAGACAAGAGAGTTGCATGCAGCATGGAGGAAAGAGGTAGTAATCTAATAGAAAGGAAGCATTAGAGCAGGGTTTCCCAGCCTCAACACTGTTGTCATTTGGGGCTGGATCACTCTTGGTTCTGGGAGGCTGTCCTGTGCACTGTGAGATGTTTAGCAGCATCTCTGTCATTCACCCACTAGATGCCAGTAGCACCCTTTCCTCCCAGTTGTGACAAAAATATCTGCAGCCATCACCAAATGTCTTCTAGGGGGTAAAACTGTCCCTGGTTGAGAACCACCAGATTAAAATAAGGGAGGACCATGGAGAGAGCAAGTTCTGGAGGACAGAATGGGACCCAAAGAGCAAACTATGTCTGTATACAGTGGCAATAATTTTGCTAATGATCAAACACAAAATTAATTACCTTTATGTCTGGATCTAACAGCTGGTTCTTCAACAACTCAAAGTCATTTGTTTCACCCTTAACAAGAAGGGGAAAGAATTAAGTTATGCTTTTGTTTCCTGTTTAGTATCAACAGCAAGACTTTTAACCGTACTTTAACATCAGATGAAATTATAAAAGGAACACTAACTTTCACATGTCAATTGCGGATTATAAAATCATGACTACAAAAATTTAAACACTCATGTTAGTGCAGCCAGAGGGCTTGGAAAAAGGAAAATGATAAACTACATTTAGCTATACTTCTGTATTGACATTTGAATATAATAGTTGATACTCCTGCGAATTCTCAAAAAGCATGAGGGAAAAAAACAGCCAGCTATAATGATCTAATTCAGGAGGATCTAAAAAAGTATTCACTCAAATATGGATACAAATGGATATTACATATAAACATATGGTTACTTAACATTTTCCCTCTACTGCTGAGATACAGTAGAAATGCTTCTAAACTACCACAAAAACAAAAATCCCTACTCAGAGAACTGGTTTACTGTCCCAAAGTAATGCTTAGGTAAGTTCCTCAAAAAATAAAATGCTGTAGGCCAGGCATGGTGGCTCACGTCTGTAATCCCAGCACTTTGGGAGGCCAAGGCGGGTGGATCACAAGGTCAGGAGTTCGAGACCAGCCTGGCCAACATGGTGAAACCCTGCCTCTACTAAAAAAATAAAAAAATTAGCCAGGTGTGGTGGTGTGTGCCTGTAACCCCACCTATTCGGAAGACTGAGGCAGGAGAATTGCTTGAACCTGGGAGGTGGAGGATGCAGTGAGCCGAGGTCACGCCACTGCACTCCAGCCTGGGTGACAGAGGAAGACTCCAGCACAAATAAATAAATAAATAAAATGGTGTAATTGTTTTTAATTCTGGCACTTGCTAAAGTTAAAAGATGCTTCGTAAATAAAGCATTTGAAGAGGTGAAACCTCAGTAAAGACATTATTACTCTCTCATTATTACCTGTGAAATGGGCCAAGGTGGGGGAAAAAAAGGACACTATTACTCTAATTTTGCACTGACGGCATCATGCTATTATTAAATATTTGATTTCAACTGGTATCTTAATTAATCTTGCTATTTCTATTGGTCTTTAGTATAACAGCAATAGTTGTATTCTGACCTAACCAAAAGCAAACCTCACACATTATCTCCCCTTACCTTTTTGTACTTCAGCAAGACTTCTGTCACAGTTCCACCAAACCGAACAGTTTTTCTTGGGGGAGAATTGAAAAAGTCATTCTCTAATGCACGCATATTTGAAATCCTGTGGAACCAAGATTAACAAGCTATTAAGTTCATGAAAATAATAAAAATTATAATAGCCAACATTTATTGAACCAACATAATTCAGTGGAACTATTGTTAAGGCCTCTTTACTGGTCTCCCTGCTTCCACTCTTAACCAACAATCCTTCCTTTGCTCAGCAACCAATAACTGTCTTCCCACTGCACTTACAGTAAAAATCCAAATCTCTCAGTGTGGTCTTTAAGATCCTACATTAATCTGGCCCCTGCCTACCTCTCTCACCTCATCTCCAACAACTTGTTTTACTACAGCCATAACGTCTTTTCTGCTCTTCAAACAAGCCAAGCTGTTTTTCATTTCACTTACTGTTCACTCTATTGGAAATACTCTTTTCCCAAATCTCTACGTGGCTGGATTTTTTTTTTTGAGATGGAGTCTTGCTCTGCTGCCCAGGCTGGAGTGCAGTGGTGTGATCTTGGCTTAACTGCAACCTCCATCTCCCGGGTTCAAGCAATTATCCTGCCTCAGCCTCCTGAGTAGCTGGGATTACAGGCACCTGCCACCATGCCCGGCTGATTTTTGTATTTTCAGTAGAGACGAGGTTTCGCACGTTGGCCAGGCTGGTCTCCAACTCCTGACTTCAGATGATCCGCCCGCCTCGGCCTCCCAAAGTGCTGGGATTACAGGCGTGAGCAACCGCGCCCGGCCTAGATTTTTGTCTTCATTCAAGTGGAAGCTCAAATGACAGATGTCTTCCCAATGAGAAATCTCAAAAGCTCCTTCTCTCCCTTCTCCCTCCCCCATTACCTTGTTGTATAACTGAAATCATCGTGTTCGTTTATTTATTGGCCTATGTACTGCCTTTCCCCCCTATGCTGTAAGCTCTGTAGAAAGCAGGGACATTAGTGTCTTTGGATAAACCACTGTCCCCAGTGTTTAACACAGTAAGCAGGAGCTCGATAATTATTATGAATCATATTACGCTAATTGTTTTACAAGGTTTGCTTCACTTACACGTAGTAAATTAATGAAAAAACATAGCATCCTAATGACTCTGAAAGTTAAACGCCAAGAGTGCTACGGGGGTTAGGGATTTTAAAAGTGGAGCAAAATAAAGACTGCGAAACAAATACGTGTGTCGAAACAAATTCCAAACAAAAAAGATGTAATATTCAATTTGCCATGAGTGACGACGTTCGGCTGATAACCCACATAGCCCAGGGAAATCCCTTCCAAATTTGGACGAAGAAGAGGGAAGGAAGAGGGGTCAAGGCGCAGAAGGCAGTACCCAGGCCTGGGAAATCACGAAGAGACACAGTCGGGAAAGGGGGCCTCCAGAACAGAGAACATAGTCACTTTTCCAGGCCCCACCCATGTCTATTACCCAGTTAGGAGGAATGAGCTCATTTCTGTGAACGTGAGATGACCCTCCACCCCGTGCTCCTATCACACGCCATGAGCTTTGTCCCACATCCTTTCAATCCGCTCCTCTAAGCGCCGTCCTGAGCTTTCGTCCCAGATACGCAGAAGGAAGCGGCCTGAATCTTACCCAGTCCTCGACGCGCCCAGCTTCTTAACTGCAGAGGACGAAGCGGCCGCATCTCCCGGCAAACGCGTGTGAAGCAGCGGTGCCGCCATTGGGCCGAACTAACGCGACCGCTGCGCCTCAGGCCGGATGCCCAGCTCCTTCCAGCCACAGCCTCTGTCCCGGAAGTTGCGCGTGCCAGCGCAACCTTCAGCCAATCAGCGGCCCCGCGTGGGGAGGGCGTATGCTCTCGGCGGGCTAGAGCGCCGCTGAAACCCGCTCCTCGTTCTACTTGGAGGACTTGTTCCAGCCAGCGCTAGTGCGTGAGTATAAGGAGAGACGGGAAGGACCGGCTCCATCCAGCCCTGAGGATCCCGAAGAAAGGGTGGAAACACCCTGGATGTGCTAAGCTGTGGCCGGGTACACTCAAGTGTTAATTTTTTGGAGTCAAAGCCTCCCTCAGTCAAATCGAAGAAACTGAAGCACTTGTGACTGACCCAGATCTTCACGGAGGAAAGGGGATTCGAACCCGGCTGACCCAGGAGCCTGGGCTCTATACTCAGTGCAGCAGTCTCACAGACACCCAAGATAACGTTATCCTCACGGAAACGAGCTCGACGAAGTGACCTACCTCAGAGCCTCAAGGCTATGGTGATGCTGGCATGAGAAACAACAGGAGAGTTACGAAGAGGTGTTACCCCCTTGACTTTATTTATTTATTTATTTATTTTCTTTTGAGGCCGAGTCTTGCCCTTTTGCCCAGGTGGAGTGCAGTGGTGTGATCTCAGCTCACTGCAACCTCCGCCTCCCCAGTTCCAGCAATTCTCGTGCCTCAGCCTCCCAAGTAGCTGGGATTACAGGCGCATGCCACCACACCCGGCTAATTTTCGTATTTTTAGTGGAGACGGGGTTGCACTGTGTTGGCCAGGCTGGTCTCGAACTCATGACCTCAGGTCATCCGCCCGCCTCGGCCTCCCAAAGTGCTGGGATTACAAGCATGAGCCACCACGCCCGGCCAAACTTAAATTTTTAAAAGAGGAACAGGAGTCAGCCAGACCAACAAAAGAGCCACTGGCGTTCCAAGCATAGGAAACGGAGGAAACAGAGGCCAAAACCTCGGGACTGTGGAGGATGTAGAGGGAGAGCAGGGGCTGCCCCTACTCTCAGGGAGGGGAAAAGGTTGCAACTTTGGAAACTGTACAGGCCTATCAAAAATACAAAAATATCCAGCCTGGGTGACACGGTGAAACTCCATCTCTACAAAAAATTTAAAAAATAAAAATAATAAAAATTATCTGGGTGTGGTGGCACACACCTGTAGTCCCAGCTACTCGGGAGGCTGAGGATTGCTTGAGCCTGGGAGATAGCACCACTGCACTCCTGCTTGGGCAACAGAGTGAGACCCTGTCTCGAAATAAATAAATAAGTTTTTAAAAATGCATATGTATGGGCCCGGCGCAGTGGCTCACGCCTGTTATCCCAACACTTTGGGAGGCCGAGGCAAGTGGATCACCTGAGGCCAGAAGTTTGAGACCAGCCTGGCCAACATGACAAAACCCTGTCTCTACTAAAAATACAAAATTAGCCAGGCATGGTGGCAGTGCCTGTAATCCCAGCTACTTGGGAGGCCGAGGCAGGAGAATAGTTTGAACCCAGGAGGCAGAGGTTGCAGTGAGCCAAGATCGTGCCATTGCACTCCAGCCTGGGTGACGAGTGAAACTGTGTCTCAAAAAAAAAAAAGGTGTGTGTGTGTGTGTGTGTGTGTGTGTGTGTTTATATGTATCTCTCTCCAGGAGTTCAAGACCAGCCTGGGCAACATATGGTGGTGCATACCTGTAGTCCCAGCTACTTGAAAACTGAGGACGGAGGATCACTTGAGCCCTGGAGGTCAAGGCTGCAGTGAGCTGTGATTGTACCCCTGCACTCCAGCCTGGACAACACAGCAAGACCCTATTTCACAACATAAAATACAGCAATTTGGTTTTTTTGTTTTTTGTTTTTTTTTTGAGACAGAGTCTCGCTCTGTCACCCAGGCTGGAGTACAGTGTCATGATCTTGGCTCACTGCATCCTCTGCTTCCCAGGTTCAAGCGATTCTTGTGCCTCAGCCTCCCCAGTAGCTAGGATTACAGGCATGCGCCACCATGCCCAGCTAATTTTTGTATTTTTAGTAGAGACAGGGTTTCACCATGTTGGCCAGGCTGGTCTCAAACTCTTGACCTCAAGTGATCCGCCCGCCTTGGCATCCCAAAGTGCTGGGATTACAGGCATGAGCCACCACGCCCCGCCAGCAGTTTGTTAAACATAAACCATAGCTCTGTTTTGCAACAGTGTAAAATCAGTAACTGTCTTTCCTGAGTCTCTATTTGGTCCTTACTGAGTTCCTTGGGAATGTTGGACAGGAATCATCTGTGTCTCAAGGACAGAGGAAATAATTGCACCGTAGCTCACAAAGATACTTCAAGATAACTGTTTAAATGAGAATCTCTTCTTCACTTCCAAGGGAAAGCAAAGCAAAAACAAAAAGCAACAATAGCAAAACAGCAATCTGACAATTATCTGTTTTGTTTTGTTTTGGTTTGAGACAGGATCTCATTGTCTAGCCCAAGTTAGAGCGCAATGGCGCGATCATGGCTCGTTGCAGCCTCGGGCTCCTACAGCTTATGCAATCCTCTCACCTCAGCCGCCCGAACCCACACCACCAAGCCCAGCTAATTTTTTGTATTTTTGGTAAATACGAGGTCTCACTTTGTTGCCCAGGCTGGTCTTGAACCCCCGGCCCAAGTGATCCTCCCACCTTGGCCTCCCAAAGTGTGTCTCCCCACCTACACTCCCATTCTTTCCCTTAAAAAAAGTCTGAGTCTGGGTGCAGTGACTCACACCTGTAATGCCAGAGCTTTGGGAGGCTGAGGCAGGAGGATAACTTGAAGCCAGGAGTTTGAGACCAGCCCAGGCAACACAGCCAGACTCCGTCTCTACAAATAACACTTTTAAAAAACTTACCCAGGCATGGTGGCACGTGCCTGTAGTTCCAATTATTTGGGAGACAGAGGTGGGAGAATCACTTGAACCCAGGAGTTGGAAGCTGCAGTGAGCTATGACTACACCACGACACTCTCTGGCCTGGGTGACAAAGCAAAATCTCATCTCTTAAAAAAAAAAAGGGAAAAAAAGCTTGATATGTACAAAATAATATGTTAATGTAAGTTATAAGAACATAATGGGCCAGACACAGCGGCTCCTGCCTGTAATCCCAGCACTTTGGGAGGCCGAGGCAGGCGGATCACGAGGTCAGGAGATCGAGACCATCCTGGCTAATGCGGTGAAACCCCGTCTCTACTAAAAATACAAAAAAAAAAAAAAAAAAAAAAAATGTGCCGGGCGTGGTGGCAGGCACTTGTAATCCCAGCTACTTGGGAAGCTGAGGCAGGAGAATGGCATGAACCCGAGAGGTGGAGCTTGCAGTGAGCCGAGATCGCGCCACTGCACCCCAGCCTGGGTGACAGAGTGAGACTCCGTCTCCAAAAAAAAAAAAAAGAACATAATGAACACCTGTGAACATATCGCCCAATTTAAGAAGCCGAACATTAACTAGGACAATTGACACTTACTCTGTGCTGCTCTCGGATCCCACCTTCTACCTGCTTTCCTCCCAAAAATAGTCACCATCATGATTTTTAAAAGTCATTTTAGTTTTCTTTGAATAATTATCATATTTATACTCCTAAACAATGCACTATATTTACTTTTATTTGTCTTTGCATTTTATAAAGTTATCTCCATGCTGTATTATACTGCTGTTTGTTTTCAACATTATGCTTTTTTTTTTTTTTTTTTTTTGAGACGGAGTCTCCCTCTGTTGCCCAGGCTGGAGTGCAGTGGCATGATCTCCCGCCGTCCTCCCACCTCGGCCTCCCAAAATGCTGAGATTATAGGCATGAGCCACCGCGACCAGCCTGAATATTCTTGTATCATGTCCTGATGTATGTGTACAAGTGTTTTTCTAGGGTGGAACTGTTGGGTTGGAGGGGGCACCAAAAGCTTTTAGGAAAGGAGAAAGGAACAAATTGGATATCTATGATTTTTTTTTTTTTTTTTTGAGACAGAGTCTCACTCTGTTGCCCAGGCTGGGGTACAGTGGCACAAGCTCAGCTCACTGCAACCTCTGCCTCCCGGGTTCAAGCGATTCTCCTGCCTCAGCCTCCTGAGTAGCTGGGACTACATGTGCCCGCCACCACACCTGGCTAATTTTTGTATTTTTAGTAGAGATGGGGTTTCTCCATGTTGCCCAGGCTGGTCTCAAATGCCTGACCTCAGGTGATCTGCCTACCTTGACCTCCTAAAATGCTGGGATTACAGGTGTGAGCCATCGTGTCTGGCTACTATTAGTTTTTCTATTTAGAAATTGTTCATCTGGATCCTCCCTACCTTTCAGCCATTTGCAATACATTTGTTGAGCATAAAGAGTGACCTTCTTGGCCGGGCATGGTGGCTCACGCCTGTAATCCCAGCACTTTTGGAGGCCAAGGTGGGTGGATCACCTGAGGTCGGGAGTTCGAGACCAGCCTGACCAACATGGAAAAACCCTGTCTCTACTAAAAATACAAAATTAGCCTGGCATGGTGGCACATGCCTGTAATCCCAGCTACTTGGGAGGCTGAGGCAGGAGAATCACTTGAACCTGGGAGGCAGAGGTTGCAGTGAGCCGAGATCACTGCCATTGCACTCCAGCCTAGGCATCAAAACTCCCTCTCAAAAAAAAAGAGCAACTTTCTTGTCCACAGCAAAGAATCACTGGAAGCCATTTGATGCAATATGACCTCATCTCTCTAGCCAGTGTCGATTGGGTTACAGGAGGGCACCAAGAAGCTTTTTGAAGGCTGTGCCAATGTACACTTCCAGCAATATCTTCTTAAGCTTGAGTGCAGCTCCTTATTTTCCCAAAGCACAGCTAAGACTAAGGCTGCCAAGTTTTTAAAAAGATTTAAAGGAAACTCTGAGCATTATACAAGAAAAATACTGGCCGGGCCCTGTGGCTCATGCCTGTAATCCCTGTACTTTGGGAGGCTGAGGCAGGTGGCTCACTTGAGATCAGGAGTTCAAGACCAGCTGGGCCAACATGGTGAAACCCCATCTCTACTAAAAATACGAATTAGCAGGTGTGGTGGCAGGTGCCTGTAATCCCAGCTACTTGAGAGGCTGAGGCTGGAGAATTGCTTGAACCCAGGAGGCAGAGGTTGCAGTGAGCCAAGATCGCAACACTGCACTCCAGCCTGGGCAACAGAGCAAGACTTGGTCTCAAAAAAAAAAAAAAAAAAAAAAAAAGGAGAAAAAGAAAACCTTAAAACTAAATGCATAATTTCTGTTGTAATTCTTTGACCATGTCCGTTCTTTGTGGAGCCTCTATTCAGTCAAATTGTCCTGTGGGCCAACTCATCTTGGCAGGATAAAAGCCTCCTTATCCAGTCTTGCCTTCCCCAGAGAAAATAAAGGGGGTGGGGGAGGGATAAAGAAAATTAAGACCCTCCCCCTCCAAAAAGAGAAACAACAAAAAGCATGCAAGGATTAACATGCTATCTGCAAAGTCACCACCCTGCCCACAGTGTGGCCTTTCACTTCACTGAGTAATATATTGTTTGTAATACAACAATGTAATCAGCTTCTTCATTCCAGAACAAAATTTTGCTTTACTATCATCATATACCCAGAAGACCCATTAAACTGTTATTTCAAAACAGCAGCCTTTCCTTAGAGATAAATTTTACAGCTACCCCTAGAGTAGTTCTGTTGGCCAAAGCCTCTTAGCTTGCTAGTGAAAGAAACAAAGTCAAGCCAGCTTAAGCAGAAAAGGAGAATTTGTTCTGAGGATACAAATATATAGTAAGGTACCAAAAAAGAATTTATCATTGGCCAATTTGGATAAGGTGCCCTCCTGTAACCCTCCTGTAATCTAATCAACACTGTTAGAGAGATGAGGTGACAGTATACCAAATGGCTTTTGATGAATCTTTGCTGTGAACTAGAAGGGATTAAGTTATGCTCAACTAATGGTTTGCAAATGGCTGAATGGTAGGGCGGATCCACACGAAAAATTTCTAAATAACAAAACCAATAGCATGTATCTCATTTGTCCTTTTTCCTTTCCAAAGAGTCAACAATTATTGTATGAGTCAATTATCTTTATAAAAACTACATTCATTAACACAAATGCAAGATCTCAACTATATATCTTTAGTTATATACATGTATACACATATATGTGTATGTATACATACATTATCCTCAAAGACAACTAATTTAGAGCGTTCCTCATCCCAGTATCTCAGAGAAATACAAAGCAGTTTCTTAGATTTGGCATCATTGAGATTTTGGGCCAACCAGATACTTCTCTGTTGGGTGGGGAGGAGGCTGTTCTGTGAACTGTGGGATGTTCAGCAGCATCCCTGGCCTCTACCCAGTAGATGACAGTAGCACTCCTCTCCTCCCCACAGTAACATTCAAAAATATCTCCAGATGTTGCCAAATGTCCCTGGGGTACAAAACTCTTCCAATTAAGAACCACTGGTATAAACAAGTCAGCTGGGAGTGGTGGCACACACCTGTGGTCCCAGCTATATGGGAGGGTGAGGCAGGAGAATTGCTTGAGCCAGGAGCTTGAGACCAGCCTAGCCAGAATCTCTGCCTAGCCTAGGCAGATCTCTACAGAAAAATACAAAAATCAGCCATAGTGTTGGTGTGCACCTGTAGTCCCGGCTACTCAGGAGGCTGAGACGTGAGGATCAATTGAGCCCAGGAGGTCGAGACTGCAGTGAGCTATGATCTCCCCACTGCATCCTGCAACAGGGACGCTATCTCAAATAGTTAATTAATTAATGGAAGAAAGAAAGAAATCCTAGCTTTGTAATTTACTCTATTACTTTGGGCAATTGCCTTATGTTTCCAGAACTTCAATTTTCTTATGTACAAAATGGGAATAACTTTTTGAGCTATTTTAGAGCTATCGTAAGGATTAGAGCACATAACCACAAACCACAAAATATGTCACGGTGTACAGGACAGGGCAGGTTCTCCGTAAATGACAGTATTTGCCCATTTATTTTCCTGTAAATATGAAATATACTAGGATACTTGATGTGGTTACACTCAGGTGGAAACTGACCTATGAGGGAGATAGACAGATAGGCACGGTCTTTTTTGTTTGTTTGTTTGTTTTTTGAGACGGAGTCTCGCTCTTTCACCCAGGACGGACTGCAGTGGCACGATCTCGGCTCACTGCAAACTCTGCCTCCAAGATGCAAATGATTGTCGTGCCTCAGCCTCCCAAGTAGCTGGAATTACAGGTGTGCACTACCATGCCCAGCTGTTTTTTGTAGAGATGGGGTTAGTAGAGATTTGTTTAATAGAGACGGGGTTTCACCATGGTCTCTACTAAACCCTGTCTCTACTAAAAATACAAAAATTACCCAGGCGTGGTGGCACATGCCTGTAGTCCCAGGTACTCAAGAGGCTGAGGCAGGGGAATCACTTGAACCTGGGAGGTGGAGGTTGCAGTGACCCAAAATCATGCACTCTAGCCTGGGGTCTCGCTTTTGCCCAGGTTAGAGTGCAGTGGCACAATCATAGTGGCTCACTGCAGCCTCAAACTCCTGGGCTGAAGGGAATCCTCCCACCTCAGCCTCCCAAGTAGCTAGGACTATAGGCATGTGCCATCATGGCGAGTTAATTTTTTGTGTGTTTTTATTGTCTCGAGACAGAGTCTTGCTCTGTTGCTCAGGCTGGACTGCAATGGCGTGATCTTGGCTCACCGCAACCTCCACCTCCTGGGTTCAAGCGATTCTCCTGCCTCAGCCTCCCGAGTAGCTGGGATTACAGGTGCGTGCCACCATGCCTGGCTAATTTTGTATTTTTGGTAGAGACAGGGTTTCGCCATGTTGGTCAGGCTGCTCTTGAACGCCTGACCTTGTGATCCACCTGCCTCGGCCTCTCAAAGTGTTGGGATTACAGGCATGAGCCACTGAGCCTGGCCTGGTGAGCTAATTTTTAAATTTGTTATAGAGACAAGAGTCTCTCTTATGTTGCCCAGGCTGGTCTCGACCCCCTGGCCTCAAGTGATCCTCCCACCTCAGCCTCCCAAAGTGCTGGGATTACAGATGGGTGTCACCGCACCTGGCCTCTGAGGAGGATTTCATTATAAACCTGCCCTGAAGGGAGGAAATCCAATTTTACGAGAGGGTGTAGCCTGGTGAGGCCTGGATGACCTCCGGAGGCAGGGGCTTGTGCCTGGGCTGAGGCCTAAGGGTCAATGGGCAGACATGAAGTTGCCCCAGGCAGAGGGTACAGTGTGGGCAAAGTCAGGAAGTGGCAGGGCTTGGATCACTCCAGGAAGAGAGAGGAGTCATGTGTCACAGGAGCTCGAGACCCAGAGAGGGAGGCAGGCAGGCAGGCAGGGACCAAGCTTGGGCACAGCCAGGAAGGCAGGACAGGGCATGGTGGGGCCAAAGGAATCATTACCCAAGACGGGGATTTTCAGGGAAACAGCTTAGATAAGGCCAGGTGTACAGTAGCTCCCACCTGTAATCCCAGCATTTGGTGAGGCTGAGGTAGGAGGACTGCTTGAGCCTGGGAGTTCGAGACCAGCCTAGGCAACATAGTGAGACCCCATATCCACAAAAAATTTAAAAAAGGAGTTTGTGTTCCTGTAGTAGCAGACTTGGGAGGTTGAGGTGGCAGTATCACTTGAGCCCGGAAGTTCAAGGCTAAAGTGAGCTGATTGAGCCATTGCACTCCAGCCTGAGCAACAGAGAGATACGCTGTCTCAAAGGAAATACAAATTAAAAAACCAGCCGGGCATGCTGGCGTGTGCCTGTAGTCTCAGCTACTTGGGACGCTGAAGTGGGAGGATCGCTTGAGCCCAGGAGTTCAAGGCTGCCGTGAGCTATGATTGTGCCTCTGCAGTCCAGCCTGGGCGACAGAGAAAGACCCTGTCTCTTAAAAAAAAAAAAAAAAAAATCTTAGATAAGAGGATGCTGTGCCTCCCTGGGGGTCTTCAGTCACCCATGGTCCTGGCAAGAGAGGAGGGCCAGGAGAGAGCTTCACCCACCTGCTGTCCTGCCCATGTGACATCCGCAGGTGCTGCCATGGCCACGACTGTTGTTACACTCGAGCTGAGGAGGCCGGCTGCAGCCCCAAGACAGAGCGCTACTCCTGGCAGTGCGTCAATCAGAGCGTCCTGTGCGGTGAGTCCCCAGCAGCACCATGCCACCCACCCCGAGTATCCCCTGGGCACCCTGGCATAGCCAGATGACTTCCGTGCCCCTGTGGCAATAACCACTGCTTCCAAGTCTCTATAGACCACCCCTTGGGTATATCTAATGTAAGTGATATTTATTTTATTTATTTTTTGAGTCAGAGTCTCGCTCTGTCACCCAGGCTAGAGTGTGCTGATGTGATCTCGGCTCACTACAACCTCTGCCTCCTGGGTTCAAGCGATTCTCATGCCTCAGCCTCCCAAGTGGCTGGGACTACAGGCATGCACCATCACGCCCAGCTAATTTTTGTATTTTTTCAGTAGAGGTGGGGTTTCACCAAGTTGGCCGGGCTGGTCTCAAACTCCCCACCTCAAGTGCTCTGCCCGCCTCGGCCTCCCAAAGTGCTGGGATTACAGGCATGAGCCGTGGTGTCTGGCCCTAATGTGAGTGATCTTTAACACTGAGCACTTGAAAAAGAAAACCCTGAAGAAACCTAATTCTTTGATGTCTGGATGACAAGGAAGAAGATAGAAATGGCATCAGATAATAAACAGTGTAAATGTTTATCAGAAAGAGGCTGGTGGTCGGGACAAGTAGGAGGATTGCTTGAGTCCAGGAGTGCATCTCTACAAAAAAGTTAAAGGATTTTTTAACATTGGCCAGGCGTGGTGGCACACATCTGTGATCCCAGCTACTTGGGAGGCTGGGGCAGGAGGATTGCTTGAAGCCCAGGAGGTTGAGGCTGCAGTGAGCTGTGATCGAGCCACTGCACTCCAGCCTGGGTGACAGAGCAAACTCCAGTCTCAAAAAAAAAAACAAATAATAATATTTTACATAACCAACCACTTCTAAAGATTAAAAAAACCCCTACGATTAAAAACCTCAGGTCCCTCAGGCAATCATACCAGATATTGAAACAAAGCAATAACATAAGGACTGCAGTATTCATTTTATTTTTATATTATTTATTTATTCTTCGTTAGTTTCTTCAGATTATCATCCACTGAGGGTGGAAGGGGAGTGAGCAGACACACTTGGGAGGTGTCTTGAGATTATCATCCGCTGAGGGTGGAGCTGAGGGTGGAAGGGGAGTGAGCAGACACACTCGGGAGGTGTCTTGAGATTATCATCCGCTGAGGGTGGAGCTGAGGGTGGAAGGGGAGTGAGCAGACACTCGGAGGTGTCTTGAGATTATCATCCGCTGAGGGTGGAAGGGGATAGAGCAGACACTCCGCAGGTGTCTTGAGGCTCAGGGAGTTATCAGTTATAGAATGTTGTTGAGTTGGAGGAGGTGGCTGGTGGCCCATCCTGTTTTTTAAAGTTTCAGCTGTGAGGTAGGGCCAGCAGGGCAATCCTGAAGAATGACGATGCTCCGCTGCCGCCATTCTGACCTGTAGGGCCAAAGGAGGGAATGTTTTCACACATATTCATTTGATGGACAAAATTACCGCCACCAACACAGTCTGCACCTTCTGTTGCTGGTGATAGATTTTTGCACCTTTCCATCCTCCAGGTTTCAAAATAGCAGTATCAGTGTCATATCACCCTTCCACTGAGTACTGCCGACAGCTGGGGGGTAAAGAAAAGTCACTGGGACACACTGTTGTCTCCACATGCCACTGTGTCTGTCTGCAAATGTAGGCAGGCTGGGGTCCTGCCCCAGGGAAGACAGAGTCATAACAGAGTAATAAAGAAGCATGTTTGAGACACAGGAGTGTCTATGTCTATCCTCATTCCTCCCTCACAGCCATCACCAGAGCATGTTTCTTGCACCAGGTCAACAGACAGTAAGAGACAGTAAGAGAGGCATGAAAAGCCCATTGTCCACACATGTTGCAGCTTCTTTTTGGAGAATGTTTTCCAGGCCCTTTATGTTCTGTCTCTGATTCTCAGAACTCTGCAAGGTCAGTGTGACCACCCTGCTCCAAATCTAAGAAAACAGAGGTTTCCAGAGGAAGGAGAAATTGTGCCCAGGGTCACACAGCTTGCAAGAGGCAGAGTGGAAGTTGATTCCAGCTCTGCCTGCAGGACCCTCTCATTTCCCCTCTGTTTCCCTTCTTGACAAAGGATCTTCTTCACTCTGGAGGTGCCACCCATGAGAACAAAGAGCTCTGGAGAGATGTGGATTCCTGAAGAGCTGCAGGGGAACTGGGAGAGGGTTTTCTGACAGAACAATCTTACCTCAAGAAGTCAGTTAGGCATGGCTGTAATATTTCTTTTCACTCCCAGGTAATACCAAATTGTAAGTGCACTAGGACATAAAGAATACTTTTGTCCATGGAAAAATGAGGTGGGAATTCTAAACAAAGCAAGTTTTAAAACTGTGTTTCACTTCAAGTGTACAAGTCCCATCGCGTGTAATCATAGGACTCGGCAGCTTTTGAAGGTACAGAGGCCACACAAGAACCAGCTTAGCTGAGCATCATTTAAGGCCCTCATTTGGAATTGTCCCTGTGGGTAATAAGTTACATTCACTCTTCACTAATTTACAGTCAGGGCCCATTTGTTATTACAAATACGGAACCTCTGACACTTAGAATATTAGATGGGGGCCCCACTGGGTGGGGATGAAGGTGTTTTTGCGCAACACGGTTACCAACAGGGATGGGACTGTGATGCTTGTAGGCAGCCTTCCTCTCTGCCATCTCCCTCTGCAGGGCTTGAGCACAGAGCCGTAGGGAGAAAAATGTATCCATGTCCTGACCTGGCAGACTATGTCCAAAAGCAAGGAAAACAAGCAAACTTACCCGGTTGCAAAGAGGCTTTCTTGCAGAAGGGGTGATCTGAAAAAGCCAACACATGAGAAATTGAATGTTGAGAGAGTCTAAGGGCCGTGGCATCATCTGCATCAGCACTGAACTATCCTGCAACTGCGGGGAGGAAGCTCCTTACTTTGCATCTGTAGTAGTCCTCTGCCCGCCGCCGCAACGCTTGCGCACGTTGAAACATTTCCCTATGGATTACAATCACTTTCATCAGATAAAGCACCACTTTCAGGATGATTTTAAATAATCTGCCATGTTTCTGTTATCCTCACAACTGTACCCTTACACAATCTATCTCTACCTAGAAAACGTATTTCAGATGGCTGTAAGAGTACAGTCTGAGCCGGTCACGGTGGCTGATGCCTGTAATCCCAGCACTCTGGGAGGGCGAGGTGGATGGATCACGAGGTCAGGAGATTGAGACCATCCTGGCTAATACAGTGAAACCCTGTCTCTACTAAAAATACAAAAAATTAGGCGGGCGTGGTGGCAGGCACCTGTAAGCCCAGCTACTCGGGAGGCTGAGGCAGGGGAATCACTTGAACCTGGGAGGCGGAGGTTGCAGTGAGCCAAGATCACGTCATTGCACTCCAGCCTGGGTGACACAGCAAGACTCCATCTCAGAAAAACAAAAACAAAAACAAAAAAACTGTACAGTCTGATCCAAACTGTTGCTATATTGATTCCTCCTCTTGCTTACTGCCTGCTGACTTCTGAGATGATAGTTTCCTTCCCCATTCTCAGTATATCCCTAATTCATCCTTCATTGAGCATCTTTTATCATAAAGCTGTATTCTCTTTGTATTAATATCTTTACTGTGTTTCACAGGGCAGAAACAGCTGGGCTTATAAACAGGAATAGTCCTTTTGAAGGATGTGGTTGATCCTACAACAACACACTTTCCTAAGGATGACAACAACTCACCCCACCCCTAGAATGGCTGGTATGAACCGAGTTTCCACACAGTCTAGCTGGCAATGGGGTCAGGAGCCGTTTTGCTACTTCACATCTTTTGGTCACTGGTAAATATTAAGGTGCTTTGTTTTCTGTTTTGTGAACTCTCTCTCTCTCACGATATGTCTTCTGACCATTTGTTTCTATTTCTGCATTTACTGGGTCTAAACATTGTACAAAGGTTAAAAACAACACTCCAATGGGCGTTTCCCAAGAGGGTGGGGTTCAGTTTCTGAACTCACATGTAGGTGTGTATTTCTTTCATATCCAATTTCCCATTTTCCTCTGCCTCTGACACCTGCCTCTCCTTTTCTCCGTGCTCACGTTCTTTCATGCTTAGTTTCCTCAGACTAGAAGGGAGAGAAATGCACACACATGATCCACCAGCCCGTGTGGGATTCCCTCTGCCCTTCTGGCATCTGAAGGCTGATTCAAAGATCCCCCCTGCAACCTTCCCACAAATGAACCAACTGATTCTCACAAGCAAAGGGAGAATGGACACCTCCCATTGAGGGACAAAAAAAAAATCACACTCTGGCCTGCTGGCAAGTCACCTGTCATTTCCAGCTCATCTTCATAGTTCCATAGTTAGTCCTATTCTTTAGTAAATATAAAGACTATTAAAAGCTTCTATGAGGTGCACTATGTGTGTCTCTGGGGTCAGTCTTGTGCTTGACACAGCGAAAGCTCATTTTAGTTCAGTGTGAAAAACCAGACCTCACCAATTCATCACAACTAACTCCATCGGAAGCAGAGGATTGCTCCTCATCTGACTCCTCCTGTGTGAGACCTGATTCTCAGTCAGAGGCTGATGCTGGAACTGAGACCATCAGCCATAGAGAGATCCTTCCAGAATATGGTGTCATTAACCCCGCAGTTCACTACTGCACTTTGCCATGATTCAGGACTGGAACTCTTGTCATCGACTTTAAAGATCCTGAAAAGGCAATCTGAATGCTGGGCGCATCTATTGAATTAGAAATGATCGGAATGGCTCCTAAGTCAGGGTGTCATGTCCTGAAAATAGGTGACAACTGCAAACCATCCACCCTGGTGTTGACTGACTTTAACAAGGTTCAGTTCACAGAGATTGAGGGCAGAAAAAGGAAATGGCCTCAAAAGGGTAAGTTTGCTGTGTTGCCCTCACACCACTTGATTCATGGTCCTGATCCTAAGGATCTCACCTGATACTTGGTTTTATAGGAAGGATGTATAAAATTCCCAGAACGCTAGGAAACAGGGACGAAAACACTTCAAAGAGAAAGTTAATGAACTTGTTTCTGACCACAGGGCATCCTTCAGCACATGCTGTCTGGAGTGGCCTCAAACAAGGAGTGTGTGGTGAGGTGCTGACAATGCAATGGGAGCAGGGTCCTGTCCCCACGCTAAAGAAGCTCACAGTTTAATGCAAATGAGAAGCCAGTGAGGACATCACTACTCCTGCTGTGCACTTGGGAACTAGAAACACAAAACCTGACTCTGGAGGGAAGCTAAGGAAGCATTCTACTCTTGAGTTGACATAAGTGCATCTGAAGCTTCTGATCTCCGATGAGAACAATGGGGGACACCAAACAGAATATAAAACCCATGATTGAATACATCAAATTGCTAACATGGCAGTAAACAGACATGAGGTGAAGATGGAGAAGAAGGAAACCCAGGACGAAAGTCAGCCTCGCATTTGGAACCCATTTCCCTGAGTTTCATTGCTGAATTCCAGAAGGAACTACTGAGATGCAAAGAAGCACAGCAGCTTTTGCACACATGCGTGGGGTTAGATGGAAAACAAGTGGATTGAGGGTCTGCCAATGAAAGCGACCCATACTGAAGTCCACTGGCTCTGGTTGAGACCCAGAAGAGTCATGCATCAGAATAGAGGTGGACAGGAAATACCGTGGCCTTTGTAGGGACTGAGCCTGCACCGACGACCTCAATTGCAGCCTGTATGGAGGACCCCTGACCATCCCCCAGAAGTAGACTCCCATCTCTTCTGCAGCAAGATAACATGCTACTAGGCCTCAATTCATTGCTAAATATTTTTTAACAAGTATCTCACATTTAACAAAAAAAGATCAGTCATATGGGCAGCAAAATACAATGTAATATGACCAAAACATGAAAGACTGTGAAAATGAATCTGGAGGTGACCCAAGCATTGAATTCAACAATCCAGGCTGGGTGCGGTGGCTCACACCGGGAGGCTGAGGTAGGCAGATCACCTGAGGTCAGGAGTTCAAGACTAGCCTGGCCAACATGGTGAACCCGTCTCTACTAAAAATACAAAAATTGGGCTGGGCACGGTGGCTCACGCCTGTAATCCCAGCACATTGGGAGGCCGAGGTGTGCGGATCATGATGTCAGGAGTTCTAGACCAGCTTGGCCAATATGGTGAAACCCCGCCTCTACTAAAAATACAAAAATTATCTGGGCATGGTGGCATATGCCTGTAGTCCCAGCTACTCAAGAGGCTGAGGGATAAGAATCGTTTGAACCTGGGAGGCGGAGGTTGCAGTGAGCCAAGATCATGCCACTGCACTCTAGCCTGGGTGACAGAGTGAGACTCTGTCTCAAAAAAAAAAAAAAAAAAAAAAAAAAAAAAAAAAAAAAAAAAAAAATTGGCCGAATGTGGCGGCACACACCTGTAATCCAAGCTACTCGGGAAGCTGAGGCAGAATTGCTTCAAACTGGGAGGCAGAGGTTGCAGTGAGCCAAGATTGCACCACAGCACTCCAGCCTGGGCGACAGAGCGAGACTCTATCTCAAAATTTAAAAAAAAAAAAAAAAGGCTGGGTGTGGTGGCTCACGCCTCTAATCCCAGCACTTTGGGAGGCTGAGGCGGGTGGATTACCTGAGGTCAGAAGTTCGAGACCAGCCTGGACAACATGGTGAAACCCCATCTCTAGTAAAAATACAAAAATTAGCTGGGCGTGGTGGTGGGCACCTGTAATCCCAGCTACTTGGGAGGCTGAGGCAGGAGAATTGCTTGAACCCAAAAGACAGTGAGCTGAGATTGTGCCATTGCACTACAGCCTGGGCAACACGAGCAAAGCCCCATCTCAGGAAAAAAAAAAAAAGAGAGAGAGAGACAAAGGAAAACCAATGCCAGTACTAGCAACTCCTCTTCCCCTGAAAAAATGACAAACAAGAATGTAGGAAGGGAAAGGAATTATACAGCTTAAACTAATGAAGCAGAAAGGACAAACTCAATTTTGAACCCACTGAATTTGCCACAAATATTGTAGAAAATATTCTCAAGGACTTTACAGTTGTCTACTTTGATTGGCACATGGTTCATACAACAGTATTTGTGTCAAGGCACATCTTACTGTTCTTTGGCGGTCTTCCTCTTTCCATTGATTTTGTCATGACGGTTGACTTTTGTTGTCACCTTCATCTTACGGATTTTAGCTCGAACCTTGGTTTCCACCTGTCTCCATAAAGTAAAGATGTCTTCCAGGACAATTTTAATTCCTGGAAAGGAAGAAACTCTTTTCTTTGTGTGCATACAAATGGACTTCAGCCCTTGGTGAGAGTGAGGAGAGGAGAAGGTGAGAAACCTGAGGGCAAGAAGCTGTTCTTTCCCTTTCCAGGGCAAACTCATTTCCACACTATGGGGACTCCAACAGAACCATACCTTCCTGTCTACGGCGGTTGGACCTCCTGGCTCTCTGCTGTACATCCGTGGATCCATCATGTCCATTTTGAGACGGGAAGATAGTCTTCAGGAAAGACACCTAGGAAATAATAATATAAGAATGACGGCTGGGCACGGTGGCTCATGCGTATAATCCCAGTACTTTGGGAGGCCGAGGCAGGGTGGATCACGGGGTCAGGAGTTCAAGACCAGCCTGGCCAAGATGGTGAAACCCCATCTCTACTAAAAATACAAAAATTAGCCGGGCATGGCAGTGGGCGCCTGTAATCCGAGCTACTCGGGAGGCTGAGGCAGAGAACCGTTTGAAGCTGGGAGGCGGAGGTTGCAGTGAGCGGAGATCACACCACTGCACTCCAGCCTGAGCGACAGAATGAGACTCTGTCACACACACACACACACACACACACACACACAAAACACACAAGAATGACGAGGCTGGCATGTTGGCTCACTCCCGTAATCCCAGCACTTTGGGAGGCCGAGGCAGGCGGATCACCTGAGGTCGGGAGTTTGAGACCAGCCTCACCAACATGGAGAAACGCTGTCTCTGCTAAAAATACAAAATTAGCCAGGCATGGTGGTGCATGCCTGTAATCCCAGCTAGTCGGGAGGCTGAGGCAGGAGAATCACTTGAACCCAGCAGGAAAAAGTTGTGTTGAGCTGAGATTGTGCCATTGCACTCCAACCTGGGCAACAAAATTCAAACTCTGTCTCAAAAAAAAAAAAAAAAAAATAGGCCAGGTGTGGTAGCTCACGCCTGTAATCCTAGCACTTTGGGAGGCCGAGGCGGGTGAATCACAAGGTCAAGAGATGGAGACCATCCTGGGCAACATGGTGAAACCCCGTCTCTACTAAAAATACAAAAATTAGCTGAGCATGGTGGCGCACGCCTGTAGTCCCAGCTACTCCGGAGGCTGAGGCAGGAGAACTGCTTGAACCCAAGAGGCAGAGGTTGCAGTGAGCCAAGATCCCACCACTGCACTCCAGCCTGGTGACAGAGTGAGACTCCGTCTCAAAAAAAAAAAAAAAAAAAAAAATGACATGAATATACTTCACACAACTGAACTGTACACTTCAACACGGTTAGATGGTAATTATCATCTTGTAAGTATTTTACCACAGGTTAACATGTTTCACAACTTGAAAAGGAAGGAATTAATTACCTTCAGCTCTCTGAGTTCTAGAATTTGTAACATTTCACCCCCTGCTCCTTCCTGATCTGCACTGGAGCATCTTTCTTCTGTCCCTGCTCTACTCAGAGTTCACTTTCCCTTCCCTCACATCAGCTTCGTTGAGGCTGGTTTGAACTTTACGCAAAACATTCTCACTAATGACTGAATTCCCACCAAATTTCCATATTATCACAGTATGCTTTTAATCTTCTCAGATATTAAGTATTTGTTCTCATCATAGCTAAAATGCAAAGCAAATCCCATCTCAGATGTGGGTCAGATACCTATGAATCTCCTGAGGTAGTCATTGAAATGACTTTTTTCTTGAGACGGAGTGTCAGTCAACCATGCTGAAGTGCAGTGGCGCTACCTTGGCTCACGGCAACCTCCACCTCCCAGATTCAAGCGATTCTTGTGCCTCGGCCTCCCAAGTAGCTGGGATTACAGGTGCCTGCTACCATGCCTGGCTAATTTTTGTCTTTTTAGTAGAGATGGGATTTCACTATGTTGGCCCATCTGGTCTTGAACTCCTGACCTCAAGTGATCCACCTGCCTCAGCCTCCCAAAGTGCTGGGATTACAGGCATGAGCCACCACACCTGGCCTGAAATAATATCTTTCAAATTCTTTGTAGAATTTGTTTTTTCCTGATTTCTGCACATAGGATAAAAAAAAAATCATGTACTAGGATTTCGAGAGAAGCAATGGGTAATCTAAAAAGATGAAAAGAGCAACCACGTCTATCCCACAGCTACTGCTAGATTTCATAGGAAAGGTAGCTGGCCCAGTTTGGAGCTAGGAGAAATGTCAAACACATGAAGAAATGAGAAGCAAAGAAATGCCATCACACATGAATGCTTCATGGCACCCATGATGTCCCTGCTTAGGAGGTAATGGTATAGATGACTAGATGACAAGGACAAAGATGAGAGGTACAAAGTTGTCCAAGTCCAACAGCTCAACTGAACTTTCCTAAATGGAATTGTTAAAAAGTGGTAAATTTAAAAACTTCCCCTGGCTCACGTGGTGGCTCACGCTTGTAATCCCAGCACTTTGGGAGGCTGAGGCGGGTGGATCATTTGAGGTCGGGTTTTGAGACTAGCCTGGCCAACATGGTAAAACCCCGACTCTACTAAAAATACACAAATTAGCTGGGCATGGTGGTGGGCACCTGTAATCCCAGCTACTTGAGAGGCTGAGGCAGGGGAATCACTTGAAGCCAGGAGGTGGAGGTTGCAGTGAGCCGAGATCACACCATTATACTCCAGCCTGGGCAACAGAGGGAGACTCGTCTTGGGGGTGAGAAAAGAAAAAAAAAAAAAAAAGCTTCCTCCAATTTATACCAAAAATTCTCTGTTCAGGACTAAGTGGCATAGAGAATGTTAAATGTGCCTAGATATCTTCATAACTCATATATTTTCTGTTTTCCACATATCTTGAAAGGCAGTGCCAAATGACGTGTAATTATCTAGGTGGTAAAACTGAAACATACTTCCTCTTCCCTTGAATATCAAAAAGCATTGTGGTATTAGTACTTTTATCTTGGATCATTGTTCAGAAGGAGGTTCAGCCCCCACACAACCACATTTTTACTGTCATGAGTGGCAAGACAAAATGTAGAGCTCAACTTACCCAAAGGAAAAAAGGCTCAAAAGACAAATTATGCCACAACTTAGCAGCCAAATTCTTACCAAGTACAGACTTTTGACATACTGATCTCTCTCCAGTTGCAAGTGGGAACATGCACTTTGAATGATGTCATTCAAAATTACCCTGCCCAGACACACTTTTCATTGATTCTCTTGGAGGGCAGTTCTAAGAGATTCTCTGGGGCTTTCTCTGCATCATGAGACGCAGTGCAGTTCTGCCCTTCACCTTCCGGCAGTTTGTCACCTCGTCCCTATGACCTCAGAGGAACTTTGTCTCAGGCCAACTGTTTGTTCCTTGGGCTCTTTCATTTCCCCTAAAAATCATTTGCTGCCCCTCTAAATGGCCTACATCTCCATCTATCTCCCTCTCCCCTCAGAAGAGGGTGCTCTTTAAGCATCAACCATCCAGCCCTTCTAGCAGTCTCATTTTTCAGCTGGTTCCCATGTTTATGCCTGTTCTATGTTTTTCTTTTCCTGTTAAGCTGTCTGTTGTCAGCTCATTTCTGCAGTGAATCTTCAGAGAGGAGATTGGAAGCTTTCCTTCCACCCATACGATAGAACTATAAAGCAGAATAGTTTAGAAAGACTTTCCCATTTAAGTGACGAAACCTCATACTCCATTTGTGACAAATAGCACAAAGGTTAAAAAAACTTATTTTTGACCAAAAGCTCTGTTGACATTCTATTAAACACCGACCTATTTAATTTTCATAATGTAAATGGCAGATATTTTCATAATTCTTATGCTAATAAATCATTTCCCTGATTTTTTGGGTAAAACCACATATTCATAATGAAGTCCAGAAACGTGAAGTGTTTCATATAATTTATTCTTATTTGTGATTACAAGTATACCTCTACAGAAAGTTAGTATACTCACACAAAGGTAAGTTGTGCAGAGGGAGATGGCAAATTTATAACTTCTCAGAAACACAGTAATGATAAGTAACCAAGGACTTCCACCAAAGTCAGTCCCACGATGACGATGGTCAGCCAGAGTATTGATAACCTGGAATAATAATAGTTGAAATAATGAAAAGGTCAATGACACTGACAATATTTCACTCAGAAAGAATCATCCTTAGAAACCGTCAACCTCCTCCAAAAGGTAACCACATCCCTCAGATATCACCGTGGGATTCCACTGCTACAAAAAAGAACAGAAGTTAGAGAAGTCTCATGTTTTTCAGATGGCTGGTAGTGTTTTTAGGCATTGCAAATGTGGGGTGTTGTCTTTCTTGGTATAAAGCAGGGATATCCAATCTTTTGACTTCCCTGCCTATATTAAAAGAAGCAAAGTTGTCTTGAGCCACACATAACATACACTAACACTAACAATAGCTGATGATCTAAAAAAAAAAAAAATTTTTTTTTTTTTTTTTTTTTGAGACAGAGTTCTGCTCCACTCAGTCGCCCAGGCTGGAGTGCAGTGGTGCAATCTCGGCTCGCTACAACCTCCAGCTCCTGGGCTCAAGCCATTCTCCTGCCTCAGCCTCCCGAGCAGCTGAGATTACAGGTCTCTGCCACCATGCCCGACTAATTTTTGTATTTTTAGTAGAGATGAGGTTTCACCATGTTGCCCAGTCTGGCCTTGAACTCCTGACAGGCGATCTGCCTGCCTCAGCCTCCCAAAGTGCTGGGATTACAGGTGTGAGCCACCGTGCCCAGCCATTTTTTTTCTTTTTGTTTGTTGTTTGTTTTTGAGATGGGGTCTCACTCTGTCACCCAGGCTAGAGTGCAGTGGTGTGCTCTTGGCTCACTGCAACCTCTGCCTCTCAGGTTCAAGTGATTCTCCTGCCTCAGCCTCCTGAGTAGCTGGGAGTACAGGTGCCTGACAGTGCACTCAGCAAATTTTTGTATTTTTTGTGGAGATGGGGTTTTGCCATGTTAGCCAGGGTGGTCTCGAACTCCTGACCTCAGGTAATCTGCCCGCCTCAGCCTCCCAAAGTGCTGGGATTACAGGCATGAGCCACTGTACCTGGCCAAAATCTCCTAATGTTTTAAGAAAGTTTACAAATTTGTGTTGAACTGCATTCAAAACTGTCCTGGGCCACATGCAGCCCGTCACTCATGGGTAAGACAAGCTAAGTATAAAGTAATTATCTTATCTTTTCTTTTTGTTTTGAGACAAAGTCTTGCTCTGTCACCCAGGCTAGATTGCAGTGGCATGATCTCAGCTCACTGCAACCTCCACCTCCCGGGTTCAAGCGATTCTCCTGCCTCAGCTACTGAGTAACTGGGATTACAGGCGCCTGCCACCACGCTCGGCTAATTTTTGTCTTTTTAGTAGAAACGGTTTCACCATCTTGGCCAGGCTGGTCTCCAACTCCTGACCTCATGATCCACCTGCCTCGGCCTCCCAAAGTCCTGGGAATACACGTGTGAGCCACTGCACCTGGCCAGTAGTTATCTTTTCTTTAGTTATTTACTTGTTTTTTAAATTGATGTATAACATTGGATGCATTTATTATATATCACATGGTAAAAGAATCCCTCTAAATAATACTTCTCTCTTGGATTATATGAATCTTTGTCATTTAAAGCTCAGCATAAGTAAAAAAAAAAAAAAATACAATGAAGAGATTACTTCATTCACAAATAAGTATCGAATTTTAGTGCTTAAAAATTAACAAGGTGGGCCGGGCGTGGTGGCTCACGCCTGCAATCCCAGCACTTTGGGAAGCCAAGGTGGGTGGACCATGAGATCAGGAGATTGAGACCATCCTAGCTAACACGGTGAAACCCATCTCTACTAAAAATACAAAAAATTAGCAGGGCATGGTGGCACGCGCCTATAGTTCCAGCTACTTGGGAGGCTGAGGCAGAAGAATCACTTGAACCTGGGAGGTAGAGGTTGCAGTGAGCCGAGATCGCACCACTGCACTTCAGCCTGGGTGACAGAGCGAGACTCTGTCTCAAAAAAAAAAAAAAAAAAAAAAATTACCAAGGTGGAGATCATGAAAATGGCATGAATAGTGTGGGATTTCTCTAAGATTGTTGATATTAATTCCATTAGACTCTTATGTGAGTGAAGACGAAGACTTCCCCTGAGTAAGTTCAGACAGCTTCTGATAACATTTCTACATCGATTCCTCAGGATTTAACTATATATTCTTGAAAACATCTCAATTTTAAATGTTTCTTTCAAGATGGTGAATTAAACAGAGATAGCCCTTCAACAGGTTGAACTCAGCATATGCTGAGTCTGAAATGGAAATGATGGAGTTAGAGAACCATACAACAATGGTAATGATTTCAGAAATATGGTGTTGAGCAGAACAAAGCAGACACAAAAGAGTACCTATGGCATGGCATGCATCTGTATACGTGAAATTCCAGAATAAGCAAGCTAACCTATGATAAGAAAGAGACTGGCTGGGAAGAGTGAGAGTTCACTTTCTGGGGTGACATAATAGTGTAGATCTTGGCTGGGCACGGTGGTTCACGCCTGTAATCCCAACACTTTGGGAGGCCGAGGCGGGCGGATCACCTGAGGTCGGGAGTTCAAAACCAGCCTGACCAACATGGAGAAACCCTATCTCTACTAAAAATACAAAATTAGCTGGGAGTGGTGGCACATGTCTGTAATCCCAGCCACTCGGGAGGCTGAGGCAGGAGAATCGCTCGAACCTGGGAAGCAGAGGTTGCGGTGAGCTGATATTGGCCCATTGCACTCCAGCCTCAGCAACAAGGGAGAAACTGTCTCAAATAAATAAATAAATAAATAAAATAATGTAGATCTTGAAAGGGGGTTGGTTTATGCTGGTGTATGTACTTTCCAAAGTTAGTAAACTTACACTTAAGGTTATATATTTTGGCCAGGCGCGGTGGCTCACGCCTGTAATCCCAGCACTGGGAGGCCGAGGCAGGCGGATCACGAGGTCAAGAGATGGAGACTATCCTGGCGAACATGGTGAAACCCAGTCTCTACTAAAAATACAAAAATTAGCCAGGCGTGGTGGTCTACTAAAAATACACAAATTAGCTGGGCATGGTGGTGGGCACCTGTAATCCCAGCTACTTGAGAGGCTGAGGCAGGGGAATCACTTGAAGCCAGGAGGTGGAGGTTGCAGTGAGCCGAGATCACACCATTATACTCCAGCCTGGGCAACAGAGGGAGACTCGTCTTGGGGGTGAGAAAAGAAAAAAAAAAAAAAAAGCTTCCTCCAATTTATACCAAAAATTCTCTGTTCAGGACTAAGTGGCATAGAGAATGTTAAATGTGCCTAGATATCTTCATAACTCATATATTTTCTGTTTTCCACATATCTTGAAAGGCAGTGCCAAATGACGTGTAATTATCTAGGTGGTAAAACTGAAACATACTTCCTCTTCCCTTGAATATCAAAAAGCATTGTGGTATTAGTACTTTTATCTTGGATCATTGTTCAGAAGGAGGTTCAGCCCCCACACAACCACATTTTTACTGTCATGAGTGGCAAGACAAAATGTAGAGCTCAACTTACCCAAAGGAAAAAAGGCTCAAAAGACAAATTATGCCACAACTTAGCAGCCAAATTCTTACCAAGTACAGACTTTTGACATACTGATCTCTCTCCAGTTGCAAGTGGGAACATGCACTTTGAATGATGTCATTCAAAATTACCCTGCCCAGACACACTTTTCATTGATTCTCTTGGAGGGCAGTTCTAAGAGATTCTCTGGGGCTTTCTCTGCATCATGAGACGCAGTGCAGTTCTGCCCTTCACCTTCCGGCAGTTTGTCACCTCGTCCCTATGACCTCAGAGGAACTTTGTCTCAGGCCAACTGTTTGTTCCTTGGGCTCTTTCATTTCCCCTAAAAATCATTTGCTGCCCCTCTAAATGGCCTACATCTCCATCTATCTCCCTCTCCCCTCAGAAGAGGGTGCTCTTTAAGCATCAACCATCCAGCCCTTCTAGCAGTCTCATTTTTCAGCTGGTTCCCATGTTTATGCCTGTTCTATGTTTTTCTTTTCCTGTTAAGCTGTCTGTTGTCAGCTCATTTCTGCAGTGAATCTTCAGAGAGGAGATTGGAAGCTTTCCTTCCACCCATACGATAGAACTATAAAGCAGAATAGTTTAGAAAGACTTTCTCATTTAAGTGACGAAACCTCATACTCCATTTGTGACAAATAGCACAAAGGTTAAAAAAACTTATTTTTGACCAAAAGCTCTGTTGACATTCTATTAAACACCGACCTATTTAATTTTCATAATGTAAATGGCAGATATTTTCATAATTCTTATGCTAATAAATCATTTCCCTGATTTTTTGGGTAAAACCACATATTCATAATGAAGTCCAGAAACGTGAAGTGTTTCATATAATTTATTCTTATTTGTGATTACAAGTATACCTCTACAGAAAGTTAGTATACTCACCCAAAGGTAAGTTGTGCAGAGGGAGATGGCAAATTTATAACTTCTCAGAAACACAGTAATGATAAGTAACCAAGGACTTCCACCAAAGTCAGTCCCACGATGACGATGGTCAGCCAGAGTATTGATAACCTGGAATAATAATAGTTGAAATAATGAAAAGGTCAATGACACTGACAATATTTCACTCAGAAAGAATCATCCTTAGAAACCGTCAACCTCCTCCAAAAGGTAACCACATCCCTCAGATATCACCGTGGGATTCCACTGCTACAAAAAAGAACAGAAGTTAGAGAAGTCTCATGTTTTTCAGATGGCTGGTAGTGTTTTTAGGCATTGCAAATGTGGGGTGTTGTCTTTCTTGGTATAAAGCAGGGATATCCAATCTTTTGACTTCCCTGCCTATATTAAAAGAAGCAAAGTTGTCTTGAGCCACACATAACATACACTAACACTAACAATAGCTGATGATCTAAAAAAAAAAAATTTTTTTTGTTTTTTTTTTTTTTGAGACAGAGTTCTGCTCCACTCAGTCGCCCAGGCTGGAGTGCAGTGGTGCAATCTCGGCTCGCTGCAACCTCCAGCTCCTGGGCTCAAGCCATTCTCCTGCCTCAGCCTCCCGAGCAGCTGAGATTACAGGTCTCTGCCACCATGCCCGACTAATTTTTGTATTTTTAGTAGAGATGAGGTTTCACCATGTTGCCCAGTCTGGCCTTGAACTCCTGACAGGCGATCTGCCTGCCTCAGCCTCCCAAAGTGCTGGGATTACAGGTGTGAGCCACCGTGCCCAGCCATTTTTTTTCTTTTTGTTTGTTGTTTGTTTTTGAGATGGGGTCTCACTCTGTCACCCAGGCTAGAGTGCAGTGGTGTGCTCTTGGCTCACTGCAACCTCTGCCTCTCAGGTTCAAGTGATTCTCCTGCCTCAGCCTCCTGAGTAGCTGGGAGTATAGGTGCCTGACAGTGCACTCAGCAAATTTTTGTATTTTTTGTGGAGATGGGGTTTTGCCATGTTAGCCAGGGTGGTCTCGAACTCCTGACCTCAGGTAATCTGCCCGCCTCAGCCTCCCAAAGTGCTGGGATTACAGGCATGAGCCACTGTACCTGGCCAAAATCTCCTAATGTTTTAAGAAAGTTTACAAATTTGTGTTGAACTGCATTCAAAACTGTCCTGGGCCACATGCAGCCCGTCACTCATGGGTAAGACAAGCTAAGTATAAAGTAATTATCTTATCTTTTCTTTTTGTTTTGAGACAAAGTCTTGCTCTGTCACCCAGGCTAGATTGCAGTGGCATGATCTCAGCTCACTGCAACCTCCACCTCCCGGGTTCAAGCGATTCTCCTGCCTCAGCTACTGAGTAACTGGGATTACAGGCGCCTGCCACCACGCTCGGCTAATTTTTGTCTTTTTAGTAGAAACGGTTTCACCATCTTGGCCAGGCTGGTCTCCAACTCCTGACCTCATGATCCACCTGCCTCGGCCTCCCAAAGTCCTGGGAATACACGTGTGAGCCACTGCACCTGGCCAGTAGTTATCTTTTCTTTAGTTATTTACTTGTTTTTTAAATTGATGTATAACATTGGATGCATTTATTATATATCACATGGTAAAAGAATCCCTCTAAATAATACTTCTCTCTTGGATTATATGAATCTTTGTCATTTAAAGCTCAGCATAAGTAAAAAAAAAAAAAAATACAATGAAGAGATTACTTCATTCACAAATAAGTATCGAATTTTAGTGCTTAAAAATTAACAAGGTGGGCCGGGCGTGGTGGCTCACGCCTGCAATCCCAGCACTTTGGGAAGCCAAGGTGGGTGGACCATGAGATCAGGAGATTGAGACCATCCTAGCTAACACGGTGAAACCCATCTCTACTAAAAATACAAAAAATTAGCAGGGCATGGTGGCACGCGCCTATAGTTCCAGCTACTTGGGAGGCTGAGGCAGAAGAATCACTTGAACCTGGGAGGTAGAGGTTGCAGTGAGCCGAGATCGCACCACTGCACTTCAGCCTGGGTGACAGAGCGAGACTCTGTCTCAAAAAAAAGAAAAAAAAAAAAAAATTACCGAGGTGGAGATCATGAAAATGGCATGAATAGTGTGGGATTTCTCTAAGATTGTTGATATTAATTCCATTAGACTCTTATGTGAGTGAAGACGAAGACTTCCCCTGAGTAAGTTCAGACAGCTTCTGATAACATTTCTACATCGATTCCTCAGGATTTAACTATATATTCTTGAAAACATCTCAATTTTAAATGTTTCTTTCAAGATGGTGAATTAAACAGAGATAGCCCTTCAACAGGTTGAACTCAGCATATGCTGAGTCTGAAATGGAAATGATGGAGTTAGAGAACCATACAACAATGGTAATGATTTCAGAAATATGGTGTTGAGCAGAACAAAGCAGACACAAAAGAGTACCTATGGCATGGCATGCATCTGTATACGTGAAATTCCAGAATAAGCAAGCTAACCTATGATAAGAAAGAGACTGGCTGGGAAGAGTGAGAGTTCACTTTCTGGGGTGACATAATAGTGTAGATCTTGGCTGGGCACGGTGGTTCACGCCTGTAATCCCAACACTTTGGGAGGCCGAGGCGGGCGGATCACCTGAGGTCGGGAGTTCAAAACCAGCCTGACCAACATGGAGAAACCCTATCTCTACTAAAAATACAAAATTAGCTGGGAGTGGTGGCACATGTCTGTAATCCCAGCCACTCGGGAGGCTGAGGCAGGAGAATCGCTCGAACCTGGGAAGCAGAGGTTGCGGTGAGCTGATATTGGCCCATTGCACTCCAGCCTCAGCAACAAGGGAGAAACTGTCTCAAATAAATAAATAAATAAATAAAATAATGTAGATCTTGAAAGGGGGTTGGTTTATGCTGGTGTATGTACTTTCCAAAGTTAGTAAACTTACACTTAAGGTTATATATTTTGGCCAGGCGCGGTGGCTCACGCCTGTAATCCCAGCACTGGGAGGCCGAGGCAGGCGGATCACGAGGTCAAGAGATGGAGACTATCCTGGCGAACATGGTGAAACCCAGTCTCTACTAAAAATACAAAAATTAGCCAGGCGTGGTGGTCTACTAAAAATACAAAAATTAGCCAGGCGTTGTAATCTGAGCTACTCAGGAGGCTGAGGCAGGACAATTGCTTGAACCCCGGAAGCGGAGGTTGCAGTGAGCCGAGATCTTGCCACTGCACTCCAGCCTGGGCGACAGAGTGAGACTCTGTCTAAAAAACAAACAAACAAACAAAAAAGTCATCAAACCAGATGACACAAATCAAATGACATTTCACTTTGTTTTGGTCCGTTTTGTTTGTTAGAGACAAGAGTGCAGCGGGGCCATCTCGGCTCACTGCAACGTCCAGCTCCTGGGCCCAAGCGATCCTCCCACCTCAGCCTCTCCAGTAACTGGGATAACAGGTACGCACCACCAGGCCCGACTAATCTTTTTTGGAATTTTTTGTAGAGATGGGGTTTCGCTATGATGCCCTGGCTAGTCTTCAACTCCTGGACTCAAGTGATCTGCCCACCTCGGCCCCCTAAAGTGCTGGGATTACAGGCCTGAGCTGTGTAATTTCATGCCGCGTGACACAGCCCAGTAAAAAGGAAGAAACCCCGCGGGTCCAGCGTCTACTCACACAGGTGGACTGATGGCTGATAAATCCCAGCAGGAGCCGAAAGAGCAGCCACAGCACCCATCTACTCACACAGGTGGACTGATGGCTGATAAATCCCAGCAGGAGCCAAAAGAGAAGCCAAAAGAGCAGCCACCGCACCCGCATGTCCTGGTCCTTTCAGGGCGCCCGGAGGTGGCCAGGACAGAGGTGGAGGTGGCTTAGGGCAGGGGGGAGGGAAGGGGACGGGGACTGGGCGGGATCTGAGTTGGGGAGGGGGAGGGGAAGGGGAGGGGAAGGGGAGGGGAAGGGGGGAGTAAGGGAAGGGAAAGGAGAAGGGGGCTGTTGGGTACCTGGAGGAGGTGGAGGAGGAGGAGGAGAAGAAGAAAGGGGTCTGGGAAAGGATCCGGTTCAAATTAAGTTCTCAAGCGCTGGTGGAAGGTTTAGCTACAGGTCACGGAGAAGATCAGGGAAGCAACAGGACACGCGGGGCAAGGGAGCGTGAGGCTTAGGAGCAATTAGAGGGAGACAAAGGTTCTGCTTTCCACCAAACCTTCTTCGGTCTGGGCCCTCCCTTAGCAACCCTGGGGCTTTAGACTCTCTCTCCACCAATCCCTGATGACCCCGGTGGTGCCTCACAATGGACATTCCAAGTAGCGCCCGCATCATCCCAATGACCCCTCCCCCATCTCAGTCCCCCACGCTCCTCCCAAGACCAGGTCCTCTCTGGAACCTTCACAAACCTGATTTCTGGTCCACCCCAACCAGCTCCCTGTCCCTGCTTCTGGGCGCTCCTTCCTTCCTGAGCTCCCAGGGTTCCTCAAGGTCACTTTTGGTGACAAAACATAAAAAACAAATGATGGCAGGATGGCAGGAAGAACCTCATACCCAAGCAGAGTGCCAGGTTTTACAGCCTCCGCTCAGCCATTCATATCCTAAGCAACAAAACATCAGCAGGATGCGGAAGGTCCCGATAGTAAACCATCTCCATCACATCCATGTAGCCATCCGTCCATCAACCTGTATCTCAGGAACAAATGTACATACATTCATTTTAAGCATGCATGGTACATTTACAAAAATTAACCTGACTTATTTTGTTCCAGCAAATCTCAATATATTTGAGAGCAATCAAATCACACAGCATGTTTCTGATCATATAACTGTGCTAGAAGTCAATGATTAAAAGCTAATTCAAAATTATTATTTGCTTGGAAATTCAAAGTGCCCTTATAAGACATAAACATAAGAAAGAATCCAAAATGAAACAAGATTGCCTTTCAACTCAATGATGAGATCATAACATGGCAATAAAATGTCTCCCTCTGGCCTGGGAATTCCTCTTTGTGGCACAAGGTTGTGTGATCTCAAATCACCCCTAACCCACCTAGACATTTTAACATCCGAAACCGAGTGATGATGTCCTTATCTATATCATCTTACTGCCCGTGTGTGTGGACTTTAAATTCTGAACCCAAATGAGGGGGAGAAAACCAAGCTGACTTTCATGACTGGCCTCTCAGGGACGTCCAAGGAATCTATGCATTTCAAGAAACAAAGTTCATCAGCTTCTCTCCTAAGGTGTTTGCCCACAATACCCAGAGGGCTTGGCCGCATCATGTGTGATGGGTGGGGAGCTCCAAGCAGGTGGGCAGGACCCAGGGGCCTGGTGACCAGGACAGACCCCCACTGTCCATCACCTTTCCTGGCCCTGTCCTCAGCTAAACTTCCCACAGGCCTTCTGCCCAATCACACAGAGTGTGCCCAAACTCTCTCAGGCCTCTGGCAGCTGAAAACCACTGCTTTAAATCCCTTTACCATTTACTATGACATAAGGTTATTGTAAACAGGAAATATTCTATTGATGCTACAAATAGAAAGCCAATGCCTTTACCATAAATAGAAAAACAACCCTAAGAAACAAGCAAAACAAAAACAAAACAGGGGCTGGGGGTGGTGGCTCACGCCTGTAATCCCAGCACTTTGGGAGGCCGAGGTGGGCGGATCACAAGGTCAGGAGTTCCAGACCAGCCTGGCCAATATGGTGAAACCCTGTGTCTAATAAAATACAAAAATTAGCCGGGTGCGGTGGTGGGCGCCTGTAGTCCCACCTACTTGGGAGGCTGAGGCAGGAGAACAGTTTGAACCCGGGAGGCAGAGTCTGCAGTGAGCCGAGATTGCACCACTGCACTCCAGCCTAGGCGACAGAGCGAGACTCTGTCTCAAAAACAGCAACAACTACAAACAAAAAACAGGGTTAACAAAAGTATGGAATTCAATTCTTTTTATATGCTGCAGCCATGTTCCAGCCCTAGATTTGGCTGGGCATGGTGGCTCACGCCTGTAATCCCAGCACTTTGGGAGGCTGAGGCAGGCGGATCACGAGGTTAGGAGTTCGAGACCAGCCTCACCAACATGCTGAAACCCCGTCTCTACCAAAAATACAAAAATTAGCCAGGCATGGTGGCACACGCCTGTAACCCCAGCTACTCAGGAGGCTGAGGCAGGACAATCCCTTGAACCCGGGAGGCGGAGGTTGCAGTGAGCCGAGATCGTACCATTGCACTCCAGCCTGGGTGACAGAATGGAATGAGACTCTGTCTCAAAAAAAAAAAAAAAAAAAAAAAAAAAAGAAGCCCTAGATTTCGGTTGTGTTGGTTGTAAAAGGAGAGACCCAGTAAGTGGGGGTTGTGCCGCAGATTGCTACCCACAATGGACGGGTCACTGAGCAGGTCCGGCCAACTGGGCGTTCCCTCGCTGGAGGGCCAGCACACCAGACTGCAGGTGGCGCGGGTCAGCAAGGTACCAGGGGATGTGTCACACACACAGCCCACCCCCGTCCAGTCACGCACGGACACCCTGGGCTTCCGAGCAAACCTGCTCCCACGTGGTGTGACCACATGGAGCCACAGACACCCAGCAAGGACACGCAGCCCGCACACCCCCGGTACTCCAGACACAGTGACCTGCACCAGGGCTCGAGGTTTCTCTAGGGGAACCCACCTCTTAGAATCATCCAGAAACAAGTCACTCTTCACCTGTCCAGCAAAGGCCTGCTGAGAGGTGCACAGTGTCTGGAGTCCAAGCTGCGCCAAGGCGGCAGGACCCCCAGCCCAGCCCAGGACCCCCAGTAGAGCCCTCACCTCAGCGTGGAGGCCTGAGAACGTGAGGAAGGAGCTGTCCAGCACGGACGAGTCCAGGCAGCTGTCGATGTCCAGCACCTGCTGCCCGGCAGGTGTGGGGCTCGGGCTCCCAGCCACCTGCAGGACGACAGCAGTGGTCAGCGGGCGGCAGCTCAGACCTGCTCAGGACCTGGATGAGAAGCCACCTCCTCAGCAGACAGGACAGAGCCCGGTGCCATCTGACAGAATGTCCTAGAATGCTGGATATATGGGACATCTGCACCGTCCGTGATGGCAGCCCCTCGCGACGTGTGCCACTGAACACTTGACAGCAGACTGGTGCAGCTAAGGAACAGAGTTTTCAATTTCATTTTTTTTTTTCTTAGATGGAGTCTCGCTCTGTCACCCAGGCTGGAGTGCACTGGCGCAATCTCAGCTCACTGCAACCTCCACCTCCCGCGTTCAGGCGATTGTCCTGGCTCAGCCTCCTGAGTAGCTGGGATTACAGGTGCCTGCCACGATGCCCAGCTGATTTTTTGTATTTTTAGTAGAGACGGGGTTTCACTGTGTTGGCCAGGCTGGTCTTGGAACTCCTGACCTCAAGTGATCTGCCCGCCTCCGCCTCCCAAAGTGCTGGGATTACAGGTGTGAGCCACCACACCCGGCCATCGTTCCATTTTAATTAACTTAAATACGAGCAGCCACATGTGGCCTCTGGTTCCTGCCACGGACTCGGGAGCAACCCCTCCTGGTCGCGGCTTATGCGCCTTCTCTGTGTGCTGCTGGGGTTAGTTTGCATGTAACCTCTTGAGGACCCCACGTGTGCATTCCTAAGGGGTGCGGCCTCCCGTTTCCGTATGAATGGGAAGAGTTCCCACCTGCTGTATTCTTGGAAAGAGTCTGTGAAGGATTGGTGTTAATTCTTCCTTAACTGCTTAGAAAAATTCTATCGTGAAGGCTCTGAGCCTGAGCTTTTCTTTGTGGGATTTTTTTTTTTTTTTTTTGGAGATGGAGTCTTGCTCCGTTGCCCAGGCTGGAGTGCAGTGGCGCAATCTCGGCTCACTGCAAGCTCCGCCTCCTGGGTTCATGCCATTCTCCTGCCTCAGCCTCTCGAGTAGCTGGGACTACAGGCGCCCGCCACCATGCCCAGCTAAGTTTTTGTATTTGTAGTAGAGACGGGGTTTCATTGTGTTGGCCAGGCTGGTCTCGAACTCCTGACCTCAACTGATCTGCCCGCCTCGGCCTCCCAAAGTGTTGGGATTACAGGCGTGAGCCACCGTGCCTGGTCCTTTTTAATGTTTTATATAGATGTGGTCTTGCTATGTTGCCCAGGCTGGTCTCAAACTCCTGGACTCAGATCCGCCCACCTCGGCCTCCTGAAGTGTTGGGATTATAGGCGTGAGCCACCACACCCGGCCCGGCCACTGGGAGGTTTCTAAGGGACTAACTCGGCCTCTTCACTTGCTATAGACGTACTGAGATTTTCTTCTGGAGTGCATTTCGGAAGCGTGCACAGCCGCGTGCTTGCTTCTTCTGAGTTATCTGGCGTGCTGCTGTGCAGTTGTCCGTGGCGTCTGCTTAGCGAAGTGCCCTCGTTCTTTCACGATTCTGGCTTCTGAGTCTTCTCTCTTTCTCCCTGGTCAGTCTAGCTAAGGCTGCTCAAGTGTGTTGACCCTTCCCGAGCAGCCTTTGGTGGACGCCTTTCCCTCTGGCTGCAGCACTGGAAAGTGGCGGCTCTGGGCATGGTGCCGAGGCCCAGGCTCCATTCCCAGTACTCCCCGGTCCCCAGCCCCAGCCCACCTTGCTCCGGGACATCCAGAAGAGAAAGAGGATGGCCAGGTAGACGGGATAGACAACCACGCTGGACACCAGGCCAACAGCGACTGTGTCGACGCTCAGCGGGCTCAGCCTGGACACATGCCCCGTGCTGTGTGGAGGAGAGGAGGCCACACAGGTGAGGCTGAGGGGCAGGAAGGGCTGGGCAGGAAGAGGCTGTCCCGACCCCTACGGCACCCACCTGTAGGCAGAGTCACCAACAGCCCCGTACCACACGGCGTTGGCGCCCAGGAAGAGGCAGATGAGGAGAACGCAGCAGGTGGCCCTCTGGATGCGAGTGAAACAGCTACGAGGCGGCCGGTCCCATATGGAGAGCCAGATGTGCTTGTCAAAGAAGCCGCACTGCAGCTCAGCCACCAGCAGGCGCCGGAAGCGCAACAGGGCTGCGTGACCTAGAAGGCAGGGAGGGCCGCACTGCAGGAGGCCACGGGGCAGGACCACCCTGCCCAACCTCCCACGGAGTGGGAACATGGAACGAGGCCTTACTCGCGGCCAGCACCTCCTTCTCCACCAGGCCCCCGTTGGCCTCCGTCTCCACCGAAAGCCAGTCATTGACCAGGAAGAAGGTGCTGTGTGCCGTCTGCAGGTCCCTGATGATGACGTGCTGCAGGAACCAGGCAGGGCTGAGCCCTGCAGAGGCGCGGGAGGGAGGTCAGGCTCGCAGGGCGCCCCAACGCGGGGGCAGAGGGGCAGAGCTTGGCAGGGTCCGCACAGACCTTTGTCGTGCCACACTCGGATCTTCCACACGCTACCCAGGCTGTGCGGGGTGGCGATCCGGAAGATGTCCAGGCTGTTGCGGTGGAAGGCTCTGTCGCCATCCAGGTGCCGGTGGCCGCTCCGGCTGTCCACCCCATACAGCATGATGCCCACGTGGGCCGTGGTACCTGGAGGGCAAGAGGGAGGGGTGGGAGGCTCGGTCTGCTGCCCAACACGTGTGGCATCCCAGGCAAGTCATCTCAGCTTTGGCCTCCGCGCACTCAAGGAGCCACACAGGCAGTCCCGGCTTTGCACGGCTCTGCCATACACGAGGAGCTGAGGTTACTGCAATTTGTCCAATAAACAGCAGGACCTCAAGGACATGATTAAGTTACATGGAAAGAACTGTAACTTGTGACATGCAAACATGGCTGCACACGCCTCAGTCCACACCACAACCAGTGACCCGCACTGCACACCTGTCCACGCCTCAGTCACGCCACAACCAGTGACCCGCACCACACACCCGTCCCTCAGTTCATGCATAGACTGCAAAGCGTGAAGCTGTGTCACCTCCTCTCCCAGTGACAGACCCAGGTGACAGTATTTTTTTTTTTTTTTTGAGATGGAGTCTTGCTGTGTCACCCAGGCTGGAGTGCAGTGGCGCAATCTCAGCTCACTGCAAGCTCCGCCTCCCGGGTTCACGCCATTCTCCTGCCTCAGTCTCCCGAGGAGCTGGGACTACAGGCGCCTGCCAACACGCCGGCCTAATTTTTTTGTATTTTTTAGTAGAGACAGGGTTTCACCGTTAGCCAGGATGGTCTCGATCTCCTGACCCCGTGATTTGCCTGCCTCGGCCTCCCAAAGTGCTCGGATTACAGGTGTGAGCCACCGCGCCCGGCCGACAGTTTTTAAAAGTAGGTAATCAAAAGAAAGAACTGGGAAATGAAGATAAAAGCAGCACGGAAATAAAAAATGGGAACACGGCCAGGTGTGGTGGCTCACACCTGTCATCCCAGCACTCTGGCAGGCCGAGGCAGGCGGATCACCTGAGGTCAGGAGTTCGCCTGGCTGACACGGTGAAAAATTAACTGGGTGTGGTGGCGTGCACCTGTACTCCCAGCTACTCAGGAGAATCGCTTAAGGGGAATCGCTTAAACCCAGGAGCTGGAAGTTGCTGTGAGCCAAGATCACGCCACTGCACTCCAGCCTGGGCAACAGAGCGAGACTCCGTCTCCAAAAAAAGAAAAACGAAAACAAAAAGGGAATGCCAGAAGGGCAATTCCAATGAAAGGAAAATAGAGGTATTGAAGAAACAGCCACGGGGAGGGTGCTGGCGCCTCCGTCTGAGAGACGAGCTATGCAGTCAGGATCGCGGGTGGATGCACGGTCTCCCACAGTGGTAGCGATGCTCATGTCACTTGTGGGGCCACGCTACTGTGCAGAATGTGGGCTGCCCACCCTGACTGACTGGCACCTACTTCCAGCTAGGAGCTGTCCTAGTCCTCAGGGACAGTGAGTGCTCACGAGGTCATTCCCAGGATGAACACACGAGCCCTTCACACAGCACTGCAAAAACTGCCTTGTTCTGACGTCTGCGATGAGACTCACTCCCAGAGGGTGCAACCAGCACAGCCAGTGAGAGCAGGGGAGGCCCTGCCACCCCGCCGCGCCCCTCACCTGAGCCCCGGCCCCAGCCTGTCTTGACGAGGATCTCGTACTTGAAGCGGCCCCGCTGCCCACAGAAGGGGATGGCGCGGCCCCGGCTGGCATCCAACTGGTCCAGCTTGTGCAGGATGGCGGCCATGACCATGTAGGTCACCAGGCACACAGCACATGTCAGCATGACGATGTAGTTTACATCCGCTGTCGGCTCCTGTGAGGACACAGCCGCCGGGCCCAGGAGGTCACGTGCAAGCTGTGCCTTCTCAGGATAGAGCCGAGCCCACCCAGGCCCTCCTCGACTCTGCAGAGGCTCCCAGGAGCACAGGGTCACTCACAGGAAACACAAAGCGTACATGGCTTGGGGGCACGAAGAGGCTGGCGCCGAAGGCGGTGAGGTGGCGGGTGAGGCAGACGGCCTGGCGGGGCGAGGTCTCCTCCAGGGGCAGCAGCCCCTCTGTCCGCCACACCACGTCCTCCTCGCTGAAGTACTGGCACAGGGACGTGTACAGGCCCACGGACACCTCCAGCGCCGACAGGCGGAAGTGGCTGGAGAGGTTCAGACGGTAACTCCCCACTGGGTCTCTGGTCCTGGGCAGGGAAGGGGCAGTGGACGTGAGCCCAGGCTCCGCCAGGTTGGATATCGGAGTCCCAGAGCCCATACCCGGTCCAGTCCCCTCGCTGCCTGCCGTCCCCACAGGGCCTGTAACCCGGGCAATGCTGACCCATGATGCCCTGCCCTGCCCTGCCAGGCCGGCCCGCAGAGCTCACCCCGGGGAAATGAAGAAGGTGTAGGGCCGGTGGTCGGCACCCTGGAGGGACTCTGGGCGGATCCTCCTGCTAGCCGAGCAGTTGTGCTCATTGGGCCGGGGCTCCGAGTGCAGGTAGACTGCCAGGTAGGGCTCGGGTTCCTCAGACAGGTAGCGGCCTGGGGCAGAACGCGCAGGTCACACGCCTGCTGGGAAGCTCAACCACCCGGGGGACACCCACGATGGCCCTCCTGAGCCCACCCTCTGCCACGGGCCTGAAAGGCCATAGGAGCCTCTGCACCAGAGCTGGCACCTGCTTCTCCGTGGCCCCCAGCTCCTCTCCGGCCAGGCCCCCAGCAGCCCATGAAACAGAAAGCAAATTTCACCAGAGACACCCATGGAAGCCCTACGAGAAACGCCTTCCCCCCAAGAACAAGGCCAGGGGGCCGCGTGTGCCTCACCCGCTGCACGCACCGTCCAGCAGCGTATAGTTGAGCTGCAGATGCAGCACGGCCGCAGGGTTGCTGCTGTCCAGGGTGACCACAGCACCGACGGAGGCCTGGGGCTGGACCACAACGGAGTTGGCAGAGCTGCGGTGGCCCCGGGCAGCCCAGTCCGAGTTGTTGGGCACCTTCACGGTGATGGCGCGCTCTGAGGCCAGCCGCTCGATGGGGATCTGGGCGCCGGCCTGTGTCTGGAACGCCATCGAGGCCACCTTGGTGGAGACGGTGTAGTTGCTGATATAGCCAAAGGGAAAGGGATTGGAGTCCACCAGAAAGATGAGCTGCACCACGTCACTGAGGTTAGCCGGGGCCCTGCTGAAAGCCTAGGGGATGGAGAAGTGGCAGCCAGGCCCTGGGGCGCCGCCATAGCACAGCAGGCTCCGCGGGTCCGAGCGCTTGCCCTGGGCCACGATCTCCTCGCCCGCCAGTGTCAGGGGCTCCTCGTTGAGCACGCGGGAGCGCGTGAGGATGCGCATGAGGGCAGAGGTCAGGTTGTAGGCCTGGGACGCCACCATCCGCGATGGTGACTCGGCTCCCAGCTCTGAGCGCTGTGGTGCCCGCACGTCTGAGCTGGCCAGGTGGATGAGGTCTCCTGCAGACAGACGTGAGGTCAGTGCAGAGACAGGGAGGCAGAGGGAGGGTGGGGGCAGGCAAAAAGGGGGAGCCGGAGGGTGGGGGCTGGGAGAAAGGGGGAACCTGAGGGGGCAGAGAGCGAGGTGCAGGCAGAAGAAAGGGGGAAGCTGGAGAGAGAGTGGTGGAGGGGGGAGGGGGAAGGGGATGGGGATGAGGACGAAGATGAGGGGGATGATGGGGAGAGGGAGGAAAAAGGAAGGAAAAGGGTAGAGAAAAGAGAAAGGGGAGAAGAGGAGGAGCAGGGGGATAAGGGAGGGGAAGGGGGATAAGGGGATAAGGGAGGGGAAGGAGGATAAGGGGGATAAGAAAGATGAGGGGAATGGACAAAAGGACGGGGAGGATCGGGGGGGAAATGGAGAAAAGGGGAGAGAGATGGAGAAAAGGGATGGTAATAGGGAAGGGGGAGGGGGAGGAGAATGGGAATTGGGGGAGGGGGATAAGGATGGGAAGGGGGAGGGGAGGAAGGGGGAGGGGAGGGGCTAGGGGAGGGAGGGGCTGGGGGAGGAGTGGAGGGGCTCAGCGGGAGGAAGTGAGGGGAAGGTCTAGGGGAGGGGAGGAGGAGAAGGGCTAGCGGAGGGGAGGGGAGGGGGCAGGGGCTAGGGGAGGGGGGAGGGGCAAGGGGAGGGAGGGGGAGGGGAGGGGTTAGGGGAGGGAAGGGGCAGGGGAGGGGCTAGGGGAGGGAAGGGGGAGGGGAGGGGAGAGTGGAAGGCACAGAACAGCATCTTCTTAGTCCCTCCCCACATCTGGGCCCCTCTTTACACCCTGGGTCCCCCGAGAGGCACCCTGCGTTCACACAGGACAGCAGAAAGGCTGAGGCTACTGAAGCAGGTCAGAGACCGAGGAACGCCATGGCATGAAGGAGCCCAGGCTGGAGGCTCAGCTCCTCGGCCAAGCTGCCCGTCTGCCCTGGGGGGCTGAACCCAGTACCCTGGCAGGCATGCGGGGCGGGGTGAGCATGTGGGGCCATCCTACCATGCACTGGGCCAGCGCAGCAGCGATCTGCTGGATGTCATCCACAGTGTGGACCCTCAGGGACACCAGAGTCTCCGTGATGTTCTTGCGTATCTGGGCTCGGCGCTGCCGCTCGTGCTTGGGCTCTGCCGCCACGTCCAGGGCCCGCTCGTACTGGGGCAGGCAGGCGGCACAGCAAGCTGTCAGCAGGGCAGGAGACCGGCAGGAGGCCAGCAGATGCCCACGACTCCCGGGGTGCAGTTACGTGCTAGATGCTGTGTGATGTGGGCATTGACCCGCAACACTGAGCTGTTTCTTCATGGGCAAAACAGGGTAAGCACATGGGCCCTCCTGGGCGGGGGCTGCATTGTGGAAAGCAGACGCCGGAGAGGGCCCGGTGGGTGTGGCTGCTGGGAGCGGAACGTCGGGGTGCTGCTTCAGGGTCACTGGGATTTATCTCTGGGGCCCGGGATAAGCCCTCCGCAAAGCTCCAGGCAGGGGTACAGGTCTTGGTCCCCAGCACGCATGCAGCAGATGTGAGGTCCCCTGCCAGGCTGCACTCACCTCGTTCAGGACGGTGACCAGGGCCAGCGAGTACTCGATGACGTGCTGGGGATCGGCCTGCCGCAGCAGCCCCGGGAGCACACTAGCGGTGAGCCCGTGCAGCCAGACTGTGAGCCCCATTGCGCTGCCGTTGGGCTCTGGGAGGGTGATGGCCAGAGACCTACGAGCAGAGGGGGGTGGTGAGCAGGTGGCAGTCTCGGGGGCGCCCTCCCACGGCCTGGCTCACCTGTTGAGGGCGACCACAGCGGCTCCCAGCTGGTCCTGCACCACCACGGCCAGGCCCACCTCGAAGTGTGGCCTGAAACCCGGGGGCAGCACGGCTCCGTAGCCGGAGAGGCTGCCCTTGTAGACACAGAACTCCTCGCAGTGGCCCTGGCGACAGCGCTGCAGCAGCAGGGCGTACACCAGCGGGGCGCCAGCATCCTCCGCGTCATGCCAGCCTGAGGGACGGTCCCCATGGCATCACGGGAGGGCTCCGTGACGTCACAGTCGGGGGATCCCGCTGCTCCCCCTAAGCAGGCCTGTACTCACCCGTGCATTCGAAGTGCACCTTGGTGGTGAGGGCGTGCACAGCGCCCAGTGGGAAGAGGCGGCAAGAGCCCCCCAGCGGCGGGCGGTTGGGGGACAGGGGGATGGAGGCGCAGCCCTCCTCCTCGCCAGAGCGGCCCAGCACCGTCAGCGTGAAGGTGTATCCCTCGCCGTCCCGCAGCACGCCCCGCCGCAGCACCAGTCACATGCCTGCGCTGCCCGTGGATGTGGTGGTCTCATCCAGCACCAGTGTCTTGTTGCTGAACGTACGTGCAGCCCACCGCTGCAGGCAGAAGGGGTGGTGAGGGGGCGCAACCCTCTGCCCTGTCAGCCCCACTTCTGCCTGCAGGCCCCGTCCCCTCGGCCATGGGACCCATCCCCAGCCCGCCCACACCCCGCTCAACACTCACCCCTCGCTTGGAGCCGCTGCTGCAATTGAGGCAGCGGCCCTCCAGGTACACGTAGGAGCTGCGGCTCACTTCGTACACGGCCTGTGCCTTGCAGGACACACACTCCAAGGACACAATGGGCACCCGGCCACTGCGGATCAGCACCTGGCGTGGGAGTGGGGTTACCTCCAACACAGGTCTATTTGGCCTGCTGGAAGGTCTGGGGGACCCGTGGAGGATGCTGCTCCCAAACTCCAGGTTTCCCAGGGGCCTGGCCACTGCCGGTGAGCTCACCCCCTCCCAGGATACTCATCCGGTTTGCCACCTTCCAACCTGGGCGGCGGAAGGGCATACACAGGGCAGAGGACACTGGGGTGTGCGTTCTGGTGTACTGGAGCCAGCTGGACCCTGACAGGAGGCAGGCAATGCTCACTGAGGGCCCCTGGGGGGATGCGTGTGGGAACAGACGTATGTGGGGGTGTGAGGACCGCAGTTGCCACGTAGGCCTGACTCACAGACTCCTGCAGCCCTTAGCCAGGGCCTGGGTCAGGAGGCTGAGCCGGGATGGAACCTGCTCCCACACCCTCCCCTCAGACGACCCCTCTGGGCAGACCCCCAATCAGGCCCGTTGAGGAAAGCAGGGACTGGGGAACAGACACCCACTCTGGGGCACCAGCAGGCCCCGCCTGACAGCAGCAGGAGCAGCCACCACGGGCTCAGGGTCACCAAGCCTCCTGGCCGGTCCAGAGTGGGGAGCGTGAGGGTGAGAACCGGCCCACCACATCCAGCAACAGGGACATGGGCTGGGGACAGTGGCTGCCTCTGGGGTGGGAAGGGGCTCTTCCTCACTGTTGGTATTGCTGGGGGACTGTGTAGCTTTTGTCACTAGAGCATATGTGGCTTGAAGACTGTATGTGGAACTGTGGCAGGTTTGGAAGGAAGCAAAGCTGAAGCAGGCTGTCGTGTTACGTAGAATTTGCATCAGAAACAGAGAGGGAAGAGCGCGCGGCCTCCACCAGCACTAAAACACGGAAAACAGTAGATGAGCAGGGAGGTTGGGCTGTCCAAGGCAAGTGGCCGAGGGGCGGGCGGCACCCACCGTCTGGTTGGTGGCCTCCTCCTTGCGGCCGGCCTTCCACACGGTGAGGCTGAAGGTGTACTCCACGCCAGCCGCCAGCCGTTCCCGTGGAATGGTGACCGTGCTGCTCCCGCGGGGCCCAAAGTTCAGCGCACACCCGCCAGCCTCCCTCTGCAGGCCGAGAACAAGGGGCGACGTGGCCCGAGAACCCCATCCAGTTTTAAAGCAGAGCCCGGCCCAGGAGACAGCGCGGGAGACCCCCTCCCCATGCTGGGACGGGGCCCACCAGGCACTGAGGACGGGCCAGCCCTGGTGGCAAGCTGGGTGTTCTCTGGGCTCATGGGTGTGGACGGGTGAGGGGCATGGAGGACGGCCCTGCCACGCACTGACCTGTGTCGAAGCCACACAGGCCCACTGGAAACTGAGCGGCGTCTGGTCGCCATCCTCCAGGTTGGGGTCGTAGGACTCGCTCCCATCCAGCACCAGGTCCTGTGTGTCTGACCACACGCGGTATGAGCCACCCTCAGTGATGGGCACCAGGCGCTCAGGGGCCACCGTCACATTGGCCTGGATGCTCCGTGCCAGTGGCGTGTCCCCAAATGACACGACAAACACAAAGCAGTAGTGCCCCACAGGCAGCGCCAGCCGCGGCAGCACCAGCTGAGGCCGGCTCACGTCCACGCCGGGCAGGGCCACACGCGCCGGGCACCCCGGCTGGTGGGCCCGAGCCAGATGCAGTGCTCGGCTGTGGCTGGGTGTGGCTCCCCGGGCAGCCAGTTCTGGCAGCTCTCCAGGCTGAAGGCCTCGCCCTGCGGCGCTGGGCCCACCTCCACCCGCTGCACAGTCGAGAAGCCGATCCACACGTCTAGGCTCCTGGGGGCGGGTGTGGGATGCCAGGGGGCTCAGGGCACTCCTCCATCCTCCCACCCTCACAGCAGCCCGCTGGGAGCCCCATCACTGTCCCCCTTTCCAGATGGGGAAACTGAGGCTCAGAGCCTGGAGAGCAGGGCCCACCACCCCAGGCTCACAGCAGCACCCACCCACGGGGCCTGTGGGCACCGGCAGGGATCCCCGCGCAGGCCACCTCCCGTATGGCGTGCCCAGGAGTGTCCGGAGGCTGCCCCCAGCTCGCGTCCACCTCTGCATCTGCAGAGCTGACAGGAACGGCCCCACCGGCCGGCGCCACCTGCTCACCAGGGCCGGCCCAGCTCCCACCTCCCTCCTCCTGAGACTCCCCAGCCGCAGGCTCTGCCCCACTGCTTCAGAGATCTCCCAACCTATGGCCCCTCGGGGGGTGGGGGCAGGCACCTGGTGACCCGGGAGACCAGGAAGCGCTGCACGGCGGGACTGTCCACCATTGCCAGGGCGGCCCCGGCCCAGGCCCGACACTGCTCCTGCGCCTGCAGCCAGGCCGCCTTCTCCACCACCAGGCGGTAGCAGTGCCCGTTGCCAGAGAAGATCTCCGTGTCCGAGGGGCAGAGCGGGTGCACCGCTGGAGACCGGTGGGAATGAGGGTGTCAACGGTCAGTGTGGGCCCAAGACGGGGGTACCAGGCTCTGCCCCATCTGGATGGCCCTGGGGAGGAAGGGGAGTGGGCAGCAGACACTCACCTCGGGCCGGCTCCTCGCCCAGGGCCACGATGCTGTAGGCAGCCTCCAGGCCTGAACCACCGCGGTTCTGGATGCTGAGGTCGAGGCTCTCGTCACTCTGCACCGAGGACGGGCACACGAGCTCCAGGGCGGCAGGTGCCGCTTCCACCTGCACGTCTGTCCCCAGCAGGGCTGAGCCGGCCCCCAGGGCCAGCACGGCCGTCACGTGATAGCGCCCAGGCAGCACATAGCGATGCGAGGCAGCCGGCCCAGCGGCATCCACCTCGGGGGAGCCGTCTCCGAAGTCCCAGCGTGTGGCAGTGACAGGGAGCGGGGCAGCGATGTGGAAGGCTGCTAGCTGGCCGGAGGCCAGGGGTCCGTGGGGCCCCACCAGGGGGGCCCCTGGGGAGGCAGGGAAGACGTGCTGGAGGAGGGTGGGGCCCCTACAGGTGGGGGCAGGAGGCGGCGGGGGGCCGGAGCAGAGGGACAGGCAGGCGAAGGAGGCACTAGAGGGCTGGGCCGCCCCACACAGGCACCAGCCCTGCTCCGAGAGGGCTGCGAGGCCCTGGCCGGTGGAGAAGCAGAAGGCGCTGCAGGCCTCTGGCTGAAGCAGGCCTTCGTGGGCAGCTGAAAAGGACACTGCTGCCACGGTGCCTGAGCTGTTGTCAGGGAGGCAGGCGACATACTCCTCACCTAGAAGAGGCAGCCACTGGACCCCGGGTTCTGCTCCTCCTGGCTCCACCCCACACACCCCCATCCGCCCGCCGCACTCACAGGCTCCCATGCTGTTCCCTTGGCCCGGAGCCCCCCCCCAGAGAGGCCTTCCTGAGCCCTGCCCAGTGTCTGCAGGGCCCAGGTCCCACCTGGCTGGGAAGGACAGAGCTGGCCCCACCCACCGGCACTCACCACAGCCACTGTCCAGCAAGGGGATGCCAAGCAGAGGCTGGCCAGCCAGGGAGTCAGGCCCAGCACACGTGGCTGCCTCGGGCTGCACCACCCGCACCTGCTGCTCCTCCGCCCATCGCGGCAGCCACGCCAGGCCACAGTCACACTCAAACGGGTTCCCACTCAGGTTTCTGCGGGGCAGGGGCAGGTGTTGGGGACCAGGTCTGGTGGGAAGGGTCTATGCCAGCCCCCCACTGGCAACCAGGCCCTGGAGCCACCCTGACAGCACCGCCTCCCCTGCCCCAACCAAGCCGGCACTGGGGGGCTCCAAGCAGGTAGTGAACTGCCCCCAGGATCTGGTCTCAAGCCTGGAAGGGGACACAGACCAACTGGGAGGGCAGAAGGGATACTGGGGGCCTGGGGTCCAGCCAGGACCCCACCCAAAGAACCACAACTTACATTTCACTTAAATTAAATAAATTAGCAAATATTCCTTCTTCTAACGTAGAAATCTTGTTGTTGCTTATATCCCTGGAAGAGAGGGGGGATTCGGCAAAGCTGACGGAAGCCCCCACAGCTGAGCAGCAAGAGGCGGTGCCGCCAGCCCACCCGGAGTGAGCCCCGCATGCTGGCACGACTGGGGGACACTCACAGCTCTGCCAGCGCCGAGAGGTTCGCCAGGAGCCCAACGTCCAGCGCCCGGAGCAGGTTGTGGGAGACGTCTCTGAGGAGTGAGTGGCCGTGGGTCAGGGCCAGAGCCCTTAGTAGGCCAGAGGCCATCCCTGGGCCCATCCCACACATTGCCAGCATCCCCAAGCTATGGCCTCCCACCCTTGAGCTCCCCACTCCCAGAGGTCAGGAGGGGCCTTTCTGATGGAAGACCCAAATGAACACTCATCTGGGGAAACCAAGCCGGGAGAGGCCTGGGGGCCTCAGCCCTCTGCACCCATCTCAGCCCTATGCCGAGTGCCACCTGGACCTGTCCACCCAGGGCCAGGAAGGGCACGGACCCCCAACCCATCCCACGCAGGGCCAAGGCCCCCCATCCCCTGTCCACAGTCCCCCACAGAGCCAAGGTCTCCCAACCCTGTCCACAGCCCCCACACAGACTCGAGGGGCCCCCATCTCCTGTTCTGAACCCAACAGGGTGGTCCCACTGTGGGACCACAACCAGGTATGACTGTGTGAGAAGCAGGCTCACTACCAGGCTACCAGGGAGCACAGGGGAGCAGGCGCCACCTTGAGGCATAAACCCAGAGAAACAAGACCTCCAAGACGGCCAGGCACTGGGGCACACGCCGGTAACACAGCACCGTGGGAGCTGAGACGGAAGGATCGCCTGAGCCCAGGATTTTGAAACCACCCTGGGCAACACAGTGAGACCCCGTATCTACAAAAAAATACACATTAGCCAGGCATGGCGGCATGCGCCTGGGGTCCCAAGTACTCGGGAGGTAGAGGAGAGAAAAATCACTTGAGCCCAGAGAGGTCAAGGCTACAGGGAGCTGAGATCGCATCACTGTACTCCAGCTGGGGTGAAACGGCGAGACTCTACCTCAAAAATAAATAAATACATACATAATTAATAAATAAAACATCAAAGACCAGCCGACCTAACTCCATCTAAAATACACAACTTCTACGCAAAATATAAATAAAATTAGAAAACAAACTACAATCTCAGAAAAGCACTAGCAACTTAGACGACATACTAAAGGCCAAAAATACCCTCCTGACACACAGCTAATAAAGAAAAAGTCAACTATTCCAGTTAAAAAGAAGAAAAGGAAACTGGCTGTGGTGGCTTATGCCTGTAATCCCAGTGCTTTGGGAAGGCCAGGAGTTTGAGACCAGGATGGACAGCATAGCAAGACCCCATCTCTACAAGGAAAAAAAGAATCAGCCAGGCATGGTGGTGTGGAGCTGTAGTTCCAACTACTCGGGGGGCTGAGGAAGAAGGATCGCTTGAGCCAGGGAGGTCGAGGCTGCAGTGAGCTATGACTGTGCCACTGCAGTCCAGCCTGGGCGACAGAGCAAGACCCGGTCTCGAAAGAAAAGAAAGAGAAAGCAAGAAAAGAAAGATGGCTGGGCACGGTGGCTCACTCCTGTAATCCCAGAACTTTGGGAGGCCAAGGTGGGTGGATTATGAGATCAAGAGATCGAGACCATCCTGGCCAACAGGGTGAAACCCCATCTCTACTAAAAATGCAAAAATTAGGTGGGCGTGGTGGCGGGAGCCTGTTAGTGCCAGCCACTCTGGAGGCTGAGGCAGGAGAATCACGTGAACCCGGGAGGCGAAGGTTGCAGTGAGCCAAGATCACGCCACTGCAATCCAGCCTGGTGACATAGCGAGACTCCATCTCAAAAAAAAAAAAAAAAAAAAAAAGAAAAGAAAGGGAGGAGAGAGAGAAGAAAAGGAGAAGGGGAAAGAGCCGGGTGCAATGGCTCCTGCCTGTAATCCCAGCACTTTGGGAGGCTGAGGCGGGCGGATCACCTGAGGTCAGGAGTTCAAGACCAGACTGACCAACACGGAGACACCCTGTCTCTACCAAAACTACAGAATTAGTTGGGCGTGGTGGCAAGCACCTGTAATTCCAGCTACTCAGGAGGCTTAGGCAGGAGAATCACTTGAACCCGGGAGGCAGAGGTTGCAGTGAGCTGAGATCGCGCCCCTGCACTCCAGCACCCCATCCTGCAAGAGTGAAGCTCCATCTCAAAAAAAAAAAAAAAAAAAAGAAAAAGGACGGAGGGCGAGAGGGAGGGAGGAAAGAAAGAGAAAACTCCAAAAACAAAAAAAGAAAAACCAGGCAATTAAAAGAAGCACAATTGGTCACAGCCATGGGAAAGACATCCCATGTCAGCAGTCAGTGAAGAAAAGGCAACAGAAACCAAAGGGCGGCAGCATGTCTCTCTTTTCAGAGCTGCCCGAGTTACAAACCAGGTCCTGGAGCTGGTGATGTGGAGGTGAGAAGCCAGAGAGCTGGGGCAAACCGAGAACTCCACCTCCCCTCGGCCTCAAGCACCTCGGGGGTCACCCTGCCGCCCACCCTGGGCACCCCTCCTGGTCCCACGCACTCCCAGTAGTGCTCCTGGCACAGGGACTGTGGCTCCGCAGGTCTGCACACCACCCCCCTGCTCCCCAGGACCCCGAGACCTCACCTCCTGCCACGGGCCTCTACTTCCCCAGGTGTCACCCTCCCCACGAGTGACCCAGCAGGTGCCTCTGCCTAGACTTGCTCTTCCCAGCAATGACCACCCGGCAGCCAGGCCCAAGCCGGGGTGGCCTCCATCCCTGAGCACCCGCCCAGCCCCTACCGGCCTCCATCCCTGAGCACCCGCCCAGCCCCTGCCAGTCCCTGCCACCCTCCATCCCTGAGCACCCGCCCAGCCCCTGCCGGCCTCCAGCCCTGAGCACCCGCCCAGCCCTGCCAGCCTCCAGCCAGCCCTGCTCCTCCCACCGGAGCTCCGCTCCCGCAGCAGCCTACCCGGCGCAGGAGAGACGCACACACAGGCTGCCTGGTGGGGCCCGGGGCCAGGGCAAGGGCTTGAAAAGGGAACCAACAAAGAAGGGGACCAGAGGCCACCCCAGCTGAGGGGACAGAGCAGCCGAGGCCTTCTCCGTGCCAGGAAGCAGCCCCAGCCACGGACGGTGGAGCCGAGCCCTCACCTGGGCTGGGCGCCCAGACAGATGAGACGCTGGGCACTGGCTCCCGGAGCTTCTCGTTCCATCTGCGGATGGAGGGCACGGTTGGGGGTGCAGTTCCCTTCCCCCAGGGGCTGTGGGACACTCAGAGAGCCTATGCCTGTGCCCTGGGCTCCGGGAGGGGAGAGGATCTGGGGGCCAGGCACACAGGGAACGGCCCCTCCGGCAGGGCCACCGCTTCCCCCCTAACTGAACCCTGCTTCTCTGCCGTCCCCTCCTCTACACCAAGGTAGGGACACAGGCTGAGGTGCTCCCCACTGCCCATAAGGATGGGTGGGCCCACAGCCACGCTGCTAGGCATCCACACCATCCCCGCCGTGGGGTGGGACAGGGTGGCGGCTGGGAGACCAGCAAGAGGCCATTCACGAGACAGGGTGAGGCAGCTGGACTCACACCCGCTGCCCAAGCACCATGCCCGAGGGGGAACACTGTGCTGTAAGGAACTGCAGTTAGACCTGAGGAGGGACTTTTCAGCGGCTGCGGCGGCAGCAGAACCAATGCTTTAGGGAGAATGAGGCACCAGGACCTGAGGCGCAGCAGCCCTAAGGGGCGAGAGGTGCTGCAGAGGCCACGGTGAACACAGGCAGGCCCCCTGGAAGGGACACAGCTGTGAAACTGCCCCGGGGAGGGGCACAGGCATGGGGAGCAGCTCCCACCCAGGCCACGGGAGAAAGGAAAGAAGGAAAAGCCTGAAGATGTTTGGCCACACCTCATTTTCTGGAAAATCCATCAAGAGTGGCTGCTGCTGGGAGCTGACAAGCCAGGGCAGGGGTGGGGGCAGGTCAGCCGAGGACCCCAGAGCCCCCCCGCTCCCCACCCATCCCACTGTGAACCAGGCCTGGGGGTGCCATGGACACTTCTTCCATGCCAGCAGGCAGCCCCGCCTGTCACCGGTTCTGGCCATGCACTCCCTGCGTGCCAGGCTCCAGGCTGGCTCCTTCTCCCGGCCCTCACCCCAGCCCAAGGCCCACAAATGCAGCAAGGTCTTGGGGACCCCGCTCGGCCGAGCTCCCAGGGCCCAGGGCAGTGGAATGAAGCTGGGGCCCAGACAGGAGCCAGGTGCAGTCCCCCAGCCCCCAGGGTGTGGAAGCGTCTGCCCTGGGTAGGACTCAGGTGCCCCCTGGGTGTGGAAGCATCTGCCCTGGGCAGGACTCAGGTGTGGGCTTCAGGGACAGGGACCAGTACAGGGATCCCCGTGGAGTCCTCACCCCGCTTGCTCCCGTACTTTTCCACGTCTGCATCTGCTTTTGCCATCGCCGTTCTGGGGGAACGCCAAGGCCTAGCCAGGCAGCCTCGCGCCAGCCCCCCCACCCCGCCCCTCGGGCTTCCTCTGCACCCGCCAGGTGACATCATCGCCGCTGTCTGATGCCCTGCCCCCACGTTCTGGTTCCCTGCAAGGATGGGGGACACAGCAGGGCCCAGGCATCTGGCAGCAGGACCACCGAGCGGCCCTAAGCCCAGGCAAGAGCACAGAGCAGAGTGCAGGGTCCTCTGGGGTCCCAAGCCCTTGCTGCCCCACGCACTCCTCACCCCAGTTCCTGCTATAAGCTGGAAGGGTGGGAGCCAGGTGCACAGGGACAGCCTGATGGGTGCCCGAGGGCCAGGATGTGCTCCCAGGGAAGCTGAAGCCAAGCTTGTTGGGAGAAGTACACCCCCATGGGGGGCAGGACGGTGCCCCAGCCCCGGGACACAAGGGGCCCCCAGCGCCGAGCGTCCGATCTGGAAGGCAGGAGGAGTTAGGACCATCCTAGCGTGGGACCCAGCGGGCTCCTTAGCGGCTGCTGGGGCACCACTGGGTGGAGAAGGAAGTCCCAGGTGTGTGGCCACAGTACGGGTCTTCACCCCTTCCCAGCACCCTTGCCAATCCTGGAGCAGGAGCAGCAACAGCAGAGGGTGTGGCCAGGCCTGGAGGCTGCCCCTCCACACCCCTGTCACAGGTGGGGCCACGTCCCAGGGCTGTGGGCAGCAGGGCCAGCCTGCCGGCCCGAGGTATCTGACACGTGTCTCATGCTGCAGCGGGTCTGCCCGCCACCCGGGCGTGTGAACCCCAGGTCGGGCCCCCTCGCCCTGGAGCCTCGGCCCCTCAGGGGTGTTCCCAGCCAGGCGCTGGCTCTCCTGCCCTCCCCCTGGGCTCTGCCCACAGTTGGCGCGAGGGTGGGTGAAGCCTGAGGCTGGCAGGGCCCGGGAAGTCTTGTGGCTGGGCCTTCTGCCCCACAGGCGCTCCTGGGCCGGGGGAGCCGGGGTCGGGGCGTGCAACAGTGGGACTGAGAACTTCCCTGGGTGTGGGGCAGCTCCCGGGGCCCTCCCAATCCACAACAGAGGGAATGGCCCCAGACAAACCAGACCTGCCTCAGAGCCTCACACTCAGAGCTGAGTGCCCCAGGCGCCCATTTCCCAGACCAGATGCTGAGTGGGGTCTGGGGGCCGGACGGAGCCCCCAAAGAAACATCTGCACATTCCAGACGCGTGTGGTCAGCGGCGGGCGTGTGCCAGGCCCGGCACCCCTGCCCGCGCTGGCCGCCTCACTGGAAACTGGGCTGGGGGGACCGGCTCGGAGGGGCCACCTGCGGAGCTTATGTAACCGCTCCTCCCTCGGCAGGGGCAGGACAGGACGCCAGACCCAGGGAGGCCCCATGCCCCCTGCCAGGCCCCGTCCTCTCCTGGAGGAGCCGGTTCCCCTCCGCCCAGCAAGAGGACCCCCAGGCCCGTCCCTCCCGAGAGCAGGCCCAGGGTGAGGAAATGGGGTGCAGTGTGGGCGCTGGAGAGGACAGGGGACAGGCAGCAGTGCCACCCCCACTGTGGCCCCTTCCTCGCTGGGCCAGCCGAGCCATGACCTCTTCTGTTTCCCTCTGCGCTGTGCTCCTTTCTATTTAAGGAGAGTGAGGCGGCTTCCAGGGCCGGAAATGATCCTGTTTAAATTAACAGGCTGCAGTTTGGGACGGTGCTCATTTGAAAAAAAACAGTGCAGCCCCGGGCTGGGCAGACGGCTGCTGGCTCCGCCTACCACTTCCATGGGGAGGGCCAGGGAGGCCGGCCACAACCCTGGCCCCACGAGGGGTGGGGGTTGCAGCCTCTGATAGAGGACGAGGCTGCCAGGCCCCAGGCAACAGAGCCCTGCACGAGGTTCTCTGGGTCCCGGACACGGGGTGTGAGACTAGCCGGGGAGCCCCAGGCTCAGCGGCATTCTGTCCTTACAGATCCCTCCCATGGCTCAACTGTTCCCAGGATGAGACGCCGGGGGTGACATGGGCAGCCTCAGGTCCTCCCGGGACCCACAGGCAGGCACAGGGATGGAGACTCCGGCCTCGGAGGCTGAACGAGGGAGATGAGAAAGGGGAGTCTGCGATGTCCTTGCCTACACGGATGGAAAAACACAGCCAGCTCAAAAAGGGCCGTTTGGAGACAAGCCCACCTGTGGGTGTAGGAAGGAGAGCGCTTCATACGTATGCCACCTGCCGCTGGGGTCGGGGCCACCCTTCCAGTTCAAGGGGAGAATGAGGGCCGGCTCCTGGTGCCCCTGCACACAGCTGACATGGAGCCAGGCGTTGTGACCCCCTTGCATCCCTCTCCACTCCCACCCTTCACAGCCTGGGTGGGCAGGTGCTGCACTGACCTTATGCTCCTGATGGGCACAGAGGCTCAAGAGGCCCTCCTCCTCCCCCAACACCATCCCCCAAACACCTCCCCGGGCAGCCAGCAGGGTCCAGAGTGTCAATGGAGGAAGCCAAGGTAGGAAGAGGGTGGTGGGGGGGGCCAAGCAAACTGGCCATCTGCGCCCGGCTGTGCGGGCACAGCAGTGCCCTGGAGAGGGCAGCAGCACAGATCCAGCGGGGCAGCCGGAATCCCATCACCCACTCGGCTGTGGGCACAGCCAATGATGGCACGAGCCATCCTGAGGCCAGGGCCACGATGCACAGTGGACGGGCTCACAACCCGGAGCCCCTGTACTCCCACAGCTGTGACGTTCCCTGGGCATGGGCTTGCCCCAGCGCTGGCCTCATTCCTGCCTCAACCAGAAGGAAGAGCTGGCTTCCGCCTCTGCCTGGGCACAAAGCCCTTTCCGAGGTGGCCTGACAGAAGCCAGCCTGTCTTCAGATCATGGCGCTGCTAAGGTCAGGAACGCCAGGCTGGGCCAGGGCTGGGCCTTGGGAGCTGCAGGGAGAAAAGGACCCAGCCCGCCTCAGCCCCAGATGTAGCCCTTCTCCTGCCACCAGTGCCTGGGCACCCCGGCCCCTAGGCGAGGACAGCTGCCAAGCCATGAAGAGCGAGGTGTTCTGGGAAAGGGCGTGAGCTGCATTTTCCAGCTGCGCTCACTCTGCAGGGAGACTGTGACGCCCCCGCCGCTGTGCCCGCAGACGTGCCCGGCCTCAGCCAGCTGGAGCGCAGGCAGCAGAGTGCAGGCCAGGCCCAGACGGCAGCGGGCTGTTTTCATTCCAGGGTGCTTGGCGGGCTGGGCTGCCGTGGCCACTGCAGAGCTCCAGAAAAGAACACGTGTGTCTCCCTCCAAAGTATGTTCCTCGCTGGAAAGCAGATCCCAGGCAGGGTCTCCCCCACGAGCAGGGGGAGAGGCACCCCAAGGTGGGGGAGCGAGGGCAGTGGCAGAACCACCCCATACCCTAGGGGACCCAGGGAGGGGCTTGCAGATGCGGGACCCACATTTGGCAGCGGTGCCCGGCCACTGTCACGAGATGGTGGCCAGCGCATCACCCACACGTGGGCCAGGATGGCAGAGGAGATCCACAGAGATGGCTCCAGCAGGAGGCCCTCACAGAGATGCCCTGGCCTCAGAAGAGCCAACAGAAAGCCGGGAAGGGGGACGTCGAGGCTCAAGCTTGGCACAACCTCCCCAAAGCTCCCAAAGGCTCTTGGTGCCCACCAGCGACAGCGCACACCGCCACCACCTAACAGCAAGGATGCAGCAGGGTCCGCACGTCAGGGCGGGCACTGAGCGGAACTCAGGCAGTGCCACTCGCCAGCTTACGTCAAAAGAACAAAAGGAGTGAGGACGATACTCGCGGCTCTGCCAATACTTCCCAGCCCCGCACGTCTCACACACACCAGAACGCGTCAAAAGGCACCAATGGGCAAACACCCAGAGGTAGGCACAAGCAGGAGTAGGCCGGGTCTTGTGAGCCCCTACAGCCACGCGGCCCTGCGCTGAAGGCACCGAGGCTGGGTGCTGAGGGGTCCATAAGAGTCCACCCGCCCAGGCTGCACTGGCTCCCGTCGTCCAGTGTCCGGTCTAAGCACAGGCACAGTGTCTGGCTCTCACCCTCAGGCTGTTACACTCTGCTCTGTGGCAGGGCAGGTCTCACAGTGCATGGAGGACAGGGGAATGGGCCCCCGGAACCCCTGAGGGAACCGACAGAGCTACTTTAACAAGGTATGATTGTTGGGGCTGCCAGTGGCTGAGCCAGGTCACTGCTACACTGCCCTGCAGGGTGCATCTAATCATGGAGCCCACTTTACAGGTGAGGAAACTGAGGCTGAGAGACTGGACCAAGGTCACACCAGAAGTGGAGGCGCTGGGACGTGAACCCAAGTCTGACTCCAGGGCGCAAATTCCCTACATCTGGGTTCCCAGCCTCCTTCCTGAAACTGAACAGGAAACTACAGGGAAGGGACACAGCAGGGATGAGCCAGGGAGGGAGAGGTGGGAGGGGCTGGCAGGGAGGGAGAGGTGGGAGGGGCTGGCAGGGAGGGAGAGGTGGGAGGGGCTGGCAGGGAGGGAGAGGTGGGAGGGGCTGGCAGCACCCAAGCAGCTGCACCTGGGTGCAGGGCCCCTCAGCCCCTCGGGGAGTGCAAGCACATCCCAGCCCGACTCGGAAGCGCCACTGCCACCTCTGTCTGTCTATAAACCAGGGCACTAGTGTGGGCCCCAGGCACCCTGTGCGGCTGCAGGGGTCTGCCCCAGAGCATGCTGATGAAATCATCACCACGGCTTCTCAGAGCCTCAATTTCCTGGTCTGTAAAATGAGACCAGGAGTGGCTGCAACCCTGCAGTGCCGTGATGAGCTATGGAGAGACAAGAACACAGAGGGCTCAGCGCAGGGCCCGGCGTGGCCACCGCGGGGAGAGGGTGCGGACTCTTCCTAGACCTTTTCTTTTTGAGACAGAGTTTCACTCTGTCTCCCAGGCTGGAGTGCAATGGTGCAATCTTGCCTCACTGCAACCTCTGCCTCCCAGGTTCAAGCGATTCTCCTGCCTCAGCCCCCAAAGTAGCTGAGACTACAGGCATGCGCCACCATGCTCAGCATTTTTTTGTTTTTTTGAGACAGAGTCTCGCTCTGTTGACCAGGCTAGAGTGCAGTGGTGTGATATTGGCTCACTGCAACCTCCGCCTCCCGGGTTCAAGTGATTCTCCTGCCTCAGCCTCCTAATTAGCTGGGATTACAGGCGCCCACCACCACACCTCGCTAATTTTTGTATTTTTAGTAGAACGGGTTTCACCATGTTGGTCAGGCTGGTCACAAATTCCTGACCTTGTGATCCCCCCACCTTGGCCTCCCAAAGTGCTGAGATTACAGGCGTGAACCACCGCGCCCACCCTGTTTTTTTGTTTTGTTTTTTTTTTAAAGACCGTTTCCTAGTCACCCAGGCTGGAGTGCAGTGGCACCATCACAGCTAACTGCAGTCTCAACCTCATAGACTCAGGGAATCCTCCCCCCTCAGCCTCCCAACTAGCTGGGACTACAGGCGCCACCACTAATATCTATTTATTGGTCTCGCTATGTTGCCCAGGCTGGCCTCAAACTCCTGGCCTCAAGCCATCTGCTCTCCTAAAGTGCTGGGATTACAGGCGTGAGGCACCGCGCCCGGCTGGACAGTGGTTTTGATTTCCGTTTCCCTCATGACTAATGAGGCCGACCATCTTCTCACACGCTGTTGGCCATCTGTGCATCTTCTTTGGAGAAATCTCTGTTCAGATCCTGTGATTTTTTTTTTTTTTTTTTTTTTTTTTTTTTTGAGACAGGGTCTTGCTCTGTGACCCAGCCTGGAGTGCAGTGGTGTGATCACAGCTCACTGCAGCCTTGACCTCCTCGGCTCAAGTGATGTCCCACCTCAGTCTCTTGAATAGCTGGGACCACAGATGCACACCACCACGCCCGGCCAATGTTCTTTTATTTTTTAGAGACCGGGGTCTCACCCTGTTGCCCAGGCTGGTGTCAAACTCCTGGGCTCAAGCGATCCACCCACCCTGGCCTCCCAAACTGCTGGGATTCCAGGCGTGAGTGACCCCTTGTCCATGTTTAAACGGGGTCCCTGTCTGTTGTTGAATCATAGTGTTCCCTGTATGATCTGGATGCAAGCCGATACTGCATGGATGACCTGCAGGTGCTCTCTGTCTCCACAGTCGCCTCTGCAGTGGGCGCTCGGGTGCCCCACATTCCCAACTGCTACAGACACAACCAAAGCCTCCCCATCCCTTCCCCCACCCCTGCCGGCAATCGCGTACAGGAGTGAGCGTGTGACTTCTTGTCCACATTTTTGTCCACAAGTTTGGCGAGTTTGCATCCGTGTCTAATAAAGAAACTACCGTTTCTCACGCAGGCACGTTCTGAACGCCCGAGTGCGGGAGCCACGTAAGACCCGGCTCAGGGACCCCGGGTGAGGCCAGCTGCACATGCAGGATGCAGGTCCTCACCACTGCCTCCGCTCGGCTGCCAGGGCTCTTCCTAGAAGACACGGGCCTCTCCTAGGCTCTCCTGACTGAGGCCCTACCCCTGCCCCCGAGTCACCTTGCCCCTTGGGGACTCTCTCTGGGCAGCTCCCTGTGGGAGCTTTGAAACCTGGCTTCAATGTCACCTGCACTGGGGGTCCTTCCAGGCCAGCCCCCTCCCCATCATCCATCTCTGTCCTTGGAGAATCATCTGCGTGTTTGTTGAACGCGGGCTCCAGTGATAACGGAGCCCTCGAGGGTGGCCCTCCTTCTGCTGAGGGCTCATGGAGGCCTTGGTGACAATCCCTAGTCCTTGCTCTCAGGATCCAGGGACCAGAAATGGGAGCCAGGGGCCCCTCCGTGGCCTGGCCAGCCCCCCAAGGAAGCTGTGTCTGTGGCAGTTGCGCTCTAAGGCATCAGGCCTAGGGGTCGCTCCAGAATGACTGTCTTCCCCGACGCCAATCCCAGGCAGGGGCCCCGGGGTCTGCGCCTGCTGTCCCTACACTCTCCCACACTCTCCTGTCATTCAGGGATGCAGGTGGGAAAGGGCAAGGCCCTGGGTGCTCCTATATTTTACATCAGTGAACCAAGCACCTACCAAGTCCCTCGATGTGCCCAGTCCTGGACCCCAGCATTTGCGAGACAGCAGCAGACCCAGGTGACCCCCAGCCAGGGTGAGTGGCAACCAGCACCAGAAGTGGCCTTTAGAGCAGGGGGCCCTGAGCTGATGACATCTACACCTAGGTCACTGCCAGCCAGGACAACCTCTGGGACAATGGGATGTCGGCTCCAACGACCAATTTACAAGAAACACAAAGGACACACTCACAGCACCACGGAGGAGACACCATGGAGGTGGCACCCCCAAGACACAGCGAGAAATCCAGGCTGCAGGAGCCAGTTTCTTCAACAAATTGCACAAGGAAAAAGAGAGGAAGGGAAGCTCCTAGACATCATCGGACATTTAAAAGACAGGCGGTGGCTCAAGCCTGTAATCCCAGCACTTTGGGAGGCTGAGGCGGGTGGATCACGAGGTCAGGAGATCCAGACCATCCTGGCTAACACGGTGAAACCCCGTCTCTACTAAAAATACAAAAAATTAGCTGGGCATGGTGGCGGGCACCAGTCCAGGCTACTCAGGAGGCTGAGGCAGGAGAATGGCGTGAACCCAGGCGGCGGAGCTTGCAGTGAGCCGAGATGGCACTGCTGCACTCCAGCCTGGGCAACAGAGTGAGACTCCATCTCAAATAACAATAAATAAATAAATAAATAAATAAATAAATAAATAAATAAAAGACATCACTCACACCTGTAATCCCAGCACTTCGGGAGGCCGAGGCAAGCAGATCACCTAAGGCCAAGAGTTCAAGACCAGCCTGACCAACATGGTGAAACCCCATCTCTACTAAAAATATTTTTAAAAATTAGCCGGGCGTGGTGGCGCGCGCCTGTAATCCCAGCTACTCAGGAGGCTGAGGCAGGAGAATCGCTTGAACCCGGGAGGTGGAGGCTGCAGTGAGCCGAGATCACACCATTGTCCTCCAGCCTGGGTGACAGAGCCAGACTCCGTCTCAAACAAAACAAAACAAAAGACATCAGCTAGCTGGTCCAAGCACAGTGGTGTTCACAACGAATTGATCACAGCCAGGTAGAATTCTTCATTCTTTCTCCAGTTCCACTGCTTTGCTTGACCAGCCTTAAAGACACACATATACATTTTTGTCTGGGCGCGCTGGCTCACACCTGTAATCCCAACACTTTGGGAGGCCAAGGCAGGCGGATCACTTGAGGTCAGGAGTTTGAGACCAGCCTGACCAACGTGGAGAAACCCCGTCTCTCCTAAAAATACAAAATTAGCCAGGCATGGTGGCACACGCCTGTAATCCCAGCTACTGGAGAGGCTGAGGCAGGAGAATCGCTTGAACCCGGGAGGCGGAGGTTGCCGTGAGCTGAGATCGCGCCACTGCACTCCAGCCTGGGCAACAAGAGCGAAACTCTGTCTCAAAAAAAAAAAAAAAAAGTATATATTTTTAAAAGACATTGGCCGGGTGCGGTGGCTCACGCCTGTAATCCCAGCACTTTGGGAGGCCGAGGTGGGCAGATCACGAGGTCAGGAGATCGAGACCATCCTGGCCAACACGGTAAAACCCCGTCTCTACTAAAAATACAAAAATTAGCTGGGCACGGTGGTGCATGCCTGTAAACCCAGCTACCAGGTACTCGGGAGGCTGAGGCAGGAGAATCGCTTGCACCAGGGAGTCGGAGGTTGCGGCGAGCTGAGATCATGCCACTGCACTGCGGCCTGGAGACAAGAGCAAGACTCCGTCTCAAAAAAAAAAAAAAAAAAAAAAAAAAAAAGACATCAACTAATTGCAGTGTGTGGACCTTATTTGGCTCTTAATTCAAACTATTAAACCAAAAATGTGAACACACCAGGCCTTCGGTGGCATGAAGGAATTGTCTGTTGTGTTAGGTGGGTCTGCAGTATTGCGATGCCCTCCAAAATGCTTGCAGATAAAAGGGTGGCTGGAATTTGGTTCAAAACATGGGTCAGGGCTGGGCGTGGTGGCTCATGCCTGTAATCCCAGCACTTTGGGAGGCCGAGGCGGGCGGATCATCTGAGGTCAGGAGTTCAAGACCAGCCTGACCAATATGGAGAAACCCTGTCTCTACTAAAAATAGAAAATTAGCCAGGAATGGTGGTGCACGCCTGTAATCCCAGCTACTCGGGAGGCTGAGGCAGGAAAAGCGCTTGAACCCAGGAGGCGGAGGTTGCCATGAGCCGAGATCGTGCCGTTGCACTCCAGCCTTGGCAACAAGAGTGAACTCTGTCTCAAAAAAAAAAAAAAAAAAAAAAACACATGGGTCAGGAGGGGAAGGGTCGGGGCAGGGAGGGCAGGGCAGGCTCTGGGGTGGGGGGTCTGTGAGTCAGCCACAGCTCTGCCCACGTCTCCCCACGGAGCTTCGAGCCACGCAGAGCAGCACGTTTTGCAGTACGCCATCTTTTCCAAAAGCCACCACCTCTCGGCAGCATCATTAACCCAAGGCAGGCTGTGGCCTCAGAAGCCCCGGCTGTCCTCCACCTGGAACTGGACACAGCTGTCCCTGCTGAGCTTCAGCAGCCAGGGAGCCACAAGTGGAGAGGCACCTGCGTGAGCTCCCCAGGAAGGCTACTGGTGACACCCAGACAGCAACGCTCCTGGACCCTTAAACACCTGCCAGCAGCTGTGATCTGTGTCCTTCACCTCTCCCAGCTTGACCCCTCTTCCCTGGGGAAAACCCAGCCGTCTCCCCGAGGAGGAGTTTGCAGGGTAGACAGCAAAATGGCTGGGCTGCCCCACAGCACAGAGGGTGGCCTGGGGGGCCAGCCAGGGCCTTCACATCCTTCCTAGGGCCCTAGTTTCCCATGGGTCCCCTCACCCCACCTTCCAGAACTCTCCCAGCGGCGGCCCCAGGTGTGTACAGAACAGCACCCACCTGCCCACGAGGTCACCCTGTGCCCTGTTGCACACTTGAGGGGCCTGGCATTCGGAATCTTGCCAGCTCAGGCTGGGACAGGCCACCAACCCCCAGGGTCCCCCTCCTCCAAACCCCAGGACCAGAGCCTAAGAGGACAACACAAGGCAGGGGCGGGGGCTCCGCTGCTGTGCCAAGGGCCTGGAGAACACGGGCCTTGCTCTCCGCTCAGCAGCCACCAGCGCCCTTCTCTCCCGGACAGCTCCCGAGGGGCTGCTCTCATGGACACCATCAGGTGCTGGGAAGCAGGAACCACCAGGACCTGGACAGAGTCCCCAGTGACCGGCCTGGCAGACAGAGGAGCCCTCAGCTACAGCATCACAAACAACGGGTGGGGTAGGTCTGATGCAATTCTGTGGGTGCTGTTGCCAGGCAGGAGGAGGCCATCTCCACAGAGACAGCCGCGAGACACACGCGTCCGCAGTCAGGGAGCGCAGGAGCAATGTGGCCCCGAGGGGCACGGGCTCCATTGGTCCAGGAGAACCCATTCTTCTCCCACCCTCGAGACCACCCAGCAAAGCCCCAAGGACACACGGCTCCCCTAAGGAAGGGTGGCCACAGGCGGGAGTGACCCAGAAACGTTACAAAACCAAATGCCAGAACCCACCCAATGTTTAGCAAGCCTGGGGATGTGCCACGTCCCCCAGGGATCCAGCACGCACCCAAGGAGACACTGTCCCGGCGAGGAGCCTGGAGCCTGGGAAATACAAGGCATCAGACTGGTCCCAAGACTCTCCCCAGCGCTGGGGACAACTGTCTGCTTATCTTAGTCCCCTGCGCCCTTTTCAATCCAACCCTGGGTCCTGGGCACCTCATAGTTCCAAATCCCTGCTATGCACATCCCGGCTGTGATGCCTGGGACAGGTCCTGTCCTGGCTGTGATGCCTGGGACAGGTCGTGTCACCTCTCCAAACCTGTTTCCTCATCTGTGAAATGCAAATCTCCACGGTCCCTATGCCTCGGATGGTCAGAGTCAGGATTCCGCATGACGACCCCCAACAGGAGCCTGGCACAGACCTGGCTCTGGGCAGCGTCTCCATAAAGGCCACCTGTTGTTTTTATCTCCCGAAAGCGAACATGACAAGGCTTTAACCCCCCACGGCAATCCGCCCTCACCCCTGTTCTCAGGATAGCCTTGGAACCCAATAGCAGAGCGCCTGAGGCCCTTCATGACCCCAGCCCACCCGCGAGCCCACCTCCCACCCTGCCCCTACCCCTCACACCTCCCGTGGCCAGCCTCCAGCCTCATGGTCTTTGCTCACACCGTTCACCCCCCTTCTTCTGGACCCACCTCATCGCCCCTTCCTAAGCATCAGCCCAATTCTTGCACATCCATCAAATCCTTGTCCAGACACCTCCTGGAACTCTTCCCTGCAGCCCCCTACAACCATCCCCACCTCTCCGGGTACCCCGCAGCCCCAGGCCGCATCCCAATTCCTCTCCAATTAGCGACTGTTTGTCCTCCCAGCTGAGCGGGCCTCCGGGCCCCGCCCCCGCTGGCGTCTGCACAGCCCCCGGGTGGGACGTCTGTCTCCAGACCCGGGGTTTTTCGGCTCCCCCGGGCCGTGCCAACCGCGGCTCCAGGCGTTCCTTATTTAGCAGGGCCGCTGTGCCCGCGCCGGAGCCTCGCCCTGGGAGCGTCCTGGCCCGCGTCCTGCTTCCCGTCCCGGGCCAGGGAACGCGCCCACACCCGCCCGTCCCGCGGCCTCTCCCGGGTGCCGCTGGGCCCGCTACTCACAGCGCTGTGGCGTCCGCGGGGATGCGCAGCGCGGGACCGAGCGTCCGCAGCCCGCGGCCCGAGCAGTTGACGCGGCAGGCGGCGCCGGGCGCTAGGCCGCAGAGGCAGGGGGGCTCGCAAGGCCCGCAGCCGCGCCCGGGGCCCCCCGCCAGCGCCCCGAGCCACAGGCCCAGGCCCAGGGCCAGCGCCAGGCGGGCGGGCGCGGCGGGCGGCATCGTTAGGGCAGCGCGCGCATGGCCCCGCCGTCCCCAGGCCCGCCCGCGCGCGGAGGCCGCGGCTCAGGCGGGGCCGGCAGACGGCATGGCGGGCGCGGGGCTGGATGGGGCTGCGGCCGCGACCTGCTGCTGAGCGACGCCCGCTCGAGGCTCGGGGCCAGGCCGCTCCGGGAGCTTGGCCGCCCGCTCGGACGCTGGCGCTGCAGTGCGAGCCCCGCCGCGGCTCCTCCTCCTCCCCGCGCCGCGCGGGGCGGACGGGGCGCGGTGGGGGCGGGGCGGGTGCAGGCTCCGCCCCCTTCGCCACAGCGCGACCAGGCCAGCGATGAGGGACTGGCATCCGGAGGCTTCACCCTCCGCTCCACAGGGTCGGCAGCAGAGCGGGGCCTCCGGAAGCTCCGCCCCACGCGTTCCCGGGGCGCATGCGACGTGGGGCGGAGCGTCTGGAAGCTCCGCCCGTCGCACTGGAGAGTCGGCCGAGGCGCACGAGGTATTTTTCACGCTCCGCCCCACTGCAGGCTAAAGTGCGTGGGCGGGAAGCGGTGGGCAGGGTGCCATCTGGCTCCGCCCTTCTCCTGTGGTGTGGGCCAGGCGGCGGGTTCCTCCTCCTGCAGCAGCCACAGGCTCCACCCTGATCCTTCTCCCGCGGCATGGATCCTTCTCCCGCGGCGTGGATCCTTCTCCCGCAATCTCCGTGCGCGTCCCCAGTCAGTACCCGCAGCCTCCCGACGCACCCGCTGGCTCCAAGCCTCCCTACCCCAGGTTTCCTGGCTAAGAGAGAGACAGAAGGAGAGAGGGGGAAGAGAGAGAACAGGCAATGGGAGGTTGATGGTGAGAGCTTATTGAAAGACAAGAGGGAGGAAACCCACATCCTCCATTCCCCATCCATTCATTTATTGCCTTATTTATTCCATTGAATCTTCACAGCTCTAGAAAAAGTGTGCTACAATTATTCCCTTTATTAAATGAGGTCACTGAGGCACAGTTTAAGAAATTTGCCAGCAGGGCACAGTGGGTCACTCCGGTAATCCCAGAACTTTGAGAGGGGGAGGAAGGTGGATCCCTTGAGCCCAGGAGTTGGAGACCAGCCTGGCCAACATGGCGAGACCCCGTTTCTACAAAAATTAGCCAAAATTAGCCAAACTGGCTCACACTTGTAGTCCCAGGTACTCGAGAGGCTGAGGCCGGAGGAGCGTGTGAGCCCAGGAGGCAGTGGCTGCGCTGAGCCGTGATTGTGCCACTGCACTCCAGCCTGGGCAACAGAGTAAGACCCTGTCTCGAAAAAAAAAAAATGGAAAAAAGAAAAAAAGAACTGGCTGGGAGTGGTGGCTCATGCCTGTAATCCCAGCACTTTGGGAGGCCGAGGTGGGTGGATCACCTGAGGTCAGGAGTTTGAGACCAACCTGACCAACAAGGTGAAATCCCATTTCTACTAAAAATACAAAAATTAGCCAGGCGTGGTGGCAGGTGCCTGTAGTCCCAGCTACTAGGGAGGCTGAGACAGGAGAATAGCTTGAACCTGGGAGGCAGAGGTTGCAGTGAGCCGAGATTGCACCACTGCACTCCAGACTGGGCAATACAGTGAGACTCCGTCTCAAAAACAAAAAAAATCCTACCACATGTGCTCCACCAAGCTCTGTCTCCAAGGTGGCCTTGGAAGCCACATGGGGAAGGTGGCAGAGACTCTAGGAGCCTGAGCAGAGACCCAGATGATTATGAAAAATGCAGACCTACCCATCCTTATTCACCTGGGACCACCGTGAACTATATCATAAGAAATAAACCCCTATTGTACATACATGCACCATTCCAGTTGGGTCTATTTGTTACAGCAGTTTAGCCAACCCTAATCCACATATACAGTGTCAACAGTGGCTGAGATGACATGTTGCACAGACATGAGAGTCAGAAAGACCTGAGTTCAAGTCCCAGTGATGACATTTACTATCTGTGTGACCTTGAAAAGCTGCCTAACTACTCTCAGACCGTTTCCTCATCAGTTTGTTTTGAGAATCAAATGAGAAAATTACTAAAAAGCCCTTAGCACTGCATCTAAGATGGGGAAGAGACAGTCAATGAATTCAAGTTTCCTGAAGCCCAGTTGCATCCCTGCCCTGTCCTGGGCTCTGAGAGACAGTTGCCGAAGCTAGTGTTAAAGTGAACTAAATATGGCCTGAGTGGGACTTCGTACTTCTATAGTTGAGTCCTTGTGGACAAATTGCAACCTAGCTTAATAGGTAGACAAGATTGAAAACCTAACTTAGGAGTATGCGTCTGTAACAATAGCTGAGTCTTGGCCAATCCCAGAGGCCGTAGTTCAACCGCTCATACGCTGCTGAGTGTTCAAACTGTACTCAAATAAGGCAAACGCCAACTTGTAACAATCCAGCCATTCTGTACTTCACTTCTGATTTCTGTACATCATTTCCCTTCTTTTGTCCATAAATCTTCTTCCACCACGTGGCTGCGCTGGAGTCTCTATGAATCTGCTGTGATTCTGGGGTCTGCCCAATTCGCAAATCATTCATTGCTCAATTAAACTACTTTAAATTTAATTCAGCTGAGATTTTCTTTTATCACTAATTTGAGCTGGTTTTCTAATGTTTGCAAATGGGAGGGCTGACTAATATAACACTGCTCCAAATATTAACGTCTTTCTCCCAACCCATCACCCAGGCAGAAGTGGTCCAGCCTGGGGAACCCTAGGAGGAGGCTAGCTCTCCTCTAGGAAGGCTTAGGATGCAGCCAGTGGGCAGTAACTGGCTCACTGTCCCCTGCAACTGAAATCAGAACTGGTTCCAGAAACCAAGTTGACCCCCAACCAGTCTTTCCCAAAATATGGCTCTATGCCCATCTCTGGTCAGGCTGGGCTGTTTTCCTGGACAGAGAAGTCTCAGACAAGCAGGCAGTGGTTAGTGGGCTGTGCCCAGGCTGAGAACATTTCCCAGAGCAGATGGCATCTCTGGCAGTCCCTTAAAGCCAGCAGAGGCCAAGTCATGTCCAAGAGGCCAAAAGACCCAATATGGTGGAGACAGTCTACAGTCCCCATGAATAAGGGATGCCGATGCCTTCCCTATGTACCAGGTAGTCACTGCCTGAGGGGCCCAGAGCAGCAGGAGGGCAGAGCCAGCCTGGGCAGGGGCACTGGGCCGGAAGTGGGGCTCACATCCTCAGCGCGCACACACACTCTCACACACACACACACACACACACACACGAATGCACGCATGCACACACAAATGCACGCACGCACAGGTGCATTCAAACATCACATACACGTGTACATTCCTTGCAAAGTCAACTTCTGCTGATAGCACAACAAACAATGGGGCCACAGTGTGGCATGGAGGAAACCCTGGAGTCTGATCTCATTTTTTTTTTTTTTTGCATCTGTCAGGAGATAAAGATATTTGATAAAAATCCTTGAGTCACATCCCCACCAGGTCCCTGCCTACCTGTAGACCCCATCAAGCCAGCTCCATGGCCCCTCAGATACCGCCTCACTGGGTCCCCAGGGATTGACCTCAGTCCTGGAAATGCAGAAATATCTGTATCTGTCACAGCTGAGACTGGCGGCCTTCCGCCGGCTTTCCTGGAGGCAGAGGTGGAGACAGGGACTTGGGTGGATGTGGTTTTTGTTTTTGTTTTGAAAGGGGCTTTCAGGAGAAGGGAGGTGAGGACTACAGGATGCAGAAGGGGACAGAGCAGAGTGAGAATGTGGTCCCTTAAAGTCCCGCCTTGACCTATCCCACGAGCAGCAGAGAGCACGCCACAGGATCGTCCCCACCGTGGGGCAGGGACCAGCCATTCACGTTGCTGTATCAGTTAGTCACTGGGCCATTACTGGGCATGGCATCCCATCCCAGGCAACGTGGCTCCCATCTGAGGGTGATTCTCTAGAGAAGGACAGCTGTGAGCTCTCAGCAGGTGAGGCTCCAAAAGCAGCTATGCCAGTCTAGACCTCAGGGGAAGGGGGAATTCATCTCTAGGCAGGGATGATTTTCATAACATTGAACTCTTGACATGCAGGAGCACCGACCAATCAGAACAGACACGGTGACCAAACAGGCACAGCCACACCAGTGGATACCAGCGGAATGTCCACGCTGCCTCTGCGAAGGGACAGTCCCATGAGCCAAGCCCTAGACCAGCTGTTCTGGGAGCACTGCATCATTGCACTGAATTCTCACAACCGCCCCATAATGCTGGGACCATCCCCATTTTCCTGCCCAACAGCCTCCGTCTCATAGACACTAGGCGGCTCTCCCAGGGTCACACGGTCCAGTCAATAACGGGCAGAACTCGCACTCCGATCTGTCTGGCTCCAAAGCTGCTAAAAATTTTCTACTTGGCCTCACTGGCTTGACAAAGATTAAAAAAGAAGGCAAGTCCTTCTTTCCAAGAGATGCTGAGGTCCCTCGGCGACGCTAGGTCATGATTTTATCATGTTCAGAGGGCAATGAAAGGGACAGAAAACAAGCGATGTGTGATCTCCTGTCATGTCAAGAGACGCTGATTTCAAAGAAACGTACGTTTCGCAGAATCAATACGCTGTGGGGCCTCAGAAAGCTGAGGCAGACACACGGCCCCGACCCGTGCACGTGGGAGCCCTGTTACAAGAGACGGCAGAAATTAAACTGAATCACCTGGAGCAAGTACATTGTAAATGTTCAATATTAATGACCCACCTCGGCCCCAAAGAAGAGAGCGTTGGGCTTTGTCCAGCTGTGTGCTCTGTTGTTAAAAGACCACCTTGTGGCCAGGCACGGTGGCTCGCACCTGTAATCCCAGCGCTTTGGGAGGCCAAAGCAGGTGGATCACCTGCGGTCAGGAGTTCGAGACCAGCCTGGCCAACATAGTGAAACCCCGTTGCTACTAAAAATACAAAAATTTGCTGGATGTGGTGGCTGGCGCCTGTAATCCTAGCTACTCGGGAGGTTGAGGCAGGAGAATCGCTTGAACCTGGGAGGCGGAGGTTGCAGTGAGCCAAGATCACGCCATTGCACTCCAGCCTGGGCGACAAGAGTGAAACTCCGTCTCAAAAACAAACAAACAAACAAACAACAACAGAAAACAATTTGTGCCTTAATGGGCATTCCTTTCCCTTCTTGCTAAGGGATGAGATGATGGCAGAACTTGTGGCCACTGTCCTGGAGGTTGACAAGCTTTTTCTGTAAAGTGCTAGATAATAAATATTTTGTGGGCCACACGATCTCTGGTGCAACTACACAACGCTGCCATTGTCATGCAAATGTAGCCATAGATGATGATAAATGAATGGGTGTGACTGTGTTCCAATAAAACTTTATTTATAAAACAGACAGCAGGCCAGAGTTGGGCAATGGGCAGTAGTTTGCCCCACACTCCCCGCCCATCCGTCCTATTCCTTGGCTTTTTTGGGTACATCAAGGAGTGCAATCTGGATGCTGGGCTATTTTATGGCCACTGGGCATAACCTTAACCTGGGCCTTTTGTCTGTTAACCTGGGTCAGTGGCTACGGTGAAGGTCGGGCAACCAAGGTTTAGATGGCTCAGTACACATTCACGCCCACAAACCAAACCAGGAAAAAGATGTGCTAAGTTGAGCATATGACACTGTTGGTACTCAAATGGTTTGTTTTTTTTTTTAAATAAATGTTTAAGTAAATTTTTTATTTTAGAACAGTTTTAGAAAAATGGTGAAAGCAGTACAGAGAGTTTCCATGTACCCCATAGCTTGATGCATTATGAACTAAAGTCCATACTTTTTTTGGGGGGGTGGGGACAGGGTCTTGCTCGTCACCTAGGCTGGAGTGTGGTGGTGTGATCATAGTTCATGGCAGCCTCAACCCTCGACCTCCCCTGGCTCAAGTGATCCTCCATCTCAGCCTCCCAAGTAGCTGGAAATACAGGTGCCTGCCACCATCCCCAGAGAATTTGTTTTTGTTTGTTTGTTTGTTTGTTGTTTGTTTGTTGAGACAGGGTCTCACTCTCATTGCCCATGCTGGTATACAGTGGCACAATCACGGGTCACTTGCAGCCTTGACTTCCCGGACTCAAGTGATCCTCCCATCTCAGCCTCCCGAGTAGCTAGGACTACAGGTGCACACCACAAGCCTGGCTAATTTTTTGTATTTTTTGTAGAGATGGGGTTTCGCCATGTCGCCCAGGCTGGTCTTGAACTCCTGGGCTCAACCCATCCGCCGGCCTCGGCCCCACAAAGTGCTAGGGTTACAGGCGCGAGCCACCGTGCCTGGCCACCTGAAGTCCATAGTTGATTCTGATTGCCTTAGTTTTTGCTTAATGTCCTTTTTCTGTTCCAGGATACCACATGGAGCATTTTGAGGAGTGCTGGTCAGGTATTTTGTAGAATGTTCCTCAACTGGGATTTGGCAGATGCTTTTCTCATCCTTAGTCTTGGCTTGTGTGTGTTTTGAGGAGAAGGACCACAGAGCTTAAGAATCATTCTCAGCACTCTGTATCAGGCACGCATTCTCTCAAGATGACTTGCCGCTATTGATGTTGACTTTGATCACCTGGCTGAGGTAGTGTCTGTCCGTGTTCTCCACTGTAAAGTTACTCTCTCCTCTCTTTTCACACTGTACTCTTTGGAAGAGAGTCACTATGCACAGCCCACACTTAGGATGTGGGAAGTCCGCTCCACCTCCTTGACGATGGAATAGCTATATAAATTACCTGGGGCCGGGCACGGCGGCTCACACCTGTCATCCCAGCACTTGAATGGGAGGCCGAGGAGGGTGATCGCTTGAGGTCAGGAGTTTGAGACCAACCTGGTCAACATGGTGAAACCCCGCCTCTACTAAAAATACAAAAAATTAGCCGAGTGTGGCAGCGCATGCCTGTGATCCCAGCTACTCGGGAGGCTGAGGCACAAGAATCGCTTGAACCTGGGAGGTGGAGGTTGCAGTAAGCCAAGATTACATCACTGCACTCCAACCTGGGCAACAGAGCAAGACCCTGTGTAAAAAAAAAAATTAAATAAAAATAAATAAATAAATAATCTGGAATTCTTCTGCCTGGGAGATTTGTCTCTTCTCTCTTATCTGATCATTTATAGCAGTATGGAATCATGGTATTTATTCTTTGAATTCTAATCTGTTACGTATTTATGACAGTATCAGTAAAAGCCTCCCTTGAAATTTACCAATGGCATGAACATTTCAGATGAGTCTGCCATCTTTGGTGCTCCTGGGACACGAGAGAGACCTGTCTTGCTTGCTGATCACAAAGGTGGCTTTTTCTGTGGCCAAAGCTAAGGCTGTAGGGTCTGGTAAGAAGAAAAGATGGTCATGTTCCTCGTCAAGTTTCCAGTTGGCTACTGGAGAGATCAGTCAAAGAGTACAACAATCAATCATTCGTTCATTCAAAACTTAAGTGCCTCCTATATGCCAGGTCCTGTGCTATGGAAGCAGGATTTTGATTAGACCTTTTAAAATGGGAAGCAACAAGAAAAGGGAGAAAGTCTTATCTTTGATTTCAGCCTAACCAAGGGAGGCATCACTGTTTCCTTCTTCTTTTTTCTTTTTCAGAACGACGTCCTATATTACTCCCTGACAGGGGTGAGGAGTGTTTCCTACAGTTCACAGGAAAGATTATGCATCCATGATTCCAGTCCCTAGGCTTGGAAGAGAGGTCTGCATAATTGAGATACAGCTTGGTATGTTCTCCAGTGATACTGAGAAAAGAGTGAGGAGAGTCAAAAGGAAAAAATAATAATAGCAGCAGTTGTAAAACCTAACACATTAAACACTTACTATGTGCCGAGCACTGATCTCAGTGCTGAATAAGAATAAACAAACAAACAAGTAACTGAGTTCTCTTACTAGAAAATAATTGTAAAGTAACGTACAAGTTTGATATTTTCTACACATGGAGTTTTAAATATGAAGCAGATATGAAGGTATAGTAAATAGATCAAATTATTTAAAGCAACATGTTTAAACTTTCAAATAAAACTTAAACAGAATCAGTAGTGTTCAATCAGTTCTAAGTTATTAATACTAAGTTACTCAGTCACTCCATTAAGATTCAACAAAATGGTTTTGTTAATCAGTGGTACCAAAAATTAAATTTTGGTTTTAACCTTAGTCCTTGTTGTTAGCTCTCCTGGAATTTTTCTGAAATTTCATGAAAAGAATAAAAGAATGATTTCAGAAAAAATAAAAAATAAAAATAAACAAACAGAGCCCTTTCATTTTCTCCTGGAGGAAGTAGCAAAAACAGCAGCCCTATGGAGAGAGAATTTCAGAACGGTATCAATGGCCTCCAAAATATCCCTGCCATTTGACTATATTCTTTGTTTTCAGAGAATCCTTTGGAACTAGCACCAAAGCTTCATGCAAAAAGCTGTGCAGCACTGGTTACAATGACCTAAAACCTGGAAGCAAACTGTGTTCCAATAGTAGGGGCTGGCTTAAATAATCTCTCGTACATACATATAAAAGAAGAATGAGGACACTCTCTACTGACATAGAACCATTTCCAAGATTAACCGTTAAGTGAATAATGCAAGGTACAGTTTTGAAATACACATTAACTATAGTCACCATAGTGTGCAATAGATCACTAAAACTTATTCCTTCTGTACCCTTTGGCCAACATCTTTCTTTCCCCATCTACCACATCCTCACCCTCTGATCACCACCACTGCTAAAAGTAGATTTTAAATGTTCTCACCACAAAGAAATGTTAAGTATGTGAGGGGATGAGTATGTTAATTGACCTGATTTAATTATTCCACAATGTATGCACATATCATAACATCCCATTGTACCCCATAAATATATGTACTTATTTGCCGATTGAAAATGTTTTTAAATATAAGATGCAGAAGAATGTGTGCTATCTTTTAAATTTTATGGCATATGGATGTATTAACTTTTTAAAAATTTAAAAGCAATATGTCAAACTATTTATAGAGTAGAATCCAATGATCTATGTGGGAATAAGAAAGTGTGGGAAAGAATTTTTGGGAAATGTTCACTAGTTTTGTTTGGGTAGAAGATCACTGGGTAATTCTTTCCTCCCATTTTTCTCTATTTCTAAATTTAGATGTGTGGTACAATGAAATACTTTTATCATGAAAAAAAGACATTTTAAAATGAAAGAAATCCTGGATCCAGGCTAGGGGTTTGCTTAGATATTTAAAATCCTAGAACGCATATAAAAAGGGACTCGTGATCACAAAAGGACATCAGAGAATGACAAAAATGTCAAAGATATGGTCAGGAAGGCATAAACCCTACACTAATTTGCCAAAACCCAAAAAGCCAATGGGCTCTCAAAATCAAGCCTTAAAGCAACTTTCAGAGGTTTGCTGTTTTAAGTGTTTGGTTAGGACTTTGCTGCAATTAACAAGAACCTCAAATCAAACTGGGTTAAGCAAAAGAAGGAATTTATTGGCTTAAATAATCAAAAAGTTCAGGGGAAAGAAAAGACTGTCTTTAGAATAGCTTGGTCCTGTTCACTCATATTTTTTCTTTTCTTTTTTTTTTTCTTAGAGATGGGGTCTTACTCTGTCACCCAGACTGGGGTCCAGAGGCATGATCATAGCTCACTGCAGCCTTGAACCCTGGGCTGCAGCAATCTTTTTACCCCAGCCTTCCAAGTAGCTGGGACTACAGACATGTGCTACCATGCCCAGCTAATTTTTTTTTTTTTTTTTTTTTTGGTCTACAGACAGGGTCTCACCATATCGCCCAGGCTGGTCTTGAACTCCTAGCCTCAAGCAATACTCCCATGTCAGCCTCCCAAAGTGTTGTGATAAGAGGCATGAGCCAATGGGCCTAGACTCACTTACATCTTGACTTTTTTCCTCTTGACTCAGCTCTCTACCTGGGGCACCATATTGGGGCATTCTAAATATCAGGCCCTAGGTAGTGGCTCCTAGAAGGCCATGTTCACTGTAGCTTTTTTTTTTTAAGCAGTTCTAGAAGAAAAGAGCCAAAGGTGCCTCTTCCCCAGCAGAGGCAACAGTATGCATTGCATACCAACTGAGTCACCTGCTCATTTCTGAAACAATCCCTAGAGACCTGAGAATGCAATGCCCTGAGTGGCGGGGTGGAACCAACACCATCAGAAGCGCACTATTCTAGAGGAAAAGCAGGTACCAGGAAAACAGACTGAGCATTCAGCAGCAAAACAGCAGGCAGCAGAGAAAATTGCAAATTCATGTGTGCCCATCTCTTCAAGTAAAATGAATAAATAAGCAAAATGAAAAAATATATATGTATATCATTAAGAAGAACATGAAATCTGAAATAGATGGACAGCAAGTAAGAGAACATTGCTTTAAATGAATTCAAATTTCTAGGCCACATGCACAAGTCTCAGAACCCATGTTCATATCCATGGAGCTACCTCCAAAGACCTGAACTGTGATCCCTTTCAGAGAAACCAAACCGGAGAGAGGCCGCTGGGGTCTCTCTTTTCACAAAGGGGATGGGTTGGAAGTTGACATCCGAGAACCAGATACAGGCATTGACTTCTGAGGAAACTTTTTTATTAATCAGTTTTATAATTGACAAATAAAAATTGTGTATATTGTATTTATTGTGTGCAACATATTTTGAAATATATATACATTTTAAAATGCCAAATCAAGCTAATTAACATGCATGACCTCACACATTACTCTCTTAGCAAATTTCAAGAATACATTGTTGTTAACTATAGTCACCATGTTGAACCACAGATCTCTTGAACTGATTATCTGAGGAAATTACTGAACAAATTCTAAAATAGCAGATTTATGAAGGCTTAGAGAAGATTGATCAATAAAACCTACTGTAAACTTACCAAGATCGTGTGGTACCAAAACACACTCCACAGGATTACGAGATTGGGAGCTCTAGGGAAGCCCGATAAAATCCAATTTTAAAATAGCACAAAAATTAACTAACTATTGGGTACTAAGCTTAGTATCTGGATGATGGGATCAGCAGAGCCCCAAACCTCAACATCAGAGAATACACCTAGGTAACAAATCTGCACATATACCCCCCGAATCTAAAAATATTTTTAAGGAAAAAAATATTTAAACAATCTGTTGGCCAGGTGAGATGGCTCATGCCTATAATCTCAGCACTTCAGAAGGCTGAGGTGGGAAGATCGCTGGAGACCAGGAATTCAATACCAGCCTGGGCAACATAGTGAGACTTTGTCTCTATGAAAAATACAAAAATTAGCCAGATACAGTGGTGTACACCTGTAGTCCCAGCTACTCAGGAGGCTGAAGCAGGAGGATCGTTTCAGCCCAGGAGGTCACGGCTACAGTGAGCCATGATCCCACCACTGCACTCCAGCCTGAGTGAGACCTTGTCACTTAAAGAAGAAGAAAAAAAAGCATATGCTATTTTCAGAAACGCATTTGAAAATTTGAAAACATCCATGTTTGTGTTCTGAGGATAAAGACAGGTAGAAGAAACATGGGTGTGAATTAGTAGCTGATTGTCTATCCATACCAACTAAATGCCATCATCATCATCATCACCATAGGTATTTGAAGGTTTTTACTACCTTACTTAGTCCTCTAAGGCTGAAGTGCTAGCAGGTAGATATTTATTAGTCCCCTTTTAGAGATTAAAGCACTGATCTCAAGAGGTGAAATAACTTGTCCAGCTAGCAAATAATGGAGCTGGCATCCTGACCCAGATCTGTCCAGCTGCAAAAATCTTTCCTCTCATGAGTTGTTAGCATTATTCCAAACAAAACACTGCCCTAAAAGTGTGAAAATGTCCTCAGTTCACCCCTTCTCTGCAGTGGGACCCTGACATTTAAAGGCACACCAAGAGGAGACAGTGCTCCCTGCAGGGCTGGAGGGTAATATCTGAGGTCTGGGAGGGACAAAATTCACAACCAAGGGTTACTCCCTCCCACCTGTGCCTGACATTTTTCTTTCTAAAAAATCTGCTCATTTCTGTTCTTCTTTCCTCTTCATCTTCCCCCTCTCCCTTTTCAATATTTTATTTCTTTATCTTATTTGGTGTTTTCATTGCCAAAGTAATTCATGCTTACTATAAAAGCATCAAGCAATAGACAAGTGTATAATAAAAAGCAAGAGGTCCAACCCCCAGGAAACTGCTGGGGACAGTTTGGTACCTATCCTTCCACAGTGTTTACTGTGCGCACATCAGTAAATCAGACTTAATACAATGTTACAAGTTATATAGAAGTGCTGAAATATACACCTAAGAAGCCAGCAGCCTTGGCTATAGTCTCTGGTGCATGCATGTGGCATGATTGTGCATGGTTCTCAGAAACCTTGTTGCTGCTCCTATCATTCCTTCCTCTACCAGTCCACAAATGTCTAACTGCCCACCATGTGCGAGGTGCCATGCTCCGTGCTCAGAACACAGCTGTGAACCAGGTGGACATGGTGCCCTTCCTAGAAACAAAATCTAGGCTGCAAGAATGGTGGCTTTAACTCACTTCAAGAAATGCATTCACCAAGCACCTTCTCTGTGCCAGCTTTTGCAGGGGATGAGGCGATGTCACAGATATATCAGACACAGCACTGCTCTGAAATGCTCATGGAATAATAGAGGAGACAGGCTAGAAAATGAGGTCCATTATTTGTGTTTTAAAATTAGGCCAGGCACACTGTTCACAATAGCAAAGACTTGGAACCAACCCAATACCCATCAATGACAGACTGGATAAAGAAAATGTGGCACATATACACCACAGAATACTATGTAGCCATAAAAAAGGATTAGTTCATGTCCTTTGCAGGGACATGGATGAAGCTGGAAACCATCATTCTCAGCAAACTATCACAAGGACAGAAAACTAGACATTGCATGTTTTCACTCATAAGTGGGAATTGAACAATAAGAACACATGGACACAGGGAGGGGAACATCACATACTGGGGCCTGTCAGGGCGTGGGGGGCTAGGGGAGGGATAGCATTATGAGAAATATCTAATGTAGATGATGGGTTGATGGGTGCAGCAAACCACCATGGCACGTGTACACCTATGTTACAAACCTGCACATTCTGCACATGTACACCAGAACTTAAAGTATAATTTTAAAAATAAATAAATAAGGCCGGGCGTGGTGGCTCAAGCCTTTAATCCCAGCACTTTGGGAGGCTGAGGTGGGCGGATCAAGACCAGCCTGACCAACATGGAGAAATCCCATCTCTACTAAAAATACAAAAAATTAGCCGGATGTGGTGGCACATGCCTGTAATCCCAGCTACTCGGGAGGCTGAGGCAGGAGAATTTCTTGAACTCAGGAGGCGGAGGTTGTGATGAGTTGAGATGACACCATTGCACTCCAGCCTGGGCAACAAAAGCAAAACTCTGCCTCAAAAAAAAAAAATTAAATTAAAAAAACTAATAAAATAAAATAAATAAATAAATAATAAAATAAAATCAGGCCAGCTGCAGTGGAACACTCACGTCTTTAATCCCTTTGCACTGTAACCCCTAAGTACTTTGGTAAGCCAAGGCAGGAGGACCACATGAGGTCAGAAGTTCAAGACCAGCCTCGGCAACATAGAAGTTTAATTTAAAAAAAAAATTAAATTTAAAAATAGCCAGGTACAGTGGTGCACACCTGTAGCCCCAGCTACTCAGGGCTGAGGCAGGAGGATCACTTGAGCCCAGGAGTTTGAGGCTGCAGTGACCTATGATTGGAACCCGGGAGTTTGAGGCTGCAGTGACTGATTATCATGCCACTGCACTCCAACCTGGGTGACACAGCGAGATCCTGTCTCTAAGTAATAATGATGATGATAAATTAAAAAATAATAATTTTTATTATGTTGTTGTTACTAACAAAATTTATTGAGCCCTTCCTAGATGTCATACACTATACTAAGTACTTTACAAGCATTAAGTAATTTCATCCTTTTAAGGACCGTTTGAGGTAACTGTGATGATTATTCCCACCTCATAGATGCAGACACTAAAGCTCAAAGAAGATGAGTGCCTTGCCTGAGGTCTCACGGCTGGTGAATGACCGGGCTGTGACTCAAGCCAAGAGCTGTTTGTCTCCAAGACTCTTAAAGACTCTTTTTTAAAACCAGCATGCTATTCCATTTCATGGTATTCTCTTTTTCTCCCTCATTAGCAGATTCCTACAGAACCCACATGACTCTACTGTTCCTGCCCCAATTTATTTTTGCCTGAGTCTCCCCACTTTGGGCAAAAGCCTCGCTTGAACTATATCGATAGCTACAATGACTGAAAATTGTGTCACGTATCACATAGAATCTCTGTTCCCAAGGTACCCAGAGAGACTGAAATAGGTCCGTTAACAGTCGTGTGTTTTACATTCCACTTGGAGGGTTAACATTCAGGGTCACCCTTCTTCTGAGCCTTAAAAACCAGGGGTATCAAAGTAATGAGGGAGTGCGAGCATTCCATGGAGTTTGGATTAATGATCTGTGAGCCTCTGTTCAGCCCTGAATGCGTGTCATTTTTAGAGTTCAGCCTGGCAAGAAAACTTAACAAGAATCCTGGTCAAAAGAAGTCTCGGTCATTTAATGACAAAGGGTAACTGGACAACCTACCACCAGCAATTTATTTTTAGACCAAGTTAAGTCATACTTCTATGCATGACCTCATTCCCATGACTCTCCTGCCCTGCCCCCAGTTACTGTCCTCAGCTCTATGATGCAAATATTCTGCAGACGTGTCTCTGCCCTGCAAGATTCCCTAGACAGCTTTACCTTGACTACAGATATGTCAATGTCCGCCACCATAGAAAGGTCTTTCTGCAGACCGAACTGAACTGATGCTAGCTTGTTCCATCAGGACCCCTTCTTTCACTGTGCAAACTGTCCCCCAAGCTCCTGTGCTCCAATCAGACAATCAGAACTTTCCATTCATTTCAGCAAAGTTCTATTGAGCTTCCACTCTGGGTTGGGTAGTAGTCTAGGCTGGGGACAGAAAGATGAATGAGACCCATGCCTTATGAGACACATGATACTCACAGTGAGGAGGAGAGAGCAGATGACTTACACTGAAACAAAAACAATAATGTTTCACATCCAATAATATAATAATAAACAAGACACAGAGGAAGGGGTTATTTCTTCTCTTCTGAGAGAATAGGAAACAACAAAGATACATTTCTACAGAGAAGGGCTTTAAAGGATGAATAGGAGTTTTCCAGGGAGAAAAGGAGAAAAGGCCATTTCTGGCAGAGCCAACCAAAGCAGAAAATTCTGAAAGTGAATGTTTGACAGGAGCTGCGGAGAGGGAAGAAGAGGGTGACACATAATTCAGTAAAGTGATTGTGTTGAACATGGAACAGCAGAGGGGTGGGAGATGAGCATAAGAAGTTGTGATGGTTCCTTGACACCTTGCTTATTTTTGTAATTTTTTTTTTTTAGATTTTGAAATAATTTGATCCTAACAGGAAAGTTGTAAGCTTGGTATAAAGAGCGCTCATATACAGGCTGGGTGTGGTGGCTCACGCCTGTAGTGCCAGCATTTTGGGAGGCTGAGCTGAGAGCATTGCTTGAGGCCAGGAGGTCGAGACCAGCCTGGGCAACATATCAAGACCCCATCTCTACAAAAATAATAATAATAATGAAAGAATTAGCCAAGCATGGTGGTGCTCACCTGCAGTCCCAGTAACTTGGGAGGCTGAAGTGGGAGGATGGCTTGAGTCCAGGAGGTCGAGGCTGCAGTGAGCTGTGACTGTGCCACTGCACTCCAGCCTGGGCAATAGAGTGAGACACTGTCTTAAAAAAATTCTCATAAACCCGTTTTACCTAGTCTTCCTAAAATCGTCAATATTTTACCACACTTGCTTTATCATCTTTTCTTGATACATACATATTGCATTTGTATTTTTTTATGAATTGTTTAAGAATGAGTTGGGGTCATGATATTCCTTTACCCCTAATCACTTCAGTGTGTATTTCCTAAGACCATGGTCATTTTCTTAGGTAACTACCATATAAAGTCAGGAAATTGACATTGACTTAATACCATTATCTAATCCACAAACCTTATTAATATGTCACCAATTTTCCCAATAATTTCTTTCATAGTAACAAAAAGAAAATGTTGACCACCTGTATTAGTCCATTTTCACACTGCTATAAAGAGCTGCCTGAGACTGGGTGATTTATTAAAAAAAAGAGATTTAATTGGCCCACAGTTCTGCATGGCTGGGGAGTTCTCAGGGAATTTACAATCATGGCCGAAGGGGAAACAGGCATGTCTTACATGGCAGCAGGCAAGAGAGGAGAGCAGGGGAAACAGCCACTTATAAAACCATCGGCTTTCTTGAAAACTCACTCACTATCACAAGAACAGCATGGAGGAAAGAGCCCCCATGATCCAGTCACCTCCCACCAGGTCCTTCCCTTGACATGCGGAGATTACAGTTAGAGATGAGATTTGGGTGGGGACACAGAGTCAAACCTTATCACCACCCTATTTACAATTGGGACTCCAACCCTCTCAACATGCCCTGGGCCCTGGCTCTGCTTTTTCTTTGTAGCATTTTCTGACCTCTAACATGTAGCATTATTCCTATTTCTAAAATGTCTCTCCCTTCCCACCATCCCACTAGAATGTAGATCTATGAGGTCAAGAACTTTTGTCCATTTTGCTCACTGTCATATCAACACCCAGGAGAGTGACTGCCACATGAAAGTTATTAAATAAATAGTCTGAATGACTGAATGGCCAAACCTGGAGGTATCTCTTCCCAACCCCTCTTCCTCTTATTTTTTTAAGCAAAAAACAATAGGCTATTTTTTCATGCCAAGAAAACTGAGCCTCCATGTTAGTGTTTTTCTCCCTTTAAGTTCTTGCTTGGGGTTTTCTTATTTTGCCTCCTGATAGGTACGTAGGGTATATTGCAAAGGAGAAGGTTATCCCCAGAACAGCTAGGGCTTCTTCTAAGAATAGCCCAAGTCAACTGAATCTCCCCTGGGTCTCCTATACAGATGTGAAAGTCCTTGACATGCAATGGTATCTATCCCTCTGCAAACAGAGTGAGCATCTTTAGATCTAATTGAAAGATTAAAAAGAAGATCCCCAGCTGGAAGGTCAATTTATAGATTCCACAGTTAAATCAAGCCACATTCTTAAGCACATGGGACACAAACCTTGCATTAAATCAAAGACTTAATCCAAGTTAAGCCACCCTGGATGAGGAGCTAGAGCTGGAGACATGTAATTAACACCAGCCAGTCAGCACCAACTGCTTCAGCTGACAGGTCCACAGCCTGGAAAACCTTGTTACAATTTCCAGGAGGGCTTTGGGGATGCTTGTTCTCAAGTTCCAGAGACGGTGGGCTTTGCTTCTTTCCATCTGATCTCAACTACTGACCACCAGGCTCCCTGCACTCCAGCCCCACCAACCTCCTTGCCACTTCTCAAACATGTCAAGGACGCTTCCATTTCAAGGTCATTTGCACCTGCTCTCTCCCTGAGCTCCCTCTGGACTTTGCTCAAATGTCACCTCTCTCTCACTCTATTTATTTCTGTAAGCCTCTCTCCTCCTTGTCACCTGCTATTCCCTCCTGCTGTATCCCTTCCCGCCACTCTTATCCCACCTGACACACTGCACATTGTACTTATCCATTTACTCTTTCTTCCCCTGAGAAACCCCATGAAGGCAGGACCTGTGCTTTTTCATTCAATGTTCCCTCACCAATCATCTAGAACAGTATGTAGCATATATCAGGCACTCAGTACCTAACTGCTGAGTTAATTTGTTGGCTAGTTATCTGATTGATTGACTGATTGATTGGGTGGTTAATTAAATGGTTAATTAATTTACCTCCTGAGGCTGGGCCCCCATATGGCCACCTAGCTAAGAAACACCATCAAACCGGGGGTGGGTATTTTGGTTACGAAGGCAAATAAGAGCTACCTAGAAATGCCCTGACGCCAGATGTCTTCAATATTCTGAGACCTGAGTCTCTGTTATAGGTTGGTGTCCTTGGGATAAAGTTCAAGTTCTCTGTCCCTTTGGTTCTTACCTTGAGGAACTCCATCTTCCACCCCTGAACTGCTCATCTACCCTCCAGTGAACTAGAACTTTTGTCAGCTCCTCAAAGTCACCAGGTTCTTGCCACATATGACGTCTCTTCCTAGAACAGTCCTCTCCATCATGCCATAGTCTTCAACTCTGGCCAGCGCCTGCTCCCCAGGTGTCCCCTGTCTGCACTCACCACACTCTTCTTGCAGTGAATCACCAGACTGTGGGTTCCACGAAGCGAGAGCCCTTGCCTTCTTCTTCCCCATGGTATCCCAGTGTCTAGGGCATTGCCAGACTCATGCTTGAATATTTGCTAATTTGGATAGGAGTTATCATCTTATTTCACAGATGGAAGTTATGAACTTTTTACACACCTAATGTACGGGAATTTTCACACTAAACAATCCTCCAATTCTCTGTGGATACCAATTGGGTATTCTATAATTAAATTAAACTTTGGCACTGCCTACCTGGTGTTACCGTCAGACCCTATGAGTGAAGGGTTCCAACCCACAAGAAGGCCCCCAACCTCTGAGGCCAGTTGCAAATCCCAGGTTGCTACCTGTACTCCTAAGCAACCAGCTATAAATCGGGGGTTCCTGCAACCCACTCTCAGGTTTGATAATTTGTTAAAATGACTCCCAGAAATCAGAAAAGTGTTTTAATTACTACTACTGGTTTATTATAAAGGATGAAAGTCAATAACAGCCCAATGGAAGGGAAGCATAGGGGAAGGATGGGAGAAGGGCCCCATGCACACCAGCCTCCCAGCTCCATGCACTCACCAACTCAGAAGCTCTCTGAACCCCATCCTTTAGTATTATGGAGGTTCCACTACATAGGTGTGATTAAACCATTGGCTATTTGGTGATTAGGTCAATGGTTGTTGACTTCAGCCTCTCTCCTCTCCTTGAGGTGGGAAGTAAGATTTGGGGTGGGCAATGAGCCTAATAGCTCCTCCAACCTTTTAATCATGAGGTTGGTTTCTCTATAGCCAGCCCCATCCTGAATCTATCTAGAGCTCACCAAGAGTCCCCTCATTTGCGAAAACTCAGGAATCGTTGAAAGGGACTTGTTATGAACAACAAAAGATGCTCCCCTAAACCCATCATTCAGGAAATTCCAAGGGTTTTAGAAGTTCTGTGTCAGGAACCAGGACAAAGACTAAATATATACTTCTTCCTTCATCGCAGAGGTTAAATATAGTATAGTGGTAAGACCACAGCTTTGAAGACCATGAGTTCAAATCCCAACTCTTCCACGTAATGGCTATGTGACCTTAAACAAGTTATCTCAGCTCTCTAAATCTTTTTCTCATTTATAAAATGACAATCATGGTAAATTTATAATTCATTCAACACCGTTCTCAAGGCTAGGAATATGGCAGTAAACAACAGATTGGCCCAAAGTGATATTCGAGCCAAAACCCAAATGGTGAGAAGAATTTCGCCACCTTGAGCCTAAAAGGAAGAACCTTCAAGGCAGAGGGAATATCATGCCTGAAGGTGTTGAGGCAGGAACAACCTCATAGTGTTCAGGAAAGATAAAAGAAGGCCAGGCCGCCAGGCACGGTGGCTCACACCTTTAATCCCAGCACTTTGGGAGGCCGAGGCAGGTGGATCACCTGAGGTCAGGAGTTCGAGACCAGCCTGACCAATATAAAGAAACCCTGTCTCTATTTAAAAAAATACAAAATCAGCCAGGCATGGTGGCACAGGCCTGTAATCCCAGCTACTCAGGAGGCTAAGGCAGGAGAATCGCTTGAACCCGGGAGGCAGAGGTTGCAGTGAGCTGAGATCGCGCCATTGCACTTCAGCCTGGGCAACAAGAGCAAAACTCTGTCTCAAAAAAAAAAGAAGAAGAAGGCCAGTGGTGCCTCTGGCATCCCCAAAAGCAAGCCTCCAATACCACAAAGGTACACAGGGCCACTTTCCCTGCACCTCTCGGCTCCTGATCTACCCAACTCCAGACCCCAAGGTTCACCTCTAGCTCTGAAAAGGAGCACAGCTTCTCCAGCCACATCTGCCTCATTTTGCCTCAACTGCAATTGGAATCGTTCTCTGATTGGCTCCCCTGGGTACGTCCCCTAGCCTGACCTTCTCAATCCCCCACTTCTGTGCCCTACCATCCCCTTAAGTGACACTGTCAGCCAGGTTTGCCTGGCTCTCAAGCTGCAAATCTCTAAGACAGAAGTCAATGGGTAATGAGAATAAGAAAATGTGAAGGACTAGAACTCCAGATCTTGATGCTACTGGTATTAGTTAGGTCAGAGAAGATAATAATTTGACATCCTAGGAACCCAAATTTCCATCCCCGTCTAACTCCACTATCCAATGCTAAATTCAATGGCTTATACCAATGCTATTTGATTCTTAATCAGTGTCTGCTCCATCTGGTCCCTTTACAGTACTGATTCTCAACCGGGGCAATTTTGCTCCCTAAGGGACATTTCGCAATATCGGGAGACACTTTTGGTTGTCACAACTGGGGTGGACGGTGCTACTGGTATTTGGTGGGTAGAGGCCAGGGATGCTGCAAAACATACAGCAGTGCACAGGACAGCCTGCCCCTGTCCCCAACAACAAATTTTCCTGCCCAAAATGCCAACAGTGCCAAGGTTGAAAAATGCTGCTTTTAAGTAACACAGCTCACCCTGCATAAACATTAAACATATATATAAAGAGATGTTAAAATGTATTTGTATGCAGATAAATGCAAATTAAAACATTAATGAGATATTTCACACCTCGCAAGCAGACAAATTTCAAAAAGGACAAATATTGGCAGAAAAGTGGGGACATAGGAACCCTCAGGCACAGCTGATGGAGGGTATGCTGGTGTGACCTGTTACTATTTAGTCAAAGGAAGATTCACAGACCCAAGGACCAGCAGTTCTATAAGAAAGTCTTACAAAGCTCCTTAGGAAGACACATACAGAAATAATCATTGCAAGGTTATTTGTGGAAGGTGGAGGTAACGAGGTTGTCTATCATTGGGGAACTAGGCAGATAAAAGTGGATGAGCAAATACCGTGGGGTATTAGAAGTGACCTTTTTTTTTTAATTTTTCTTTTTCTTCTTTTTTTTTTTTTTGAGACGGCGTTTCACTCCAGCCCAGGCTGGAGTGCAGTGGCATGATTTCAGCTCACTGCAACCTCCATCTCCTGGGTTCAAGTGATTCTCCTGCTTCAGCCTGCTGAATAGCTGGAATTACAGGTGCCTGCCACCACGCCCAGCTAATTTTTTGTATTTTAGTAGAGGGGGGTTTCACCATGTTGGCCAGGCTGGTCTTGAACTCCTGACCTCAGGTGACCCACCTGCCTCGGCCTCCCAAAGTGCTGGGATTATAGGCTTGAGCCACCGTGCCTGGCCAGAAGTAACATTTTAGATGTACAAATAGCAATAGAGATGGACCTTACAGCTTTAATGAGAGTGAGGAGGGGGAGTTAAAAAAAAAAAAACAAAAACAGCATGAGACGATTAATACAATTCCACATGCATCAATCTTTTTCAAAGTGTACACATTGGGAGAGTAAATTGGCACATGTACTTTGGAAATTTATTTGATAGTATTTACTAAAGCTCAATATAAATACTTTGAACCAGCAAATTCCACTCCTGGAATTATACTCAAGAGATATGAGTGTTTGTGTCCACCAAAAGACATGTACACATTTAATCCATAATAGCCCCAAACCAGAAACAGCCAGTTGTTAATAAAGAAATTGAGGTATATGCATACAATAGAATACAATACAACAATGAAAATACGGATGCATCTCATAGACATCCCATTAAGCAAAATAAGCCAGGCACAAAGAATAGACACAGAATGCCTCCTTTCATGAAGTTCAAAACCAGGCAAAACTAATCAACAGTGTTAGAGGTCATTACACTAATGTCCTTTGGAAAGGATAGACTTTTTTTTTTTTTTTTTTTTTTTGAGACGGAGTCTCGCTCTGTCGCCCAGGCTGGAGTGCAATGGCGTGATCTCGGCTCACTGCAAGCTCCGCCTCCCAGGTTCACACCATTCTCCTGCCTCAGCCTCCCGAGTAGCTGGGACTACAGGTGCCCGCCACCACGCCCGGCTGGAAAGGATAGACTTTAAGGATTGACAGGGAGACTCCTGCAGGGTCAGAAATATTCTATATGTTCATCTAGGTGGTGATTACACAAGATCTATACGTATGTAAGAAAATATCATGCAGTCCACATAAGGTCTGTGCTCTTTATGTTAATTATACCTTAACTACAAATAAAACTTAGGATGGAGGACTTTCAAAAGATATGGATTCAATTGACAATACCAAGCACTGGCAAGCATGCAGAGTAATTAGGAATTTTCATATACTGCCAGTAGGAAAGCAAAATGACATAGCCCTTCTGGAAAACAGTTTGGCCGTTTTTTATAAAGTTAAATATACACTTATAATGTGACCCTGTAATCTCACCCCCAGGTGCCCTAAAGAAATAAAAACACGTTTGTACAAAAACCCATCCACAGGGCTGGGTACGGGTGGCTCAAACCTGTAGTCCTAGAACTTTGGGAGGCTAAGGCAGGCAGATCACCTGAGGTCAGGAGCTCGAGACCAGTCTAGCCAATATGGTGAAACCCCATCTGTACTAAAATTACAAAAATTAGCCGAGCGTGGTGGCAGGTGTCTGTAATCCCATCTACTCGGGAAGCTGAGGCAGGAGAATTGCTTGAACTTCGGAGGTGGAGGTTGCAGTGAGCCAAGATGGTGCCACTGAGCCGAATCCATCAAAAGAAAAGAAAAGGAGAAACAAAAGAAAAGAAAAGGAAAGAGAAAAAAGAAAAAGAAAAGAAAAGGAAGGGAAGGGAAGGGAAAGAAAAGGAAAAGGAAAAGGAAAGAGAGGGAGGGAGGAAGGAAGGAAGGAAGGAAGGAAGGAAAACCTATACACAGATACACAAATTTATAGACACTCTATTCATAGTTAGCAAAACCTGGAGAAAATCTAAATAGCCTCCAAAGAGGAAGTGGATAAACAAACATCCACACCATGGAATACTATTTGGCAATTAAACAACAAACAAACTCCTGATACATAATAACCAGAATGAATCTCACAGGCATTATCCTGAGTGAAATAAGTCAGCCTCAAAAGGTTATTATCTTAGTCCATTCAGGTTGCTATATACCAAAATACCATAAACTTGGTGGCTTATAAGCAAACGAAATTTATTTCACACAGTTGCGGAGGCTAAAAGTTCAAGATCAGGGGGCCAGCATGGTGAGGGCCTTCCTCTAGATTGAGGGCCCTCCTCCAGGTTGCAAATGGCCAACTTCCCATTATATCTTCAAGTGGTAGAAAGAGCATGAGAGACTTCTCTGGGGTCCCTTTTATAAGGGCACTAATCCCATTCATGAGGGCTCCACCCTCATGATCTAATTATCTTCCAAAAGCCTCACTTCTAAATAGCATCATATTGGGGATTATATTTCAGCATGGGAATTTGCAGGAGGACACAAACATTCAGCCCACAACATGACTTTCTTGAAAAGACAAAAGCATAATGATGGAAACAGATCAGTGGTTGCCAGGGACTATGGGTGGGGGAAGCATGCAACTATAAGGAATAACATGAAGGACTTCTTTGGAATGATGAAAGTGTTCGGTATCTTAATTGTGCTCAAAGTGGTTACATTAATCTATATATGTGTTAAAATTCATAGAACCATGCATCAAAAAAAGAGTCAACTTTACTATATGTACTTAAAGTATAAAATAAATGAGATATTGATTCAGAGTCATATTCCACAATTAATAACTATATTAGGAATAAACAAATACGCGCACACAATATTCTTCAAGAATATACACAAACAAAAGATATACATTAAGCACACACGATGGCCTATTAAGGGTAGGAAATGTAAGTAACTAGAGTGAGGTGGTGGGGATGAAAGGAAATGAACCCAGAGACAAATCAGTGAGAGACACATTTGATAATGCAACTAGGAAGACTTACAGGAGTGAGAAGCGATTGTACTCACAGCTATGGTTTATTACAGGATCGGCAAGGGGCAAGGGACACACAGCAGGTAGAATCTGGAAGAATCCATGCACAGACTCCCAGTGTTCTCCCCACCTCTCTCTAGCCCTAGGGATCACGGTGAATATGTTCTTTCGGCAACACCTCTTCAGTGTTTCTGCCTAGAGAAGCCCACGTTTAGGCTCAAAGTTTGGGTGTTTTATTGAGAGCTGGTCACATAAGCACAAAAACTAGAAACAACTATTGAAATTCCAGGCTCCTGGAAAGGAAGCAGGTATTCTGGGCGCGAAGCAGGTATTCTGGGAGCTAAGCGGGCAAAACAGTGTTTTACATAGTTAGATAACAATGCAAAAGCCAAGTTCCCAGATGCCAGTGAAGAGCCAAGCCTGAAAGCAAGCCTTTCTAAAGATGGCAACCTCATGCTGACTATGTTAATTCTCCCTTGCCCTGGGTCCTTGCAGAGACCCATGTGGATGTGCCACGAGCCTGTGATCCAAAAAAATAAAATAAAATAATTTTTTTAAAACTAGGATCTGCTTCTGGTTTTCAATTCTTCTATTATTTAAGTCATGCAACAGTGTTAACCAGGCAGGCTCACTAGCATGATGGATGGATAAATAAGTGGGTGGGTAGGCCGACGGATGAATGGATGGATAGACGAATGGACGGATGGATGAATGGACACATGGATGGATAGAAGCAAAATAAAATCAATACTGTATGAGCCAAACAAAACAATGGCTTGAGCATTCTGTTTCTAATGATGCTCTCAGGAATGCAGCCACAAGGAAACTCTGCCCTCACCTCCACCCCATGAGGCAGAAACTGGCCACCAGTGACAGGGAAACAAAGTGGATTCCTCGAATGTCATTGTTATTAAAACAAAACTAGTCCCAGAAAACTGACCTGAATGTATTTTTTCTCTCACTTTTGGCCTGACTGTCTAATAACCAAAAGTCACCAGAAAAAAAAAATTTTTTCTCAGCAAATGCTTAAAAACAGAGAAGACCCCCAAAGTACACAGGGGCAGAGAACAACTCACAAATCTCAAGAATAAAATAAAGACGGAAGATTCTCACCCTACTGCAATGACTCTCCCAGCCCACTGCCACCAAAGTTTCTGAGATTAAAAAGAGAAATTATTTAATATATGCAGTTTCAATTTTTAAAGTTTCAGGCATGAAAGAGCTTTTGCTCCCTAATGATGTCCCTCAGATGTAGCAAGACCTGGTCTCTCTTTCACTGAAGAATTGCCTTCATTTTCACCACAGACTTCCCTTGCCTCAAAGACAGATGCTCAGTCAGAGAAAGGAGCCTGAGGATCCATAGAAACTCTCTGATATTAATTGATCTGCTCCTAGTTTTCAGTTATTCTATTTTTTAAAACATGCGACAGTGTTAACTAGGCAGGCTCACTAGCATGATGGATGGATGAGTGAGTGGGTGGGTAGGTTGATGGATGAATGGATGGACAGATGAACAAATGGACAGATGGATGGATGGATGGATGGATGGATGGATGGATGGATGGATGGATGGATGGATGGACAGATGGACGGACAGATGAATGGATGGATGGATGGGTGGGTGGATGGATGGATGGATGGAAAAATGGATGGATGTATAGATGGAGATAGATATAGACAGAACTAGATACAGACAAATAGAGACATCGTTAAAGAGAGAGAGGTAATTATTTATTTTTGCAACAAGTATTTATTATCTACTTTAGGTCAGGCACTGCTCCAGCTTATAACTGTTTGTTATAACAGTAACCAAAACAAACAAACATCCACTACCTTCCCGGAGCTTAGAGAGAGACTATAAAAATTAAAAATAATATATAGAATTATAGATGGTGTTAAGTGCTATGGGGAGAGAAACATCAAGTAAAGGGGCTTGGGACCGGCTGGAAAGAGTTCCAGTTCTTAAAGAATAGGGTCAGGAAAGGACTCACCAGAAAAGTGACTTTTGAATGGAGACCTAAAACAGATGAGAGTGTTCAGGTTCAATATTACTTTTTAAATAGACAGACTTAACTACCTGAGAAAAAAACAGGCATATCCCAAAAATACTAGGACAAGGGAAAATTATAAAAGTTGATTTAACACCAACAGGTATGTAAAGGAGATGATGACATAATGCTTAGTTCCTGGCAAGATTTAGATTGGAGAAAAATAGCATGACATGGGCACACTTGGAAGAAACCAATGGGCTATCACCAAGAAGGACCTGCTCGAGCTCAAGATAACCAGGAAACATAACCACCCCTTATGTTATAATAATGTGGTAACACAAAAAGGTGGGATGGCATGTCACATATTGACTCGGAAGTAGGCAAAAACGTGAGACCAACTTGGGCTTAGATACACATACCTAGGAATATACTAGGTGAAGTCAAAGACAGCAGGAGATTGATATTCTACATAAATATGGAAATGCACTTTATGAGTTCTTGAGAATCTCTGGGGATTTTTCATAGGTCTCACCCATCACTGGTCATGTAAATATGTCATTTTTAGCAAAATCACATTCTCTTCACTTCTATCTGTTCTGTATTGCTGCAAGGACTGCTTTTTGAACTAGGGTATGACAATGATCCGTCTTGATAGTGTTTGTGAGTCAATTCAGAATTACAGTGATTACTAAAGTTGGTCACATATTCCCCCCATCTCTATATGCATTCCTCTTTGTGATGTCACTTTGCTGTCCTTTCCACTAAATAGTAGAACCTATTTCTCTACCCTCTTGAGTCCTTGTCATGTGATTTGCCTTGACCAAGAAAATCTCAAAGAAGTGATGTTATGGTAATTCACAGCCTACACCACAACAGGCCAGAAACGTCTACCTTATCCCTCTTGAAATGCTACCCTGAGACTGACATATGGGGAGTCTGGGCTAGACTCCTTGAGGGTGAGAAACTATGTGAAGCAAGGTCTGGCCAATAGACAGCCCCAAATGCCAGAATTGGGAGTGAAGTCATCATAGACAATCTGTCTCTAATGGAGTCCCCAGATGTGTGCAGAATAGGAATAGCCCCAGGAAAGACCAACAGAAGAACCACTCACCTGAGCTCAGCCCAAATTGTTGACTCACAGAATTGTAAGTAAACCAACAAGGTGGTTGTGTTAAGCCATTAAGTTTTGGATAATTTGTTATGCGGGAATAAATAACTAATACAGATGGTAGCTACAAGTCTCTTCCTATGCCTATGGTTGTCAAGTAGACAGGTGAAGCAATTAGTAGTGGAAACTATCCATTCATTAAACAAGTACTTATGGAGCTCCTACTCTATGCACACACAGCCTAGTGGCTCACAATAAGCAACCTTTACAGCCACTGCTTGATGAAATATCTCCAGACAAAAGTATTCCTCCACCATAGCATAAGGTGATGGTCTGCCCTTGTGTATCCATCCTTGTTTAAGAAACAAACTAATGTCCCTTAACTAAAGATTCTCCTTCCAGTGAGGACAAATGCAACTCCTCGTGACCACTGTTTCTCCTCTGGTGCCCTTCCAATAACTCAGAAAATCTAGATTATTGGTTGTTTATGACTTCACTGGATAGCACCTCTATTGTCATCAGGCCTTCAGGAGGTTGGGTCTTCTGAGAAATGCCTGCCCCTCACCCAGCCCTAGCAGGCCAATCCATTCCTCTTTGTGTGGTGGAGTCACGCCAGTGAAGTGGATGAGGAGTAGGATGGGAGTCAGAAAACTTAGGTTTCATTTGTGCATTCTCAGACTTGTGGGAAGATACTTCACCAGCCCCAGCCTTAGAAATGAGAGTAACAGAGCTGTACAATCTCTGAGGTGTTATGTATTCTTAAGGATACACTTACTGGCAGGGAGGAAATGCTCTAAGCCATTTACATACATTACCGACATCTTCTCTTTTAACCCTCCAGGGATCAGGCATCTCCACGGGGTAGGCACTCCCACCTTCCTGATTTTACAAATGGGAGTCTGAGGCTCAGAGGAATTGGGTGACTTACTCAATGTCACACAGCTAGTTGCAGGAGTCAGTCTTTTAACTCAGGCCCATCCAGTCTTAAAAACATGGACTGAACCAGTGTACATCCAACTGACAGATGAGTTTAGAAGCTATCTAGTCCAGACAAGCTTGAACTCAGCTAGTCCAGCCTTTCATGCACCTCACCTATTTAGTGACAGGGAAGTCATTACTTCTCCAAGCAACTTACATTACGTTAGGCTGAAAATTGCCTGCCTGAAATTCCTGCTCACTAATCCCTCTTGGCCCTCTGTTAACATCAATAATTCCACCGATAATTACAAAGCACCTACTAGGCACCAGACATTATCCTAAGTGCTTGGGATACACGTATGAAATTGCTCATTCCAACTTGGTTTGGCCCAGTTTTCAAGGGTTTCCTGCTCAAACTCACACCTCAGCCTGAATTCCCACTCCTGAAGATTTCTTACCTCTCTGTAGTGAGCTCTGTTGATGGCCTCTCTCCATCCTGCTGTAACTCACAATGGAACCTGTCTCTTCCTTCATTTCTCCCAATGATCTCTAAGACAGAGCTGTCTCATGCCGCTGACTTTACTGAAGCTCTCAGGATATGGAGGGGGATTACAGCATGCAATAAGCCATGACTTCCACAAAGTTACTTATCTCTGTCTTGAAGTTCTTCACTCACCCCTGCCGTAGGAAATTTCACTTCCCTAGCCTTTCCTCAGAGCCCAGCTGCTGTCATTTTTGGGGGGTCCTCTACCAAGTCTCTTGAATTCCACATTCCCTAGCCTTTCCTCAGAGTCCAACTGCTGTCATTTTGGGGGGATCCTCTACTAAGTCTCTTGAATCCTACATTCCCCAACCTTTCCTTAAAGCCCAACTGCTGTCATTTTGGTGGGGGGTGGGGGGGTCCTCCACCAAGTCTCTTCTCTATTTCCTTCTAATTTTTCGCAATGGTCAGTACACCCAAGACCCTCTTTCCCTGAGCTGGGAAAAGACCTCAAATTACTATTTTTTTGTCATGCATACCAATGCAACTCTTCTTAATCTAAGCTTTTCTCATCTCTACCGTACTCCAGAGGAAACCTCCCTGCAAATAAGAAAACCACACCAATTAAAGTATTTTTTCTGGGAAAAGAAAATATGCAGTTGTCTCAGAAGGATTCCTCATGATACTCCTAGGTCAACTAATTCAAACAGCAGCCAACTTTTGAAATAGAAGTTTTCTATTAAATAATAGTAATGTCAACTATTAAACCTGCACCTTGGCATATGATATGCTACATTCATTTCTTCATCTTCCAAATGAAGAAACTGAGGCTCAGAGAGAAACATTATCACTAGCTTTAAATCACTGAGCTAGAAAGTGGAAAAGTGAAGATTCAAACAGTCCCCAAACCAACACGCCTTTCCAGTGCTTGAACTATGATCAGGCAAGAAAGTGCAACACTTAAGGTGGCACTCACTCTCAGGGGCTGACTGCACAAGCATGACCCTAAGAATGGGTACTTCCTTAAGAGCAGGGTACCTAGAATCCAAGTTCAGGCAAGTGCAGGGTGAATGCAGCTTTAATTTGCATCCTAAGCACCCCGCTTGCCTCACCACAGCTGGGGCCCTGTACCTTCTCTTCCACAACCCTGAAATGCATGCTGGACAGTGACCATCCTGACTGGGACACTAGCCTGGCCCTCTGGGCTTGCATAGCAATTGATGCCTGGCTTTCCCTGTGCAGGTGGTGCTGATTAATGGTGCTGTTAAGAAGAGATCCAGCTGCTGCTTTCAGTTTCCTCTTCCTGCAGAGATCCTTAATTACTGGGCTTCACCTGTTGAGTTTCCTTAAATGACATGAGTGTGTATTTTTAAGTGGGAAAACAATTCATTAGGAAGTGCCAACATCTCAGAGGAGGTAAATCCTCCAGTTAATTTCAGAACCACACTGCTTCAGCCACATAAGAGAGCGGTCCAAGGGGGTACTGCTTTTTTCTGAACGTCACCAAGCCAAACAACCAACCTTCAGCAGATGGCAGGGAGCGGCCTTGAGAAACCACAGGGAGGGGTCATGAGATCAAACCACCCTTAGCCATCAACCTTTAGCATCCTCCCTGGTTGCCCCTTTAGCTCAGCACCCTGGGAATGATGGGTCCACACAGCCATTTAGGTACTGCTTCCACACGGCTGAAATTGCATTTGCATTTTATTAAATAAAAGCAATCTGTGCAAAAGCCTAGCCTAAAGTTACTAACAGATATTTGAGTCTAAGATAATACATCTTACAGTATTAGAATTCAGGTTCTAAGACAATCACCCTCAACCATTGTCAATCTTTACATTAGGGTAGATTTTTGAAACTTCAGGTCCCTACAATCTAGATTCTGATTTAATTAGTCTAGGGTGGGACCCTGGCCTTTAGTATTTTTTTAAAGCTGCAGCCCTCAGTGGTGACTCCAACGTGTAGCCAGAATTGGAAACCACTCTAATTTGTATTTTATTTTTTTTATTTTTATTTTTGGAAACAGGGTCTCACTCTGTCACCCAGGGTAGAATGCAGTGGCACGATCTCAGCTCATTGCAGCCTCTGCCTCCCAGATTCAAGTGATGCTCTTGCCTCAGCCTCCCCAGTAGCTAGGATTATAGGCATGTGCCACCATACCTGGCTAATTTTTTTGCATTTTTAGTAGAGACGGGGTTTAGCCATGTTGGCCAGGCTGGTCTCGAACTCCTGGCCTCAAGGGATCCACCTGCCTCGGCCTCCCAAAGTGCTGGGATTACAGGCATGAGCCACTGCACCCTGCTAGTTGTTTTATACATAGAGAGAGAGATTACAAAATACTTTCTAAAGGATAGATCCTGGGTCTTATCACTGTATTGCTCATACCAAGCAAAATGCCTGGCACAGAGTGTGCCACCGATACATGTTTTGTGCATAAAAATAAATAATGTCACTTGATGCTTACTAGAGGCAGGAGAAGGGACATAGAAGGAGCAATGGGGATAGGTCGGCCAAGGGGTACAAAGTTAATCAGGAAGAATAAGTTCCTGTGTTCTATTACACAGTAGGGCGACTGGAGCTAATGACCATACATTGCATATTTCAAGATAGTCAGAGAAGAGGAGCTTGAAAATGATCACCACAAAGAAACGGTAAAGGTTTGAAGTGATGGACACACACTGGCTACCCTGTTTGATCATTATACAATGTATATATGTATCAAAATATTACACTATACTTATAAACATGTATAATTATATGTGTCAATTATAAATGAAATGTTAATATGTCCCTTGATTCTTGTTTGTACCTTTTTCCAATTATTTAGCCTTACATATATATCCATGTATATATAAATTTTACATAAATGCATAAAAAGTGAGCATTCCTTTGTGTGTGTGTGTGTGTGTGTGTGTGTGTGTGTGTGTATGAGAAAAAGAGACAGAGACAAGCAGAGAGAGAGAGAGAGAGGCAGAAACAGAGAGAGAGGAGGAGACAGGGAGAGAGAGACGGCAAACTTTTTTTGCTACCAATTTTGGCTCATTTGCCCTGCCCCTCTATTCTCACCCCCATTGCCATCTCCCCACCTGCTCCAACACCTGCCCCACCAGAAAACCTGTACTGACAGTCCAGTCAGTGGTCTTCTATATAGTGTCCATCCTCATTTAATTCTAGACAGCCATACAGACACACGAGTGTGGGCAATCATTGTTTTATAGAAATGGGATCATATTCTACCAACCGTTCCCATGTATTCAACAATTCCTTGTTGTAAGCCCTCCAAGTTGATTTCTCAAAGAACTAAAAATGGAACTTTCACTGGACCCAGCAATCCCATCGTTGATATGTACCCAAAGGAAATAAGTCATTCTACCGAAAAGACACTTGTGCTCATATCTTTATAGCAGTGCTAGTCACAATAGCCAAGACATGGAATCAACCCAGCTGTCCATCAGTGGTGGACTGGATAAAGAAAATATGGTACATATATACCACAGAATACTAGACAGCCACAAAAAAAGAATAAAATGATGTTCTCTATAGCACCATGGATGCAGCTGGAGGCTGTTATCCTAAGCAAATTAACGCAGAAACAGAAAACCAAATACTGCACATTCTCACTTACATGCGGGAACTAAACACTGGGTACACAAAGACAGAAAGACGGGAACAAGAGACACTGAGGATTCCAAAAGGGGGAAGTGAAGGAGGGGGCAAGGGCTGAAATATTACCTATTGAGTACCAAGTTTGCTACTTGGGCAACGAGATCATCAGAAGCCCAAACCTCGGCATCATGCAAGATACCCATGTAAAAAACCTGCAGGTGTACCCCATTAAACTAAAAAAAAAGAAGAAGAAAAGAAAGCCCCCAATACCCCTGATATCACTCACCTTCACTGTCCTTATTGGGCACGTACCAGTCCATAGGTGGAAGCCCCATTGCTTAGTCAGCCACTCCCCCATGGATGAGCACTCACTTTGCTTCCCATTTCTGCCCGTCAGAAATAACTCAGCCACAAACAGGAGGTCATCTGATGCCTGCAACCACCCTATACAGCACAAATATCCATGTGAATCTTTCTTCCCATCCGCAGACACATAGCCAAATGCCTAGCAGGCCTTACCTGACCCCACTAAAACAGTCTTTCTGGCCAGGGAAAATTATAAAGAATTATATGAGATCACACATACAAAAAAAAAAAAACCTTCACAGTGTGCAGAAGGCTTTGTGTCAAAGTCGAGCTCGCACGTGGCCGTGGCCGGGTTCTCTGTGGCCAGCCCCATTCACAACACAGCTCTGGCAGAGCACTCTTCAATAGCATCATTAATAGCCCATTGATCCAATTACATTTCTTTCTGTTCCACTTCAGAATTACAATCTCCTGTTCCCCCTGAAAGAGCCCAGATAGATTCCCAGATGAGTATCGGAAGAGGTAGCTGCCATCAGGACTTGCTTGATGGACCCAAGCACTCATCTAATAGTGGCACTGGAAGAATTAATCTGGCTGATATATCAGACCTCTCTCCTCCGTGGGAACTTGCCATTTTCTCCAGCCTCTGAGTTTTTCTAGTGAGATTCAGAGATACAGCCAAATGTGAGTTAACCCAGGGACATCCTAACACTGCCCTCATTGTGTGTTCCCAGCATGGGGTAGGCACTCCATAAATAATCGTTGAATTGAAAAATGCCTAAGGAGGGGTATATTGGGGCTCAAAGCAGACCAGGTCGGCTGAAGAAATGGGCTTTATCCAGATTGTGACTTTGCAGGTTGGACCAGAATGAGAGTTTGAATCTGATTCCATAGGTAATGCATAAAATGAAAATATATACTATAAAAAGGCAAAGTCAAGACCTTGAATGATAGCTGAGAAAAAAGTAGAGAGAGCTAAATACATATTCCAAGTCTAATGGGCAGGATAATGAGGGACAGAGGTAGGCAGCAATAGGACCAAAATAGCATTCATTCACTTAGTAACTGTATAATGAAGACCTACCTTACGCCGGGCACCGTGCTAAGCACTGGGGAGGCGGTGGTGTAGAAGTCATTATCCCAGCCCTCAATTGCTCATGGTCTTAGGGAGGAGGCCAAGACACAATCACATTAGAGCCATGACCAGGACAGGACAGAGCTAAAGCCTATGACAAACATAAGCCCAGGGAAATTAAGGAGTATACAGGGAGGCGCCTAAGCCAACCTGGGGAAGTATCAAAGGCTTCCTGGAGGAGGAGGATGAGGAAGAATTAGTAATGTTGAATACTGGCAGGTGAACAATTCATACTGTGAGAGGCTGTGGCCCCAGTACCCTTGCATCTGCTCTAGACTTTGACTTCTACAGTGAGACTCCTGGCCAATGAGGATCTATGTCCACAGTCCCTGGGGGTCATCAGCCCTGCACTCTCCCACCTCCACATCTTTGTCCATGTTTTTTCCTCTGTATGGATAGCACTCTCTGGTTCCCTCTCCCCAGTCTGTAAAACCATCACCTTCACCTCCCATCAAGGCACAGCCCCAGTGCTACTTCTTGCATGCAGCTTTTCCAACTTCCTCTACCTGGAATTAATCTCTGTCTCTTTCTCTCTCTCTCTGAATTTCAATAACACTTTGCTTGTTTCTCTCTTATAGTACACAGCACTCTTGACATTGTATTATAATTATTTGTGTATTTGTCTTATCTCCTCTGCTAAACTATGAACTCCACAGGGGCAGAAAAAAACCTTGTCTTAACCACCTTTGTATTCCCTGCAGCGCCTTATACAAGGCAGGTGCTTGATACAGGTTGAATGAAGATTATGTTTACCAGGTTCCAGGTAAGTGGAAGGAAATTAAAAGACAGCCCAGCTGGAAACAGTGGGCAGGCATTACAGGCAGGCCCAGCTTTCTAACAGCTATCATAAAACTGGCTGCTCGCTGGAGCTGTGAATTTCCCATCGCTGGTTAGAGAAATTCTTTAAAAGGGAGATTCTTTTAAAAATGGCTGTCCTAGATGATGTCTAAGCTCATCTAATTTTCACTAGGTTACTACAATGGAGAATGGTTGATGAGTAAGCAAAGACAGCAGAAACCCACTACACAGTGAAATAGGAATAGATGTGTGTTATTGTCAATGTGATTGCTCTTGGTTGAATGATGAGATCAGGGGTATTTATTAGATTATTAAATTTTTAATCAATTAAACTAAAAGATCCATTCTCAGAGAAATAATGACAGTATGTCATGAGCAAGGATTATAACTAACCTAATTCTAAACATCCGAGGATTTTTTTTGTTTTTTTTAGAGATAGGGGTCTCATCATGTTGCCCACACTGGCCTCAAACTCCTGGGCTCAGGCCATTCTCCTGCCCCAGATTCCCGAAGTGCTGGGATTACAGGTGTGAGCCACTGTGTCTGGCTGAGAATCATTTTTAAAGTTTGATTTAAACAATCGCCCATCCCCAGATCTGATTTGGGGCATCAATGGGGCCAAATGACATGGGTTTCCTAGAGAGCAAATCTCCGGATGTCATACAGATACTTAAAACCTTCAATGGCTCCCCATTTCCCTACAACACATTCCTAGTCCTCAGCTTGATGTTTGAGGCTTTTAATAATATAGCTCTTGCCAGCTGTACCTTACACAACGCCAGACACACTCAGACCAGAGGTTTCAATCTCAAGGGCATATAGGGACTCAGTGGAGTGTGCTGGGCCAGGACAAAACCACAAGGGCATGCCCCAACTCAACAACTGAGCAACTTCACAGGTCCAGCCCCTTTGCCCAGCAGAAATGCAGACTCAGCATTGCAAGCTCTTCTGAGTTTTCAAAAGAATCAGGAAATTAAGATTTTTTTTTGTAGAACCTGCCATTTTTCAATGTTACCTTAAAAATGCTTAAACACTTTGTGAAAAATGCCCATCTGTGGCTCAGATCTCTATGATTTACTTAGACTCTATTTTTTAATTACTTAGATTTACTAAAAGGTGCTATGCTCGCACCCCTTCAAATATCCCTCCCCGATGTTTCCTCTCTCTAGGTTACTCCTCTCTGTCTCCTTTCCTGGATTTATTCCAGCCCAACCTTTAAGACTAGCTTCTAGTTGCAGTCATTCCTGCAGAATTACCAATTTCTTTTTACTCTTCCATATTGTCACAATGTTTTACAATGAACCTGAGCAGCAGATGCTGTCAGTGCCCTCCCACATCCCCTCAGCTCCCTTGATGATTTTGTGCACACCAGTTTCCCATGTGCTTTCACTCCCAACAGCCTCAGAATATTGGAATCCACTTTCTCTGAATGCACGGAGAGCTAGAAGCACCTGGGAATTTATGTTGCCCAAGAGCAGCCCTTAGCCAATGATTGACAGGTGGAGGAGTTTAAATACTTCACCTCCCTTGCTTCTTAACGGGAATTACTTCAAAATATGCTGCCTCCAGATCTCCCCTGCAGATTGAGCCACAGTTATCTTCTGCTAGACTTTGTTTGCTATCACACACCTGCTTGGGTTTTTCCTGGAAACACTTCCTATTAAACTGGTTTTAAATGAGCCCTCATTTCAGGATCTGCTTCTAGGACCTTTGATAGACAGCTTTTGACATGTTCTCCAATGATCTCCAGCATCTTCTCTGTTAATGCCCTTATACAATCCCCTCACCATGAGTGTGCCATGTTTCTAAATCCAAAAGTGATGAGTGTCACTTCCATGATTGGGATAGAAGAGATTGACTTCCATCTTGCCACCAGACTCTCTAGATTGTCTTCTCTCCTTGTGTGCTTTGATAATGCAAGCTGCCACATTGAAGAGACCCACATGGCAAAGAAATGAAGGTCATCTCTAGTCAACAGCCAACAAAGAGCTCAATGCTGCCAATAACTACTGAGTGAGCTTGGAAATGGATACTTCCCCAGTCAGACCTTCACGTGAGACCACAACCTTGCACCAACATTTGATTATAGCCTTGTGCAAAACCATGAAGCAGAGGACCTAGCTAACTCACATCCATATTCCTGGCCCACAACTATAAGATAATAAATGTGGGTCAGTCAAGCTGCTTAAGTCATGGGGTCACCTGGTATGTAGCAACAGATCCCAACATAAGACAATGTGTAATATTTCTATAATTAGAAAATATTCCATCCTAGATATCTCCTCCTGAAAGCCATTCCTGAGCTCCCAGACCAGGGTGTTTTTGTCACCTCTGTCATGGTCTTCATCATCCTGAATTTAATAATTAATATGCCCTGCCTCCCCATCTTTTTCTCCCCTACTGATCACCTTGAAGGCAGAGCTTTCAGAGAGAAAAGGTCTGATATATTTCTTTATTCATCATCTAAGCATAGTATCATATAGGAGATGCTTAACAAATGTATATTAAAGTAATTGATTTGTTAATTGTTTTCCATATGAGATTTTGGCCAAGTGCCTCCCTATATACCATTATTCTGCAGATGCCAAATCAAGGGTAAGGGAGGCCTTCAATATTCAGCAAAATCTCTACTCCATGCATCCCCCACATCATTTTCTAAGCAGTTTCTTCCTTTCCATCACCAGGGTGCTTATCAATTGTACATTGACAATTCCTCCCATCTGTTCAATTCATCTGTTGGATGGTCACTCTCTGCCACTTCAGAGCAATGGGGAGTTCACTCTGCCTTTCATACCCCTCTGGGAAGCCCAGGAAAATTATCTCTGATTAATGTCATTTCTTCTTTTGGGTCTAATGACAAAATTACAGCAAAATCCAGCCCTACTTTGCACCACACTTGGAAAAAAATCTGCTCAGCTTTTGTCTGCCAACCACAGCAAAAACTTGATTAACCAGGACTCAGTGCACATGGGCAGAGGGCTTTTTCCCCCCAGTTAGCAGAGGGATGAAACTGAAAATCCCATTTATTTCCTCCCTTATTAACAGAAAAAAAGAATCAATAGCTTAGCCCACATTGCTACCCACTGTCAATAAATTCCCCCAAAGAAATTGAGTCTCTCTTGGAAAGATGAGCATTCTTGCAGGCCTAAGAATTGTGTATTCTGGGACTAAAGATAGTGTTAGAAATTAGACTGAATCAGCAGAGATCTTTGGCATGTGGAATTTTTATTTAAAACACTATTTGCTATCACTTATATTCCCGTCTTTGCCCTTCTCCCAGAAGCAAAGTATAAAAAATGTGTGTTCTCATTTTTCAAGTGTTCCAGATTCCTAAAGTCCAGTTCATATAAATTGCAGCATATTCTTATTTATATGACAGAGACTGTCACAGGCATCTAAGCTCAAGCTTATTAAACTGAAGTTTCCTATTCTATCTACTCAATGGGTTCTCATAGTCTCCTAAGCATCTCATCATCTTCCTCCTCCCTCTGAGACATGAAACTCCTACTTGGAACCTTTTCAAGGTCTACGGCATTGTGCAAAAAGAAAAACCTTTCTTGTTATGCAACTAACAGATCCTTTCAGTTCCAGGGGAGGAAGGAGCCACCAGAATGGTCACTCAATAACTTAGCCAAGTTTCAACTCTGTTTTAAGGGAAAGGAATTGCAAAGAAAGGAAACATTCGATTATTGAGCACTGACTATGCCAGGCACTGAATTGAGAATGCATTTTTTACTCCTAATCATAGCCTGAGGCCCTGCACGATCTGGTCCCTGCCTGCCTTTTTGACTACACCTCTGACCATGCCCCCACATCACTTAATATGCTATACCCACACTGGCCCTTTTTATTTTCTAGAGCATGCCAAGCTCTTCCTACCCCAGGGCCTTTGCACTTGCTGGTCTCTCTGCTGAGAATGCTTTTGCCCAGATATGTGCGTGGCTCACTCCTTGTCATTCCTCATTTCTTAATTCAAGGCCACCTCCAAAAGGTAATCCCGAACTAAGCTGTCCACCTCCCATGCTAAGTCATTCTTTATCTTGTTCCTTTATTGTATTTTTTCCATAACACATCACCATTTTAAATTAACTTAGTTATTGCCTGCCTCCCCATGAATATATAAGCTTCATGAAAGCAAAGTGTGTTCCTGACTTACTCACTATTGTGAAACCAACATGCTAGCACATGCCTGCCATATAATAGAATCTAAAAACATTTCTGGAGTGGATGAATAAATAAGTTTCTCTCTGAATCCTGCCAAGATAAATATTGTTATTATCCCCGTTAGCAGATAAGGAAGTTGAGGTTCCAAGCAGATTAGGAAATCTCACAAGTTTGCACAGCTAGAAGGTGCTAGAGCAAATCTTACAACCACGGAACTGTCTAACTCCAGTGCATGCATTCTCCATCATTCCTAGACACTGTGTGGGAAGACAGGAGATTATAGCTTAATCAATTGTTTTCTAACTTCTGTTCATGAAAAATGTCTGGGCAGCTGTGACAAGGAAAAAAGTCTTTTATCAGCTCACAGTTGTGAGTGTGACAGAGCAGGGATATATCTTCTGCATCAAACATTGCCAGTTTGTCAAATATCAGAATAGAATTGAATTTTAGGAAGCCACTATTTCTGATGCAGCTGTTTCTTTTGGATCCTCTCAATGGGCAGAGAAGATCCCAGCAATAGAATGGGTGAGGCACGCATCTGTCTATTAGGATGGTTGGAATGCATGAATTTGATAAGCCCTATATTTGGTGAGGGATGTCTGTCCTCACCCCAAACCTTCTCACCAACGTGACCTCCCGCCAGCATGGAAGCCAGTGTTACAACATTGTGAGAACTGGGCCCTGCAACTGTGCTGGTGGCCATTTTTCTGGGACCCTCTTCTTTTACTGATACCTTTGGGAGTACTCCCATATTCATTTCCGTTGGGCATCTCATTCGTTGCTGTAATTCTTGTCTTCAGTTCAAAGCTCAAAAGCCTCACCATAAAGAACTGGGTTTTACTTTTTGGATCTTGATCCTTGGGGAAACCCCCTAAAAAAGTCTATATCTACTATATCCACTCCCCATCTTCCAGTCATCTCTGAGCATGGCTGATGTAGGGAATTGCTCAACACAGTTTCAAAGCCCCAAACAACAAGCTAGCTCTGGACATGCCTACCTGCTATGGTTTGAGTTCAGTTTGTGTCCCTCCCCAAAATTCATCTGTTAAAATCCTAATCCCCAAGGTGATGGTATTAGGAGGTGAGGCCTTTAGGAGATGACTGGGTCATAAGACAGGAGCCCTCATGAATCGGATTAGTGACTTTATAAGAGATCCCAGAGAGATCTTTGTCCCTCCTATCAGGTCAGATTATAGTGAAAAGTCATCCATGTAAGAACCAGGAAGCAGGTCCTCAGCAGACACTGAATCTGTAGATACCTTCATCTTGAACTTCCCAGACCTCAAAACAGTGAGAAATAAATTCCTGTTGTTTATAAGCTACCAAGTTTATGGTATTTTGTTACAGCAGTCCAAATGGACTAAGACACTACCCCCATTCTATTTAAAAGAAAATAATCTATTAGCTCACCACATTTACTGTGCTGAAAATTTCCAACCAGAAGAAAAAGCTTTATGGAGGTGACCCAACGATATGGAGGTGCTTACAACCCCATGGGTGGCTACAAGAATCAAAGAGAGAAATTATAGTTCAAAGGCAAAACGTATACTATCTCCTCATCCCTATTTTTTCTTGGTTTAAGTCATTTTTATTAAGAGAGTCATAATGTTCTTTATCTACATGACACTTTCCATCTTTAAACATTAACTAATTAATTGACTGAAATGGTATCTCGGGAGCATTTATCATCTATCACATTAGCCAGAGAGCCAGGGAACTGTCTATAAAAGCTGTTGAACACTCAGTGGAGGCTTCATCTTTCCGCTTCCTTTCCCAGAAATGTTTTTTTGTGTGTCTGCATATGAATGTGCAATGGGGAAAAAAATAAAAAGAGAGGATTTGACTTCCACCAACTGCTATAAAAATTTACCTCTGGGAGACATGGAATTTCAATTGTGAAATAATCAGTCTTGGAAATTGTCCTGTCCTCCAGGAAAAGAAAAAATATGTAGTTTAACAGCAATTGCCCTTCAAAACAATTACTAATTATAACATCTATAAAGAAAAATACCCTCGATACCATTACTCCTAATAAAGCCAGGCGAATCTATAGAAAGGAATTAGCTGGCATGTCTAAAATCTGACAGGAGAGCTGTTGGGGATGGGTCAGAAGAGGAGTGAGCTCCAACCAGCTTAAAAACCTGGATCCAAAGCTTTAGGAGGCTTACCACCTGGAGCAAGCCTCTCTTAGCAAATTGGCAAGATTAGCACAAGAAATCAGGCCAGGACAATTACAAATTGAGAACCCAAGTCATTTTTCCTGACTTTCCTTCCACTCTATCCCATCCCAGCTTTCTCCATGAACCTCTTAACCTCCTCTTCAAGCAGATGTCACGGTACCTGGAACTCATGCCTTACAGCTCACCATCTTCCCTTCACCACAGTCCTCTTAAAGACATATGCCCAGGTAGGGTTACACCAAGCCCCTGAGCCCTTGGATTGAATTTGACTGTCAGATCCTAACTGTTTGAAACAACATATGTCATGGAGGAAGGATCTTGGAGGAAAGAAAGAGAGAAAGGGGCCACAGAAAAGAGAAGTTGGTGGCAGTGCTGAAGATAGACAAATGGAAAAAGTCCATTCTGATTTCAAATTCTCCATCACTTCCCTGCTGTGAAGGCTGTGTCAAGTTGATTTGAACTCTCTGATCCTCTCACCTCAGTTTCTCAAAGTGAGGGGAAAATATACCTGAAAGCCTACTTTTTAAATGAGTGTTCAGTTGCAGACAATGGAAACCACTCCAGCTACCTTACGCAGAAGGGAAGTGATTACCAGATGTAAGCTGACTTAGGAAACCATTGGAAGGACCCAAAGAGTTGGAGCTTCCAAGAACAATTCCCTGGTCCCCCAAATCACTCTGCCTCTGCTATGATGGTGAAAACTGCTACCTGCACTACGAGAAGTCACCACATCAGGAAGCTAATGGCTGCAGAACTACCCAGACTCTGCAGAGATCCACAGGAGCAAAGTGAATGGCATTATGCCATTTTCCCCTCTTAACTCAGTTATAAATTCAAGACGCAAAGAGTATCTGATTTGCAGAACCTGAGTCATAGTCAGAATCCTAGCTGCAAGGGAGTCCAGTATATTGACCTTTTAGCAACCCAGCCTCTGCAGTATAGAATGACACAGTTGACAGAGGCTGGAATGGAAACTGAAGGAGCCCATGCACAAAGGGCACCACCCACATGATTCAGGGCTGTCAAGAGAATCAAATGAGATGGTGTTTACAAAGCACCTAATATGCTGCCTGATCATTAGTAGCTTCTCAATAAGCACTAGTTTTCCTTCACTTTCCCAAAATTTTGCTGCAGCTTGGCCCTCTGAATCATCCTAAAAGAACAGAAGAAAAAACCTGGAAGCAGCCAAATGACCTTCCTAACTTAAATGTGAGGGTTTTTTGGGCATCTTTCATTTAGCAACCTTACCAAACATCAGTTATCTCTATTTAAGGCATTCCCCTACCTCCACAGAAAGAATGAATCATTTTAAGCAGTAGTTTAAGCTTTTACTCTATCCAAACAAAATTGGCGAAAGATCCTCTCCCTGGATAATTACATTAACATTATTTATCTAACCACTATTTTTCTTTTTCTGAGATGGGGTCTCGTTCTGTTGCCCGGAACTGGAGTGCAGTAGTGTGATATCAGCTCACTGCAGCCTCCACCTCCCTGGCTCCAATAATCCTCCTGCCTCAGCCTCCTGAGTAGCTGGGGCCACAGGCATGCAACACCACATTTGGTTAACTTTTTGTATTTTTGGTAGAGACAGGGTTTGTCCATTTGCCCAGGCTGGTCTCGAACTCCTGACCTCAAACAATCCATGCACCTCGGCCTCCTGAAATTACAGGTGTGAGCCACTGCACCTGGCCAATCTAATCATTATTTACTGGTCACCTACTAGTTGCCTGGCAGATGTGATTCCTCTCCTTCAAGGAGTTAACAGTCTAGGCAGGGTAATTGTGCAAAACTTGTAAGATTAAAATTCTGATAAAACATTAAGAGAAGAGATCAGAGTGCCATAAGCCAGAATAAAGAGGGTGAAACTGATTCTACTCAGGGAGTCAGGAAAAATCTCCCTGAGGAAGTAATGTCTACACTAAAACCTGAAGGATAAGGAAAAGTTAACCTAGTAAAGAGTGGGAGGGAAGAGAATTTCTGGCAGAGAAAACAGCACATGCAAAGGCTGAGTATTTAGGAAACCAGAAGAATACCTGTGTGGCTGGAGTATGTTAAGTGAGAAGGAGAGAGAAACGATAATTACTTTGGCTATGGAACTCCAGGCTATTATCTGGGGTGACATTTTCCCTCAGGTTGGAATCCAGATATGTGAGACAATTAACATTTCATAAAAATAACTTTTGAAGCAATGTTTGTCCACCTTTCTGTATCTCAGTTGTCTCCTCTGTAGAATAGTGTTAACCCTTCACTGGATGATCATGAGTGTTAAATAGGATAACAAGTATACGATTATGACAAGAAGGCTGGGCCCTTTTGAGCACAGCAGCGACATCCTCATCATCTTCTTCAGTGTTTAGCCATACCACTCCAGAGAGCTCCACCAAGAACCAGAGAGGTGCTTCCCTACCTGCATGACTTCTCTGAGATGCTCTCTAGCCCACACACAGCAGAGGCACCCACCTGACACCTTCACCTGGCCACATCTGATTGGACCAGAGTGTACACCTCCTACTACCCGGACCTATCATATTCCTACACCTGGGAAACTCTTACATTCAGATAGAGGCGCAATTGATCAGAGTGCATTAGAAGCTGGAGCTGTAAGGTCATGAAGAAGAAGTCCCAGGGCCCTGGGCAAGTAGAAACTGGGAAACAGCAAACCCTGAGATTCCAACGGCAGGCGCCAGTCTGCAGAGAAGAGAATGGAGCAGATGTGCAGAGGTAAGCTCCAGAGAGTGAAATGGAGAAAGCGGCTGATTAACAACATTCCAAGTCCCATGAGGTCCAGCTGCATACGTCGGATTTCCAGAGAGCCTTGTGTGTCCAGACAGTAAAATTTCATATCCACTTTAATCTCTTTGAATGGGTTTCTATTCCTTGCAATTGAATTATCACTGTCTCAGAGGCCCATCAAAGTGGAGAGCTGAGGCCACCCTTCCTTAAATCAGACCTAAAATGTAACCCTATCTTGCTAACAGGACATAATACCGGAACTGAGGACCCCACCACCATCTCAAGGCCTTCACACAGGCTATTCCCTTTGCATAGAAAGCTCTTCCACCCGCTCCTTTTGCAAAACTAAATCTCACTTATCTTCCAGGCTGCCCCCTTTGAGCATCGCTTGTAAAGACTCCCACTCCAAAGTGGACCCTTGCTGTGGTTTCCATAGCTCTCAGGACTTCCCTTTGCATTGTGTAACTCACTTTGGATCACTCGTAAGATGGCTGCCACCCTACCATATGTGACATTCCACACTTGCATCCTGTTTCTTGCTTATTCCCCAGGGTTTGAGTGGGGGACACATAGTAGCTGCACAATAAACATCTGATTAATGCATGATGGATAGTCTAAAAGGATCAAATTGACATTCTACTGAAAAAGAAGAGTTTCACTTTAGCCTACTAGGTGCTCTACTCTATGCAAGGTGTTGGAAACACAAAGATGAATTAGACATCATCCCTGTGTTTAGGTCTTGAAAAGCCTAAGGGAACAGGTGGATAGGTAGATAAATACGTTTATGACAATGTAACAACGTGAGTGTTAGGAGAGAGAGAGACTACAATAGGTGTATTTCTGAAGGTTTTTTGGATGACAGGGGAAGAGAGAGAGATGTTGTAGAGGGTCCTAGTGGCCCCCACACCATCACTCCTCAGAATTTTTGCAGAAAACAAATGTAGTGAGCATCTGATTGTTGGCTGCTCAGCATCTACTCTCTAATTCTGAATATAGCACTTCATTTTTCCTTTTGGTAAAGCACCTTCCTGCCCTCTCAGCCCACCAGCACACTGGTGTAACTGGTATCAATTCAACACCTCTGTCCCCAGAGTCAAGGATGGATGTGTGTCCCAAGCCTAGTCAATCAGAATACTCCATCCTCACAAGGAGTGGTTCAGGGATGATCATGTGACAGTTTAGTTAAATGAGAGTCAATCTGGGAGTGTAAATTAGTTCAACTATTGTGGAAGACAGTGTAGTGATTCCTCTAAGACCTAGAGGCAGAAATGCCATTAGACCCAGCAATCCCATTACTGGGTATATATCCCAAAGGAATATAAATCATTCTATTATAAAGATACAGGCACTTGTATGTTCACTGCAGCACTATTCACAATAGCAAAGACACGGAATCCATCTAAATGCCCATCAATGATAGACTGGATAAAGAAAATGTGGTACATATACACCATGGAATACTATGCAGCCATAAAAATGGATGAGATCATGTTCTTTGCAGGGACATGAATGGAGTTGAAAGTCACTATCCTCAGCAAACTAATGTAAGAACAGAATATCAAACACTGCATTTTCTCACTTATAAGCAAGAGCTGAAAAATGAGAACACAAGGATACCTGGGGGGAAAAATGCACACTGGGGCCTGTCAGTCAGAGTGGTGGGGGACAGAGAGCATCAAGAAGAATAGCTAAGGGATGTTGGGCTTAATACTTAGGTGATGGGATAACCTGTGCAGCAAACCACCATGGCACATGTTTACCTATGTAACAAACCTACACAACCTGCACGTGTACCCCTGAACTTAAAAGGTGAAAAAAAAAAAGATAAGAGTATATCTCAGAATTCCTAGGGAGAAGCAAGGAGAAAGATAAGCTCTTCTGTCACTAGAACCCCTAACCTGGCAGCAGCCTTCAGCTGAGCTGCTGAAGCCTGTCTTGGGACTACAAGGGGAAAAAAACTCCCCAAAAATAAATCTTACAAGGAAAGTAGCAGGCCTGAGAGAAAAAGCCACTTCTGATGTCAGTTTGAACATCTGGATCCAAATAGATTCATCCTGGATTTTTCAGTTGTGAATCAACAAATTCTACTTTTTCTGTTTAAGCTTGAGTTCCTGAACCTCAACACTATTGATAGTGTTTGGCTGGATGGGGGCTGGCTTGTACATTGCAGGATGTTTAGCAATGTTCCTGGCTTCTAGAGCCATTCTCACCCACGAGTCATGGCCACCAAAAACAGCTGCAATCATTGCCAACTGTCCCAAGGGGCAAAATCACCTCCTATTGAGAACCACTGGTTTAAACCAGTTTTCAGGTTCCTATTGCTTGCAACCAAAAGTCACGAGCATACAGTAACCTATCAAATAATTCCCTACCCAATTTCCAGGAATAATTCTCACTCCTACATGCTTTTACTTTCCGTGGTACCTGGAACATCTTTCTATGGGCTTTGCTTTCCAAAGCCAGTCTGTTGATTTTACATTTTTTAAATATTGGTGTCAATGAAAGTAAGTCAATCAGATCAAGAACAGCTTAGCTCTCAGTCCCAGCAGTACTTGTACAAGTGACATATTTGGGGACATTGATTATACTTTTTCTTCCTCTTAAAAATTTAAACATCTTCCCTCATTTACTTTCTTTATTTTAGAATTCTCAGCAGTCAATTTTCTTTTATCTACAGGCCTTCCCTTCGATGGGAAACTAATCAATAAGAAATTAGATTTTTGCCAAGGTATTTTAAAGTAATGTAACCAGCATATTTTTCTCTCATTCATGACTTTATTATTGTGAAATGAAAACAGAAATACCACATCCTTGAAACCCTCATTTTATTAAGCTCCATCACAGCTACCTTCATTCATCGGAGCCATCTCTTCCAACGTCATTGTTTTGGGTGAAGCTTGTGTTTGATCACCAACCTCATATTTTAAATTGAAACTCAGCTGGAGTAGAGTTCTTCCCTCTGAATGAGGGATAGCAGTCTGGTAATTAGCAGCAAAGCTCAAGCAGACAGGCTGCATCCACTTATTCTATCTGAAATTCTTTTCCTTTTCTTTTTTTTTTTGGCCAGTAATTACTCTTATCTTGGTGAAGCTGACCCACCTCTTGGCCCCTCAATTGGAGTCTCCCTTTCAAGAAAATATCACATTGTGTTGAATAAGAAAATCAAAATGGAAATGAAGCTTCAAGAGGAGTCTAGCTACCATCTTTTCAATTGCCTTTTGAAACATCAGCTGGGTGGACTTTCAAGACGCAGGCACAGTTAGATATGTGGATCTGTTTCTTAGATTGCACTTGTGTATCTGAAGACATCCATTATGCCTAAGAGGGAAGGAAATGAGCAAGGACTTCCCAATGCATACAGGTGCTTCGTAACACCTGGTGATCTTGTTACTGAAACACCAGAGGTTCAGTCTAGGTTCTAATGCTTGCTGCACAGAAAGCCAATCACTGAGACAATGAGTATTGCCAGGGAAGAAGGCTTCAATTGGATCCTGCAGCCAAGAAGATGGGAGATCAGCATCAAATCCATTCCCCTAGCTGACTAAAATTAGGTATTTTTATAGCAGGGAAGAAATGTAACCATTTGTGAGAAAACAGGAATTAGGGAGAGGAAAGGAAGAGGAGTTTGTCAACAAGAAGCAAGTGGTTGCTTAGGCAGTCATGATGGATGAAGGGTCGGGTGCTTTCACTGTCCAGATTCAGAGATCTGGTGAGTTTCAGCTCCTTGATTCTATCTGGGAAGCCTGATGGTTGGAGGCCTGAGAAAGGAACTCAGATAAGACAAATGTAACTTTTGCAAGTTTCAAGACTGGGATGGCCAATTTCTATGTGTATTTAAAAGAAACCATAAACATCAGTTCTATGGGACAATTGGGCCAGTTTCAGTTCGGCTCAGTTTTTTGGCATGGAAAGGAGGAAGAGACTATCAATAATATTAACAGTATAGCTATATTGATCCTTTATTAGAGGGGGAGAAATCTATTTATTTGGGAGAGTAGCTTCAAAGTGTGCCAAGTCAGGGAATCAAAGGCACATTGGGAACAAGCTGACCAAACATCAACCAGCATGAACGGTCTTGAGCCCTCAAGACCAAGATGAGCCAAGAACCCACTTCAAGTTTGACCAAAGCAGACAGTAAATAAGACCTCCCTGTAGGAACTCCGCTCTTGTTGCCTAAGCTACATTCCACCTTCCACACTGATAATTTTATCACAAAAACAAGCAAATGCAAAGGAAGAAAGTAGTGATATGATAGGATGACACATGATCTAGCCAATTCCATCTAGAAGGCAAATAAAGGACGGAGGCTTGGTGAGATTAATGCATTTATTCTTTCCAGAAATTATAGAGCCCTTACTCTTTGTCTGGTACTGTTCTAGGCTTGGAATACAAGCAAAGATCCCTGCAGTTGTGGGGTATACCCTGTAACAGGTGAAGAGTGACATATCAGAGGAAGGTCAGTGACTACAGATGAAAGGGATTGCATTGTAGGACATTTCCCATGTCCTACAAGCCTCCTCCTGCCTTTGGTAGAGGTGAGTGTAAATAAACAAAATGTTTCCTGCACTCAAATGCCCTCCTCTATTTTATTTGTTATGGGAGCAAACTTCCATCTCCAGGACAGCAGAGTGTAGAGCATCTTCTGGTGTGGTAGCTGTGGTGAGTTAGCTTGAGCTGAAGCCAATGTGGGCAACTGTCTACTTAAATAACTCACCTATTCACCTATTCCTGGCTGCCATCAACAAAGTTGGAGCCTCCAAGAAGCAGTTAGGATTAACATATTAACACAGAAGATGGTCTTTTTTTTGTTTTTTTTTTTTTTTGAGACGGAGTCTCGCTCTGTCCCTCAGGCTGGAGTGCAGTGGCGCAAACTCGGCTCACTGCAAGCTCCGCCTCCTGGGTTCACGCCATTCTCCTGCCTCAGCCTCCCGAGTAGCTGGGACTACAGGCGCACACCACCACGCCCGGCTAATTTTTGTTGTATTTTTTAGTAGAGACAGGGTTTCACCATGTTAGCCAGGATGGTCTCAATCTCCTGACCTCATGATCAGAGGGCGGTGTCTTAGTCCATCTTGCGTTGCTATAAACAAATACCTGAGGTTGGGTAATTTATAAACAAACAAAGGTTTATTTAGCTACTGGTTCTGCAGGCTGTCCATGAAGCACGGTGCCAGTATCTGCATCTGGTGAGGGCCTCAGGCTGCTTCCACTCATGGTGGAAGGTGAAGAGGAGCTCGCATATGCAGAGATCACATGGCGAGAGGGGAAGCAAGAGAAAGAGGGGGAGGTATCAAGCCTTTTTAACAATCAGCTCTCACAGGAACTAATACAGCAGTAACTCACTTATAAACATGAGGAGGGCACCAAGCCATTCATGAGGGATCTGCCTCCATGACCCCAACCCCTCCCATGAGTCTGCCACCTCCAACATTGGGATCAAACTTCAACATGAGCTTTAGGGGGACAAATACTGAGACGATAGCAGGCAGTCAGCAAAAACAAGAACTAGCATGTGTTGAGTCTGCTTGATTCATCCTTTCACATATATCATGTCTCATTTCACTTCCACAACAATTCTATGAGGTATGTATGTATTAGCCCCATCTCACAGATGAAGAAACTGAGGCTGAGAGAGACTAAATGGCTTGCACAAGATCTGTCTGACTCCAAGTTCTACAGGCTTTCTGCATTGTTGTGCTGCCTATTTCACCCAATAAAGTCCAACCCATCCGCATGAGAGTGTTAATAAATCAATAACCTGAGTACTTCCTGGGGCTGGCTCTGTGTCTATCCCTAGATTGGGCACTGTGAGGGGTATGAAATTAAGGTACAGTCTTTGTTCTCCTGAGACTAAGTTAGCTAAGGAAACAAAGGGAAAAGCATTCATTCAATATTTAACGAACCATACCAACACTCCACCCACATTCACCCTATCTTACGCAAATACTTGTGGATCCCAAAACGTGCCATGCCTTTGCACAAGTCTGCAATGCCCTTTCCTCTCTCCTCTCTGCTTCAACCTACATCATCTTCATCTCGCAAGAGTTAGATCATCCAGAAAGCCCCTCTAAACCCACAGGCTAGTTGGTGGACTTTCTTCTATGAATTCCATGGACCCTGGTGCTCCTCTCCGCCATAAAACTCTCTGGAAAAAAAATCAGTGAGAGCTTCAGAAGTTAGGGAACCCTGTAAGTGAGATGACTGGGGAGAAAACAAAAGCCTGAGATGGGGAAATGGCTAAAGACAAAAGAGGAAGGAATATGTATGTGGCCCAAGGTGGTATCATCTACAACAGAAAACTGACAGCCAGGTAAGGGACTGTATAGAGCTAGGGATGTTGTCACAGTAAGAAATAGAAGATATCATTACTCAAAGCCAAGTTAATTACGATGTTCTGCTTTCACTTATTTTTTCTAAGTGCTTCCACCTCTGGAAGCATTTCTGATCAGCACAACTGTGAGGTTGGTAGTAGGTATTATCATTCCCATTTAGTGGAAGGAGAAACTGAGATGCTCAGAGAGGTTAGGTGAGCTGCCCAAGGACACACAGCATGAAGACACTAAGGCAGCAGAATGGTTGAGATCAGACTTTCTGGTGTCAGGCCTACAGCTCTCAACCACCTGGCCATGTGACCTTGGACAAGAGACTTAACTTCTCCAAGACTCAGTTTCCACACCTAATAAAAGGGGACTAAAGAATCTCTACTTCGTAGAGATGTTGTATGGTGACATAATCATACGAGACCTTTGTCAGTCCTTGACATATCTGTAACAATAAATCTTTGTTCCACTCATCACCACTGCTTTTGTTTCGCTGGGATCATCTGCAAAACCGCTTGTGTGAAACTCTGGTCCCAGCTGCTCTCCAGGGACACCAGGGCTTCCTTGCAAAATATAGCAGCCAAGATGGCTTTGGGCCCCCAAGTTTCTGAGCTCTTGTTTGACTGCACATCCCCTTCCTTAGAAAGCCAGCATCTTCACGTTTCCTTTCTAAGCTGCCAGGAATAAATGCCAGGTTCTGGCTTTATGGAACAGTTTGGGAAATAATTAGTTTGCCTTCCACAGAGGCCAGAGTTCACTTCTAAGATATTTAAAACTCTACTGATGGCTTAAAATAAATATCACAATGGAGATGTCAAAATATCTATGTGTTCTTACACATGACATTGGAGGGGAGGGGAGACTAAAAAAATGTAAATGGATTTACCAAAATAATCTCGAGGTAAGACCTTTGAGGCTTGATACCACAGAAGTGCCATATTGTTTTTAAGTTTCTTTTTTTTTCTTTTGTAAGTTTATTTTTCTCCTCGGAGGGCACTGAAAGTTTTGTTGTGAGAAGCAATAAAGTTCTGTTTTCCAAAAGAAAATAAAAGCATGATTGTATTTTTAAAAATCAATCTTAATAATTTCCAGCCATTACTTTATGAGCTTAATGCAACTCCCAAACACTGATAACTGATTTCTCCAACTGGAAGATGCGAAGCGCACCCAACGGATGCCAAGTTCCGGGCTGAGTACTTTAAATATTTATTGAATTATTAATCCTCATAAGTGCTCAGTGAGGCAGGAATGATATTCCTCATTCTGTAGGGGAGGTAATGGAGACCCTCAGGTACTTGCCTAAAAACATGGGGATAATAAAGCAGAAAGTCAGGATTGAAGCCTAAGTGTCCTTATCCTGACTCCATGCTCTTTCCAGTGAGTTCTTCGCCCCATCCAGATCTAGGAGTGCTGAACACTCAACAACATTATCAGGCAAGACAACAAACACACCCGTGTCAACTGGAGTTTGTGGCTAGTATAAAGCAATATAGAGTAAATCTCAAAGAGAAGTAGGTCAAAGAAATACCTACAACCTCAAGAATGTGTCCTTTTCTGGCTGGGAGCAGTGCCTCATGCCCGTAATCCTAGCACTTTGGGAGGCTAAGGCAGGAGGATCACTTGAGCCCAGGAGTTCGAGACTGGCCTGGGCAGCACAGCGAGGTCTCGACTCTATTATTTTTTAAAAAATAGAATATGTCCTTTCCCCCTTGCCTGCCTGGATAAAACCTTCTTTTTTATCTCTTGCTGCTTCCCACTTCGCATTTTCTGCTCTGTTAAACATCAAACCGCTTCTGTTGCCCAGAACTATGTCTCAGGTTCCACGCAACTGTGCCTCTGCAATGCTGTGCCTTTTTCCCAAATGCTGTTCCTCTACAATCCACTTAGCAAACTCCTGTTCATCCATCAAAACCCTGATAAAACATAACCTTTTAAAAGAAGTCATCTTCATCCCTCTCCCACTTCTAGACCCAATGGAATTCACACGTTCCTCTTAGTCTTCTCTCCATAGCATGTACATGCTTACATTTTTATAATTATTGCAACGTCTGGGATTTGGGTCTCTGGGTTAGTTGATTGGTTTGGCTGATATATCAGTCTCCCTCACCCGACTGGCTTTCCTATAGGCAGGGGCTATGCCTGAATCCACCTTTGTATCCTCTATGCCCAGCCCTGTGCCCAAGTCAAAACAAGCATCGAATTGAATTGAATCAAAATTGAAAATGAAAACAAATATCTTGGAGAACTAGAATATAGGGAAACAAGTGTTAATGTTGTAAGAGTCTATTGCAGAGCAATCAACCAGACCATGTTTCCCTAATACCGATTACAAAGCTGGCACAGAGGCAAGACGGAGCAGCAGTGGGGATTTATGCTCTCTGGACATCTGTTGGGCGTCTCTTCTGATAAATCCTCGCCTTGCCCTGCTGATGATCTCATCTTTCAGAAGACAGAGGAAGCGACAGAGGAAACGGTTACTTGCCACTAAATCCTGGCAACGAGGAAACACTGGTTAATGAGAAAAGTGGAATCGTTAGGAGAAAAAAAAATGGGCACATAATCCTAGAGTTAATGATGGTGCAAGAAAGGAAGAAAGAAAATAAGCACCCATTAAAAACCTACAGTGTGCCGCCTACTTTACGTGTGTTACTACATTTAATTCTCACAACAACCCTGGGAGGTGGGTTTCAGTCACTTCCATTCACAGAAAAGAAAGCCAGAAAATGGAGAAAGTAACTTGCCCAAGCTCATAAAAGGCAAGTCTATCTGCCTGCAAACCCCCAGTTCTAACCTCACACCAGGCTGCTGAGCAAAAAAAGCAAGGCATTGCCTGACTTCAAACCTAGAGTTGATGAATAAGGCAGCGTCAATCTGTATAGGCTAGGTAATGATACAGTAACAAAACACACACACACACACACACACACATATACATACACACACACTGAAATCCAAATCACGGTCATGTGACACGATCAAGCTATTTCTTCCAGCCTTGGCAGCTTTCTAGGACAGGCAGCCACCCTCCTTTGTGTGCTGGCTCAGTTCTCCACTTTGCTTCCACCTCATGAGGCTCCATCTCAACAGATGCTTCAGAGCTTGCCTCATTCAGGGGGAAAAAAAAAGCCCCGGAGGATCTCACCCCAGTAATTAAATGCTGCCACCCAGAAGTCACATATGCCACTTCCACTCGTGTGGCACAACTCAAGGCCAAGGGGCAGAGAAGTGCAATTCTCCACCCAGAAGGAAAACAAGCCAGAAATGGTTGTGCAACGAAAATTCCAACCACAGTAGCTTTTTGAAAGATGAGAAAGCAAGCTTCCATATGCAGCAATGAACACTGGCCAAGCCCGGCCTCTGTGTACTACCAGGGGAGAGAGGAGAAACATGAAAACAAAAATTAATATGTAGAAGGCAATGATCAAAAAGAGAGAGACAAAGGGAGTGATGTTGATGGGAGAACTGGGTTATGGAAAAGGATTTCACAAGAATCACCAAGCACATGTGGAAGGTCAGTGCCATGAACAAGGTCCCCGGACACAACCCAAGAAGGAAATATTGTGCAAAATAGATTGGAGTGCCTTCGTCAGTTCAGGCTCCTATAACAAAATACCACAGCCTGGGGCTTAAACAACAGAAGTTTCTTTCTCGGAGCTTTGGAAGCTGGAAGTCCAAGATCAGGGTGCCAGCATGGTTGGTTCCAGTGAGGGTTCATTTTACGGTGTGTAGACAGCAACTTTCTTGCTGTGTCCTCACTTGGCAGAGAGGGAGAGAGCACCAGCCTCTTTCTCTTCTTATAGGGACACTAATCCCATTGATAAGGGCTCCACCCTTGTGATTTAATTACCTCCCAAAGGCCCTACCTAATATCATCCCAGTGAGATATCATCCCGTTGGAGGTTAGGGTTTCAACACATGAATTTGTGTGGGGGACACAAACATAGCTCCATAGAAAAGAGTCTCAGAAATTGTGTCTACCCATTCAATTTTTACCATTCAATTCCATTCCCGGGAATTAGGAAGAAGCAATTAATAGGACTAATAAGAGCTGTCTGGAGGCTCTTATTGACAAGGCTGTGAGCAAAGGATACAAGGTGGGACACAAAACTGCTTTGAAAATGGAAGCAAGATAGCCTGATAGAAAAGGCACTGGGCCTTTGCCACTGTCCTCTGTGGCTTTATAAAGTTACTTAACCTCTCTGAGCCTTGGTTTGCTTCTATGTGCAACGGGAATAATATACTATCTGCCTCAAAAGGTAGTTGTGAGGATTGAGAAGATCCTGCAGGTAATATACACATCAAAGTGCCCAGCAAGATGTTAGAACAAGGAAAACAATCATAAGAAGGATGAGCATGACAATAAACTCTCCAATTGGATAAATTCAAGTTGGTTGTCTCAGGAACCATCTGTCTTGTAACTCTCTGACTTCATTTCCCACCACCCTATTATTGCCTGAATTTGCTGCATTGATCTTTTTTGTTCTTTTTTTTTTTTCTTTGAGACGGAGTCACTCTGTTACCCAGGCTGGAGTGCAGTGGCACAATCTCGGCTCACTGCAAGTTCCGCCTCCCGGGTTCACGCCATTCTCCTGCCTCAGCCTCCCGAGTAGCTGGGACTACAGGTGTCCGCCACCACGCCCGGCTAATTTTTTGTATTTTTTTAGTAGAGACAGGGTTTCACCGTGTTAGCCAGGATGGTCGTGATCTCCTGACCTCGTGATCCGCCCGCCTTGGCCTCCCAAAGTGCTGGAATTACAGGCGTGAGCCACCACGCCCGGCCGACCCTTTTTGTTCTTATTTGATCATTCCAGGAATGCTCATACCTTAGTGCCTAGGTACTGTGGGGTTCTCTCTTCCTAGAACACTTCTCAGAAAATGAGAGAATGTCTTGTTCAAGTGCTATTATATTTACTCATTGAAACCTTCCATAATTACCTACTTGAAATTATAGCATCCACTCCACTCCTCACACTCTCTATCCTCTTTCCTTCCTGTATTTTCACATTGGTAATTATCATTTCCTAATATACAAAATCATATACACTTTTTTATTGTCTATCCCCCCTTCATTAGAATATATTCTGAAACTTAGATGAATTCTCCAGCCAAGAAAAACATCTGACACATAGTACGCATTTATCACTACGCATCGTTTTTGTTGTTGTTGTTAGAGCAACCCTGCATTTCTCTACTCTGATCCATTACATTTTAATTTTATATTTTAGCAACAGGGAATGCCTTATTTCTTTGTGGAGGTTTTTTTATTTTGTTGTTTGTTCTTCTGTTGTTTGTTTTTTTGTTTGTTTGTTTTTGAGACGGACTCTTCCTCTGTCGCCCAGGCTGGAGTGCAGTGGTACAATCTCGGCTCATTGCAAGCTCCGCCTCCCAGGTTCAGCCATTCTCCTGCCTCAGCCTCCTGAGTAGCTGGGATTACAGGTGCCCACCACCACTCCTGGCTAATTTTTTGTATTTTTAGTAGAGATGGGGTTTCACTGTGTTAGCCAGGATGGTCTCGATCTCCTGACATCATGATCTGCCTGCCTCGGTCTCTCAAAGTGCTGGGATTACAGGTTTGAGCCACCGTGCCCGGCCTAGGGCATGTCTTATTTCTATATACTCCTTCTACACCTTTTACTCTGGCATTGCAAATTCCTAGCAAAACATCCTGAAGGGTTCATGCTGAAAGGGCAACCTACTCTTCCCATACTATCTTACTGAAACTTGTTCTTACTTCAGTCTTGGAGCTGCCCATTACATGAGCCTTGCAGTGGCTTGGACATCAACCTGTGAGAAGTCGCCAGCATCCAAAATATCTGAGACTCACAGAAGACTCAGCATAAGCTCCTGTAACGACTGTATTTCCTCAACTGCAGGATCAAGGTGTGGCTGTGAATGTCACTCTCATCAGTACTCATTTTGTACTGCTTATGGTTTGTTTGTTTGTTTGTTTGTTTGTTTTCAGGGAAATGAGGTTGAGATCAAAACCAGGACCCAGCTCATGTGATTCTGTATCATAAAGAATATGGAAGTACATGTATGGAGCTCTAGTGAAATTTGCTTGGACTCAGTTAAGATGCAATGGTTTGCAAGTAGTTATAACACCTCAATTCCTGGGACAACTTCCGATTACTTTTAGAACACAGAGACACAATATGGGCATCATTTCAATATCAGATCTTATTTGTCTGAAAATACCAGATCACTAGGGCAATGAAATAAACAACCAGCTACAAACCAGCTACAAATTATCTAGAGGGTACAGCCTCCATTCTCTACAGGAAAAGAGATTCACATTCTTAGTACCAGGCCCAGCAATAAACACCTTAAATATTAATGTTATTCCATTTCATATCCACAATAAGCACTACGGCAAGGTAAATTCTATCGGCTCCATTTTATTTTTAATTGCCCAGGCTGGAATGTAGTAGTGCAATCACAACTCACTGCAGCCTCAACCTCCCAGGCTCAAGCCGTCCTCCCACCTCTCAGCCTCCCGAGTAGCTGGGATGACAGGTCCATGCCACCACACCCGGCTAATCTTTGTATTTTTTGTAGGGACAGGGTTTCACCATGTTGCCCAGTCTGCTCTCGAACTCCTGGGCTCAAGCGGTCCTCCCGCCTCGGCCTCCCAAAGTGCTAAGATTACAGGCGTGAGTCACTGTGCCCGGAGGCCCCATTTTTCAGGCAAGGAAATTAAGGCTCAGAAACACTAATATCATTGCCCAACTTCATGCATATAGCAAAAGACAGGGTTAGAAGTCATAGCTATGTCTTCCTGACTCTAGACTGTGCTTTTTCCACTACAAGGGATGAAATTGGGGAAAATAAACTGCTCAAATGAATAAAATGCTCAAATAAAAAAATACAAATAAATAAATAATTTTATATTTTAGCAACAGGGAATGCCTTCTTTGTGGGTTTTTTTTTATTTTGTTGTTGTTTTTTTTTTTTGAGACGGAGTCTTTCTCCATCTCAAAAATAAATAAATAAATAAATAAAAATAAAATGCTCAAATAAATAAAAACAAACCAATGAACAGGAGTGCTGGTAGACCTGCTTCTTTGCGACTGCTTAATGGCTTAAAGGGCCATTCATTTGGTTTTGAAGCCACCAAAGCCAGGGCAAGGTGAAACGTTTAGTCCAAATGGGTCCCTCACCCCATTTGGGAACCAATCACTGTCCCCTATAGACCTAGTTCATTGAAGGCATTTAACTGAATCCAATCATCCACATTACTAATTGACCTCCACAAGCCAACAAAAGAAAAGATCGGTTCATCCAATTAACCTTGGGACTAGCTCACCCTTGATCTCAATGCTCATCCAGATGGAGAGAAGTCCTCTGGGCCAAGATTGGGAAACTGAGCCCCCCTTTCTCAAAGCTGGCAGCTTTTTAAAGGCCACCAACTCCATTTCACAAGAGATGAGGAGAGACAGATGGTGAATAGAGTACCTGCAAAAACTCAAAGATACACAGGACCAGTGTAGCAACTTGCACACTTGCAACTTGTATTTCCCCCTTTTTCCTCCCAAGTAGTCTCAGTCTCCCAACCTGATTGTCTTATAAGCCAAAACAGCTTTTGCGCAGCTTGATAGCCTCAGCCTTGATTTTTAAATGACTAGAAATTCAGGAGGCAAAAGAGCGATAGTCTTAGCTCAAAAGTCAACCGGACCTGGGTTTGAATCCCAGATCCACAGCACAACAGCTGCAAAACCTTGAGCAATTAGTGATATCTCTAAGCCTCGGTTTCTTCATCTCTAGAAGGGAAATACAAACATAGTGTCTTCCTTTCATTAGGTTGTGGCTGTGAAGTGAAGAAATTACAGGTAAAGCCTTCGACATGGGGCTCAGCACACAGCAAGTACTCAATAAATGTTGGTTATTTATTCTAAAAAGGAAAAAAGTTAGCTAGTCTATAAATTTTATAGGTCAACATCAGTACTGAAAATGACTATTCACCATACTCTGAATCTTCTCTTGATCCGTGCGCTTGTAATTTCTGAATTTTAAGCTTCTCTTAAGTCCTTATTGGGGAGTCCCTTGGGATAGTTAATGTTCTCCCAAGACTATCTGCATTGCACCCCGCTTATGTTCCTTCTAGAAATATAATCAGGATGAGCCTGGAAAATCTCATCCACATCATGGTTTTAGCCATCGAATCATTCCCTCAATAAATACGTATTAATCATCTATTGATCACCAATTACTGTGCTCTGTACACAGAGCTGGGCACTGCATATCCAGCTCATCTCCACTTTGGTGGCCAAGATACTGGAAACTCAAACTGTCCAAAGCTTGATGCCATGGGCTAAACTGTATCTCTAAAAATTCATATGTTGAAGCACTAACACATTGGAGAATGTGATGGTATTTGGAGACGGGGCTTTTGGGAGGTACACAGGTTTAAGATTAGGCCATCAGGATGATCCTTATGACGGGATTAGTACCCTTGTAAGAAGGCACTAGACAGCTTGCTCACTCTCTCTTGACCAAGTGAGGACAGAGGAGAAAACTATCATCTGCAATCCAGGAAGAGCCCCTCCCCAAGAACCGAATCAGCAGGCACCATGATCTCAGACTTCCCAGTCTCTAGATCTGTGAGAAATAAATGCTTGCTGTTTAAGCCATTTGATCCATGGTATTTTGTTAAAGCAGCCAGAACTAAAACACTTGGTTTCCAACTTCATCTTAAAACATGCTTCTCCCCTGTCTCCTTTCTTGGTTACAGGCTCCACTGACCAACCCAAACTGAAATCATTTGAGACTTTCCCTCCCTCACTCTCATATCCAGTCAGTCCCCAACTCTTATTTGTGGGTTCTAGATTTGAAAAAAAAATAAAAATAAGAAGCTCTTCCATCTTTATAAACAGAGCTTTTTCTCCATTCATGACTGATTTCTACTCATCCTCAGGGCTCATGGTGTCTCCTCTAAATCCTCCAGCAGTCTTCAAGGCGGTCTTATTACTTTCACTCTTCCCTAGTAGAGTCCCTGCCGAAAAGCCATTTTCTGAAACACAATCCTGAATCTGCCCCTTTTCTGCTTAAAAACCTTCAAGAATTCACAAAACCTCCAGGATATAGTCTCTGCTCCTCAGCTGGGAAATCCTACCATAACTGAGCCCTGGCCCCCGCCCAGCCATTTCTCAACAAGCCCCCTTCACTTTAGATTCCTCAGCCTAATTGCAACATCCCCAAATGGTCCAGGTGCTTTCAAACCTCCACGCCTTTGCAGGTGCTGTTCCTTCTGCTCCAACCCCCTCTCCATTCCTTGACTGCTGATCCTATACTTTATCCTCATCTTTCATAGGTTCAAATCCCCCCATGGGCCATTACTGAGCCCCCTTCCCAGGCTGTATAAGGCTACTACTTTCCTCTCTGTTCCAATATATTCCCACTATAATAAATATGACACAGTCTATTGTAACTTGTTCTTTCCCTCTTTCTCTGTCCCTCCTCCGCATAACCAGATGGTCACTCCTTTGAGAATAGAGAGATCCTGTCTTATTTATTTTCAATGCCATGCAGGTTTTAAGGATAAAAATCAAGAAAAAATAAAGTTTTGGCAACTGTGCTAAAGCCAGAGATTTCTGAAAATGACTGTTTAATGCATACCATGGGGATAATTATAACGATAATAACAATATCAACTATTTTAAGTGCTAAATATGACTAAACATTTTATAGGCATAGCTCATTTAATCCTTTTAACCACCCCAGGAAGAAGTATTATTTTTGCTCTCTTGTTTTTTGGATGGGGTAAATGAAGCACAGATCTCTCTTTCTCTCTCTCTCTCTCTCTCTCTCACAAACAAACACACACACACACACACACACACACACACAATGGGTTTGGGATTCAGAAAGGCACAGTTCCTAAACTGGCTCTGTCATTTATCATCTATGTGACCTGAAGGCAATTCACTTAATCTCCATTTGTTTCCTCATCTCTGGAATAAGAAAAGACTTGTTGTGGTAATTTAAAAAGACTATTTACAAAAGTATTGAACCAGGAGCAGTGGCATGCACTTGTAGTCCCAGCTACTCTGGAGGCTAAGGCAGGAGGATTGCCTGAGCCCAGGAGTTTGAATCCTGCCTGAGCAACATCATGAAACTGTCTCATAAAAAAAATAAAGTTTAAAAAAACAAAATTAAATTGACACATAGTAGGTACTCAGTGATATTGTCTCTTTCTCCAAACACTTACCCAGACCTGTATGCTTCAGGAATAGTATTAATGTCTTAAACCGGGTAACTAGTCTGCTGACTGGCTGAGATTCAGGCATGTCAGTATCGCTTGGCTCCAGCTTACCTAATAGACTAGCTCTGAGTCTGTCTCCATCCATGTCTCCCACCCACACAACTCTAGCCTCATGGATAAGGTGAGGCTCAGGGAGTGTGACCTGGGACGAGGTTAGAATGAGCATGACTGCCATGCAGTTTGCTTGATAACTTCGAAAAAGCTGAAAGCTTAGCAGTTTGGTTTTGAGGTTGTGATGCAAACGTGTAAGTGTTCGATGTGTATTTCTGTCAACCACACCTGAAAGGCCGTGTGCAACACCACGTGCCCAGGTGCGGAAGCTCAGAGACTTGACGTAGGCGGGAATTTGCCGTGATAGCATTTAAGCAGCCATCTGTTTTCCAGGAGATTCTGGAGCCACCTTCCCCATCAAGCCCCCCTTTCCCGTCCTCACGCACCCCCAGCTCCTCACTCAGGAATACATTGACATTTCCAGATGTATTGATTACAGGGGCAGACTAGCTTTTGGCGGGAGAAGGGAGAGAAATGGATTGACTTTATTATTTGTGGGTGGAAAAAAAGAATAAACAAGGGTGCTTTTGTTTGAAGGACAAAACCAAAATTATCGGTTGAATGGGGCTGAATTAAGCACTTAAAGTTCAATCCTTCCAGAGTGCTGACAGTGCACAGGCGGAGATCAATACAGAAACTATTTGGGCCGTGGGGAACCTGGGCCCTGCTTATTAACCGCTAATTATACCAAGTTTTCTGCCGAAATGGGTTAGTTCCCTTGAAGATTACGATACAACAGAACTGGTTGGCACTGTCGGACCCGGGTCTGGGATCCAACCCCTGGAGCAGGAAGTCCAAGGTTCAGGATAAACTCCCAAAGGCCTTCTATTTATGGAGCCCACTTCCCAATTTGCCACTTGCAAATCAGGGTGTAGACAGCCCACCACTTTCTTATTAGAATTTTAAAATAAGACTGCCAACGGCAAGACGGATATTTCACTAGGGCTTTCAGTACGGCCACACCAGTTGTTCAAAACAGGGACACTCTCCCACGCCAGTCGCTCAGCAACCTCCCCTGCTACCTCACATGCCCCTCACTCTCATTATCCAGGCTTAACACCTGGCCGAGCAAGGGCCTGCGGGGCCCGCTCCAGCATCCACTCTGGTGAATCTGTGCTCATGCCCTCCCGGTGCTCAAACATTTTGAGCACGACCCTGACCACAGGCAACAACTTTCCATAATCCGTTAGTCACCAGCCAGTCTACAAACCCAGATGCCTTCCCGTGGGGAGGGGGATATTGATTGTACATACACAATGTCACACACACACACACACACACACACACACACACACACACTATATAAATACACAACTGCATGTATATGTATGTAGTTATGTATATATACAGTTATATATAACCATATAAAATATGGAAAATTTATATTTCATATTATATTCCATTAACTATATATTAAATATGTATATATACTATATATAGTTTTATACACTTAATATTTAACGTACTAAACATTTAGGACTAAAACTAAATATGTACTATATGTATGTAACTATAGTTACATATAGTACATATTTAGTACTAAATATACTATATATACTAAGTATTTACATATCTAGTATACATAAATACTATATATACCATATATATTTATATATAATAATATATAAATATTGATATAATTACATATAATATATATTTGGCACTAAATATACTATATATGTATAGATAGTATGTGTATATATAATATATACTATATATGTGTGTATATACGATATACTATATATAATACTATATATACTATAGATACTGTATTTAGTATATACTAAATTTACTAAATATATATTCAGTATATACTAAATTTACTAAATACATATTTAGTATATTTAGTATACATAAATATTTATAGTTACATATAGTACATATTTAGTACTAAATATATACTATATTTATATATTTAGTAAATATATAAATGAACATGTACTATATGTAAACACATGTAAATATATAAATGTATATATTAAATATATAAATATATAGTTACATATAGTACATAGTATATATGTAGTTATATAGAGTATATATAGACTATAAACTATAACTATATATATATATATGAACTATACACAGCCATCCCTCGGTATACACAGGGGACTGGTTCCAGGACCCCCAGGTGTACCAAAATCTGTGCCTACCCGAGACCTGCAGTCAACCTTGCAGAACTCAAGGACAGGAAAAGTAACCCTTCATCTACACAGGGGTTTTGAAGCAGTTCACATCTGTATTGTTCAAGAGTCAAATATAGATAGATAGATAGGTAGATAGACAGACAGATAGATAGATAGATACACACACGTATATAGATGCACACACATAGTTTATGTAAAGTTGGTGTGCTTGGGAGATATTTCCATGTTGCCACTTATCAATTTATCTTATCTTTTTAACAGCTACATGGCGCCCAGTAGTACGGATATACCATAATTTAGCCACTCCCTAGTTGATGAATATTTAGGTTATCCCACATTTTCTCTATCACAAAACATACTGCAATGAACACCTTGAACATATATTATTCTGCACATATATGAATATTTCCATAGGATGGATTCCAAGAAGTGGAATTGTTGCGTGTTTTTAATTTTGGCAGATCTTGACAAACCATTCCTACTTTCTCTCATACAAAAATGATGGTGACATGTGCCCCCATTTATCTGGATGGTTTGCAGGAATGAGCCCCCTCAAAGTGGTCTCTGGTCAACACAATGGGTCTCTGTGATGTACCCACCTGCATTTAGCAATCAGAGTTCACAGAGCACTTTCCAGTCTGCTTGGCACACATTCGTTCACAAAGAAGCTGAGGGAAGCTTCATTGCTGCTTCTAAAAAGCAGATTATTCCAGATCCCCGCAAAGCTTCCAGTCTGTTGAGCTACCTGAAAATGACAAGCAGCAACTTCCCTGCAGAGACCTGGAGTCAGAGTTTGGCCATCAATTGCCACCCAGACCTTGAAGCCACTCTGCTTGTCTCTAGGGCAATGTGAACTCCTGGCCATCATGCCTTGCTTAGGATGTCACCAAGTGTCCCCTGAAAAACAGCTGTCAGTCTGTCCCTCTAATCATAGGACCTCAAACCCAGCACAGAGAGCCAAATAGAAAGCAGATCCTATTCCATTCCCTTTATCTCCCTGTTTCCATTAAAAATAAAAGCCTCGGAGCATGCAAGCAGGCAGAGGAGAGGGAAGTATTGTCCACAGTCAAAGCATCTCGACCTCCAGATCAGTCAGCCAGAATGTCCTGCTACACAAGCATTTTTATTCGTTCCAGGATGTTCTTGAGGCAGCTTCCAAAAATGCACATAACATAACAAAATTGGAAAGTGCAATTAACAGACAAAGTGAGAAAAATGAAAAATATATATGAGACAAGATATAAAGACCCAACCTAAATGCCTACCAATGATAGACTGGATTAAAAAAAAAAAGTGTTATATATACACCATGGAATACTGTGCAGCCATTAAGAAAGAACGAGCTCACATCCTTTGTGGGGACATAGATGGAGCTGGAGACCACTGTCCTTAGCAAACTAACACAGGAACAGAAAACCAAATACTGCATGTTCTCACTTAGAAGCGGGAGCTAAACGATGAGAATACATAGAGGGGAACAACACACACTGGGGCCTATCAAAGGGTGGAGGGTGGGAGGAGGAAGACTCAGGAAAAATAACTAATGGGTACTAGGTTTAACACCTGGATGATGAAATAATCTGAACAACAAACCCCCATGACACAAGTTTACCTATGGAACAAACCTTCACATGTACTCCTGAACTAAAAATAAAAGTTAAAAACAAAAAAAGAAGAAGAAGAAAGAAAGAAAGACCGAGGAGAAAGAAACCTATATGAGGCATTAAGCTCTGCACAATTTTTAGGCATTTGGACTCCAACAACAGCAACAAAAAAAGGCGGATAGAGGGTTCGGGAGATGGAATTACATTTAGTGTCTATATCTACAATGTGCATGAAAATAATTCCCACATTTTGACTTTAATCACAGAGGCTGGGCATGGTGGCTTACGCCTGTAATCCCAACACTTTGGGAGGCTGAGGCGGGTGAATCACCTGAGGTCAGGAGTTTGAGACCAGCCTGACCAACATGATGAAACCCTGTCTCTACTAAATTAAAAAAAATTAGCCAGGCATGGTGGTGCATGCCTGTAATCCCAGCTACTTGGGAGACTGTGGCAGGAGAATCGCTTGAACCTGGGAAGCAGAGGTTGCAGTGAGCTGAGATCGCACCACTGCACTCCAGCCTGGGCAACAAGAGTGAGACTCTGTCTTAAAAAAAAAAAAAAAAAAAAATCACAGAGTGGAAAATAGGAAATAAAGATGGCACAACTTTCAATTTCTCAGAATGGGTCTGTTTCTCATTTGAACAGCATAAAATCCAGCCAGGCCTCCTCTCCAACCAGCAGGCCAAGACTCTTCCAAACTGACCTGACACCCCGCCATACCCAATCTTGGCACCCCACCCACTTCCCCCTCCTCAGGGTGCTGCCCAAACCAGACAAAAAGCAGGCGCCAAGATGCTCCCACAGGACTAAGGCTCATAGTGACCTTCTTAAAAAAAACAAAAAAAAAACTTAGTTGGCAACTGTTAAACATTGGGAAATTGTACATAAAAAATCCTGATCTCTCACTTTTTAAAAAAACAAGTGGAAAAGAAAAATAGGCAACATAACATCTCCCCATAGCTGGAGCTGGGGCCGCCTTGGAGGAGAAAAGGTACCTCCCATTTTGTGCACGCAGCCCACTTTCCTGACTCATGCCCATGCAAACCCCAGCTAGGCAACAAATACTTAAATTTTTTGTTTTTATTATTATTTTTTTTTAGTAGAAACGGGGTTTCGCCATATTAGCCAGGCTGATCTCGAACTCCTCGCCTCAAACCATCCTCCCACGTAGGCTTCCAAAAGTGCTGGGATGACAGGCGTGAGCCACCACCCCTGGCCTAACTTTTCAATTTTTTTAACAGAGAGAAAACTTAACGGGGTGAGTAAAATGGCACCAAAAGACCTGAACTTGGACCCATGACTTGGCCGTCCATTTTCTGAATCCACCAAATGAGGGGTCCGACACTGAATGACGATTCTTTGCACCTCTGACAATGTTCTTTCTTTTGACTGACGGAGGTCCCACTTTCCAGGGTAGGGGATTTTGCTGGTATCTACGAACCATGCCAACTTGGCTTAAACGGTCAAGAAAGAGGGGGGTCTCCATAATGGGGCCATTTCACTCTAATTTCTTCTTGAAATGCTTACCCGACTGGTCCCCTCCCTCGCCCCTTACCTATCCCTTTCCTCTCTAGGGTTTTGCTAGGATGTTAGCCGGATGTAAGGTACACGGACGAACTGCAAGCTTAGAGGTAGTGATTGGCTTTGCAAGCAGAAACAAAAACAAAACAATGACCAAAAAAAACCCCTCAAAACCAACAAAATAAAACAAAGCACCTCTTCCTTTCCTTAAAATACATTTTGCGTTAAACCAGTAGCCTACCAAAGGCAGCCTGGAGCCTTAAGTGTGTTCTGGAAGCTGAGCCTTGAGCGCCATCTGGGAGCAGAGGGCGGCACTGCAGCCTCCCGCCCTGGAGCTTCGCCTCCAGGTCCTTGCAGACTTTCCCCTTCATGATCCATCTCTTCTCCCGTTGCCCCAAGGTCTCAGAAGAGGGGATGTGCTACAATGGGGAGTTATGGGTTTTGCAATCAGACCCTGACACTTCACTAGCTGTGGGGTCTTGGGCAATTCATTGCCTTTCTGCAACATGAGGACAATCACACCCACCTTACTGGGAGACTGGAAGATTAAAAAAGAAAAATGACATAAACGGGCTTATAGCATGCAGTCAGCAAACTTATCCCCTTCCGTCACAGTGCCATAACTCAGTCTACAGACGAGTAACTCGGGGAGGGGGTTTGTTTGGCTCATCTGTAAAACAGGGCTGCTGGAAGCCGACATTGCATAACCCATATGTACAACAACTGGCACACAGTGAGTGCTCAGCTGTTAATAAAGGGAAGGAAAAGAAACTGTAAATCTGGCTCTGTTATAGGTCCTGAGGTTAAGCAAATAGAGAGACAGTTATAAAGATAAGTAAGACAAGAGAGCCAAATGTAAATAATAATATCAGGTAATTAATTAGATGTATGAACAAAGTTCAAATCAGTGTAGCTTCCAGGCTATATCAATTACCTCGCTTAAGCCCTCTACGCCCTTTACAACACAGGACTGTCACCCCTGCCCAGTTTACGGGCCAGCCAAGGCGGGTTCAGAAACAGCAGAGAATGTCCTTTGGGCTTACGCTGTTTGTGACCCTGCTTCTTCTCGGATCCTAGTCCATCTTCATCTTTTTTTTCCCAAAATGGTTTTCTCATTTCTGCCACTGAAGTTGAACAAATTCAACATCTGATTTTTCCTTTCCCTGTCTCCCCTCTGCCCACACCCTCCCCCAGTACTTCATCTTCCTGAGGTCGGCTCGATCCCAACTTCATGTCTGTCCCATCCGCCCTCTTCAATTCCACTCTCCTCTCTCCAGTTATGACCCCTGGATGCCTGAAGAAGCCTTCTAACTGTGCTCTCCACTGTTCAGCTCTGCTCCCTCCAATCTGCCCTGCATGAGCCCCTGAGGGATCTCACCCTTTCAGCAGGTCCACCTACAAGTATAACCCCTCTAGGTGACATACCTTCCTTCGGGAAGCTTCTCCCAGCAACCACTGACCCACAAGAATCTCTGCTTTCCTCAAACACAAGTAGACTTCGCAACTCTGCCTACCTGTTAGAATAACCTGAAGAAGCTTCATACCACACTGTTCACCAACAAGCACACAAAAAGATGCTCGATGTCATTAGCCATCAGGGAAATGCAAATTCAATCAACAATGAGAGACCACTCCACACCCACAAGGATAGCTATAATTAAAAAGACGAACAACGACAAGTATTGACGAAAATATGGAGAAATTGGAACCTTATAATACCGCTGGTAGAAATGTAAAATGGTACAGTCACTTGGGAAACAAGGCTGGCAGTTAGTTCCTCAAAGGGTTAAACAGAGTTATCATATGACCCAGCAACTCCACTCCTAGGTATATATATGTAAGAGAATTGATAGTTTCTGTATCCACACAAAAAACTTATATACAAATGTTCATAATAGCAGTATTCATGGATATCCAAAAAGTGGAAACCACCGAAGTGTCCATCAACTGATGAATGGATGAACAAAATGTGGTCTAGGAATGATGTGCTGATCCACACTGCAACACAGATGGGTCTTTAAAAGCTATGTAAGTGAAAGAAGCCAGTCACAAAGAAACATATGTTATTTCATTCCATTTATATGAAATGTCCAGACTAGGCAAATCCATAGACACGTAAAGTAGATTAATGGTTGCCAGGGGTTGGGGGAGGGGAAATGGGAGGAAATGGGGAGTTTCTGGTAGTGACTACAGGGTTTCTTTTCGAGGAAATGAAAATGTTCGGACTGTAGGCTGAGTGTGGTGGCTCATGCCTGTAATCTCAGCACTTTGGGAGGCTTAGGTGGGAGGGTCACTTGAGCTCAGGAGTTCAAGACCAGCCTGGGCAATGTAGCTAGATCCCATTTCTACAAACAAAATTTTTTTTAATTAGCTGGGTGTGATGGTGCATGCCTGTGGTCCCAACTACTCAGGAGGCTGAGGCAGGAGGATCCTTTGAGCCTAGGAATTTGAAGCGGCAGTGAGCCATGATCTCATCACTGCACTCCAGCCTGGGTGACAATGTGAGACCCTGTCTCTAAAAAATAAAAAAAGTCGATTGTGGTGATGGTTGCACAATTCTGTGAATATACGACAAACTATTAAATTGTGTACTTTAAATGGGTGAATTGTATGGAATGTGAATTATGTATCTGAATAAAACTTATATTTTTAAAAAAATAAACCTCCCATTCCTATCACTTCCTCATTGTTCAATATGGCTTCATATATTTCTTCATAAATAAATATACTGATTTAATACGTGTTTATTCGCTTATTGTCTACCACAACAGTAAAGGTAATTTCAATGAGAGCAGAGCCTGTGGCGCGTTCACTTCTATATTCCCAGTGCTTTGAGCATGGCACAAAAGGCTACTGAATAAGTAAGTGCCAGTGTGTGAATATATGAGTACCTGTAAGAATCAGCAAAAATAAAATACTGTTTCCAGGGCCCCACCCCCAGAGATTCAGACGCAATTGATCTGAGGGAGAGCCTGACAAAGGTCTGGCTCAAGACTCCTCGAGTGATACCATTGTACAAACCAAGACGAAGAGCCCTGATCCACAGCAGCTGTCATCTATAACCCTAACCCTGTGTCACCCCTGCAGATGAGGCTTCAGTAGCTCACCATTACCTCTACAGACATTCTAAATTCAAGTTAAATAACGCAGATGAAGGACTCAGGTGAGTCTGGGACTTTCTGTATCAGAATCGTCACAGATGCCTCAAAAAATCAGATTCCCAGACCCCGTTGGAGACATTCAGATCCTTGCAGACCCCTGCCAGGGAATTAATGAGTTCAGGTTCATTCCACATGCAGATTCTCGGGACTCCCTCCAGGAAATTAAATTGAGATTCCCGGATTTAACCCCCTGGAAGGGGTCCCAAGAATTCACGTGTTGAACAAGTGTCTTTTCTCAGACACGCTGAAGGTAGGGATCTACAGAGTCACATTCATGCAAGGTCTGTGGCACAAGGCCTGGCTCTGCCTGCATCTCTGGCTTCATCTCTCAACATTCATGCCCCCACCCTGTGCAGGTCCACCAACCCCGGCTACTCCACGTAACAGAAATGGCCTTTCCCTACTCCTTCTCTTGGCTTCTGCAACCAGCCTCCCAACCTTCACTCAGGTATCAAAGTGGCAAGCTTTTCTGGGTTCCGTGTCTATTCTGAGCTCCCAAGCCTCCTACAGTTGCACTTAACCAGGGATGATTGTGCTTTTCAAGGGACATGTGGCAATTCTGGGGATTTTAATTGTCATATTGGGGGGGTCACTACTGCCACCTACTGGGTAGAGGCTAGGAATGCTTAAACATCCTACAATGCGCAAGACAGCCCCCACCGCCCCCAACAAGAACTATCTGGCCCAAAATATCAGTGTAACTGAACTTGAAAAACTCTGCTATAGTCTATTGTCATGTGAGTTCCTCGAAGGCAGGGAATGTGTAACACTCACCTGCATAACCTCAGATACCACATACAGAGCCTGACACACCGTATTTGGTAAATACTAGTGGAATGAATTATCCGTACCTTACATCTGGCATTCAGGTGTGTTCATTTCTGCCCTATTTTATTCCAGAAAAGACGTGTAGATACTTAAAAAAACTTACTCAATGCAACAGGATAAAATCAGTGAAGGTATCGTAGAAGCAGCAGCTATGATGAAGCTATAGGTGGGTTGAGAGCAGTTATTAGGATTATTTTTATAGCCACAAGGTAGAGATAAGCTGAAATTTGACTCTGGGCTTCTGGTTGGCATCCATGCAATAAAAATGTCCCAGTTGCTCAAGGGAAGCACAGCTCTCTCTAAAGTTGAGAGGTGTGGGGCACTGGGCCATAGTGAGAGTGAAGTGGACAACCCTTTCTTTCTTTGTTTTTTTTTTCTTTTTGAGATGGAGTCTCACTCTCTTGCCCAGGCTGGAGTGCAGTGGCGCAATCTCGGCTCACTGCAACCTCCACCTCCCTGGTTCAAGTGATTCTCCTGCCTCAGCCTCCCAAGTAGCTGGGACCACAGGCGTGTGCCACCACGCCCGGCTAATTTTTATATTTTTAGTAGAGAAGGGGTTTCACCATGTTGGTCAGGCTAGTCTTGAACTCCTGAGCTCAAATGATCCACCCGCCTCAGCTTCCCAAAGTGCTGGGATTACAGGCATGAACCACCACACCCATCTGGACAACCCTTTCAACAGCACCAATACACCAGGAGTCTTTCACAACTAGTTGTTATAACTTCCTCTGAGTTCTTTTCCTCTTCCAGAACTCATTCTCTTTCTCTTTCCCATGTAATTTGATAGTTTCTTTCTATCTCTTAAGTTTGAGCTTGGCCACATGACTTGTTTTGGTGAATGAAATGATGATAGACATGATACAAGTAGGAGCTTTAGATGTGTTTGTGCAGCTGGATGTGAATTCCTGAATCTCTCCCATCACCATGAGAAGAGCATGCCCTGGCTAGCCCTCTGGTTCAAAGAAGGTAAAAAAATACCTGGAGTCAAGCTCATTCAACTTAACCCACAGACCTGTAGCCTACAGCAGAACCACACAGCTGAGCCCAGCCTAGCTCAGCACACCCCCTGCTGACCTGCAGTTGCATAAGCAAGCCCAGCTGGGTTCAGCCACCCCCCAGTCGCAGATGCATGAGCTAAATATATGTTCACTGTTGCATGCCACAGAGTTTGGGGAAGATTCACTATGCCCCATTATTGACAATGGGTAACCAAAATATCTCCCAATAGCAAGTTAAAGAATTACGCCAAAGCGTGGCTAAATAAATAAATGAAAGCAATCTTTTGGGGGGCTAAGATAGACCAAATTATTCCATGTTACTTAAGATTCCTCCCAAACTAAGTAGTAACTCCTTGGTGATAGATCATATTCTTCCACCAAGTGACCACCACTGAGCTGGGCACATAAGAATGCTTGATGCCAATGTGTCAATCAGTATTTGATTGGGAATATAGCCAACCCATTTCAAGAGAAATGCTGTGAACTAAAGTCAAAATGTTGGCAACACTGAACAATCAATCGACTGAATTGGACAGTCAATAGATTCAGATGCTCTAAATGCCTTCCATTATATCCGATCTGCCAAAGGTCCAAAAACCAATGATGCAGTGGCAAATTTCCTGGTCTCATCTCCCACGCAGCATCCACTCTCCCCCAGATGGTTGAGTTCTTTCTGGTCATCTTAGATCCCTCCAGAATGGATTTTTTTTACCTCTCATGCTTGCGCAAGGCTCAACTTCAATTCGAAGAAAGCCTTCCCATACTTCCTTTTATGAAATTACAAGCCTGGGATCCCTACCTTGTCTGCTCAGAAATAAAACAGACTCAGCCCCATCTACACTTGAGTTAGAGTTGAGAGTTGCATACTCTCAACTCCTCATGTGGCTGAGTTGCTAAAGGTGTTGTATTAGTTCTTGCACTGCTATGAAGAAATATCTGAAGCTGGGAAATTTACAAAGAAAAGAGGTTTAATAGGCTCATGATTCCGCAGGCTGTACAGGAAGCATGGCTGGGGAGGTCTCAGGAAACTTACAATCATGGCAGAAGGCAGAGGAGAAGCAGGCATGTCTTACATCACCAGAGCAGAAGGAAGAGAGAGAAGAGGAAGGTGCTACACACTTTTAAACAACCAGATCTCATGAGAACTCACTCACTATCACAAGAACAGCAAGGGAGAAATCTGCCCCCATGATCCAATCACCTCCCACCTGGCCCCTTTTTCAACACTGGGAATTACAATTCGACATGAGATTTAGGCAGGGACACAAATCCAAACCATGTCAGGAGTGAACCATGGAGTCAAGCAGTCCTGGTTTCTATCACAGCTCTGCCACTTATATGCTGTGTGACCTTGGGAAAGCACTTAGCCTCTCTGAGCCTCGGTTGTTCTAACTATACAATGGACATAATATTTACCTACTTTAAGACTGTTCTTAGGACTGAGAAAGGTAAGGTCTATAAAGTACTTAGCACAGCCCCTGACACGTAGTTGGTGCTTAATTAATGCTCTTATCACTTGATTTTGAATTCAGAGAGTAGACCCATCACAGCAGAGCTACAGTGGGGTGGAAAGGGGAGGTAACGGAGGTAACAGGACCCACTATGAGCACCTACTGTGTGCTAGCAGCTGTGCTAAGCACTTTAAATACACTCTCTCATTTAATCCTCACCACCACCTACTTTGTCACCATTGCTTCTATAACAGGACATCAAGTAGGAATTCTCCAGTTGTTCTGGATCAATGACTACAGCAGACAGTTGGTACCTAGCTCAGGGTGAGAGATCCCCAAGAGAAATTGCTCCAAAAGAGGGTGATCACACATCCCCAGTTTGCCCTGCATGATCCCAATTTATACCTGTTGTCTTAACATATCTATTAATAACTTCTCATTCCCTTTCATACTCAGAACAGTCCAAATCTGAGCAACAAATTATATGGTCACCTGTCATGGTCACCAGCCAATTATATGGTCACCTGCCATGGAGCCATGGGGGCTGATTGCAAGAAGGAGGGGCTAGCATCTCTATCCCTGAGCTGCAGAGCCATGAGCCCCTCTAGTGCGATCATCTGAGTAAGATGGAGTGAGGACACTCTTGGAAAAGCTGACTCTAAGCAAAGCTTAATGTAGGAAAAGGACAGGGGCAGGCATCTCCCTCTCATTCCCTGTGCCCTAAGAGTGCGTCACAGATGCCTGTGATTTCATGGTAGAAGAGGAAGCCAGAGATACAGATGAGAGGCTATCCAAGGAGCCACTAAATGAGGGGCTTGGGGCCACAGATGATTGAAAGGGGCCAAAGGGAGGCAAGGCTGGCCTTCCCCTAAGGGTCTCAGTGACAGATGGGGCACATATGACATTGAAACCAAGCACACGATCTACACCAGAACCATCTCATTTGCAAAGGTTTTGAGCAGCAAAACCAGTGTTACACAGAACAAGATCAGAAATGCCACCCATAACTACGACCTTGCCAAGTTAAGTAGAAATAAGCCTAAACTCCCCGACCCACTTTCCTCCCCATCTCCACACACAAAGAGAGGAATGGGAGATGCATAAAGAGCTAAACATGCCCTTCGCACGCACCTCTTCAGGTCCCTGCCATGGGGAAGAGAGATAACGTTTGTTTGTTTGTTTGTTTGTTTGTTTTTTAGATGCAGTTTCGTTCTTTTTGCCCAGGCTGGAGTGCAATGGCCCGATCTGGGCTCACTGCAACCTCTGCCTCCTAGGTTCAAGTGATTCTCCTGCCTCAGCCTCCCAAGTAGCTGGGATTACAGGTGCCCGCCACCACGCCCAGCTGATTTTGTATTTTTAGTAGAGACGGGGTTTCACTATGTTGGCCAGGCTGGTCTTGAACTCCTGACCTCAGATGATCCGCCTGCCTCAGCCTCCCAAAATGCTGGAATTACAAGCATGAGCCACCGCATCTGGCCAGAAGTGAACTTTTCATTGGATCTGAAATTGGAGATTTAAGTCAGACTGAACTAAGTTTTTTAATAGCTGAAAGTGGCCAGAAAGTTAAGGGACCTAGCACCCACTGGGGTAGAAAGACTGAACATACAACTGATAATAATATTTAAGAAAAAAAACAAAACTAGTTCATGCTTGTACCCCATGGAGTTGAAACTTCTCCCCAAACTAATTACTGTCGTTTAATAGACACTTGGTGCTGAGTGCTTTACATATTTTCCTTTTAGGGAAAACTCTGAGACACATGGGCTCAGGGGAAATATTTGTTGACTTGGATGGAAAAGGCCCATCCTCAGCTTTTGTTTTGCCCTGTCCTGCTGTCTGTCTGTGTTAAGTTCAATGCCTGAGGCTTTGCCAACTTATATTCCCTGTAAGGGCAGAAATTCAGCTCATGTAAACCTCACAGCAATCCTTATGCCCATCTAACAGAGATGGAAATGGAGACTCAAAGAGGTAAAGAAACTCACCCAAAGAACCCCAGCTAAAACATTTAGCAGAGTAGGGATTTGAACCCAGGCCTGTCCACCTGCACATCCCTTGCTTGTTTGCCTTATTGAGCTGTCTCCTCAATTTCATCTTCACCAGCCCCAATTCTCAGATGTCCCCTGGGCCTCCTCAATACCATGTTGCAGGCCATAGCCCCAGGCTGCTAAATGGCACGCAGCCTCTGTGGGAGAAGACTCTAATTGTGCCTGACCACAAGGTCTGCAGGGAGTTAATAAATTATTCCAAGAGAATATTTGCACTGAAGGCCTTATTGACTGGAGTCCATTTCCTGAGTTGGCATAATTTTTTTTCTCCAGCAATTGTTATAAAGCAAGTGCAAGTCTTGAAGCCTCAACTGTAGAATCTCTTGATTATCACCAAGTATATGGGCTTCCAAGCCTACCTACCTTCAAAGTCAAGGTCATCACAAAGGGATAATCCCTCAGGCAAAAAGAAAGATGAGTTTTAGGGGTCCCCTGGTTTCCATAGAAAAGGCACTCCAGGCCAGGTGCCATGACTCACGCCTATAGTCGCAGCACTTTGGGAGGCTGAGTCAGGAGGATGGTTTGAACCTGGGAGTTCGAGACCAGTGTGGGCAATATGGTGAGATCCCATCTCTGCAAATAATACAAAACAAAACTCGTAAGCATAGTGGCACACACCTGTAATCTCAGCTATTCAGGAGACTGAGGTGGGAGGATAACTTGAGCCAGGAAAGTTGAGGCTGCAGTGAACTGAGATCACGCCATGGCACTCCAGCCTGGGCAGAGTGAGACCCTATCTCAAAAGAAAAAGAAAAAAGAAAGAAAGAAAAAGAAAAGGCACTCCAGTTCCATTCTATTCTTTATGGAACTATTCATAATTTACAGATTAATGTCACTTTTCTCCCTCCCACCCTCATCTTTCTCCCTAAGAAAACCACGACTGATTTGTTGCAGTATTATAACACCCAATGAGTAGAAACAACCCAAATGTCCATCAATAGGGGAATGGTTGAATAAAGCATGATATAGCCACCCAGCAGAGTACTATGAAACATACTAAAAGAATGAGAAGGACCTCTATATCCCCAGTATGGAGGAGTTTCCAGTTCATTCAAATGAAATTAGCAAGGTTTCAGAAAAGAGTATGTTGTTTTGTATAAGGAAGTGAAAGGGATTAGAATATATATTTGCTTATATTAGCGAAATAAAATAATAAAAGGCTAAAACCACAAAAAAAAAAGTTTCCTTTGGTGGAGAGAGAAGAAGAAGGGTAATAGGAATGAAAATGGGACCTCTCTAAGGCTGAGAAGAGGGGAGAACCAAGAAAGAGGAGTGTGGGAGTGCTTTGTTCTGCCAGGTGCAGTCAATAGGTGCCTTGTCTGTAGAGAATTTAAAAAACAGTAATACAATCAACTATTAAATGCAATTGGTATCTAAATCAAATTTTGGATCCAGGAAAAAAGGACATTGGTGGAAAAACTGATGAAATTTGAGTAAAGTCTATAGTTAATAGCATTATATTAATATTAATTTCTTTTGACAAATGTACCATGGTGATGTAAGATGCTAACATTAGGGGGAACTGGATGAAGGGTAACTACAAGAATTATCTGTGCTATTTTTGCAACTTCTGCAAATCTAAAATTATTCCAAAACAACGTGGTGATTTCTAAAAATATATGAATTTCATACACGAGTATTATGACATGAACAAAAAGCAATTAAAGGTCATCCATTTTTATTATTACTGGCAATTCTAAACAATATTGGTGATAGAACTCTCCCACTCCTCCAACCAGGGCAACTAACCACTCTGTACCTACTCTGAGGATGGCTTTTTTATTTAGTTATTAGTTTGGGACATTGTTAATGTTCTGTAAAGACAAATATAAAACAAAATTTGAAAACAAAAACAGAAAGAGCCACAATATTGGGCATGAATAATCCAAATCTGAGCACTGTCACCACGTGCTCCTCTCAAATTCAGGGTTTTAATTTTTTATTCTTTATTACAGACAGGATCTCCCTATGTTGCCCAGCCTAGCCTTGAACTCCTGAGTTCAAATGATCCTCCTGTCTCGGCCTCCCAAAGTGCTGAGATTACAGGCATGAACCACCAGGCCTGGCCTCAAGTTCAGGTTTGAGCAGCTCTCACCAAAATCCCACTGCAGTAAAATTCGCAGTGGGCTTCAAATTCAGGTCCATCTGAGTCCAGATCCCAAAAGCTTTCTGACAGATCTTCTTGAGGGTGACAAAACAGAAATAAAAGATCAGAATGGGAACTTGCAGTTCCTCTTCTGTCCTTTATAGAAGTGTCAACGGGGATGCAAAGATTTCATTATCAACGGGACTGGCACTGTGCCCTTCTATCAGGCGTCTGCTCTCACAGGGAAATCAACTTGGCACAGCCTCAAGCATTGAACCTAACACTGAGAGGCAGCCGGGCAGAGCAGAAAGAAAGCTGAAGACAGGCCCTTTCCATCCAAGTCAACAAATATTTCCTTTGAGTACGTGTACCTCAGGGTTTTTCCCAAAAAGAAAAATCCCTCCCCATATAAACCCCCTAGAAAGAAGTCATTGCTGCCTCAAATGCATGTATTCAGCTGCAAGGCTTCTATTGCTACATGCTTTCTGATTATAGCCACCATTTCTAAGCCCTGCAGGTGTTTGCCCATCTTGGATCCTTTGAAACAGCTCCTTCCCCTGCCCCATTTGCTTCCAGATATCTGCACGGCTCAGCCCCTCCATTTATTTGGGCGTTTGCTCAAAGCCACCTTTTCAGAGAGGCCTTCACTCACCACCCTATTGAAACGGGGTCACACCTCCCATCTCTCTCCATTCTCTATACCTACTTTATCTCCTTAATGCTCACTACCTCTTAACATTTATTCATGTGTTGACTTGTCTTCCCTCTCTGAAAGCTCCATAAAAGCAGGGTCTGTTGCATCTCCAGAGCCTACTATTTTTTTTCGGTGTAAACAGTAGGTGGCTCACGCCTGTAATCCCAGCACTTTGGGAGGCCGAGGTGGGCAGATCACGAGGTCAGGAGATTGAGACGATCTTGGCTAACACGGTGAAACCCCATCTCTACTAAAAAAATACAAAAAAATTAGCCGGGCACGGGGGCGGGCGCCTGTAGTCCCAGCTACTCGGGAGGCTGAGGCAGGAGCATGGTGTGAACTCTGGAGGCGGAGCATGCAGTGAGCCGAGATGGCGCCACTGCACACCAGGCTGGGTGACAGAGCGAGACTTCGTTTCAAAAAATAATAATAATAATAAAGAATTCCAAAATCAAGTACAAAATCAAAAGGCAGATTTTCAAACAAAATCTTTGAAAAGTGGTTCTGGCCGGGCACAGTGGCTCACGACTATAATCCCAGCACTTTCGGAGGCCAAAGCGGGCGGATCACGAGGTCAGGAGATGGAGACCACCCTGGCTAACACGGTGAAACCCCGTCTCTAGTAAAAATACAAAAAAAAAAAAAAAAAAAAAAAATCAGCGGGGCGTGGTGGCGGGCGCCTGTAGTCCCAGGTACTCGGGAGGCTGAGGCAGGAGAATGGCGTGACCCCGGGAGGCGGAGCTTGCAGTGAGCCGAGATGGTGCCACTGCACTCCAGCCTGGGCGACAGAGCGAGACTCCATCTCAAAAAAATATATAAATAAAAATAAAAGTGGTTCTGTCCTGCTTACACCCTCTTCTCACGCTTTTCAGGCACAAAGAAGGGCCAAGAGCAAGAGAGGATTTCTTTGGAGAGAGTCTGTTGAAGACACGCCTTCATGTTACAAGATCTTGAAACTCATGGGCACCATGGTCTGGGATCTGAATCCTGCAGCAAAGCTCTTCCAGGCTTCTTGCTATGCTGCCTGGGGTAACTGCACAAGGCCCCATAATTAGACGACCCCACTGTGATGCTGGCATTTTGAAATTCCTATAATTTTTTTTTTTTTTTTTTTTTTTGAGACAAGGTCTTTCTCTGTCACCCAGGCTACAATGCAGTGGCATGAGGCTCACTGCAGCCTCAACCTCCTAGGCTCAAGCGGTCCTCCTGCCTTAGCCTCCCGAGTAACTAGGACCACAGATGTATACCACCATTCCCGGCTGATTTATTTATTTATTTTTTTTAATTAATTAATTTATTTTTTTTTGTAGAGATGCAGTTTTGCCATGTTGCCCAGGCTGGTCTCAAACTCCTGGACTCAAAGCAACTCCCCAGCCTCAGCCTCCGAAAGTATTGGGATTACAGGTGTGAGCCCCTGCACCCAGCCAGAATTCCTATAATTTTCATAACAAGAATCACCACATTTTCGTTTTGTGCTGGGCCCTGAAAACTATGCAGCCAGTTCTGCCCAAGATGCTTATTTTATTTCATTTTCCCAGCTTTACAGGGGTAAAATTGACAAATAAAAATGGAATACATTTACAGTGTACAATGTGATCTTTGGAGATATATGTATACACAAATTGTGAAATGATCACCATGAACCAGCTAATTACCCTATTCATTACCTCCCATAGTTGTCTTTGGATGTTTATGTGATGAGAACACCTAAGATCTGGTCTCTTAGTGAAAGGATGGTGATTACCAGAGGCTGGGAAGGGTAGTGGGCTGGGGAATGTAGGGATGGTTAATGGGTACAAGAAAAATAGTTACAAAGAATGAGTAACACTTACTACTTGGTCAGGTGTGGTGGCTCACACCTGTAAGCCCAGCTCTTTAGGAGGCCAAGGCGGACAGATCACTTAAGGCCAGGATTTCAAGACTAGCCGGGCAACATGGCAATACCCCATCTCTACTAAAAATACAAAAAATAGCCAGGCATTGTGGGGCACACCTGTAGTCCCAGCTACTCAGGAGGCTGAAGTGGGAGGATCACTTGAGCCCAGGAAGTCGAGGCTGCAGTGAGCTGTCATCATGCCACTGCACTCTAGCCTGGGTAACAGAAATGAGATCTTCACTCCAAAAAAAAAAAAAAAAAGACCTACTACTTGATAGCACAACAGAGTGACTATAGTCAATAATTTAATTGCACTTTTTTTTTTTTTTTTGAGACAGAGCCTTGCTCTGTCACCAGGCTGGAGTACAGTGGCGCGATCTGGGCTCACTGCAACCTCTGCCTCCTGGGTTCAAGCAATTCTCCTGCCTCAGCCTCCCGAGTAGCTGGGACTACAGGCATATGCCACCATGCCTGGCTCATTTTTTGTATTTTTAGTAGAGACGGGGTTTCATCATGTTGGCCAGGATGGTCTCAAACTCTAGACCTCGTGATCCACCTGCTTCGGCCTCCCAAAGTGTGGGGATTACAGGCGTGAGCCACCACGCCTGGCCTAATTGTACATTTTAAAATAACTGAAAGAGTGTATTTGGATTGCTTGTAACACAAAGGATAAATATTTGAGGGTATAGATACCCCATTCTTCATGATGTGATTATTACACACCACATACCTGTATCAGAACATCTCATGTACCCATAAATATATACATTTATTATATACCCACAAAAAGTAAAAAAAAAAATTTAAGAGCTGCTCTCTTAACAAATTTCAAGTAAGCAATATGGTATTGTTAACCATAGTTACCGTGCCAAATATGAGATGCCCAGAACTTATTCATCTTATCACCGAAAGTCTGTACCCTTTGAGCAACATTTCCTCCTAGCCCCTGGCAACCATTCTAATTCGACTCTCTTTTCCTCTGAGTTCAACATTTTCAGATTCCACAGATAAGTGAGATCACACAGCATTTGTCTTTCTCTGTCTGAATTAGTTCACTTAGCTAATTCTACTCTTTTTGTATGAGTTCAACGTTTTTAAATTCCACAAATAAGTGAGATCACACAGCATTTGTCTTTCTCTAAGTCCACTTAGACAATCAGAGGTGCTTGTTTTAAACTCAGGTTCCTGGACCCCACTGTTTTTAACAGTTCAGCTTGATATCCAAGCCTGTAAGAGACACTTTGATTCTCTGGATTAAAATGAGAGACAGTGAGAGGAGAGGAAGAAGAATAGAGGAGGAGAGATTTCTCTCTAAAAATGTAAGGGATTCCAATTAAAAATCACCTCTCATTGTACATGCAGAAAATGTACAGTGAGACACAAAGTTGGGTTGGAAGACAAAACTCTGAAACTAGTCTGGGAGGGTTAAGTGACTTCATGGAAATAAATACTAAAATATCAAAATGCTCTAAACTTTCCATTTTTACTTCTAAATGTGCTGAGAAAAAAATCTGATTATTTGACAGGAATTTTAAAAAGAACAATTTTTATAAAACTAAAATCACATTCCTGAACACTCAAATGCTTAGCATAGGGGATGAAATTGACCTGGAATTTTCTTTGTGAGAGGAAGGACCAAGTTCCCAATGTGGATACATTACCAGTTAGATTTTCCAAGCACAGTTCATACTGCAGAATTCACCTAACTTGATTTAGGTTTCTCCTTTATAATCAGTTTCCACTTGAACTTCAACTACCACGAAAAAGTAAGTAAGTAAAGCAAAGACGTAAATTCTTGGGAACTTTGTTATGAGAGGAACTTTCTAGACTGCACTTAGTTGTCTTATTTAATTAGCTACCAGGGAAACAAAACATATAGTATGTCCAAGGAGTTGACTCAATGGAATGCTGTCATGCTAAACAGATCTAACGTCATGCTGGGTGAGACACACAGTCTATTTTAGAAAGCCAAACAGGGCCGGATGCGATAGCTCATGCCTGTAATCCCCAGCACTTTGGGAGGCCTAGGCGAGTAGATTACCTGAAGTCAGGAGTTTGAGACCAGCCTGACCAACATGGAGAAACCCCATCTCTACTAAAAATACAGAATTAGATGGGCGTGGCGACGCATGCCTGTAATCCCAGCTTCCCAGCTACTCTGGAGGCTGAAGCAGGAGAATCACTTGAACCTGGGAGATGGAGGTTGTGGTGAGCCGAGATCACGCCATTGCACTCCAGCCTGGGCAACAAGAACAAAACTCCATCTCAGAAAAAAAGAAAGAAAGAAAGCAAAACAGAAGCAAAGCATGCCAGAAGTTTATTCCAAGCCTCTGACAGTAGGAGTCCTGAAATCCACCTGGTGGATGAAGGAGGAAACAAAATTTAGAGGACTTGGCAGAATCACAGAATGTGGGGAGATGTTTCCAAAGGGGACCTCATCTCATGCTGCAAACGTTTTGTCTGGAGAATACCAAAAAAAAAAAAAAAAAAAAAAGTTTTGTCTGTGTCTTGTGTCTTGGGTTGTTTTGTTGTTGTTGTTTTTTAACGTCATCAATGAGGCGTTCCTTGTTCTGCTGAGGCCCTAGAAGCATTCAGGAAAGGAAATGCAGAGGTGGGAACTGGAGAGAAATAATGTGCTCAATAAAAGGAGTAAGGTTTTGGAGCCAGACAAGAAAAAAAATGAGAAGCAGAGCTGGGGAAAGAATAGAGGGTTCTAGAAGCCTGAATGTGCCAGAAAATCATCCCCTCCAGAATCCCCCAGTCTTCAGTGAAGCCCTATGAACTCACTAGCTGAGTAGGTTTCCTGCAGGCAATGGGAGACGCAAAGTTCTGCACTTAAGCTCCTGTAGGGGAAAAAGCAGAGCCAGCGTGGGTTGGGGCCACCAGGGCCAGAGGCAGATACGACCTTGAGAAGGTCGCCCTCCCCAGATTAGCAGGAAGTAGCCTGCATAGAAGATCTTACCTAGATCTTTGAGGATTCAGGGGACCCCAGCTGACATGTCGGTTATTCTACTTAATTATAAAATGTTTGAGCAGGGCACAGTGACTCACACCTGTAATCCCAAGCACTTTGAGAGGCGGGGATAGGAGGAATGCTTCAGCCCAAGAGTTTGAGACCAGCCTGGGCAACACAGTGAGACTCTGTCTCTACACACTTTATTTTTTTTTGTTTTTTTTTTTTGTTTGTTTTTTAAATTAGCCAGGTAGGATGCTACAGGCCTGTGGTTCCAGCTACATGGGAGGCTGAAGTGGGAGGATCACTTGAGCACAGGATTTTGAGGCTGCAGTGAGCTATGACTGTGCCACTGTACTCCAGCCTGGGCAACAGAGTGAGACCCTGTCTCACAAAATAAAAATAAAGGCCAGGTGCGATTGCTCACACCTGTAATCCCAGCACTTTGGGAGGCTGAAGTGGGTGGATCACTTGAGATCAGGAGTTCAAAACCAGCCTGGCCAACATGGTGAAACCCCATCTCTATAAAAATGCAAAAAATTAGCCGGCATGATGGCAGGTCCCTGTAATCCCAGCTACTTGGGAGGCTGAGGAGGGAAAATCACTTGAACCTGGGAGGCGGAGGTTGCAGGGAGCCGAGATCATTCCATTGCACTCCAGCCTGGGTGACAGAGTGAGATTCCATCTCAAAAAAAATAAAAATAAAAATGTTTGGCCATTTCCAACCTTGCCTTCAGACTATGGGTTCCTGGAGGACAGGTGCACTTCTCAGCCATCTCTGGATGCACTGATGTGGCCATCTCTGTTAGTGTACTGGTATGGACCAGTAGGGTCCATACTTGCACAAATCCCAACAATCGGTATTTACATCTCTTTGCTTGGCCAGGGCCCACAATGCCTGTGCACAGGACAGGTCGGAAGTCCTGGAGAATTAACATACCTCCTGCATTAGGTCTTCACCAGTGACTAACAGGAGGGACGTATAAATATCCCAGCTCCTTCACTCCTCCAGGGGGTGATTCTGAGCTACATGCTCAACACTAGGGTTGGCAAACTTCTTGAAAAAGGGTCATATAGTAAATATTTTATGTTTTGCAGGTCATATTGTCTCTCACAGATGCTCAACTCTGCTGCTGTTGTATAAAAGCTGCCATGGGCTATACATAAATGAAAGGGTGTGACTGTATTCCAGGAACATTTTATTGAAATAACAGGTGGCAGAACAGGTTTGCCATGGGCCAATAGTTTGCAAATCCCTGCTCTGTGTCATTTTCCAGAGTTCCCCAGAGAGATTAAACTGTGATTCCCCACACTGGTAACTGACATGATAATGCATCTTTCTTGCCACTTCCCTCCCTTGCCTGTCCCCTTTCCCCCACCTCCTCAAGCTTAATAAACTATTGGCACTCAAATCCTTGCCTCAGAGTCTACTTCAGTGAGCATCCAAACTAAAACAGTTGATTAGGACTTTTTTTGTTTTTTTGCAAGAGATGGAGTCTCGCCCTGTCACCCAGGCTAGAGTGCAGTGGCGGGATCTTAGTTCACTGCAACCTCCGCTTCCCAGGTTCAAGCGATTCTCCTGCCTCAGCCTCCTGAGTAGCTGGGATTACAGGTACGTGTCACCACGCCTAGCTAATTTTTTATTTTTAGTAGAGACAGGGTTTCACTATATGTTGGCCAAGCTAGTCTCAAACTCCTGACCTCAGGTGATCCGCCTGTATCAGCCTCCCAAAATGCTGGGATTACAGGCGTGAGCCACTGTGCCCAGCCTGATAAGGATACTTTTGACTGCAAGCAACACAGAGTTGAACTACAGGTGATTTAAATATTAATTTTGCACCAACCTATAATCCAGATTTATTGTATCTCCCACACAAAATCCAGGCGTAGGTGGTCCAGACAGGTTAATTCAATAATGTCATGGCTTTGCGGTTTTTCTGATCCTTACTAGCTCACTACTGAGAACCAGGTCATGTGCCCAAGGCTAAACCAGTCAGCAGTGAGAGAAACAAGATGAGCATGCCTGGCTTGGGCCAACTGAGTTCCATGCCTAAGAGCATGAGGAAGGAAGGGGCTCCATTTCTCTGGGCATATTGCCAACTGATGCATGAATGAAAATGGGATGGTCTCAGCAAAGAAGAAGAGAAAAGGGTTGCTGGGCAGGTAACCAATACATACCCAGCAGCTGGTGCTTAGAAAATGCTGCTGCAGTCTATGAATGCATGAGCCACTGGATGTAAACAATGGATAGCAACTTTCTAGAAGAAAGATAAAGTTGAAGGAGTCATCCTGGACACACAAGAGTGGTGCAAAATAAGCACTGAGTGGCCAGGATGCTCAGGGGAAATCTCAGAGGCTTTAGGGAGCATGGTTACCTAACTCAGAACCATCAGTGCCAACTAAGGAAGACACAAGGTACATTGGTTAAAGTCAAGGACAATCATGTTCTTCCCCTAGTTAATAACAGACACGGCATTTTACAGTTCATAAAGCTCTTGTCCATTCATTAGTCTCACCATTCAGTCAATGAAATAAACCCAGGTAATAATCAGGTCAGGTATTATTCTTTTAAAATAATTTTATCCCCATTTACTGTGAAAAAAACTTCTTGAGACAGCTTGCAATAAAAGGTACACCCAAAGGGAAACCAAAAGAAAAATTATTTATTTATCAAATACATAAGAAAACTCATTTAATATGGTTATTTTGATTGCATGTGCTCTTGGGTTTTAGCTCCCTAATAGCCAGAGCAAAAGAAAAAGAAAACATAAAGGACACATGAATATCATCATTTAACAAAGGGAAGTATAGCTGTTCACAGGAAAGGAAATGATTTTTCTTAGAATAGAATTCAAAAAAAATTCCACTTGGATCCTTACATAAGGCAAATGTAACTAAATGATGGATAATGTCTCCCATGATGGTTTTGCAGAAGATATGAGAATGTCCTCATTCATCATGACATTTGAAGTAGTCCATTCTCACACTGCTAATAAAGACATACCTGAAACTGGGTAATTTATAAAGAAAAAGAGGTGGACTCACAAATGGACTCACAATTCCACATGTCTAGGGAGGCCTCACAATCACGGCAGAAGGCAAAGGAGTAGCAAAGTCACATCTTACATGGCAGCAGGCAAGAGAGGGCTTATTATTTTTAGTAGAGACACGGTTTCACAATATGTTGGGCAGGCTGACAACTGGCCAAGAATAGCATGGAAAAGACCCCCCATCTTGATTCAATTACCTCCCACTGGGTCCCTCCCATGACACATGGGAATTATGGGAGCTACAATTCAAGTTGAGATTTGGGTGGGGACACAGACAAACCATATCAATATCCCTACCCATCAGCTTTTCATACAAAGCCAAAGGTTTCTCCCTGTGGATGGTATCATAGCACTGATACCCATAAGCCTCACTTCCATTCCACATTGTCCTGGATATCCTAGCTAGTGCAGTTAGACAGGGGGGAAATGTCCAGAAAGGAAGAAATGAAACAGTCATCATTCCTAGGTGACTTGATCGTATACATAAAAATCCAAGGAAAATTGTTATGGACTGAATGTCTTTGTCTTTCTCCACCAAATCCACACGTTGAAGCCCTAGCCCCCAGTGCAATGGCATTTGGAGGAGGTAATTTGGGTTAGACGAGGTCATGAGGGTATTACCCCCATGATGGGCCTAGTGTCTTTCCCCAGAAAAACAATATCCTTTACCATATCCCGAAAATTATAACAATACCAGTTTTAAGTACTTACTATGCATGCACCAAGTGTTTACAGGTTTTGATTTACTCATTGAAACCTCACAGCAGCCTATAAACCCAGCTAGTATGTGGCAGAGTTGAGACGCAAACAGAAAAGCAGTACTCCAGATCCCCTTGGATCCTTACATAAGGGAAATGTAACCAAATGATGGATAATGTCTTCCATGATGGTTTTGTGGAAGATATGAGAATGTCCTCATTCATCATAATATTTGTATTAGTCCATTCTCACACTGCTAATAAAGACATGCCTGAGACTGGGTAATTTGTAAAGAAAAAGAAGTTTAATGGATTCAAGTTCCACATGTTGTCATATGCCACACTTCTTAGGGATGAATGAACATCACCATGATGCCACACTTCCTAGGGATGAATCAACGTCAGAATTTTTTTTTTTTTTAAGTTCTGGGATACAAGTGCAGAATGTGTAGGTTTCTTACGTAGGTATACATGTGTCATGGTGGTTTGCTGCACCTATCAACCCATCATCTGGGTTTTAAGCACCACAAGCATTAGCTATTTGTCCTAATGCTCTCCCACCCCTCACCCCCCACTCTCCAACTGTCCCCAGTGTGTGTCGTTTCCCTCCGTGTGTCCATGTGTTCTCATTTGAACATCAGAGCTTAAAGAAGCATTCCTGCTTTCTTCTCTCCCAGCTGGGCTGGGCTTCAGGTGCCTCCTATATGCTTCCTCCATATCACCTCCACCCTTGCTTGTCATTGTCTGGGTTTGTATTCATTTCCTGAGACTTTTGTAACAATGATCTCAAACTAAATGGCTTCAAACAACAGGAATTTCTTCTCTCCCAGGTCTGGAGGTCAGAAGACTGAAATCGGTTGCAATAAACTGAAATCAAGGTGTCAGTAGGGCTCGTTCCCTATAGAAGTGCTAGGGGACAGTCTGTTCCTTGCCTCTTCCAGCTTCTGGTGGCTGCCAGCATTACCTTGCTTGGAGTGGCATCACCCCAATCTCTGCCTCCATCTGGATATATCACCTTCTTGTCTTCTGGGTGTAATATCTCTCCACCTTTCTCTTATAAGACACTTGCAATCAAATTTAGGGCCCACCTAGATAATCCAGAATAATCTCCCCATGTCAACATCCTTAATTTAATCATACCTGCAAAGACTCCTTTTCCTTATAATTTAACATATACAGGTTCCGCGGACTAGAACCTGCTATCTTTGAGTGGCCATGATTCAGCCTACTATAGGTTTCATCACTATCTCTTTATCAACTCTGAAGTCCTTGACAGCAGAGACCACCTGTGGCCATTTTCAAATGGCTGTACATTTTTACATCAAAGCAATCCCTTAGGGCCAGGCACGGTGGCTCACATCAGTAATCTCAGCAATTTGGGAGGCCAAGGCAGGCAGATCACCTGAGGTCAGGAGTTCCAGACCCACCTGGCCAACACAGTGAAACCCCGTCTCCACTAAAAATACAAAAATTAGCTGATGTGGTGGTGGGCGCCTGTAGTCCCAGCTGCTCGGGAGGCTGAGGCACGAGAATCACTTGAATCCAGGAGGCGGAGGTTGCAGTCAGCCGAGGTCACACCACTGCACTCCAGCCTGGGTGACAGAGGCAGACTCCGTCTCAAAAAAAATACAAAAAACAAACAAACAAAAACACACAACAATCTCTTGGGATCTACACCCTCTCCCTTGACTTTAATGACCTCCATGATTGCTTTGACGTATTGAATATGGTGGAAATCATACTGTGCCCTTTTCCAGTCCATGTTTTAAAAGACTATCAAGCGCTACTTCCTATATCTTGGAATACTCACTTTTGGAACTCAGACACCACTATGCTACGAGAAGCCCAAACCACATAGAAAGGCCACATGAAAGTGCTCCAGGCGACAGCACCAACTGAGCTCCTAACCAGTAGCCAATATCATGCCAGCCATGTGTCTCAGCCATCTTGGATGGCCAGCCTAGTCAAGCCTTCAGATGACTCCAGCCCCAGTCATTATCTGACTACAACTGCATAGGACTTGAAATGAGAACCACGTAGGTGAGCCCAATCAACACAGAGTCATGAGCAATAATACCAAATATTTGTTTCCAGCCACTGTGGGATCAGGCTCTTTTTTATGCAGCAAGAGATTATCTGAACATCATATTTGTTGCTGCATACCAGGTGCCTGGAACTATGCCTGGAGGTCTTGATATTCAATGAAAGTGGAATAAATCAAATAAATAAAAATGGAATAAATAAACAAAACTCTAGAAGCTATGGATTCTAGGGAGTTGAGCTGGAGATCAGGAGGAATGGATATTAGGTCTCAAAGAAATGACAAGGTAATAAGGTAGAAGAAGAAGGCTGTGGATAAACAAATTTTCTGGAGCCTTAATGGTGGTGAGAAGTGGGCAAGTTCAATGTTGAGCAGGACCAAATTCAACAGACCCTCAGCAAATGTTTGCTGACTTAGCAGTACACAGATTCTGCACACATCTTCCTTCCTTTTAACCATTCCTTTAATTGTATAAGCAATATATTGAGTATCTACTGAGAGCCAGGCTTTGAGTTGGGTGAAGACTATTCAGCAGTTAAGTCCCTTTAACGCTTATACACTGTTGATGGGAATGTATATTAGTCCAGTCACTGGAAAGCAGTTTGGAGATTTCTCAAGTAACTTAAAATAGAACTAAGGTTGAATCCAGCAATCCCATTCATGGGTATAAATCCCAAAAGAATAATCATTCTACCTTAAAGATGCATGCACACATATGTTCATTGCAGCACTATTTACAATAGCAAAGACACGAATCAACCTAGATGCCCATCAATTGCAGACTAGATAAAGAAAGTATGGTACATATACACCATGGAATATACTATGCAGCCATAAAAAAGAATGAAATCATGACCTTTGCAGCAACATGGATGGAGCTGGATGCCATTATCTTAAGCAAATTAACACAGGAAAAGAAAACCAAATATTGCACATTCTCACTTAGGAGGTAAACACTGACTTCACATGAACACAAAGAAGGGAACAATAGACACTGGGTCCTACTTGAAGGTAGAGGATGGGAGGAGGGTGAGGATTGAAAAACTACTTACCAGGTACTACATTCATTACCTGGGTGATGAAATAATCTGGACACCAAGCCCCATAACATGCAATTTATCCATGAAACAAATCTGCGCACGTACCCCCCAAACCTAAAATAAAAGTTGGAAAGAAAATAAAAATGAAAAACAAGTCCCTTTCTTATGGAACTTAACAACCATAGAGTATTTGGGGAAACCTCAAAACCACAGGCAGGTGGTTCAAGCCCCCATCTCTGACCTTCATTACCCTGCTGTATAGCCATGATTACAAAAAAAAAAAAAAAAGCCAGACCATTCAATGCTATTGCTTCTCTCTTCCAAATGGGATGAAGTGCAGGCAGTAAACAAAGGAAGATGAACTTGGCCAAGTCCTTCTATTCATTTTGTGGCAGTGATGACAATTTCCCATTGTGGGGAGCTGGAGGGGCAGTCTCCTTCTGTTCAAATGACTCAGTACACTTTTGAGGGGGCATAAGAACCAGAAAGTGCAGGTGCTAGTAAAGCAGGCCTGTATTTACAGGGAGAATCAGTCCACAGACTTCAGCTTCTCAAAACCATTGTTAATGTGCTTTTACAAAATGCAAAATGCTGCTAGACAGTTCACTGGGTGGCCTTGGGCCTACCCAGTTCTTCCCTCTTTTCCCAACTCATGGTTCTTAAGAATAACTGAAGAATGTGCTAGAAATGCAACATCTTGAGATAGAGAGGGACTGGCCAGAACGACCCAACCTCTGTTTCAGTCCACCCCTAGAAACAAAATGTCTTAAACACTTTAGCCCAGCAAATCACACATCCTGGGGTATAAAACACAGAACCAGCTGCTTTCTGGGGTATCTGAGCTTCTGTGCAAGTAAGGCATGCACAGATATGACTCTACTTACCCTCAGCAGGTTTCCGGGGACTTGGAGGAATAGCTCACAATGAATCCTAGGCTTCTACCATCTCTTGCTGCCTATCTGTAAGTAATAAACCTACCTCAGGTAACTTGTTGTGTGGGAGTGTTCTGTCTCACTGGACAAGTTGGTAGCCAGTGAACAGTGAACCTGCTTCACAAATTCCTCTGCTGTAAAGTGCACCAGAAGCTCTCAGTCATGGAAGTTCTGTGCTCAAATCTTCCTTCAAGGTGAACTGCTCTGGAAGCAGAGCTAACTGACAACCTCTAGCTGCTGTACCTTTTGACCCACCGAGGTGTTCATGCTAGGCTGCACTTCCCTGGGGATTTTCCCAGCCAGTGACTGGGCACAGTGGAAGTAACGGAATTAGGTGATTCTAACCCAACTGGGAGTTGTCCAACAGAGAGAGTTGCCTTAGGAACTATTACACTGGCTGATACATTCTCAGAGTTGTGCCGAAGCCTTTCTCTTTCTAACTATCTCTCTTCCTTCCCACTCTGCTTTCAGAGGTGTCAGACCTGCATTACGGTCTGAAATCTCTCCCTGCTCCCTCCCCATTTCCCTTCACAGGCATTTTCTTCAATGAATTTCCTGCACAATTAATACTTGGTTTTCTTTCATGTTGTAAACCACTGTAGGATGACTACAGTTAACAATATGTAGTTTTGGCCAGGCGCAGTGGCTCGTGCCTGTGATCCCAGCACTTTGGGACTCTGAAGTGAGCAGACCACTTGAGGTCAGGAGTTCGAAACCAGCCTGGCAAACATGGTGAAACCCCATCTCTACTAAAAAAATATTAGTCGGGCGTGGTGGAGCATGCCTGTAATCCCAGCTACTCGGCAGGCTGAGGCAGAAGAATCGCTTGAACCTGAGAGGCAGAGGTTGCATTGAGCAGAGATCATGCTACTACAAATCAGTCTGGGTGACAGAGCAAGATTCTGTCTAAATAAAATATAATGATAATAGTAATAATAATGCAGTTTCAAATAGCTAGAAGGAAGATACTGAATGTTACCATCACAAAGAAATGAGAAACGTTTGAGATGATGGATATGCTAATTACCCTGATCAAATCACTATACATTATATATATCAAAACATCACTACGTACTCCATCAATAGGTACCATTATTTTTCAATTAAAAAATAATTTTTTTAAAAAAAAGAAATATAGAATGTTATACTTGTAAAAAGAAGAAAATGGAAACTGAGGAATCAAATTATGTAAGAGTGATCTTCCTTCTCATCAGCTATCATTTTAGAAATTTGTAGGAAAAGAAAAGGAGATAAAGGAAGACAGCAAGAGGAAGCAAATAAGCAGAGGGAGGAAAAGAGCAGAAAGTAAAGAAAGAATTAGAAAGTAAGGAGACACAACAGATCAGATCAGCTACCATAATTCAAATGCTCGCCAAAATCACTTCCTATATTTGCAATACAGAAGCTGCAGGAGACATGTTATTTAAAATTAGTAAGAGGGCCGGGCACAGTGGCTCATGCCTGTAATCCCAGCACTTTGGGAGGCCGAGGTGGGTGGATCACAAGATCAAGAGATCGAGACCATCCTGGCTAACATGGTGAAACCCCGTCTCTACTAAAAATACAAAAATTAGCTGGACATGGTGGCATGCGCCTGTAATCCCAGCTACCTGGGAGGCTGAGGCAGGAAATCACTTGAACCCGGGAGGCGCAGGTTACGGTGAGCCGAGATCGCGCCACTACACTCAAGCCTGGCAACAGAGTGAGACTCCGCCTCAAAAAAAAAAAAAAAAATTAGTAAGAGAATGAGAACTTCATACAGAAGTTGAAAAGTGGATTTGAAATCAGTGGAGACTGGGACCTTGTACAATTAATTCTGTTTTGCCTTCTGCTACTCAGAGGACCTGAACTGACTCACCTACCATCTAGAGACAGCTACTATTTTGTATTTCTTTTTTAGTTTCATGCATTTAATTTGCATGATTATCATTTTGCTTTATTTCTCCATTTTACATTATAATATGTGCCACCTCATGTTACTGTGCTTCATGTCTATTATCGATGCCCCATAACATTCTATTGTATGGAAGTATCATAAATATCAACTATTTCCCTTTAGTTGGACATTCAGGGTCTTTCCAGATTTTTTTCCTAATTAAATGATGCTGCAATAAATGCCTTGTTTCGCTCCTTCAGAACAGGTCATTGCAGTAAGGGCCTCTCCATTGGAGTGGTGGATTTTAGTCGTCTGGGACTTAGGGTTTTGGTTCTGATTCTGCTACATCCTAACAGCATGACCCTGAGCAAGTTACTTGGTTTCTCAGGACTCCTGTTTCCTCACCCATCAAATGGAGGTAACACCAGACAAGGATCCTTTGTGACTATCAGATTTAATCCATGGCATCATTTTGAAAATATTTTCTTTTTTCTTTCTTTTCTGTTTTTTTTTTTTTTTTTTTGACACAGAGTCTTACTCCATCACCCAGGCTGGAGTGCAGTGGCATGATCTCAGTTCACTGCAACCTTCACTTCATGGGTTCAAGCAATTCTCATGCCTCAGCCTCCCAAAAGATTTCCATGGAAGGTGCTTGCAAAGGGAAAAATAACTTGTGTGGTCAAAAAGTTTAGAAACCCCTGGTCTAAACGGCGCTAGCAGGACTTATCAGAGCCTTTATTATAACAGCACACAGTCCCAAAGGTAGATCCTTATGGTATTATCTTAGTCTATTCAGACTGCTATAAGAGAATGCCATAGGTTGTGTGGCTTACAAACAGCAGACATTTATTTCTCACGGTTCTCTCCAGAAGATCTGGGAAGTCCCAGGCAGATTCAGTGTCTGGGGAAGGCCTTCTTCCTAGTTCATAGACAGCCCTCTTTTCACTGTGTCTTCCCATCATGGAAGGGCAAAGGGGCTCTCTGGGACCCCTTTTAAAAGGGCATTGGCCAGGCGCAGTGGCTCACGCCTGTAAACCTAGCACTTTGGGAGGCCAAGATGGGCAGATCACTTGGATCAGGAGTTCAAGACAGCCTGGCCAACGTGGTGGAACCTCATCTCTCTAAAAATACAAAAAAAAAAAAAATTATCCAGGTGTGGTAGATAATTATCCAGTAGTCTCAGCTACTCAGAGGATGAGGCAGGAGAATCACTTAAACCCAGAGGCAGAGGTTGCAGTGAGCCTAGATGGTACTACTGCACTCTAGCCTGGGAACAGGGTGAGACTCTTGTCTCAAATAAATAAATAAATAGGCATGAATCCCACTTGTGGAGTCCCCACCATCATGTCCTAATCACCTCCCAAAGGCCCCACCCCCTAATACCATCCATCACACTGGGGATTAGGTTTCAACACATGGTGGGAACACATTTAGTGGATAGCAAGCATGAAGCATTAATCAAGCTTATTTGCCCATCATGCCCATGAAATTCTGAAGTCTGACAAGCAGCCTGTGAGAAGAAAGACATACAACAAGGAGGTAGGACTATGGTGCTTTGGGGTGGAGGCCACTGATGAAAAACTCACCCCTCGAAAGCATCTCCTACTTTGATACCTACGGATGCAACATCCAGGTAGAACCAGCCTCGATGTCTTCTGGAGCCCAGGACCTGATCTCCAAGCTGGCCCAAGACAACGCTCAGAGTGCCACTGTTCAAGCTCCTCTTGCTCCATAATCACTTTAAAGAGGCTGCCCCCACCCCCGGGGCTCAGAGGGCTTCCTGTGTCCTGACACTATGATCGTGAGCGAGCGCCGCGCTCTGTTCCCAACTATGCTTCCTCATCTGTCATCCACGGCTTTTCTTTTAAGGAGTTATTTACGAAGAGGTGAAGCAATTTGCTTTTAAAAATGAAAAACAACAGAACTAGTATTTTTTGTAAGTCAGCTTGATAGGCAGTAAACAATCCTGCCAAAGCAAAGCAGAAAATGCTGAAAAGGTTCATGTCTCTTCAACGACTCTGACCAAGACTTCAGAGGATGCTCCAAGGGGAGAAACATGCTCAGGGCTACAGAAGCGAGAATCATGGATACCCTAAGCTGGTCTTTCCCAGGAGCAATTTTACCATGCAATTTTCCCTGGATCCTTTCTCTATCGCCCCATAACACCTCTCCCATTTGGAAACAAAAATATAATCTTTGAAAGAAAAATAGAAATCACTGTCTAAATAAAAATAATACATTCCTAGCATTCATTCACCCTCTTCATCCTCCTCCCTGCCCCTGCGGGGGGGAAAAATCTCATGTATCATGTTGAATTTCTCATCTCTTGTGAATGCCATGCAATTGGGTAAATAAGTTCTGTGTTCAATCTTTTGTTTTTTTGTTTGTTTATTGCTTTATTCATTCACAATGGAAAGAAAGACTAAACTTCAGGTAGAGATAAAAGAATATAAGATGTATTTTTAACTGTCCAAGATCATGGGATCCCCGAATTCTATTCATGATAGAATGTTTGAGCATCTGTGGACCCCAGTTTGTGAACTCTTGCCCTGAAACAAAGCCTGCCAGTTATCTGTGTTCAGTCTTTTAACAGGGGTTATTCAATTTACTCAAGCCAACATGAGAGGTTTCCATGACAACCTCTCAGCACATTCAGTCTTCATATAAATGAGTTATTGCTTTTATGTTCTCATACTCTAAGACAATGGGGAAATTAACATAATGTGGTCATACAAAAAAAAAAAAAAATCAAAACAATCAAAATCCTCATATCCTCCCCAGAAACTCACAGATAGCATTCGGTGAAAAAGAACCAAAGAGAAATGAAGCCTTCACATCTGACAACACTGTTAACATTAGAGATTTCATTTCAGATGCATTTAAATGAAGCCAGACCATAATGGGGTTCAAAAAAAAGTGTATAGACATAATTAAACTGCAGAGGAAAGAGACTTAAAGTCAGGGACCCAAATTCACTTTCAGGCCATATATCCTCCAAAGATAACCACCATTCTCTGCCTCTCTTTCTGCACCCCATCCACACTAGCATTCCTGCCCCAGGACCTTCGCACATGCTCTTCCCTATGCTTGGAATGTTCTTCCCCTGCTGTTCTTCCACTGCTGCTTTGCTTAGCTAACTCCTACCCATCCTCAGGTCTCAGCTCAGCAAAGTCACTTCCTCAGGGCAGTCAAGCTTTGCCACTCATCAAGACTAGGTAAAATTTTCTTGTTAAATCTATTTATGGATTTTCCTGGTTCTTTGTATTTTTCATCATCTTAGATAGGTTAGGTTTCCCCAGAAACAAATCCTAAGAGAAGGTGAGACGGTTTGGCTGCGTCCCTACCCAGATCTCACCTTGAATTGTAACAATCTCCATGTGTCAAGGGCGGGGGCAGGTGGAGATAATTGAATCATAGGGGTGGTTTCCCCCATACTGTTCTCCTGATAGTAAGTCTCATGAGATCTGATGGTTTTATAAATGGGAGTTCCCCTGCACAAGCCTCTTGCCTGCTGCCGTGTAAGATGTGGCTTTGCTCCTTCTTGTCTTCCACCATGATTGTGAGGCCTTTCCAGCCATGCAGAACTGTGAGTCCATTAAACCTCTTTCCTTTATAAATGACCCAGTCTCAGGCATGTCTTTATTAGCAGCATGAGAACAGACTAATACAGAAGGACTTGAAGATAAGTGGGTTGATTTGGAAAGTGAGCCCAGGAAACACTGGGATGACAATAGGGAAATGAGACAGAGAAGGGAAAGGAGCTAATCCAGGTCATGTTTATAAGCAGGCTGCTACTATGGGCAACTGGGGTTCAATCCCACTGGGGACATCTGGGAGACAGCATAGCGCCTGCCTCACCCTAAGGTATGGAAGGCAGGGCAACTGCCCTCAGCAGCTGGCTGGGGGAGATGTGCCTGTGTTGGTTTCTCTGCACTTCCAGCCTGCCCCACAAGAGCCTAGGTTATGGCAGTGAGACAAAGCCCCAGGCAGTATTGCAGATGCTTGCAGTAGGAATGGTGAGTTCCTATGCCAGAGGACATAGGCAAGGCAACAACTACATCTGCCACCTTCCCCAATGCAAACAGCATAATTATTGCTGGAGACTGGAGATCAGTGGAATAGAAGACAGAAGATTTAATTCAAAGCCATTAGACAAAAAATAATAGTCCCATTGAAGACAAAGGCATGGGAATACGGGGAAGGTATAAATCCACATGAATAGACAATTTTCAAAAGAAGATAAACAAATGGCCAACAAACATGTGAAAAAATGCTCAACATCACTAATGATCAGGGAAACGCAAATCAAAACCACAATGCGATACCGCCTTACTCCTGCAAGAATGACCAGAATCAAAAAATCAAAACATAATAGATGTTGGCATGGAGGTGGTGAAAAGGGAACACTTCTACACTGCTGGCGGGAATGTAAACTAGTACAACCACCTTGGAAGACAGTGTGGAGATTCCTTAAAGAAAAGTAGCACCACCATTTGATCTGGCAATCCCACTACTGGGTATCTACCCTGAGGAAAAGAAATCATTATATGAGAAAGATACTTGCACATGCATGTTTATAGCAGCACAATTCACAACTGCAAAAATATGAAACCAGCTCAAATGCCTATCAATCAACGAGTGGATAAAGAAACTGTGGTATATATATGCCATATACCAGCAGTATATTTATACTACTCAGCCATAATAAGGAATGAATTAATGGCATTCACAGCAACCTGGATGGAACTGGAGATTATTATTCTAGGTGAAGTAACTCAGGAATGGAAAACCAAACGTCGTATGTTCTCACTCACAAGTGGGAGCTAAGCTATGAGGATGCAAAGGCATAAGAATGATACAATGGACTCTGGGGACTCGGGGGAAAGGGTGGGAGGGGGTGAGGGATAAAAGACTACAAATTGGGTTCAGTGTGTACTGCTCAGATAATGGCTGCACCAAAATCTCACAAATCACTATTAAAGAACTTACTCACATAACCAAATACCACCTGTTCCCCAAAACCCTATGGAAATAAAAAATTTTAAAAATAAAAAATAAATTTACATGATATAAAAGACCTTGACTCTAGGCCTGGGTGACTGATTATATACTGGGGTACAGGTTTTAGTCAAAGAGCTGGAGACTATATGGAAGAGGGGTGTCTAAGGCCCTCTCTGACATTCTAACAACCCCCATCATCTCTTTTGCTGGCCAGGGGCCCACCTGGTAGGACAGTCCAATCCAGGGTAATTCTGGCTCACAGGTCACGCAATACCAATCTTTGGTCCCAAGGTTAGGAGTGGCTGCTCTCACAATGGACTTTATAATAACCTCTCCAACCTCTGTTTGTTGAGCTTAGATTCTTAAGCCTCTAAGCTTCTGATGACTCTTACTAGAGAAAGTAATATAATTACCCATCAATAGAGAAATGGCTCATTCAGCAAGGATATATCTGTTCAATCAAATATATTTGTTCAATCAAATCACTAAAAACAATGGCCGTTTAAGAGTACATATACAAAAGGTACGTGTGCAACAGTATAATAAGAGCAAACCTAAATTATGCTTGTTGTTCACTGATTGTCTCCCCACAGTAGCATGGAAGTTCAGCAAGAGCAGGGATCTTTGTTTTTGTTCAATGCTAGGTCCTCAGCACCTAGGACTGTGCCAGGCACAAAAACATCCAGCACCCACCAAGGTAAAATTTACAATGTCTGACATCCCATAAAAGTTACTTTAAAAATAGAGGCTGGGCCAGGTGCCATGGCCCACGCCTGTAATCCCAGCACTTTGGGAGGCCAAGGTGGGTGGATCATGAGGTCAGGAGATCGAGACCATCCTGCCAACATGGTGAAACCTGTCTCTACTGAAAATACAAAAATTAGCTGGGCGTGGCGGTGCGTGCCTGTAATCCCAGCTACTCGGGAGGCTGAGGCTGGAGAATCTCTTGAACTTGAGAGGTTGCAGTGAGCCGAGATCGCGCCACTGAACCCCAGCCTGGGCAACAAGAGCTAGACTCCGTCTCAAAAAATAAAAAAATAGAAGCCAGTGGCCAGGAGCTGTGACCGACACCTGTTATCCTAGCACTTCGGGAGGCCGAGGCAGGTGGATACTTGAGGTCAGGAGTTCAAGACCAACCTGGCCAACATGGCGAAACCCCATCTCTACTAAAAACACAAAAATTAGCCAGTCATGATGGCACACACCTGTAGTCCCAGCTACTCGGAGGCTGAGGCACAAGAATTGTTTGAACCCAGGAGGCAGAGGTTGCAGTGAGCCAAGACTGCACCGATGTACTCCAGCCTGGGCAACAGAGTGAGACTCTGTCTCAAAATAATAATAATAGAGGCCAGGCATAGTGGCTTATGCCTGTAATCTCAGCAATTTGAGAGGCTGAAGCAGGAGGATCTCTTGAGGTCAAGAGTTTGAGACTAGCCTGGGAAACAAAGCAAAACCCCATCCCTCCAAAAAAACTTTTTAAAAACTAGCCATGCATGGTGGTGCATACCTGTAGTCCCAGCTACTCAGGAGGCTGAGGCAGGAGGATCACATGAGCCCAGTAGTTTGAGGTTGCAGTGAGCTATGACTGTGCCACTGTACTCCAGCCTGGGCAACAGAGCACGATCCTGTCTCAAAAAAAATTACCTTAAAATAATAAGTAAATAAATATCAATTTTACAATAAAATAAAAGTGACTCAGCCTACCCTGGGTGGGGTTAAGGGCTGGCCTCTATCACACCTATCAGCTCCCAGAGGTCCTGGATCCCCCAGAAGCTGCTAGGAGGGGCTGAGGGCCATTACTCAGAAGTGCAGAGTGGAGCAAGCTTTGACCAATAAGAGACAGGAAACAGCAGGAGCTGGCAGATGACTGACTCCAGAGTTATCCCATGCTTGTGTTTCTGGGAAACTGCAACTCCACTAGGCAATATGCACTTCTTTGGTTTTGCTCTTCCTCTTTCTCTCTTTCCCTTATCCCTGCTTTCTTGAGATTGCGTGACCCAATGAAACATTCACATATTTGTATCAGGCACTGTTGGTAGGCTAAGATAACCTCCATCCCCAAAACCTATGACACATGGGGTATCTCCTGAAGGATGCCATTCAAGTTAATCCCCAAACATTATGGCTTAAAGCCACAACTGTTTTTATTATAGATCATGATTTTGAGGGTCAGGAATTCAAGCAGGACCCAGCTGGGCAGTTCTTCTGCTCACACAGTATCATCTGAGGTCACTCAGTAGTATTCAGAGGGCTTCGGGGCTGCTCTGAAGGGTCTAGTGCAGTTTTAGTGATGTGCCAGGCACCTTGGTGGGTGTATTAGTCCATTTTCATGCTCTTAATAAAGACATACCTGAGACTGGGTCATTTTTACAGGAAAGAGGTTTAATGGACTCAGAGTTCCACATGGCTGGGGAGCCTCGCAATCATGGTGGAAGGCAAGGAGGAGCAAGTCACGTCTTACATGGATGGCAGCAGGCAAAAAGAGAGCTTGTGCAGGGAAACTCCCTGTTATAAAACCATCAGATCTCATGAGACTTACTATCATGAGAATAGCATGAGAAAGACCCACCCCCATGATTCAATTACCTCCCACCGGGTCCCTCTCACAACATGTGAGAATTCAAGATGAGATTTGGATGGGGACACAGCCAAATCATATCAGTGGGACAGGATGGAAGCTGGGCTCAGAGCAACTTCTCTCCCTTTCCATGTCATCTCAGAGTCTCTCCAGGTTTCCCTCCAGCAAAAGCCCTCAGATTTCTCACACAGTGGCTCAGGGGTTTAAAACCAAGAGTTCCAAGAGGTGTAAGGCAGAAACTGCATGATCCCTTAAATGCCAGGACCAGAACCATCATGGTGTCACTTCTATGGCAATCTATTCGTCAAAGCAGTCACAGGCCAGCCCAGGCTCAGGAAAAGGGAAATAGACCCCATTTCTGAATGCATGGGGTATCAAACAGTTTGCACTCATCTTTGACCTGCCACAGATACACAAGAAACTGGGAGGAGGGGTGGGTGGAAGACTGAAGCATTAGAGTAAGAGGGGCTCCTTCATCCTCCGGTCATCATTTGCCATGTGCACGTCTGACTTTTTTCAAATAAAAACTGGGGAAGGACAAAAAGTGGGGAGGAACCATGTCAATAAGCTGAATCCTCATCTTCTATGGCACAGAGTCAATAGAAAATGTCTTAAATTGATAAATCAAGAAACAGCCACATAAGCATCTTATTTGGAGTTACAGAGATAAATAACCGAAGACCTAAAAATGGAAACAACATTTCAAGCACTTGCCTCCGGGAAATAAGACTTAAGGAGGGGAGAGAGGAGAGAAGGGGCCAGGAACCGCTGCTTTCATTAGCAGCTCCTCTGTACTTTAACTTTGTACGATGTGCTCATATTACTATGATTTTTTTTTTTAAATTCAAAAGGGAAAAAAATAAGAACAAAATGATGATGGTTATTTTTAAAACTATGTAATTAAACCTGGAAAAATCTCATTTTGCTAAACGGAAAAAAAGTAGCAGGATACTAAACTATATTAATAGTATGGTCATAAGTATGTTTAATAAAGAAAGAGAAAAACATATATGGGAGGAGAAAAATCTGAAGAAATTTACTACCAAATGATAGTGGGTGGGTTTCTCTACTTTTCTAGGTTTCCCACATTTTCAGCAACGTGATTCTCATACTTTCCTAATGAAAAGAAATACATTCATTACATAAAATAAATTAACTGGGCCAGGCGTGGTGGCTCATGCCTGTAATCCCAGCACTTCGAGAGGCCAAGGTGGGCAGATCACCTGAGGTCAGGAGTTCAAAACTAGCCTGGGCAACATGGTGAAACCCCGTCTCTACCAAAAATACAAAAATTAGCCAGGTGTGGTGGTGTGTGGGTGTGTGCCTGTAGTTCCAGCTATTTGGGAGGCTGAGGCAGGAGAATCGTTTGAACCGGGGAGGTGGGGGCTGCAGTGAGCCGAGATTGCGCCACTGTACTCCAGCCTAGGTGACAGAGTGACATTCCATCTCAAAAAAAAAAAAATAAAAATGGCTGGGCGCCGTGGCTCACGCCTGTAATTCCAGCACTTTGGGAGGTCGAGGCAGGCAGATCACGAGGTCAGGAGTTCAAGACCAGCCTGGCCAAGATGGTGAAACCCCGTCTCTACTAAAAATACAAAAATTAGCTGGGCATGGTGGCACTTGCCTATAATCCCAGCTACTCGGGAGGCTGAGGCAGAGAATTGCTTGAACCTGGGAGGCAGAGGTTGCAGTGAGCCGAGATTGCGCCACTGCACTCCAGCCTGAGTGACAGAGCAAGACTCCGTCTCAAAAAAAAAATAAAAAAATTAAAAAATAAAAATAAAATAATAAAATAAATGAGCCGAGCATCAATTAAATAAAATGCCAGAAGGGTCTCTGAAGAACTTTCCACAATAGAAGTGTATTTTAAGTCCCTGAGCCTTCATCTCATGCCTATGGACAGGGGACTCTTTGCACTGGTTCTGGAACGCTCCAGTCCACCATGCCCACGGATTTAGTTAGGAAACCTTCCCAGAAAGAACTTAGTCCATGTCATTTCAAAATGAATTAATTCAACTCAACAGGAACTTTTGTAAGCCTCCAATGTATGCGGTTCTGAACTTTTGTAAGCCTCCAATGTTTCCAGTTCTGAATCTGGAATGCTCATTCAGCCACAAAATAAACATTTATTGAGTACCTACTATGTGCCAGACAAATGCTACTTGCAGGGGTGACAATGATAGAGACAGGCAAAATATTCAATTCTTTGGAGCCATAGACTAATGGGAGAGGCAGACAAGTGACTAGGCAAGTGTAATACATCCTAACAGACACTTTGGGGAACAGACAAGGGGCTGTGGAAGGAGGCAACCTGGAGGGCTTCCTGGAAAAGGCCAAACATGGGCCAAGCGCCGTGGCTCATACCTGTAATCCCAGCACTTTGGGAGGTTGAGGCAGGCAGATCACTTGATCCTGAGAGTTCGAGGCCAGCCTGGGTAATATGACGAAACCTCATCTCTACAAAAAGTACACAAGTTAGCTGGGCATGGTAGCATGCAATTGTAGTCCCAGCTACTCGGGAGGCTGAGGTGGGAGGATCACTTGAGCCTGGGAGGTTGAGGCTGCAGTGAGTCACGATTGCACCACTGCACTCCAGCCTGGGTGACAGGGTGAGACCTTGTCTCAAAAAAAAAAAAAAAAAGGCCAAATATGAGCTCAGAGCTCAGTCTCAAGGGATGAACCAGGGCAGATCAGGTTAAAGCGGAAAAGCTGTTGCCAGCACAGAGAATAGAATATACAAAGACCCAGAAACAACAGAGAAGATGGATACATTCAAGGAACTGAGAGTGATCTCAAAAAAAAGATTTGTCATGATCAGAAGAGACAGTCCCAAACCAGCACTCACTTGGGGGCTCTGGGACTGGACTCCCTAAATTGGAATCTCAGCCCCATCATGTGAGCTCAAAGTGCTTCACCTCACTGTGCCTCAGTTTCCATGTCTGTAAAACAGGGTAGAAGTAGAACTTATCTCAGAAGAGTTATAAGAATTAAACTAGAGAAGAAGTGAGCATTGTTTATATGTGCTTGTTGCTATGGATCCAAAACTGCCAGTAATAACAATAATAATAATAATAATAATAGCTTATGCTTTCGTTGAGCCCTTGCTTTGCACCTGGCCAGTGACAGGCACATTATCAGTAACACAAATGCAAGTATCTCATCTAACCCTTGCATCAACGCTCAGAGATGGGTTTTATCAGCATCCCCATTTTACAGATGAGGAAAACTGAGGCAGAGCAGTTGCACAACGTCGCAGCTGTTCCTGGTGCTTCACCCAGATCCTCATTGCCAGTAAACCACTCATCATTCAGCCTTTGCTGATCTGTGCCTAATGGCTTATACCAATACTTTCTCCGGAGAATTCCTTAGCTAGCAAAAGCCATTTCACCCAGGGAGTTATGCTCTCACATGCTGAACTGGCCAATGACTAAGCGATATGAGGCGAGAGGAGTCACACAAAAGTCCAGTCCTCCTGCTTCAAGGCAGAATACACTCCAGAGACCCACGTGAGATCAAGGCTAGCCTCAGCCTGAGAGCCCATTCTTGCTTGGCTCTGTCCCCTCCCCCATCATCCTCCTTCCCTCACTTTCCTTCTCCTGAGAACCCCCACCTTGAATAAACCGCACCTACCCAAATCTCATTCTCGGGCTTCCAAGGAACCCAACCCGTCACACAACTTGCAGGGATTCGGACCAGGTTTTCTCCTTCCAAAGGGCCCCACGTGAAACCACCAAGCTGCACCAGGCTCATCTCAAAATCAGAGTCATGGGATCAAAGAACAGTTGCTGATGCCAACCCCTGCCGGCATGAGCCCACCGCTGGGGAAACAAGGCGAACCAGACATCTCAGACTAGAGGAGTGAATCCAAGGAGAGAAGATGACAGGAGGTTTATTTGTTCTCACGCTGCTAATAAAGACCTACCCGAGACTGAGTAATTTACAAAGGAAAGAGGTTGAATGGACTCACAGTTCCACAAGGCTGAGGAGGTCTCACAATCATGGTGGAAGGCCAGAGAACAGCGAAGTCACATGCTACACAGCGGCAGGCAAGAGAGCTTGCGCAGCGGAACTCCCATTTATAAAACCATCAGATCTCGTGAGACTTACTCACTACCATGAGAACCGTATGCGGAAACTGCCCCCATGTTTTAATTATCTCCACCTGGCCCCGCCCTTGACACGTGGGGATTATTACAATTCAAGGTGAGTTTGGATGGGGATACAGCCAGACCATATCAGGAGAGGGCACAGCATTAGGACGCAGCCGGTGGTACTGTAATTCGGGTCGGGGGAGGTTGCTGAAATACACTCATAAGGGTAGTTTAAAAAGAGCATCATCGGCCGGGCGCGGTGGCTCACGCCTGTAATCCCAGCACTTTGGGAGGCCGAGGCGGGCGGCTCACGAGGTCAGGAGTTGGAGACCAACCTGGCCAGCATGGTGAAACCTCGTCTATACAAAAAATATAAAAAATTAGCTGGGCATGGTGGCACGTGCCTGTAATCCCAAGCTGCTCGGGAGGCTGAGGCAGGAGAATTGCTTGAACCTGGCAGGCGGAGGTTGCAGTGAGCCAAGATCATTGCACTGTTGCACACCAGCCTGGGCAACATAGCAAGACTCCGTCTCAAACAAACAAAAAAAGGGGGAGGGGCGGGGCTTTAGACAGATCCAAGCTCAACCCTGCAAGTTGCCGAGACTCCGTTTCTTTATCTGTAACATGGAGATCACGATGTTCACCTCGCAGAGTAGATTAAGCAGCTGGCATGTGTGAAGTGCCCAGCACTGTGTCTAGCATATGCTAGGTACTTGGCATGTGTTTCTTTCTTTCCCTCCCTTGTTCAAGGCCACATAGTCCATGACTGGCAGAGCTAGAAGCCTTCTCATTTATCCAAAATCAAAGAACTTCTACAAAATAGAAACAGCCCCCTGCCCCCTCCTGCCCCCGCCCGCCTGCTACCTTAATAGGTTGTTTCCCAGTTATTCAATGCAAGAGACTTAGCCCAGCTAAAGTTATTCAAAATCGACCTTGAGATCAGGAACAAATTGGCTACAGCAGTCAGCGATTGGCAAATGCAATCTAAATGCCCCAGGCGGCATTAGAGCCTTCCACGTTGACAGGAAGAGTCAATGTGCATCTTGGAAAAATCTGAGAAAAAAAAATTAAAGGTCACCGCGTTTGTAGGCAGAATGGGTTTTCTTGAGACCATTACAAACAGACTGCCTAAATTGCAAAGATTCCAGGCTTGACAGCTCCCGGAGGACTCCAGATGGAAAGAACACCACCCCCATCTCTTATACATCCAGGCTGCTGTCTGTGGATGTCCGAAGGTTTTCCCACCACCCATGCTATTGTTGAAATTCCACAATCAACCTGCAATGCCCCAGTGAACCATTTTGCTGGGATGGGAGGACCAACTTAGGGCCAACCCTGTGTTCCAAGGGGCTGACCAGGCAGGACAGCCAAGGAGGCACAAGTCTGTAAGATGGGTCCAAACATTTCTGTAGGAAGGGGGTCTTGAGCCAAAGCAGGAAAAATCAAACCCCAACACAAAGTGTAGAGAGAGTCGGATCATAAATCACACACAGACAGGGTCCGAGAAACATGGGCTGGGGACCAGCAGACGACAGGCTAGGATAATTGATCATTAGAACATCTGTGCTGTTTTTGTTGTAAGAATAGTATCAATATTAATAACAACAGCAAATATATATTGAGTGGCTTCTGGAGCCAGGCACTGTGGTAAACTTTTGCACGTATCCTCTCACTTAATCCTCACAGTGCTCTACAAAGTGGGTACTGGTTTCATGCCCATTTCACAGAGAACATATCTGAGGCTCAGAGAGGCATCTACAAGGTCAACCAGGTAATCAGGAAAGCCAGATTTCAAGGGCTTGTCCACATCACTCTATGACATGTGGGGAACTCAAGTGTGTGTTGGCTTAACTCAAATAAATAGTACAAGTTAGGCTGGGCACGGTGGCTCATGCCTGTAATCCCAGCACTTTGGGAGGCCAAGGCAGGTGGATCACCTGAGGCCAGGAGTCTGAGACCAGTCTGGCCAAAGTGGCAAAACCCTGTCTCTACTAAAAATACAAAAAATTAGCCAGGTATGGTGGTGGGCATCTGTAATGCCAGCTACTCAGGAGGCTGAGACAGGAGAATTGCTTGAACCCCGGGAGACAGAAATTGCAGTAAGCCAAGATCGTGCCACTGCACTCCAGCCTGGGCAACAAGAGCGAAACTCCGTCTCAAAAAAAAAAAACAAAAACCAACCAACCAACAAACAAAAAACAAATAAATAGTAAAAGTTACTTCTCAACACGAGCCAGTCATTTTTTAAAGTATCTTACATTTTTCTTTTCCTTTACTTATTACTTTTTGAATTGACAAACAAAAATTGTCTATAATTATTGTGTACAACCTGATGTTTTGAAATATGTATACATTGCGGACTGGTGAAATCAAGCTAATTAACAAGTGGTGGGGATGCTTCAAATTTACTCTCTTAGCAATTTGCAAGAATACAAACACTTTTATTAATTATAGTCACTATTTTCCAAACAAGGAAACGAATGCCCAGTAAAAGTACAAAGTAACAGAACTCCTCACTGAAGCTGGGGTCATGGGTGAAAAAGATAAATATAGGCTGGGCGCCGAGGCTTATGCCTGTAATCCCAGCACTTTGGGAGGCAGAGGCAGGTGGATCACCTGAGGTCAGGAGTTCAAGACCAGCCTGGCCAACATGGTGAAACCTCATCTCTAGTAAAAAAAAAAATACAAAAAAAAAAAAAAAAAAAAAAAAAAGCTGGGTATGGTGGCAGGTGCCTGTAATCCCAGCTACTCGGGAGGCTGAGGCAGGAGAATTGCTTGAACCCAGGAGGTAGAGGTTGCAGTGAGCCGTGAACGTGCCATTGCACTCCAGCCTGGGTGACAAGTGCGAAACTCCATCTCAAAAAAAAAGATAAAATACAAATACATCCATATATAATTAAAATATGATAGTGGTATGTTTTCCTGTTTAACAAATATTTACTTCCCTCTCATTCCCTTCACCATGGGAAGAACAGAATCCTCTGCCCTGTTAGTGATGGGTTTGTTTTGGCCAATGGAACATGAGCAGAGCTGACGGTGCACCAGTTCCCAGCTTAGGCCTTAAAAGGCATTGAGTATTTCTGCTCACTCCTCTCTGGAAGCTGCCAACCTTCACCAGGTACCACTGCTTCTCCAATCTGGACCTCAGAAATAAATGTAAGAATCAGACTTGAACTCAACCCACAGCCTAAAGCAGAATCTCTCCAGCTAAACCACAGACCTATGAGCAAAAAATAAGTGTTTATTTTTATAACCATGAGGGTGGTGTTACTTGTTACACAGCTACAGGTAACTGATACATTTACACGTGAATATGTGCACATACTATACATGTGCATATTATATAGGATACATATGTGTGGCCGTGTTACATGGAAATAGATACGTATAAATCCTTAAAATGTATCTCCATATGTGGGATATTTATACATATCTATTTGGGAGATAGTAAATGGGGTAGAATTTGGAGACTGCTAAATTTGCATTCTTGCGTTGACACAAGCTGTGCATTTTGGGGGAAATTACTTGACATCTCTGAGCACATTTTCTCCTTTGTAACATGGAGATAAAGATGAAGCTTATCTCATAGGATTACTGTGAGAGTTGAGTAAAATAATACACGTAATGGGCTTAGCAGGGAGCCTAACACACACTCGCTCACACCCATTCATTCAATAAATGTTATTGAGTAACCACATTTGCCAGGCCCTCTTATTGGTGTTTAGAACACAGTTACTAGCTGTGGAGAAAAAAGCAAAAATAAAAAGGATAAGGAGAGCCAGCAGCCCCGGAGGAGGAGGGAGGGAGGCATAGGATGTGCCTGTGCCTGGCACGTAGTAAGTGCTCAATTATTGGTAGCCATTTTTATTCTCAAAGTGATTAACGTGAGAACAAGGGGGTCAACTGGAGATTTAAAAAATAATAATCAGTCTCTCTGCTCCGCAGCAGACCCCTGAGACCCTTGGCAAACCCCAGCAATAGATCAAGGACCTTCAGTAGGTGAATACAGTCGCAGGAACTGCTAGAGCTGACACATAGTCCCTGCAACTCCAGCCAGACGCCAGCACCAGCTGCCACTGGGAGATGTGAGCTTGGCTTCTCCATGAAAGAGAAAGATTCCTGGGGCCTCAGCCGTGCCTCAAACCCACTGATAACATCAAACACACATTGCTGGGGGGAGCCGGCCAGGTGCTCAGAAGCTGCAGGGTGACCCTGCGTGTAGGTGTCGGGAAGTCAGCAGCGACTCGGGGGTGGAGAAACACCCACACCTTTGCAAACACTCTTAATGTAATGCACTGCCCTTGAGGCCACCTCCCGTTTTTTTGGCCCTAATTGGCATGTTTTTCTATCTCCTCAGAAACAGCCACGGGAGACAACATTCCATAGCAGTTAAAAGTGTGGTCTCTGGGTTTGCAACCAGACTATTCCCCACCAGCTGCAACCTTGGGCGAGACACTTAACCCCAGGAGCTTCCCCTCCCGTGGTTGTGATGATTAAATGAGATAACCAGATAACCCCTTAGATGGCAAACACTCAGCACAGTGCCTGATGCTCATCATTGTGGCTTTTATTACGGACTCATTTTATAAACGAGGACATCAAGGCCCAGACAGCTTAAGCCATTTGCTCAAGGTCAGAAGGTCACTCTAACCTTGCCATCAAACCTTGGGATTTTCTTTTTCCTCCATCACACCATCCCCAACTGATCTACTCCTCAAGTGAATTTCAGAAATCCTCCAAAGATGAATTTTGATCTACCTAGAGCTGTGCTGACTTAACTGGAGCATAGCACATATTTTCAAAACAGGAGGAAACTTGACCACAGCTTTGAGCCATGTGGATGATAAAGTCATCGTAGGTGAACTTGAGACTGGGATTCGGCCCTTGTGTCGATTGTGATTAGCACAGAGTGAAGCAGCGTCATTCTCTCGGGGGTAATACCCGAGATTCGTTGCCTCATACCAAAAACATTAAGGACACAGACACACACAAAGAGTGAGTTTAAAAGCAGAGGTTTAATAGGCAAAAGAATGAGAAAGGAGAACGCTGTCTCTCTTCCGAGAGGGGGGCACCCAGTGGGACTTCTGGCCCAAGTCAGAGTGCACCAGATTTTACACGGTTGGGGAGGCGGTGCCTGATTTACTAGGGCCCAAAGATTGGTTGCACCAGGTGTGACATTTACATAGCGCATGGGGAAGTTGGCCGCCCCACCCTAGTGTTATTATGCAAATGGGGTCTTTGCCTGGCTGGCTCCTTGTTGCCTGCTCCTTACTGTACACATGGCTGGCAAAGAGAAGGGAAGATGGAGCTGCCGTGTTGGACGTGCCTAGCCCCAGCTAGCCTTTTCTTATGGGCGGAGCTGCCGGCATTCACCCGTGCAAGCTTCCAGCTTGCTTGCCTATGTCTGCAGCTTGATTTTACAGGATGCTCTCCGTTAGAAAAGAAAAATGATTTGGGGACTGCTTTTCATTAAAAGGAAAACCTTACTGAGGACTTCCTTACCCTCACTATCTGCCTAAATAATTTCTTCTTAACTCTTACATCAGTAATATGAACTCAACAGACTGAAAGTAACAATCAGATCACAAACACAGATGTCTACAGAGTCTGGAGGTTTCTAGGGTGACTATCCATCCTGGCTTGAGCACTGCAAGTCCCACACTCTGGGAATCCGCTCGGGCCTGGGCAAACCAAGACAGCTGGTCACCCTCGCCGTAACATAAGTGAGTGAAGGTATAAAAAGCTGTGCCTGTCTCAGCGTTTTCCACTTCTGAGAAGCAATCATGTATGGTGGTTAAAAGCAAGGACTCTAGAGCCAGACTCACTTGGTCTATACCCCACCTCCGTTGCCTACCAGCTGCAGGACCTCACACAGGATTACCCAACCTCACCATGCTTCCGTTTCCTCACATATAAAATAGAGATATTAGAGCCCCCTACCCTAGGTCAGCCTCAACACCACTGACATTTTGGACCTGATCGTCCTTTACTGGGGAGTCTGGGGACAGCCCTGTGCCTTGTAGGATGTTTAGCAGCATCCATGGCCTCTACGTACTGGATGACAGTAGCACAGTATGCCCTAGTTGTGACAATCAAAAATGTCTCCAGACATTGCCAAATGTCCCTTATGGGGATAGAAGTGTCCCCAGTTGAGAACCAGTGTTGTAGGCAGTGTTGTGAGGATAAGGGAGGTGGTACATGCAAAATGCTGAGAAAAAGCCATGACTTGGAGAGTCTGTTTCTACAGGAACAGCCAATAAAGCCTTAGAGATGGAGCAGGAAGGTGGCAAGCCAAGAGCTGAGCAAGCAGGACCTTGGAGGGACCAAGGGCAGGGCAGCCAAGCCACTGTGAAATGGAACAAGCTCTGCAAACGGAGGCCAGCCCGGCCACCCTCCCCCTCACCTCTCACACAAGATTGGACTTCTATTTCACCCCAGGTGCGGAAAGTGGAGTGAATTACTCCTCAGTTTCTGGCATGGCACCACGGTGCAGTGCAAAACCCCCTCAGCTGAGGTATTCCTCTTCTCTTGAATGTGTGCGCATTCTTGTGAAGTGCATTTGCTCATCAAATATTGAGTGTTCAGAATGTGGCACGAAGACAGCGGTGAACAAAATAGACAGAAATCCCTGCCCTCTTGTAGCTTTAAGCATACTGTCTTGTGTACAAATACATTTTTAACCAATAAAAATTGTGTCATACTATGGTCTAGATATGGTTTGTTTTGGCCCCTGCCAAGTCTCATGTTGAAATGTGATCCCCAGTGTTGGAGGTGGGGCCTGGTGGGAGGTGTTTTGGTCGTGGGGGCAGATCCCTCAGGAATGGCTGGGTGCCATTCTCTCAAGAGTGAGTGATTTCCCACTCTTAGTTTCTGCAAGAACTGATTGTGTGTGCGTGTGTGTGTGTGTTTCAAGATGTAATCTCGCTCTGTTGCCCAGACTGGAGTGCAGTGGCACGATTTCAGCTCACTGCAACCTCTGCCTCCCGGATTCAAGAGATTCTCCTGCCTCAGCCTCCCGAGTAGCTGGGATTACAGGCACCCGCCACTACATCCAGCTAATTTTTGTGTTTTTATTTTTTTCTATTTATTTATTTATTTATTTATTTATTTTGGGACACAGTCTCGCTCTGTCAGCCAGGCTGGAGTGCAATGGCAAGATCTCGGCTCATTGCAACCTCCACCTCCTGGGTTCAAGTAATTCTCCCACCTCAGCCTCCCAAGTAGCTGGAGTTACAGGCAAGAGCCACCATGCCTGGCTAATGTTTGTATTTTTAGTGCAGAGAGGGTTTCGACATGTTGGCCAGGCTGGTCTCGAACTCCTGACCTCAAGTGATCCACCCACTTCGGCCTCCCAAAGTGCTGGGATTACAGGCATCCAGTCGAGAACTGATAGTTAAAAATAACCTGGAACCCTCCTCTGTCTCCTATTCTTCCCTGTCTCCTTCTTCCTTCTCTCATCCTCCTTCCTCATACCCCTCTTCTCTCCCTCTCTCTCTCTCTCTATCTTACCATGTGATCTACACACACCAGTTCCTCTTCACTTCTGCCATGAGTGGAAGCTTCCTGAAGCCCTCATCAGAAGCAGATATTGATGCCATGATTCTTGCAGAATGATGAGCCAAATAAACTTTTTTTCTTTGTAAATTATCCAGCCTCAGGTGTTCCTTTATAGCAGCACAAACAAAGACACTTGCTATAAATTGATTCTATTGCTCACTTTTTTTCCCCTTGTGCTTTGTTTTTAAGATCCATCCAGGCCGGGCACAGTGGCTCACGCATGTAATCCCAGCACTTTGGGAGGCTGCGGTGGGCGGATCACCTGTGGTCAGGAGTTCGAGACCAGCCTGGCCAGTATGGTGAAACCCTGTCTCTACTAAAAATACAACATTAGCCAGGTATGGTGGCGGGCGCCTGTAATCCCAGCTACTCGGGAGGCTGAGGCAGAATTGCTGGAACCCAGGAGGCGGAGGTTGCAGTGAGCCGAGATTGCACCATTGCACCCCAGCCTGGGCAACAGAGTGAGACTCCATCTCAAAATAAATAAATAAATAAATAAAATAAAAGATCCATCCATACTGGCATGTGAAGATCAGACCTGTTTTTCTAACTACCGCAGTCATATCCCACAGTGAGTATCTGTCATGCTTTGCTTATCTATCCCCTTCTGATGCGCACAGCAGTGGCTTCCAATACCCCGCTACCACAAACCCACCTCCTTGAACATGCTTGGGTGAAACTTTCTCTGGGGTATAAATCCAGGAGGGGAATTGCTGCTGCTCAGTCTTTAATATGCACAGGACTCACCCAGGGATCTTGTTAAAAGGCAGATTTTGACTCAAGAAGTCTGGAAGGAGACTCGAGAATTTCCATTTCTAACAAGCTCCCAGGTGATGCTGATGCTGCTGGTCTGGGACCACAGAGAATATGCAGCCTTCATTTGCTTTAGTATCAGATCTCTCTAGAATGACCGCGCCAGTCCACAGTCCCAGGGCTTGCTTTTAAAGGGGGCCAAACCCCACTGGCCCCCCTAACACGGTGTAGACTTGCAGGGCTCTGCTGAGAGCCACCATTAACCACAAGCATCATGTCTGTATTGCTACCGTTCGTCAATACCCTTGACCATCTTGCCTTAAGGAACCCTCAATTTCCAAGCACATCTCCAAATCAGAGCCCCACCCCCTCCACAATGCAAAGTGGGACAATCTAGGAGAACATCCAGCCCAACCTCCTGGCTTTATAAAGGGAGAAACCAAGACTGAGAGACTTGCAAGAAATCACAAGAAATTCCCGTTTCTTTGCATCTTACTCCTCCAGAGCCCTCTTTGAGTGATCAGTAATTCGTCCACAATTTATAGGACTTAGTTCACTTTACCCATCTTTTTCCATCTCCCTGCCCCACCCCACTCCACCCTCCCCATCCCATATCCCCCAGCCCACCCTGCTTTTTAATCCTTGCTAGAATCATCCATTTTGCGACCAAGTATTGACTTCAAATGATATATGAGACAATTGACATTTCAAATATTCCAGGCAGGATACAGAATTCTGATCACGGCCCAGTCTGAAACATCTCCTCCACATCTCTTTCCTTATTCCTTCTGGGCAATAATTGTCCCCCCACCAGCCCACCCCCCTCCCAACCTCGACATTAATTTCCCCTGATTCATTTTTCATGCCTTTGAATTCTGCCTTTTCAAAGCAGAATATGTTTCTGTAGCTGTTTCTCATACCTCCCTTCCCCTCATGAATATTTCAAATGCAATAGTGATATGATCGTTCAACCTTAAGAGGCACACCAACTTTATCTTATTTATCTTACCGAGCTGCTTCCGATCCCGGGATTAAGTCCAAAACATCCTTTGAGAGTTTGTTTGGGTTGTTTTCCCCCAGGCTGTTGCTGCTGTGTATGTAAATTACAAAGAGAAGCAGCCTCCCCCTCCCCTCAGCCCCAGCCCCGGGCACCAGCCCCCGGCCCGAGACGCCCGCCCTCCCTCTGCCAATCCTTCCTGGGAGATGCAAGACGCGCTCCTCTCAAAGCCAATTGGCAGGCCTCCGGACGGGTCCCTGCCAGGGCATGTCTCCCTGACTTCCTCCAGTGGTCTCTTAGAAGCCCAAAACTCACCATGCGACCTTGGGTAGGGCGTTCCGCCACTCAGGCAAGTTTCCCCATCTACAAACAAGGGGATTAGACACGGCGACCCTAAAGTCCTTTCAGCTCTGAGACTCCATGTGACGTGATGTAATGTAACAGACACAGCCCTTCCTGGTTCCAATCCAAGCTCTACTACTAAACGAGTGATGAGATGGCTCACCAACTGTACCTACCACTGACTAGCTGTGTGACCCTTAACTAACTGTACCTACCACTGACTAGCCGTGTGACCCTTAACTAACTATACCTACCACTGACTAGCCGTGTGACCCTTAACTAACTACACCTACCACTGACTAGCCGTGTGACCCTTAACTAACTGTACCTACCACTGACTAGCCGTGTGACCCTTCACTAACTGTATCAACCACTAAACTATCCATGTGTCTTTTAATTGTGTCTACCATTGACTAGTCTTGTGACCCTTAACTGTCTGCCACTGACTAGCTGTGTAACCCCTAACTAACTGTACCTACCACTGACTAGCTTTGTGACCCTTAACTAGCTGTACCTACCACTGACTAGCTTTGTGACCTTTAACTAAATATACCTGCCTCTGACTAGATGTGTGGCCCTTAACTAACTGTATCTACCACTAAACTATCCATGTGTCTTAAACTATCCGTGTGTCTTTTAACTGTCTACCATTGACTAGCTGTGTGGCCCTTAACTGTGTCTACCACTAACTAGCTGTGTAACCCTTAACTAACTGTATCTACCACTAACTAGCTGTGTAACCCTTAAATCTATCACTAACTGTGTGACCCTTAACTGTGTCCACCACTGACTACCTATGTGACCCTTAACTAACAGTATCTACCACTGACTAGCTGCACAACCCTTAACTATGTCAACCACTGACTAGCTGTGTGACTCTTAACTGTTTCTACAACTGACTGACTGTGGGACCCTTAATTGTGTCCACCACCGAGTCGGTATGTAACTTGTTTCTACCACTAACTAGCTGTGTGACCATGATGCGAGTTACAGAAGTTCTCAGGGTCTCAGTTTCCTCCCCTGCAGCATGCATTGGTTAATAGCAGCTGCCTCTGGGGCTGTAGTAGGGTGACCAGCCATCCTCTTTGGTTTATCTAGGACCGAAGTGGTTCCAGGTATAGGGAACGCTCAGTGTCAAATCCAGTAAAGTGCTAAAGCAAACACAAGTTTGTCACCCAAGGTTGTAGTGAGAACTAAAGGTGAATGAGGTGACATGGATAAAATCTAGCACATCAATATAAGTTAGTATCATTGCTATTGCTATTGCTATTGCTTTTTGTTTGTTTGTTTAGAGATAGAGTTTCACTCCTGTCACCCAGGCTGGAGTACAATGGAGCACTCTCGGCTCACTGCAACCTCCGCCTCCTGGATTCAAGTGTTTCTCCATACTCAGTCTCCTGAGTAGCTGGCATTACAGGCACCCACCACCACGCCTGGCAATTTTTGTATTTTTAGTAGAGACGGGGTTTTGCCATGTTGGCCAGGCTGGCCTTGAACTCCTGACCTCAGGTGATCCACCCACCTCGGCCTCCCAAAGTGCTGAGATTACAGGCGTGAGCCACCATACCCGGCTGCTATTGTTAACGGTTCTGCTCATGGCTATAAAGGAATTTTTTTTCACTTCTAATTTTTTCTAGAATTTCAGATTTCTCTTTATCAAAGCAGTACAAGCAAATGATACAAATGACTTGAAATGGAAAACAAAGCTGTCTTACCCCAGCCCTTCTCCCATCAAATCCCTCTCCCCAAAGGCAGGCAGTTGAAGTCCTTTTTAGCGACTGATCTTTTAAGGCTGACTCTGCCTCAGTCACGCTCTGTTCCCACTACTTCAGGCCCTCACCACATTGGCCAGGCTGGTCTTGAACTCCTGACCTCGTGATCCTCCCACCTCAGACTCCCAAAGTGTTAGGATTACAGGTGTTGAGCCACCGCACCAGGTCCATCGGTTTTCATTACCACCACCTGACAGGTGAGCAGGCTGGTTCACACTCTGGTCACCTGGCATGGCTTGTCACATACTGGTGAAGCTGTCACCCGCAAAATCCAGACCTGGGACTGAGGAAAGAGCTAAGCGATCCTAAAGAGATACAGTCTCTCAGGTGGCCCTTGATGGGGGCAAAGAGAGGAAGGGACAGTTCCTCTTTTATTTGTCCATTCACACATGTTGGGAGCCAGGCATTAAATTTGCAAGCCAGAAAAGGCAGGAAAAACCAAGTTTATGGCTTTTCAAGTTGGTTCAGAAATTACTGTACGGGCCCTCCAAAAGGTTTAATGTCTCTGTGGTGTCATCCCAAAGAGAAGCACAGAGAAGCAAGAGGATCTGCAGCTGGAGAGCCCAGAGGCAATGAACACTCACCTTGACTCTCTTCTCATTTCTGAGGCTCTATCAGTTAAGGTTCTTAGTTTGCAAGCAACAGAACCAAATCTTTTTTTTTTTTTTTTTTTTTTTTTTTGAGACAAAGTCTCACTCTGTCGCCCAGGCTGGAGAGTAGTGCATGATCTCGGCTCACTGCAAGCTCTGCCTCTTGGGTTCAAGCGATTCTTCTCCCTCAGCCTCCTGAGTAGCTGGGAGTACAGGCACACGCCACCATGCCCAGCTAATTTTTGTATTTTTAGTAGAGACAGAGTTTCACCATATTGGCCAGGCTGGTCTCAAACTCCTGACCTCGTGATCTGCCCACCTTGGCCTCCCAAAGTGCTGGGATTACAGGCGTGAGCCACCATGCCCAGCCAACAGAACCAAATCTTTACATTAAAAAGCGGGGAGCTTATAGGATCAGAGAAAGAATAGAGTTCCCAGACTTGAGGGGGTTCCAGTTGGACCATCTTTGTATGGTGGTGGATCTCAACCCTCACTGCAGCCAACAGTCAACCAAAGAGACTTTTAGAAACCACTGATGCTGGGCCCTCACCCTCAGAAATTGAGATTTAAGCCGGGCACGGTGGCTTATGCCTGTAATTCCAACAGTGTGGGAGGCCAAGGCAGGCAGATCACTTGAGCCCGGGAGTTCAAGACCAGCCTGGGAAACATGGCGAAACCTCGTCTCTACTAAAAATACAAAAATTAGCTGGATGTGGTGGCGCATGCCTGTAGTCCCAGCTACTCAGGAGACTGATGCAAAAGGATAGCTTGAGCCCAGGAGGTGGAGATTGCAGTGAGCCGAGATTGTACCACTGCACTCCAGCCTAGATGACAGAGTGAGACCCTGGCAGGGCAAGGCAGGGCAAGGCAGAGCAAGGCAAGGCAAAAAGGAAAGAAACTGAGATTTAACTGGCTCAGGTCTGTCTTGTTTCACACCTCCCCTAGGTGATTCTAAGATGAGGTTGAAAAATGAGATTCACTACTCTCGGGATGCAACTGCACCGTGAGTCCAGAAACCAGCAGTACTGGCATCACCATCTCCAGTAGAGCTCGTCAGAAATGCAGACTCTCTCTCAGAACCACCCCAGACCTTTCGAGTCAGAATCTGCCCGCGAACAAGATCCTCCAGTTAGCGTTAAGCAGATTAAAGGTTGAGAAGCACTAGGCTGCAGGGTCGTGGAATGACTGGACTCTAATCACTCTACATCCTTGATGATCTCTCCTTAAGATGCAAATTCCCAGAAGGCAAGCATGTGATGGGCCATGCTTTTGTCACACCATGATAGAAGATCTGGGCATAAGAAATTCTGCAGAGTGGTCCCACCAGACCCACAGGCAGGAGAAGGGCCATCCCTGAACGGAGTGGGATGCGGGGCTGATAAATACTACATAGGTTAAGCACAGCGACCTTCACAGTTCAGAGATAGTGATGCCAACTACCACTTATTAAGCACCTACTGTATGCCAAGCACAGTGCCAAGGACTCAAATTACTCATGGAATTCCCCCTATAACCATGAAGCCAATATTATTATTACTGCTACAGCTACTACTACTATTATTTTATAAAGGAAGAAACTAAGGTTTAGAGCAGTAGATCCAAGTTTAGCACGGATCAGAATCACCTGGAAGATTTGTAAACTCACAGACTTCTGGAACCTACCCTCAGAGTTGCCGGTTCTGTAAGTCTAGGGTAAAGCCTGAGAATTTTTATTTCTAGCAAGTTCCCAGATGATGCTGATGCTGTTTGTCCATTCACACATGTTGGGAGCCAGGCATTAAATTTGCAAGCCAGAAAAGGCAGTAAAAACCAAGTTAATGGCCTTTCAAGTCAGTTCAGAAATCACTGTACGTGCCCCCAAAAAGGGAATGCCAAACATTAGGGAAGTCCCCATCTTCACAATGAGAACTTACCCACCTCAGAGAGATGGTTTCCCCAGGAAACAAGTGCAGATGGCATTTTGCAGAAAGTGCACATTGAAAGAAAGCAAACTGGCTTAGAAATATGGTTAATGGGAATTCTTTGGAATTCATAGCATCAGGAGAGAGTCGTTTCCTTCTACCACACACCTGGCTGGGAGGGTGACAATGTCTTTAGGAGGGAGAGACTGGGAAACATTAATACCAGAGCCCTGGCTATTATTTGCAATGTATAGCAATGTTTTTCCTCAAGGTAGATCTTTGGTGAGCCGTACACAGTAAAGCTAGCCATTCAGGTGGAATTACATCCAACTAGTCATCTCTGTCATACTAAAAACAGTAAACAATGCTTGAAGAAGTCAGATGCCTGGCATCAAATCTAAGATCCACCATTTACTGGCTGTGGTCATTAGGCAAGATGCTTAACGTCTTTGTACCTTATTATCCTATTTTGTAAATGGGGGAATTATAATAATACCTAATCTCTAGGTTACTGGATGGACTAAATGAAATAATGTGTGAAATTTTTAGTAACATAGCTAGAATATTACAAGCTCCCAATAAGTCTATTGTATTAGTCCATCCTCACACTGCTATAAACAACTGGCCAAGAATGGGTAATTGATAAAGAAAAGGGGTTTAATTGACTCACAACAGGTCTGCATGGCTGGGGAGGCCTCAGGAAACTTACAATCATGACAGAAGGAGAAGCAGACATCTTCACAAGGCGATAGGAGGGAGAAGTGAGAGCACGGGAAAAAACTGCCACGTTTAAAACCATCAGATCTCATGAGAACTCACTCACTATCATGAGACCAGCATGGGAGAAGCCGCCCCCATGAGCCAATCACATCCCTCCTTCGACACGTGGGGCTTACAGCTCCCTCCCTCGACGCAACACCTGGTGATTATAATTCAAGATGAGATTTGGGTGGAGACACACAGCCAAACCATATCACCTATTTTATTTATCATACCATTAGTGTTATTATTATTATTGGTGGATGTGCTGGTGGCGTTAATATTGTTGGCAAAACTGGAACTAGCTGGATCTTTATCAATAATTGCAATCATGATTCTGACATCTGACCCTTCCATGCCACTGGTAGGCATGTAAACAGGCACAATTTTTCTGGAAGGTCATTTGGCAATATGTATCAAGAGCCTTACAAATACTCACCCATTTTGACCCAGAAGGTCCACTCCTAGAAATTTATTTTAGGGGAGTACATCCAGTTGAGGACAAAGATGTATGCCCAAGGAAGCCATCACATTATTGCAAATGGTAAAAAATGAAGTGTCAACCAACAGAAAAATGTTTTTGAAATTACACTATGTTCGTACAATGAAATCTTCTTCCAATTATTAAAATAATGTTCATGCCTTTTAATTGGGGTGATTGTATAATTTTATATCTTTATAAAAATATATGTATGTAAGACTTCATATAGATGATGAACTCAGTTATGTAAACATATGATAGAAAAAGAGAAGGGAATAATCCAAAAGCCATCTGCTCTGGGTCTTGGAATGGGAATTCTTATGGTTTTGTGCATTTTTGCAGCTATTTCTCAATAGTCCCCTTTATAATCAGAGCAGGCTGGGTAGAATCTGGTACAGGAGATTGTGGCAAACTAGATAATTAACCCAGAGAACATTATTTCTGTCTGGGTATGCCATTAAGTTACAAAGACCTTTTGTAAATGTGGGTAATAATGAAAAGAGGGCTATAGTGTTGGAAAGGAAGACAGGAGATAAGGAGGAATGAAAAGGAGTAGGTATTATTTCTACAGAGTCTTGAAAGATTAAGAAAAATGAGGCAGCCAGATGCAGTGGCTCACACCTGTAATCCTAACACTTCGGGAGATCAAGGTGGGAGGATTGCTGGAGCCCAGGAGTTTGAGACCAGCCTGAATGATTGAGTAAGACTCCCCTCTCTACAAACAAAATTTAAAAAACTAGCCAGGCATGGTGGTGTGCACCTATGCTCAGGAGGCTGAGGTGGGAGGATCACTTGAGCCCAGGAGGTTGAGGCTGCAGTAAGCCGTGATCACACCACTGCACTTCAGCCTGGGTGACAGAGCAAGTCCCTGCCTCAGAAAAAAAAAAAAGAAAGAAAGAAACAAAAGAAAAGAAAAGAAAAAATGAAGCAAAAGATACCAGCAGCATTGGCTGAGCCCTAGAGGTAATGGGAAGGGTTGATGGGGCAAGATCAGAGACTTCTGTGATGTTTCCATTTGATGAGACAAAACTCAGCATTAGCAGAATTAAAGTTACCTAATCTCTAGATTAGGAAAGGGAACAGAGAAATACCTCATGGCAACACATGGCCTTTTTGAGTTGCAAGTTGACAGAAACTCAAGTCAAACTGGCTTCACTGAGAAATTCACTCTAGGTGAGATCTGTCATCAGGTTGGAGGGGATACAGGCTGTTAGGCAGTGTGATCGGCTTTCCTTCTCCTCTCTCAGCTCGGCTCTCCTGTGATTTCCTTCTCAGGCAGGCTCTCCCCCAGGGTGATGAGATGACCACCAGCAGCTCCCGGTTTCCACCCTACCAGGTTTGCAACCCCAGCAAAAAGAGAACCCCTCTTTCCCTATCCACCTAACAGAAGTCCTGCCACTGATGCTCTTTGAACCACCTTAAAGGCAGGTTTCTGAATCAATCACAACAGCCAGGAGAATGGCATTCTCCCATCTGCCAAACCCAGTCTCTCGAGTCACCCAAAACACATGGGCTGAGAATGGAGGAGAGGTCCCACCTCTCCCCCAAAAAAGTGAGATACTGGTCTAAGAAACAGAAAAACGAAGCTTACATAGGCTAAATGAACCCAGAAGCACTATGTGGAGTTTTTCCTTCCAGAACATGAACCAAGTACTCAAGTTACCCCCAGATGGTATCAGAAGGAAGGATTCAACAGTGCCCTTAAAAAAGGGCCATGGTTCTCAACCAGGGGTGATTCCTCCTCCTCCCCTCAGGGGACATTTGGCAATGACAATGGGGCAGGGGGTTGTGCTACTGGCATCTAGTGGGCAGAGCCTAGGGATGCTGCTACACACCTTACAGTGCACAGGACAACCCTCACCCAAAGGATTATCTAGCCCAAAATGTCCACAGTGCTGAGACTGTGAAACCCAGAATTAGGATGACCTTATAAGTTATTGCCCAAACCAGAATGCTTTCGAGACAGGCAAAACCAGGAAAGCAGTCGTAACAGGGACTGTTGCAGCAAATGAGGACATATGGTTACCCTACTCTCAACACACCGTCCAAACAGAAGGCAAAGCCATTCTCACTGAAGGCTGTGATTCAAGGGAAACGTTTCAATGCTCCCCACCCCAATCATCAATTACAGGACCACAAAGATGCTCTTCCCAGCCGAGGCTTGTCTTTGACCCCTTCTGCTCTCTCCCACTTCCGGCATGGCTGACAGTCCCTCCCATCTACTTCTAAGAGGTCACTAAAAATCGACCAGGGCTTGCCAGCCTAGTGGGGTTGCCCAAATGTCTGCCCACAGATGCTGCTTCGAAAAGCTGTCTCTGGCATGGCCCCTACTGCAGCGGCGCGTGACAGACTGCCTTGCTTGGTGGAAGGAATCCCACCCCGATTAAATTGCTGGAGCCCTGCTGGGAAGGAGGTGGAGGCAGGAGGAGAAGGAGAGTAGGGAGCCAGGCAAGCCACTCCTGCCTCTCCTTTTTCATCTTGGAAGAGCCAATTTCAAGCTTGCCTCGGGTCATAAAAGAAATTAATTTGATTCTCTCAGCCTTGCTCAGAGTGGACACACGTCTTCGGCTGGAGCATCTGCTGCTGCTGGATCCAGAGCAAGGAGACCATCCCCTCGAAACGATTCCATTTCTGTTGCAAGGCAGGGCCAGAATCATCTGCCTGGAGCTGGAGAAGCAGCTGCCTGGAATACCCTGGGCTGTCATTTTTGCTGGTAAGTTCCAAAAACGGTTCTCACAGCTAAGGTGACTCCCAAGTCTCAGGAGGTTTACCCAGAGAGATACGCACGGGTGGGGCTGGTTCTTGGAAAACTCCCAACCAGAATTTAGCACTGGCAGCTGCCTAACCCACTTCATATTGATCAGCTTGATCACACTGAGTCCTCTTAACTGTCAGGCACGGCCCCTGGGCTGTATTCCTGATTGCACACAGCTAAGGTGACTCCCTTGTACAAGCCTCCCCGCCTGAGAGAGGATGGAATTTGTGACCTGCTTCTAATCAACAGAATATGGCAAAGGTGCCGAATGTCACTCTCTTGATCATGTTTCCAAATAAGATTTCCCCTTAGGAGACTTAGGGACTCCCTTGCTGGCTAGGAGGAAGTAAGCTACCATGTTGTGACAGGGCCATGTCAAAGAATGCAGGTGGCCTCTAGAAGCTGATAGAGGTCCCCAGCTGACAGCCAGCAAGAAAACAAGGCCTCAGCCAGGTGCAGTGGCTCACACCTATCATCCCAGCAATTTGGGAGGCTGAGGCAGGAGGATCGATTGAGCACAGGAGTTAGAGACCAGCCTGGGCAACATACAGAAACCTCATCTCTACCAACAATTTAAAAATTAGCCGGGCGTGAAGGCACCTGCCTGTGGTCCCAGCTACTTGGCAGGCTGAGATGGGATGATCCCTTGAATCTAGGAGTTAAAGGCTGCAGTGAGCTACGACTTACCACTGCACTCCAGCCCGGGTAACAGAACAAGAGGCTGTCTCAAAATAATAATAATAATAATAATAATAATAATAATAATAATAATAATTTCATTTAAAAGAAAAAGAAAACAAGAACCCAGCTTTACAACTACAAGGTAAGTCACCAGCAACTGCCATGAGGACCCATTGTCTAAATCTTTTAATGTAAAATAAAACTACATTAGAAACCACACAAACCAAATGTGTAGCTTCTTCAGCCTTTCCTTATTTTTCTAAGGTTGTACAAAACTATTGTATTTACAAAAATGGCACAAAAGTGAATTCAGCAGTCAATTCACATGCATACTTCCTTCACATCTTCAACAACAAAAGGTATTCTAACTCCAACTCTACAGAGCTTGGCAGTTTTCAGGAGTACTGGGGACGGATTTTGCAGGATATATCTCTGTATTAGTCCATTTTCATGCTGCTGATAAAGACATACCTGAGACTGGGCAATTTACAAAAGAAAGAGGTTTATTGGACTTACAGTTCCATGTGGCTGTGGAGGCCTCACAAATATGGTGGAAGGCAAGGAGGAGCAAGTCACATCTGATGTGGATGGCAGCAGGCAAAAAGAGCTTGTGCAGGGAAATTCCCATTTTTAAAAACCATCAGATCTCATAAGACTAATTCACTATCACGAGAACAGCACGGGAAAAACCTGTCCCCATGATTCAATCATCTCCCACCAGGTCCCTCCCACAACACGTGGGAATTATGGGAGCCACAAGATGAGATTTGGAACACAGAGCCAAACCGTATTAGCCTCCATTTGAGTTTGTCTGATTTTTTTCTTTTTTCATGATTAGACTCAGGTCATGAGTTTTTGCAAAGAATACCACAGAGGTGAAGTGCCCTTCTTTTCCAAGCTTGTCACTCATCCATGGTGTGGTTCAAACTTTCCCTTGTCTGTGATGTTCCTGCAACTAGTTCTAGATTTTTAGACTGCAATAATCTCATTATAAGGTACAGAGCTCATTCAAGAAGGATAAGGGGCATATTGATTTCCTAAGGATGATTAACAAAACAGCACAAACGAGGTGGCTTGAAACAAGAGAAATTTATTCTCTCACAATTCTTGAGGGAAGAAGTCCAAAATCAAGGGGTTCACAGAGCTGTACCCCGAGCCTCTGGGGAAGATCCCATCCTTTCCTTTCCTGGCTTCTGGTAACCATAGGCATTCCTGGGCTTGTAGCAGCTTCACTTCAATCTCTACCTTGTGCTCGCTTCGGCAGCACGTACATTAAAATGGAACTTCAATCGCTATCCCCATTGTCACAAGGGGGTCTTCCCTGTGGGTCTGTGTCCAAATTTCCTACTTCTTCTAAGGACAATCTCGTATTAGATTAAGGGCCCACCCTACTCCAGTATCACATCTTCGTAATTACATCTGCAATGACCCTGTTTCCAACAGAGGTCACATTCTGGGGTACTGAGATGTTAGGGCTTTCAACATATCTCTTTGGAGAACACAGTTCAACCTATTAAATAAAGCATCCCACAAAACCAAAGTCAGAAAGCACAGCAGGGTTTTGGGATAGAAAGATAGCAGGAGTCAACACAGCCTGTCTCTGTCTTTCTGGGAGCTCCCGGTCTGTCCTTCCTAAGTCTGTATTGTGTTCTCAATCTCTTCTTTCTTTCTCTCTCTCTCTCTCTCTCACTCTCTCTCCCCCATCTTCTCGCTCCCCATCTCCCTCTCTCCCTCTCTGTCTCTCCGCCCCCCCATGTATTAGTCTGTTTTCACAATGCTAATAAAGACATACCCAAGACTGAGTAATTTATAAAGAAAAAGAGCGGTCACGGACTCCCAGTTCCACATGGCTTTGGAGATCTCACAATTATGGCAGAAGACGAATGAGGAGCAAAGTCACGTCTTACATGGTGGCAGGCAAGAGAGTGTGTGCAGGGGAACTCCCCTTTTTAAAGCCATCAGATCTCATGAGACCTATTCACTATCACGAGAACAGCATGGGAAAAACCCGCCCCATGATTCAATTACCTCCCACCATGTCCCTCCGATGACATGTGGAAATTATGGGAGCTACAGTTTGAGATTTAGGTGGGGACACAGCCAAACCATATCACCCTGCATATCAGTTTTTTCTATTGCAATTGTCCACAGGCCAAACATGACTATATTGTCACCAACTTTCTATCCCCCTCTAGTTTCAAGCACCTTCCAGAGATAAGCTCAGAGATTTTCAACTCCAAATTTCTGGGAGAGAGTCCACATGGCCTGGCTGTAATCCCATATCCAACCCCTTGGTACACAGCCATGGCCAGAGCCAAAAGAATCCTATGGGGTTCTGGATCTCCTAGGGCTCTGGGAAGGGCAAGTTTCCGAAGGAGGAATGGGGGTGGACAAAAATTATTGGCTGAGAAAATAGCTGGTGAATGAGACATTATTTCTGGTAGGGAATGAATGCAAGAGGCCACTATGTTCTGGAGCACAGAGAAAACTCCCACTGGATTCTCAGGACCGTCTGAGAGGAGAGGAATTTGAAAGCAGCTGAATTATCACAGGAGAAACAGAATGGAGTCAGAAAAATTCTGCTTTGTGGCACTTAGATCAATTCTACGTCTCATATCTTTGGGAGCATGGGTGGTTTCCCCCACCCTCCATTTTCCTCTTCTCTCTGAACAAAAGTTTTAGTTTGTGAAGTCAAATCTCATCTTTTTTTTTTTTTTTTTTTTTTTTTTTGAGACAGTCTCACTCTGTCACCCAGGCTGGAGTACAAGTGGTATGATCTCGGCTCACTGCAACTTCCGTCTCCAAGGTTCAAGTGATTCTCCTGCCTCAACCTCCAGAGTACTGGGATTACAGGTGTGCACCACCACATCTTGCTAATTTTTATATTTTTAGTAAAGACAGGGTTTCACCATGTTGGCCAGGCTGGTCTTGAACTCCTGGCCTCAGGTGATCCACCCACCTTGGCCTCCCAAAGTGCTGGGATTACAGGAATGAGCCACCACACCCTGCCCAAACCTTGTCATTTCTGAAATAGAGTGTCAGGGTAGTGTCTTAGTTAGCTTGAGCTGCTATAACAAATTATAATAGACTGTGAAGCTTAAACAACAGCAATTTATTTCTCACAGTTCTGGGGGCTGGGAAGTCTGAGATCAGGGTGCTGGCATGGTCAGGGTCTGGTGAGGACTCTCTCCTGGCTTGCAGATGGCTGCCTTCTCACTGTGTCCTCATGTGGTGGAGAGACGGGTATCATCTCTCTCATATCTCTTCTTACAAGGGCACTAATCCTATTCATGAGGGCTCCACCCTCATGATCTCATTACTTTCCAAAGGCCTCACCTCCTGATACCATCACATTGGGGGTTAGACTTCAGCCTATGAATCTGAGGGCAACACAACCAATGTCTGTTAGTTCACGGCAGACAGTGAAATAGTGGAAAGGAGGGTGTGATTGATTCTGGGAAGGGCTGGTGTTGAACTCTGACTGCAGGATAAAGCCCTCATTGGTTCTCTGGGCCCCGGTAACTGCCCATCTCCCCAAGAGGGTTCCCACATCCATTTCCTCCCACTCTGGGAGTGAGCCCAGCCCAGCATTTCATCAACAACTGATCTCAGGAGCCAAAAGACACAGGGAGAATATGGTGATCAGGGAGCTGAGGAAGAGGGTGAAAAAAGGCAAGGGGTGCCAAGCAACTCAACCAGCACTTCCCCTCCATCTTCTGCTGGATTTGCTCCTTTGTCTCCCCAGCAGGTAGGAGGGATTGTCCAAGACAAAGCATTGGTTACCATCTTTCTGTGCCAAGGCTCTGGGAGACAAGACTGGATTGCGGTCCTCCTTCCTTATTGTACTTATTGTCTAACCTTAAGGTACTTCCTTATGGTACCATTTTCACACGCTGATAAAGACATACCCCCACACCCCAGACTGAGTAATTTATAAGGAAAAATAGGTTTAATGGATTCACAGTTCCACATGGCTGGGGAAGCCTTACAGTCATAGCGGAAGACAAAAGGCACATCTTACATGGCAGCAGGCAAGAGAGAATGAGAGCCAAGCAGAAGGGGAAACCCCTTATAAAACCATCAGCTCTTATCAGACTTATTTACTACCATGAGAACAGTATGGGGGAACTGCCCCCATGATTCAATTATCTCCCACTGGGTCCCTCCCATGACACATGGGAATTATGGGAGCTAGAATTCAAGATGAGATTTGGGTGGGGACACAGCAAAACCATATCACTTATTCTGTAGGAAGAAATGACTTCCAAGGCATTCTCCACCCCTGTCTACATCTGACAGATAGAATTATATTTAACTATATATTAGTATATTACTATGACAATAATAACTCATTTATTCCTCACACCAACCCTGTGCTATCCCCGTTTAAAGATGAGAAAACAGAGGCACAGAAGGTTTGAGTATTATGCCCAAGATCATTCAGCTGATAAATGCCATATCCATCTAACTCCAAATCCCTTGTGGTTGTACAGTCAGCTGAGCTGGCTTTTGGATAAAATTGGTTGGAGGTGAATAGAGAGAATGGGTTGGGGGAAAGTGGTGGATGCCCCCAGCAGGTGTCTCAGAAATAATGTGTTGTCATTTTCACTGTGAATATCTCAGGCTCAAGAATAAAATCACTTTTCTATATAATGATTTGCAATAGTCATGATTCTTTATGATGAAAATATAACCCAAATCAAACTTGCCTAAGCAAAAAAATATATATATAACATAAAATTCACCTTCAAGGGATGGGGCTGGAGTTACCCCCGGAAGCAAGAAGAAAAATTATGCAGAGCGCCTGGTATATCCATCAGAGACCACCAATGTGTTCCTGTCACCCCAACAGGAAGCAGAGAACCCAAGGCTGTGTTGGCAAGTAGAAGACCCTAGGGACCCAGAGGGCCCAGAGAGCCCAGGGATTCCCAGTGCAAACCCTCAGATGCCTTGGTGCCTTAAGGAAAAACACACCAGCCTCATGCTGCCTAACTTCAGCAAGAAAAAAAAGGACCATTCCCTTAATACAAGCCTCAATTGCCCTGATGCCTTATGGCTGTTATTTTAGAGAATTATAATGCCACCTATGATTAATACCGCAATGTGGTCACACAGCAAACGCTCATAAGTAACCTCCCAGCATAAATACCAAGAAAATCCAGACTTACCACGGCTTCATATACATTTTAGATTTTTGCTAAATTGGCCCTTGATAAAGCGTGTGGCCACCTTCATCACAGAAATCAGCTTCCTCCCCAGGCCTAAAATTAGAAGCCCCAACTGCCAGTCGTTAGGTACAGAGCTCAATGCCTGCTGAGATTCCCCTCTCATTTATCTTCTGCGGGGAGCATTTCAAGTTATCGCCAGCTCTCGTATCAGCTGGCCCGGGGAAGGGCAGCAGGCAGCGAGAGGGGCAGCTAACATAGGAAGAGGTCAGCAGGTGAGGGGTGGCTCTGGAGGCGGTGGAACTGGCTGGTCCCTGGAAAGCTTCCCGCTGCAGGTCTAGAGTGGAGAACTCGGACTCCAACAGGGAAGATTGTGGCTGGGAAGAATTACAGACCAGATCCAGGGCTGGATTCTGAATTTAGATGGGGCCCGTAACAATTTGCCTAAATGATTTATTTCAACAATCAACACATCCATATGCTCAGCCACTCAGAATGATGACTGAAATAAAAATGAAAGGTAACAGGCTGGGCATGGTGGCTCACACCTGTAATCCCAGCACTTTAGGAGGCCGAGGTGGGAGGATTGCTTGAGCCCAGGAATTCAAGACCAGCCCTGGCAATATAGTGAGACTGCATCTCTACAAAAAAAAAAAAAAAAAAAAAAAAAAAAGAGCAATAGAAAGAGAGAATTGGATGCATGCTATAACAGCCTATGATGGTAGATCCAGCTGGTCTGGGGAAAAAGGAGAGTATCCAACTAGGCTTCCCCAAGGTCATGAATTTTTTTTTTTTTGAGACAGTCTCACTCTGTCACCCAGGATGAGGTGCAATGGTGCAATTACAGTTCACTGCAGCCTCGACCTTCCAGGCTCACATGATTCTCCCACGTCAACATCCTAAGTAGCTGGGACTACAGGCATGCAGCACCACATGCAGCTAATTTTTTGTTTTTTTTTTTCTTTTGGTAGAGATGGGGTCTCACTTCATTGCCCAGGCTGGTCTCTAACTCCTGGGCTCAAGCGAACCTCCCACCTCGGCCTCCCAAAGTGCTGGGATTACAGGTGTCAGCCATCATGCCTGGCCAGATGATGACATTTAAGCTAAGACTAGGACAATGAGGAGTTATCCAGGTGTCAAGTGAGAGGAATGCATTTATACAGAGATAGTAACATGTGCAAAGGCCCTGGGGTGAGAAGGAGTTCCATGTGTTGAAGGAATTGGAATGTTGGGAGGAATGAAAAGGGTGTGGCAAAATATGTGGGCTGGGGAGGGAGGCAGGGGCTAGCTCAGGCAGGATGAGATAAACTCTGGTAAGGGTTGTATGTGCTCACAGAAACTCATTAACACTTCACTGAATGCTAATATTTATTTATCAGGTTTCAGAGTCTGTTTGTTCGTGAGGGGAGGGTTTTCCATCTTCTCCACTTGAATATAAACTCCTTGAAGGCAATGACCTTTGGTTCACAGTTCTATCACCAGCACCTAGAACAAGAACTAGAACAAAGGTAAATAAAGACACCCTTATCAGGCACAATGTTGCAAAGACTTAGTGGTTATCTTCCAGGAGCCAGTGAAGGGCCAGACCTTTCTTAGGAATGTGCAGGATTTGAACTCCCCAGACCTGCTGAGTCAACTCTACTGCAGGGGACCATACAGAGATGAGAAAGATGCGACATTCTTTCACTTCTGGGTAGCAGAGTCAACAAATGGAACCAGGGTGCCCCCAACGCCCATTACCTATGACATCTTCCTCTGAAATAAGCTCAACAGATGATGGTCCCTGGCTACAGTGACTTTTGTCAGGGATCTCCAAGACCGCCCTCAGGCCCATTGATTTGCCAGAAGGACCCACAGAATCAGGAAAGCCATTGTCCTCATGAACATTGTTTATTGCACTAAAAGGATACAGATTAAAATCAACCAAGGTACAAGATGCATAGGTCTCTCCAAGAGAGACCAGGGGTAAGTTTCCAATAGTTTTCTCCCAGTGGAGTTAGAAGGATAGCTCCTAATGCTCTGTATTAGTCTGTTTTCATGCTGCTGATAAAGACACACCCGAGACTGGGTAATTTATGAAAAAAAAAAGAGGTTTAATGGACTCGCAGTTCCATGTGACTAGGGAGGCCTCACAATCATGGCAGAAGAGCAAGGGAGAGCAAAGGGATGTCTTACATGGCGGCTGGCAAAGAGAGAATGAGAGCCAAGTGAAAGGGGTTCTCCTTATAAAACCATCAGATCTTGTGAGACTTATTCACTGCCATGAAAACAGTATGGGGGAAACCACTCCTGTGATTCAATTACTTCCCACTGGGTCCCTCTCACGACACGTAGGAATTGTGGGGGCTACAATTCAAGATGAGATTTGGGTGGGGACACAGCCAAGCTATAAGAGACAATTAGCAATGTATACAAAGTACTGCCAGCCACAGCAGCTCCCCCAAGCCTTGGTGTCCAGGGGTTTTATCAGCATTTCATCACCCAGGCATGGAGCACCTGCATGGGTGACTTTTGTTACTCAGTCTCCAGCCCCTCTAGAGGTCAAACTGACACATACAAAAACAGGCACTCACCATAAATTGCATTGTTAGCATGGACTAGCTAGCTCAGCCTGAGGCCATAGGTAAACAAAGACACTCTTATCAGGCAGAATGTTCCAAAGACTTGGCGGTTATCTCCCAGGAGCCAGTCAAGGGCCAGAGCTTTCTTTGGAATGTGCAGGATTTGAACTCCCCAGACCGGCTGAGTCAACTCCTTACTGCATGGGGACCATATAGAGATGAGAAAGATGCCATATTCTTTCACTTGTGGGTAGCAGAGTCAACAAATGGACGAGGCTGAACGAAGACAGTCAGGTAGAACCAGAAACCACCTCCACCTGCACCCCTGCATAGGACCTAAAAAAATGTCATAGGACCATGACAACTTTTTTGAGACAGGGTCTCAGTCTGCCACCCAGGATGAAGAGCAGTGGTGCAATCATAGCTCACTGCAGCCTCAACCTCCTGGGCTAATGCTATCCTCCCATCTCAGCCTCCCAAGTAGCTGGGGGCATGCACCACATCTGGCTAATTTTTTGACTTTTTTTTTTTTTTTTTTTTGGAGAGATGGGGTCTCACTTCGTTGCCCAGGCCGGTCTCTAACTCCTGGGCTCATCAGGAGTTAGATGATCACCCAGATGAACAACAGGGACCTCATCCCTCCCCAGGGGTCCTGGGGTAGGACCCTCAGCAGATGAGAGGAGTAGCTCTCCTGGCCCATACCCATGCCCTGTTGTGGTGTTTATAAGCCTGTCATAGGTCAGGTTTCTAGAGAGACAAGCTGTGGGATGGAGATCTGGGTGCAGGGGGTTTACTGGGAGGAGCACCTGCTGGAAAGCAAGGAAGCAGCATTGGGCAGAGAGGGGAGTGGCACTGTGGAACAGTCGCCAGGACCCCTGAGACACCCCCTGTGATGGTTAATACTGAGTGTCAACTTAATTGGATTGAAGGATACAAAGTATTGTTTCTGGATGTGTCTGTGAGGGTGTTGCCAAAAAAGATTAATATTTGAGTCAGTGGACTAGGAAAAGCAGACCCACCCTCAATCTGGGTGGGCACCATCTAATCAGCTGCCAGCATAGGTAGAATATAAGCAGGCAGAGCAGCATAGAAGGGCTTGACTGGCTGAGTCTTCCAGCCTTCATCTTTCTCTCGTGCTGGATGCTTCCTGCCCTCGAACGTCGGACTCTGAGTTCTTCAGCTTTGGGACTCTTGGACTTTTGACCACAGACTGAAGGCTGCACTGTTAGCGTCCCTACTTTTGAGGCTTTGGGATTTGGACTGGCTTCCTTGCTCCTCAGCTTGGAGATGGCCTACTGTGAGACCTCACCTGGTGATCGTGTGAGTCAATACTCCTTAATAAACTCCGCTTTTTATATACATCTATCCTATTAGTTCTGTCCCTCTAGAGAACGCTGACTAATACACTCCCATACGGAGGGGCAAGGGACAGAGCCTTTGTAACCCTCCAGGATTATGGGATGCCTAGGAGGGGAGGAGGATTTCCCAGCACTAGGTGGCTTCCTGCAGGTGCCTTCTTGCCAGAGGCAGGACTTTGCTATGAGCTGTTAGCAGCTAGGTCTCCCAGCAGCTGGGGGGACAGAGGGCCTCGGTGGTCCTGCACAGAGGTCTGAGTGGTGCAGCACCCACAGCGAAGCCAGTGACCAAAGTGGAAAGATAAAGATATGAAAATCTTTCAACTAATTAAGATTTAAAACTCAGATTGATGTGAGGATCCTGAATTGACTGTTTACCAAAGAGACTAGGTTTTAAATGAGAAGGGTCTGGGTTTACATTGACTTGGCAAGACTGAGTGTCCTATCACTGGAGTGACAAGGGAGGCTGGTGGGGATGGATCCAGGGAAAAGAAGCAAAGTATGGAACAAAGAAGTTTAGAATAAAGAAAGTGGCCAAGGCTGGGCGCCACGGTTCACACCTGTAATCCCAGGGTGGCCAAGGCAGGAAGATTGCTTGAGCCCAGAAGTTCAAGGCTGCAGTGAGCTATGATCATGCCACTGCACTCCAGCCTGGGTAACAAAGCAAGAAAAAAAAAAAGCAAGAAAGGAAGGGAGGGATGGAGGAAGGAAGGAAGGGAGAGAGGGAAAGAGAGAGAGAAAGAGGAAAGAAAGAAAAAGAAAGAAGAAGGAAAAAAGAAAGAAGAACGAAAGAAAGAAAGGAAGGAAGGAAGGAAGGAAGAAAGAAAGAAAGAAAGAAAGAAAGAAAGAAAGAAAAAAAGACAGAGAGAGACAGAAAGAAAGAAAGAAAGAAAGAAAGAAAGAAAGAAAGAAAGAAAGAAAGAAAGAAAGAAAGAAAGAAAGAGGCATCAAACCTCACAGGTTGAGGTAACTGTAAATACACGGTAGTTTATCCCTGAGCACAAAATCTCAATGGCACAGTCAAAGCCCCAAAGAAGTAAGAAACAAACATCATTTCCACCTTTTGGGCCTGAAGAAGCAGGTACATTAGAGAAGGGCAGCCACAATATCTGTGAACAGTCATTAAGCTCTCAGACACAGCATCCCACCTTCACCAATCTGATCTCCTTGACGGGGGTGATGCTCCCTCCAAGATAACAAAGAAAACCTGGCCAGGCACAGTGGCCCACGTCTGTAATCCCAGCATTTTGGAAGGCTGAGGCAGGAGGATTGCTAGAGCCCAGGAGTTCAAGACCAGCCTGGGCAACATAGTGAGACCCCTGTCTCTTAATAAAATAAGAAAAAAGAAAAGGAAACCTTCCCTTTACATGAAGGCATCATACCTTAAATGCACATCCCATCTGCCCAGGAGGCTCACCTCTAGATTTGTATCCTACTGATGAACACACACCAAGATGGACATACTAGCATAAATTGTGGAGAATGACAGAAAATATCCTGAATGTCCACCATGAGGGAACTGATTAATTTATACACATCCGTATACTGGAATACTACACAGCTGATAAAAAGAATAAGGAATGTCTATATGGACTGCTATGCAAAAACCTCAAAGATATATTGTTGAATGAAGTCAAGATGCAGTGTAATATGTACAATGGGCTATCATTTATAAAACCGGGAGGAGACATATATACATATGTTTTTCTATATAAAGATTGTATCTCTGGAAAGTTTCAAGAGAAGCCAGCAACACTTTTGACCTTGGAGAAGAAGAACTGGTGGTTGGGATGGAAAACAAACTTAATTTTCACTGTATACTTTTTCTGGTACTGTTTAATTTTTTTTTTTTACCATATGCACACGTTTCCTATTCAAAAGAGAATTTTTTTGAATAGGAAACAATGAAAAATCTTATAGGCATACAAACTAAATTAATTAGCCATCCCTATAGCTTCAACATGCATTTCAATTTGCAAGCACCCTGGCCTCCAAGATTGATTGATTGGCTGTAAATTGAGAACCTCAGCAATTTCCTTTCACAGGGACAGATGTTGACATTATTCCTGTGATTTTTCACAGATGTTTCCCTTCCAGCATCTTTAAAATCGAGTTTTCTGTCAATTTGGAAATCCCAAATTTCTCATATCAAATCGAGATGACAGGAAAATCAAAACCGTTATCACATTTTGAAAGAGTTTATGGATGGCAAATGACACTGGGAAGGGAGATGTTTAAGGAGCAGCCGACGTCTCTTAACCCTTTCTCATCACTTCCTGCCTCAGTTTACCTAAGCCAGCAAAAGGGGAAATTTGATTCAATATACAGACAAGGGCTTTAGAGTCTGCGTAGCGGTGCGATCTCACTTTGGCTCCAACTCTCTAGCTGTGATACTTTGAACCAGTTCATTAACTTGCCCAGCCTCCTCTCTCTCATCTGTAAAATGGGGATAATATCCCCAGCCTTGCAGTGTGATTTTACAATTCACTGATGCAAAAATGGAAAATGCGTGGCACTTAGCACCACCTAAATGTTTTTTCCTTTTTTTTTCCCTTTCCCTCCTCCTTCACCAATCCTCCAAGCAGCTTTTCTTCCTTCTTCATGTCCCCATTTTGCTCACGAGATTCCAAGATTTACCCACTGAAGCTCTCATGAGATTCCCAGATTTACCCATTGTTGAGAAATCAGAAACATCCCCCACCCCCTAGAATTCTCCTGACCTGTGTCCCCTCCCCTTAGGACTCTGCTCTCCCTCAGTGACAACAGGCAGGAATATGATCTACTCATACAAACCAAACCTCTGCTGTTTGTACATCTTAGCTAATAATGCCCAACACACAGCCAACATTTACTAAGTCAGGCTCTTGAGAGCCACTTCATCTGCATGACGCCACAAAATCCTCTCAGCAACAAAAAGGCACTGTTATTATTTCTGTTTTAGAGATGTGGAAATGAGCACCAGAAGTAGATGTAACTTGACAAATATCTGGGTGGTAGATCTGGAAATCAAAGAACCCTGAACCCCAACCACAGACACATCTTCAGTTCAGGCTGGGTCTCTACGCTTTGTTATTTTTAACGGGGCATTACGCTCCCTGGATGGCTATGATGCTGCAGTTAACTCTGCTCTTGTGGATGAATGCAATTATCTGGGGAGCTCGCACTTATAAGATGTACAGCTATGGGCAACCTAAGGCACATCGTGGAGTCTTAATTTCCTCATCTGTCAAATGAGAATAGCAAGGATGGCAGGGAGGGATTAAGGAGCATTTTTGGAAAAGGAAGTGCTATGAAATGAACGTTTGTGCCTCCACCCCCAAACTGATATGTCGAAGCTGACACCCTAATTACCAGTGTTACGGTATTTGGGTATTTGAAGATGCGGCTTTGGTGATTATGTTTAGATGAGATCATAAGCCTAAGGTCCTGGAGATGTGATGTGTCCATATTAGAAGAGACACCAGAGATACCTTTCTCTCTCTCTCACTCTTGCTTGATCTCTCCCTCTCTCTCTTGCACTCTCTCTCATGCTTGCGTGCTCTCTCTCTCCCCTGTGAGGATACAACAAGAAGGCTTCCAACTGAAAGCCACAAAGAGGGCCCTCACTGGAGAAACAAATCACCCAGCACCTTGATCTTCGAATTCCCAGCCCCCAGAATAGTGAACAATAAATGTCTCCTGTTTAAGCCACGTAGTATGTGGTATTTTGTATGGCAGCCTGAGCAGACTGCCACAGTAGATGGTTGGTCTTTCCTCCAACCAATAATAGATGGCTTGTCCTTTCCATCGCCCACCTTGGGCAAGGCAAACAGGACAGTGAAGGCAAGCACATCTCACAGACACCAGCATTCATGTGCTAATGAGGCTCACTACTAGTATTGCAAAGATGGGAAGTCAAACAGAATTATGTCCTTGCGAACATACAATAACTTGGAAAATTTTATTGAAAGACATTAAGTTTGCATACACACAAAAATGAGTGAAGAGTTTTTTGTTCCATTGAATAATTTAGAGGACATCTAAGAGAACACAAGTTTGAAATCTTATTATATTTTGTATAATGATACATAATAATTTCCATGATAAAGCTGATGTGTATTGAGGAGATCATATGTGCCAAGCACTCACTGTGTGTTAAGCATATTCTATTCATTGTATCATTTAATCCTCAAAATATTATCACCGCCTGTATTGATTGGGGTTTTCCAGAGAAACAGAACCAATGTCTAAACAGAGAGAGAGATTTCACGCAATTATGGAGGCTAACAAGTGCTGTCATCTGCAGGGTGAGGCAGCAAACTGGAGACCCCAGAGAACTGATGGTGTTAGTTCCAGTCCTAAGGCCAGCAGGCTCGAAACCCGGAAAGAGCAGTGTTTCAGTCTGAGTACAAAGGCAGAAAAAAGCCAATGGTGCAGTTTAAAAACCTTCAGGCAGGAGGAATTCTCTCTTACTTCGGAAAGGACCGACTTTTGCTCTATTCAGGTCTTCCGTGGATTGGATGAAGTCCACCCACATTAGGAGGGGCAACTGCTTTCCTCAATCTGCCAATTTAAATGACAATCATCCCAAAACGCCCTCACGAACACACCCAAAATGATGTTTAGGCAACTAGCTGTGCACCTGTATCCCTAAGAGTTAACACATAAAACCTACCATCCCATCACTCTTTCCAAATAGAAAAAGTGAGGCTCAGAGAGGTTAAGTCACTTCCCCAAAGTCACAGAGCTTCTTATAAGTGGTGGAGGGTTTGACTGAGGACCCATGCTCTATTGTAATCATAGAAAATCCTAGTGGAATTTTCCAATAGAATAAAACGCCTGCCCAGCTGCAGCCAAACGTTCCATAGACAATGTCTCTGGGCCTTTTGTGGCAGAAAAACCAACATAAGGAAAAGAAGGCTGGAGATGCCAGTTTTATCAAACTCCCATAAGGTAAAGGGAAATATCTTTCTGGGGAAAGGAGACTAAAGGAGAAAATTAACAGCCACTTTTCAGGGAGAGAGAAAGAGCAGGGACCCAGCCCCTCTGAGACTGTGGGCTGGGTGTGGCCTGAGCTGATTGGCAGCTCCATTGTAACTATACTGTAAAGGAATGACTCTACCCAAACTGAGCTAAAGGAGAGTTTGAAGCATTTTTAAAAACTCTGCCCAGGCCAGGCGTGGTGGCTCATGCCTGTAATCTCAGCACTTTGGGAAGCTGAGGCAGGCAGATCATTTGAGATCAGGAGTTCAAGACCAGCCTGGACAACATGGTGAAACCTCATCTCTACTAAAAATACAAAAATCAGCTGGGTGTGGTGGTGCACACCTGTAATCCCAGCTCTTTGGGAGGCCAAGACAGGTGAATCACCTGAGGTCGGGAGTTTGAGACCAGCCAGGCCAACATGGTGAAGTCCCATCTCTACTAAAAACACAAAAATTAGCTGAACATGGTGGTGGACACCTGTAATCCCAGCTACTTGGGAGGCTGAGGCAGGAGAATCACTTGAACCCAAGAGGCAGAGGTTGCAGTGAGCCAAGACTGCGCCACTGCACTCCAGCCTGGGTGACAGAGCGAGACTCTGTCCAAAAAAAAAAAAAAAAAAATTCTCAGACAACCAGCAGTGATACAAGAGATAAAAGGCATCTGGCTTTACGCTGCAAACAAAAGGGAAACAGGAAGTGAGAGAGCAGTTGGCCTCTAAGAAGCATCCATTTGTTTTACCCTGCCAGGTGCCTACAAGGTGATGGTTTTGCCTCCCAAATATAATCAGGGGCCCAATCTCTGCATTCAGAGAAGTATATTTCAGCAACCCATAAGTAATCCAAAAGCAGTTCCCCACACATCAGCTCAAACAGTGTTACAGGACAGGCATTCTTGGTGCCATCAGATCCAATGTCCCATGTTTTAACCAACAATTGAAAAGCCCTCTTTTTTTTTTGAGACAGGGTCTTACTCTATAGTCCAGGCTGGAGGGCAGTGGTGGGATCTTGGCTCATTGCAACCTCCACCTCCTGAGTTCAAGCGATTCTCGTGCCTCAGCCTCCCGAGTAGCTGGGATTACAGATGCGTGCCACCATGCCCGGTACATTGTTTTTTTTGTATTTTTGGTAGAGACAGGGTTTCACCATGTTGGCCAGGCTGGTCTCGAACTCCTGACCTCAAATGATCCACCAGCCTCAGCCTCCCAAAGTGCTGGGATTATAGGCGTGAGCCACCATGCCCAGCTGAAAAGCTCTCTTTTCTACCCTGAAAAAAAAAAAAATGTGCTGATCCTATAACCCATCTACTCTTCTAACCAATCACAATTGTGCCCTAATTATAATAAAAAGGAGAAATGAAATGATGAGGATTTCTAATGAAATAATATATAGAGAAATGATATGGGTTTCCACCAGGAAAGACGGAGCGAAGCAGTCAAGTGCTCACACACGTGTGTGTAGAATAACCAGTGACAGTCACAAACGCAGACAGCGTGGTGTGTTGTCGCATCGGCTTTACTGAGAGTGCCATGTTCTTCAAAAGAGTGGCTCTTTCTTGATAAATTCCCATACCAAACAGAGTCAAATCTTCTCTTGATTTACACCATAGCTGCTACATTCTTGGAAACATCAGTGTTCATTCAACACTTACATGTAAAATAGAACATGTAAACATATAAAATAGAATAGGCAGATAAAATAGAAGAAGGTTGGACCGGGCGTGGTGGCTCACACCTGTAATCCTAGCACTTTGGGAGGCCAAGGTGGGCCGATCACAAGATCAAGAGAGCAAGACCATCCTGGCCAACAGGGTGAAACCCCGTCTCTACTAAAAATACAAAAATTAGCTGGACGTGGTAGTACCCGCCTGTAGTCCCAGCTACTCGGGAGGCTGGGGCAGGAGAATCGCTGGAACCAGGGAGGCAGAGGTTGCAGTGAGCCGAGATGGCACCACTGCACTCCAGCCTGGGTGACAGAGTGAGACTCTGTTTCAAAAAAAAAAAAAAAAATAGAACAAGGTTATAGACTCTGATAATCATGGTTCTTCTAACCCATATGAATTTGGGATCTACACATATATATATTCAAAAAACTACCCCACACCGTAATGACTCCCCCATCCCTATCATTAGGGCAACCAAAAGCTCTCTGCAGATTTAAAACACACACACACAAACACACACACACACACACACACACACAAACACACACACACACACACACACAAACACACACACACACAAACACACACACACGGGACAATTCAGTCCCCAGTGAGAACCTCTGTAATAAAAGGTCCAATTCCTAACCCGCAATAATATTCTTTTTTTTTTTTTTTTGAGACAGAGTCTCGCTGTCGCCCGGGCTGGAGTGCAGTGGTGCGACCTCAGCTCACTGCAAGCTCCGCCTCCCAGGTTCACGCCATTCTCCTGCCTCAGCCTCCCGAGTAGCTGGGACTACAGGCATCCGCCACCATGGCCGGCTACTTTTTTGTATTTTTAGTAGAGACGGGGTTTCACTGCGTTAGCCAGGATGGTCTCGATCTACTGACCTCGTGATCTGCCCGCCTCAGCCTCCAAAGTGCTGGGATTACAGGCGTGAGCCACCACGCCTGGCCCACAATAATATTCTTAAAGTCCCCTTTCCCGCCTCCTCAGTTCTCCCACAATTCCCAGTTTCCCCAGAACAAACCCCAAGAGATTTCTCTGCCCTTCCCCCCACCCCCAGGCAGAGATGTCTTCCAACTCTTCCCCAGCACTGTAACTCTCCACTCTGGTCAAGTGGACTCCACCTTGGGGAAAGAATGTTTGTACCGGGCACCAAACTAGACTTTGGAGATACACTAGTTCTTAGTATCTGCTAGTGTGATAATTAAGGTAATTATTTAGACCAGGAATCTGCAAAATACAGCCTGAAGGCCAAATCCGAGCTGCTTGTTTTCCTATGGCCTGAAAGCTAAGAAAGAATGGTTCTTACATTTTATATTATTATTATTATTATTATTATTATTATTATTATTATTATTACTATTTTGAGATGGAGTCTCGCTCTGTCGCCCAGGCTGGAGTGCAGTGGCACCATCTCAGCTCACTGCAACATCTGCCTGCCAGGTTCAAGCGATTCTACTGCCTCAGCCTCCTGAGTAGCTGGAATTACAGGCACCTGCCACCACACCCGGCTAATTTTTGTATTTTTAGTAGAGACAGGGCTTTACCATGTTGTCCAGGCTGGTCTCGAACTCCTGACCTCAGGTCATCCGCCCACCTCGGCCTCCCAAAGTACTGGGATTACAGGCATGAGCCACTGCGCCCAGCTAGTTCTTACATTTTAAATAGTTAGTGGGAAAAAGACAAAAGGAATAATACGTCATTACATGACAATTATATGAAATTCCAATTTCAGAGTTTATAAATAAAGTATTGTCTGTGGCTGCTTTTGTACTACAATGGCAGGGTTGCATGGTTGCAAGAGAGCACATGGCCCCCAAAGCCTCAAATAATCCACTATCTGGGCCTTTACAGTAAGGTTGTCAGCCCCTGGCTTAGGCACTAAACAAGTGCTTTCAAGCACCTACTATATGCCAGACACTAAGGTAATAGAGAGGGGAGACAATCAACAAGAAGCATTCTTTCTCAAAAGTTTTAGGCTAGGCACAGTGGCTAAAGCCTATAATCCCAGTACTTTGGGAGGTCGCGGCAGGAGGGTCAATTGAATGCAGGAGTCCAAGACCAGCCTAGGCAACATAGTAAGACCCCGTCTCCTCAAAAAATGCAAAAAAAAAAAAAAAAATTAGTTGAGCATGGCAGTGTGTGCCTGTAGTCCCAGGTAGTTGGGAGGCTGAGGTGGGAGGATCACTTGAGCCCAGGAGGTCAAGGCTGCAGTGAGCCAAGCCATGATGGTGCAATGGCACTGCAGCCTGGGAGACAGAGTGAGACCCTGTCTCAAATAAATAAATAAGTTAATTAATTAATTAATTAAATTAAAAGCATGTTATTCAGAATCACATAGACTTGGGCTCAGCTCTTCAGCCATAAGCATGTTTCTTTTCTCTTTTTCTTTTTTTTTTTTTTTGTTGAGACAGAGCCTTGCTCTGTCACCCAGGTTGGAGTGCAGTGGCACAATCTTGGCTGACTGCAACCTCCACCTCGTGAGGTCAAGCGATTCTCCTACCTCAGCTTCCTGAGTAGCTGGGATTACAGGCACGTGCCACGATGCTCGGCTAATATTTGTTTTCCTTTTTTTTTTTTTTTTTTGAGACGGAGTTTCGCTCTTTTTGCCCAGGCTGGAGTGCAATGGTGCAATCTCAGCTCACTGCAACCTCCTGCCTTCCGGGTTCATTCGATTCTCCTGTCTCAGCTTCCCGAGTAACTGGGATTACAGGTGCATGCCACCACACCTGGCCTAATGTTTGTATTTTTAGTAGAGACAGGGTTTCACCATGTTGGCCAGGCTGATCTCGAATGCTGAACCTCATGATCTGCCCACCTCAGCCTCCCAAAGTGCTGGGATTACAAGCGTGAGCCACCGCGCCCGGCCCATGAGCATGTTTCTTGACCTCAGTTTCCCCTTCTGTAAAGCATGGTGTGGATTGTTCACCTCGCATGGGCATGTGAATATCAAATGAGACATCCTGTGCAATGTGCCTCAGACAAAGAAAGGAGATCAGCAAATAATATTTCCTTTCTAGTTCATCCTCTCTTCCCATGTATGCCAAGAAAGCAGGCGAGATTGAGTGAGGGAGGTCATATCCTCTTTGTCTAAATGTTTTCTTGTTAGAGAACATCTTTCTTCTTAACATCCCTTCCTACATAAAGAATCTCTGTCAGAGGAATATTAAAAGGCCCTAACCTACAGTTAGATGGAAGGCGAGACTCCGATCTCACAGCTGAATCACTTTAGTCTACCTCTCTACCCATCTAATGCTACCCCCTTCAAAAATAATAATAATAATATGAAAGTTGGGAAGTGGAAAACCATCCTCTGGAGTTTTCAAAAACTAATTCCATTGTAATCATAGAAGACTGAAGGCAGGATTCATGACACATTTCTCTTCCTCCTGGGCAGATGAATCTACAATTTGTATTTGATTTTAAATGTGATTCTCCTGCATCTTCAGTGGGTTTGATTGATAGAGCACATGGGGCCACTCAGTAAAATGATACAGTGGAGATCAAAGCCGGAAAGATAATTTTTGCCAAAATGTCTGCAGCCGACAGTGAGTTATAAGCCTTTGTCTCCCACTTTACGGAACACAATTTTATTTAAAGCCGAAATCTGTCACTTTGGTATTGTTTATTGAAATGCATCCCATACCACGGTCCCGTGAAGAACAACGTCAAGTCAAAAGGTAAAAAAATCCAATGGTTACAAACAGCCCAGGACCAAATAAAGGAGGGAGAATGCTTCCAATCTGCGTAAATATTACCCACCAGTGATGCATTTGGGGCAAGCAATGAAGTCATTCATCTGCAAAGTAAATATCTGGCATTGTCAGAGGTGCCTGACACAGCCCCATAAACCCAGTGAGTTCTGTTCCATTCAGCAGCTCACACATCTCTATTTGATAACTTTGCTTTATTTATGGGTCCACAATGGGAGTCATAACTGGGTTTTTATCTTTGCACAACTTTTTTACTTTATTTTTTGAGACAGGGTCTCACTCTGTCACCCAGGCTGGAAGTGCAGTGGTGTGATCACAGCTCACTGCAGCCTCGACCTCCTGTGCCCAAGCAATCCTCCCACCTCAGCCTCCCAAGTAGATGGGATTACAGAAATGCACTTCCACACCTTGCTAATTTATATTAGTTTTTGTAGAGACGGGCTCTCCCTAGGTTGCTCAGGCTGGTCTTGAACTCCTGGGCTCAAGTGATCCTCCCACCTAGGCCTTCCAAGTAGCTGGGACTACAGATGCACACCACCATACCCAGCTAATTTTTAAATTTTTTATAGAAAAGGAGTCTCACTATGTTGCCCAGGCTAGTCTCAAACTCCTGGCCTCAAGACATTCTCCCACCCTGGCCTCCCAAATTGCTGAGATTACAGGTGTGAGCCACTGTGCCCAGCTTGCACAGCTTTTTTAAACCTTTTTTTTTTTTTTGCATTCATTCACGCTTTTCATACATCATGATTGAGGATCTACCCTGCAGACTGTATGGAGTTATCTAGAAGGCAGGAAGGCAGAGAACTAAAACCTTTGGTTAAAATATCTGGGGTTGAGCTCAGTGTTTCCTGCTCTCCAGCTATGTGACCTTGATCGGGTCTCTTCACCTGTCTGAACCTCAGTTTCCCCACTGCAAAGTGGAGAGCAAATGAGACCATGGACTTGGAAATGCTTCATACATTTCTGAGTGCCTCACAGATATGAAGCCCAAAGATAGCACCATTCTAGGCTCTGTCAGGACAATGAGGCCAAAGTTGTCACTGATGCCATAAAGTTGTCTCTACAGCGAAAGGTCCCTGGAATTAGCAGGAGGCTTTTGTGGAGCAAATGCCTCCTTTTCTGCGTAGAAAGTGAGATGCCTCAATCACTCTGCCTAGATGCCTCTAGATGCCTCAATTCCTCTGCCACCAACAGACTCTGTGACATTGGGTCACTTTTGAGATTCCTGGGTCCTGCCTACTTCACCAGAATGTCATGTTCTGGAACCTTCTCAGTCTCCAACCTCATCACTCACAAGCTTTTCTTATGCTTTGATAGATGCTACAATTGCTTGTCAAAAAAAGAGCCTCATCTTCTCCGTTGCTAAGAGAACCCCAATTTTTAAAGTATTGAACAGTCACATGCTTTAGGAGAAGTTGCCCTTCTGAGCCTCAAGGAGTGAATCTTGACTGACCTAAACTAATCATAGTAATACTGACCCCCTGTCTAGTGATTGCTTTCGAATAGGCACGTGACCCATTGTGACCAATGAGAGTTGATGGAAATTTCCTCCTTGCTGTCAACAATGGACACAAGGAAGACACATTTTCTCCTCTGACCTTTGGACATTGAACGTTATTGTGTTAGGATGTGATGTAAGGCACTGTGGCACCCATTTTGTGCTCATTAGAGGAAAAGACTGGAATTAAGCCCTTGCTCTGTAAGTCAGAGCACAAAGATGGCAAGAGCCCAGGTCTTTGATGATACAACTGAACTACTGAATAAACCAACCCTAGACTCACCTACCCCCAAATTCCTTTTAATGTGAGAGAATAATGTCCCATCTTGTTTAAGCAATTTCAGGTTTCCATTACTTACTAATGAATATATTTGGATTCCAAGTTGTTATTTCCTTGCATGGAATGCTTCTGACACAACTCACCCTTGCTAGCCTCAAGGGTGGTGGCCGAACTGGGGAGGGTCCAAGAGGAATTGCAAAAAACAGAGCTGCAAGGAGCAGCCTTATCTCTGACCGCTGTGGTGAGCCCTCCACTTTGTATACCCTCCCCCAACCGTGTGACTCTGGATCAGCCAATCAGGTGATCTCTCTTGGCACCTTGACTCATGATGCAAGAACACAGGCCCTATTGGGTTTCCATGAATTCTCTGCAGGGAGAGCAGGGGTCCCCAGATCAGCCTATCCCTAACGCATGCCCTTGGAGGAGTTGCCACTATAAAGCTATCTGGAGTCACCTTGTATGGGGTGTTTTCCAAGGCTGGGCCTTCAGCAGTGCCTTCGGCATGTTCTCTTTCTTTGGTAAGAGTCAGTTTCTGGGGTGAACAACTGAGAACTCAGGGACATAGACAAGAAATCATGTCTCATTCTTAAAAGCCTCAGCACAAGTCCTGGCATAGAGTAAGTGTTGATGGGAGGTTGGATGAATGAATAAAGGAGTGAGAAAGTTAATTGCTTCCCTTCTCTGGGCTGCTGTATCAATCAAGGTTGTGGCAGGAAATACATAGTAAACTGAAATGGGGTAACTAAAAAGAGTTTAGCAAAGGGCTATATATAGCTGTATAAGTGGGATTAAAAAAAACAAAAACAAAAAGGGAGGTTGCAGTAGCCCTAACTAGCAGCAGTGAGGAGCCATTTCTACCCCTAGACCTGGAGGGGAAATAGTTATGGAACCCAAGGAGAGTAGCCACAGTCTTCAGGGAAAGACAGCTGCCTGGCAGGAGCTTCCAACCTATGGCAACCCAACAGGAAGGAGCCACAGAAATAAATATCCGAATCCCTCTCTCCTCCCACCTTCTAGTATTCTATGATCCCCACCCCATTGGCCAAACCCAAGCAGCCACAAGAGGATGGGAGACCACATGTGATGTAGTCCATAGAAGTCAGCCTCCTGGGGTACAAAGCAGGAAATGGGGGTGGACAGTGGATGTAAAGGAGCAAATACAAAATATCCGGCACAGATATTGCTATGGTTTGCATGTGTTCCCCAAAGTTCGAGTGCTGGAAACTTAATCCCTGATGCAACCGTGTTGAGAGGTGAGGCCTTCAAGAGGTGTTTGGATCATGGGGACATCATCTTTCTGAATGGATTAATGCCTTTATCATGGGAGCGGGCTGGTTTTCACAGGAGTAGGTGCTCTCTCTCACCCTCTCTCTCACCCATGTGATGCCTTGGGTCACACCATGATGCAGCAAGAAGGCCTTCACCAGATGTAAGCTCTCAACCTCGGACTTCCCAGCCTCCAGAACTGTGAGCCAAGTAAATTTCTATTCATTGTAAATTACCTGGTCTGTGGTATTCTGTTATAGCAGCACAAAATGGACTAAGACAGATAGTATCTAGTGATAGGATAGACTACAAGAATCTCTTTCACCCAGATCCTGCAGCCACAAAAGGGCCAACGCTCTTTGGAGAGTTTATCTCTCACCCAAGCAGCCACCAGCATCATCAGCAAACAGCAATGTTCCTCTACACGCTTGTGTGTTTCCTTCATTGGTACAAGTTTCCACCATTGTTTTGCTCATAAGAGAAACCATTCTCCAAAGCCCAGAGTAATTATAGAGCCCATAAGTCTTGGGGCTTTCTGAATTTGAAGCAGATTCAGGGCTCAAGAGAGCCAAGAAGTCATATCAATGCCAGGAATCTGGACCCCAGGCAGACAGCGTGGATAACCTACCCCAACAGAGGTGCAGGCTCTCTTCCTTTCACCCAAAAAATAGCAAACACATTTATTGATCACCGTGGGCCTTTTCCTTCCACCTGGAGGTTAGCAGGAACTTTCAAAGGTTTAGTGTCATCCATATCCCATTGTCTTCTTCATGCACAGAAAAGACAAACTTCTTCATCTCTGGAAAGGAGACATGGACTCACACTCCCCTTATTCTGAATTTTTGCCCACTAAGCCATTTCACAGGAAGTTAGCCATGGTTTGTGGATTTTTAAATGCTTCTGGGAGGAGAAGGATTTACTAGTGATAAGAAATAAAAATGCAAATGTTTTACTGATGAGATATGCATGTAAAGTGCTTGATATAATGCCTGACATGGAAAAAACACTCAATAAACGTTAGTCATCAGTATTTATATCATCATTCCTTTTAATACACGCCATCGACTGGGTGCAGTGGCTCACGCCTGTTATCCCAGCACTTTGGGAAGCAGAGGCGGGAGGATCACTTGAGCCCAGGAGTTTGAGACGAGCCTGGGCAACATAAGAAGACCCCATCTCTATAAAAGAATCTTTAAAAATTACCTAGGTATGGTGGCATGTGCATACAGTCCCAGCTACTCAGGAGGCTGGGGTGGGAGGATCAATTGAGCCCAGGAGGTCAAAATGAGGCTGCAGTGAACCATGATAGTACAAAAAAATAGTTAGAAAGAATGAATAAGGCCGGGCGCGGTGGCTTACTCCTGTAATCCCAACACTTTGGGAGGCCAAGGTGGGTGGATCATGAGGTCAGGACTTCGAGACCAGCCCGGTCAATATGGTGAAACCCCATCTCTACTAAAAAATACAAAAGTTAGCCGGGCGTGGTGACAGGCGCCTGTAGTCCCAGCTACCCAGGAGGCTGAGGCAGGAGAATTCCTGGAACCTGGGAGGCAGAGGTTGCAGTGAGCCAAGATCGCACCACTGCACTCCAGCCTGGGCGACAGAGCAAGACTCCATCTCAAAAAAAAAAAAAAAAAAAGAATGAATAAGACCTACTATTTGCTAGCACAATGGGGTGACTATAATCAAAAACAATTTAATCGTACATTTTAGAATAACTAAAAGAGAATAATTAGATTGTAACACAAAGGAAAACGCTTGAGATGATGGATACCCCATTTAGCCTGATGTGATAATTACACATTGCATGCCTATAATATCTCACGTAACCCATAAATATATACACCTACGATGTAGTCACAAAAACTAAAACTAAATATAAAACAACAAGCATTTATCATCTAATTGTCTGGATTTGGAACCCACAAGCCAACTCAGCTAAGTGCTCTGGCTTAGGGTCTCCAATGAGGCTGCAGGTAAGATGTCAGCCAGGACTGCAGTCATCTGAGCGTTTCTGGGGCTGAAGACTAGGCTTCCAGGCTCACTGTGTGGTTGTCTCTATTCCTTACTGGCTCTTAGACAGAAACCTCAATTCCTCACCACGTGGGCCTCTCCATAAAGTGCCTTAGTGTCCTCAAAACATGGCAGCTGGCTTCCTCCAAAGCGACTGATCCAAGAAAGAGAAAGAAAGAGCCAACAATGGAAGCTGCAGTCTTTCATGACGTAATCGCGGAAGTGACATAACATCACTTCTGCGGCATTGGTCACACACGAGCCCCAACATGGATCTTTCCAGCGTGGGAGGGGACTAAACAAGGTGTGAATGGCAGCAGGCAGGGATTGTTGCGGGCCATCTTGAAAACTGGTTCCCTCAGAGGAGAGCTGGAAGGCTGGGGACAAGGACACAAGAGAGGCTTTTTTATTTTTTTATTTTTTTGAGACCGAATCTCGCTCTCGCTGCCCAGGCTGAAGTGCAATGGCGCGATCTCAGCTCACTGCAACCTCCGCCTCCCGGGTTCCGGGAATTCTCCTGCCTCAGCCTCAGCAGAGTTCCCCAAGGGTACCTGTTGGCCTAGTTTGAGACTCTTGGCTCTGTTAGTGGGAGTCTCAAACTATGCTCCAGGCTGCTGATTGTTCTGAGGGATTTCTCTCTCTTTCTTTCTAACACTAAGAAATAGGAACTTGGCCTCCCAGAGTGCTGGGATTACAGGCGTGAGCCACCACGCCTGGCCTGTCTGTAATCTTTAAAAGTAATAGCATATTAGCTCTGAGGGTCGGTTGGATTTTCTTTTTTAAACAGTTGGCAGTCATTTGTAGCCAAGTCAGGTGAAAAGGGTAGGTGATCAAGCTCATTACAATTTTTATTGAAATAAAATTTATCTTTAGTAACGAGATTGATTTTTTGTGTGTGACTCCGGAGGGCAGTTTGCCCAGAGCAGTGGTTTTCAAACTCTTAACAAACTATCCCTGAGAGGAAAAGAGAATGAATTCATACTCTGTGGAGTGTAGCCCAAAATAACCTCTGCAAAGGTGAAATTTTCTTTGAAGTCTTATTTTACCTTAGGTATTTGTGAACTCTGCGTTCTATTTTGTGCCACATGTGTTTTAAGTTACTATTACTCTACTAAAGTTTATTCATCCTCCAGGAAGATGATGATGTTTGTACTGTAGTTTTTTATGTCCCAGGGATACAGCAGGGTTCCCCAAGGGTATCTGTTGGCCTAGTTTGAGACTCTTGGCTCTGTTAGTGGGAGTCTCAAACTATGCTCCAGGCTGCTGATTGTTCTGAGGGATTTCTCTTTCTTTCTAACACTAAGAAATAGGAAACACAGTTTTCAGTTTAAAAATAACATAATTACAAAGTGTAGAAAAGTCTCTCTTGGCCGGGCACGGTGGCTCATGCCTGTAATACCAGCACTTTGGAAGGCCGAGGCGGGTGGATCACGAGGTTAGGAGTTTGAGACCAGCCTCGCCAACATGGCAAAATCCCATCTCTACTAAAAATACAAAAATTAGCTGGGTGTGGAGGCAGGCAGCTGTAATCCCAGCTACTCGGGAGGCTGAGGCAGGAGAATCCCTTGAACCCAGGAGGTGGAGGTTGCAGTGAGCTGAGAATGCACTACTGCACTCCAGCCTGGGCGACAGAGCGAGACTGTCTCAAAAAAAAAAAAAAAAATTACAGGCAAAAGAGGTTGCCCATGTTCTCATCATTGGCAGCAGCAGCATCAAAATATGGCACCCACTCCAGTGATGCCTTTCCAGAAGGAGCAACACTCATGTGAAACCACCAGCTTTGCTTTGTTTTTGTTTTTGTTGTTGTTGTTTTTTCAGAGAGAGTCTCACTCTGTTGCTCAGGCTGGAGTGCAGTGGTGGGATCATAGCTCACTGCAGCCTTGAACTCCTGGGCTCAAGCGATCCTCCTACTTCAGCCTCCCCAGTAGCTGTGGCTACAGGTGCACACCAGCACGCCTTGCTAATTCAAAAAAAGAAAAAAAAGAAAAGAATTGTAGAGATGGGGTCTCGCTATATTGCCCAGGCTGGTCTCAAACTTCTGACCTCAATTGATCCTCCTGCCTTGGCCTCCCAAAGTGGCAGGATTACAGGCATAATCCAGCCATTGTCCCTGGCCTGGCTTTTTTTTTTTTTTTTTTTTTAATGTAGCTCATGACCACAAACGGAGTTTGGTTTCCTTGCTCTCTCTTTTTCCCATTTGGTACTTTTCTTTCTCTCCCATGCACTCCTCTTCAAACCAAAAGTGAATCTTGTTATTTCTTGAAAAATGTGTAGATGTTGAAGGGATGAAAAACCTGAACTCTAACGTCTGACTATCTGAACCCAAATTCTAGCCGCCCCACTCAGTTGCTGTGTGACCGTGAGTAAGTTCTTACCCTCTCTGAGCCTGTTTCTTCACTTGGAAAATAAAAGTATACACATATACAGCTGTTAGCCAGAACTCAGCCTAGGGTAACCTTTCAATAAATATTAGCATCATCAAGGAAATCGCTTGACAAATTAATTTTCATTAAGCAATGAGGGTCTATAACAGTGATGACTTCTGACCAACCAACCAGCCCAATGGCTGACAAAGGACTGATAACACTTTACATTTTTATAATTTCCCTAGATTTCAAATTCTCCATAAGGAGCAAGTACAGTTTTTATAATCAGACATAGAACTCGCGTTCACTCTGCTCATCCTGACCCTAGCCACTGGCCACCAATTTCTGGGTTGGCTGCTCCAACCTGAGAACACAGCTACTGGAATCAGAGGCAGAGGAGCTCCTCTTGCGTTCGTTGTTGGTTTCCCTTGGTTTTGTAAAAATAAATAAATAATAAAATAGGGATACACCCTTCAGACAGCAGGTAACTTCCTAAGCTAAGATGAACAGGAGGAAATTTAAATGTCTTTCCCCGGTTCAAATCCCCTACCCTCTCCCATCTGCCTACCCTGGGCTCCAACACTCGGGAGAAAGACCATAAGTCGTTCAGATGATGCTTTGGAGCTGGACAATCAATCGTGATCAAAAACAGGGGCATGGGAGCCTGGCTAACGTGGAGGGATGGGAGAAAATCAGGCTGAATTAGAGAAGGGTACATTGTGGAGTGTGTTTTACAACGCCATTAGTTCTAAGCACATAAGGATTTCAAATCAAGGAGCATCCACACACACACAAACTCTTGGATTCCTTAAGAGATAAGGCGGATCCAAAATTAGCATATAGATCAGAGGCATGCAGTTGAGTGCTGCTAAAGTGGGCTATAAATGCTTGGGGGAAAATAGTTGTTTTTCTGAAGAAACTTTACAACATTCCAAAATCTTGTCCAGGAAGTGTGAACTCTAAGTCCAATGGACTGAACTGTGTCCCCTCAAAATTGATATGTTGAAGCCTTAACTTCCATTATGATGGTATTAGGAGGTGGGCTTTTTTGGAAGACTATTAGTTTAGATGAGATCATGAGGATGAGGTCTTCGTGATGGAATTAGCATCCTTACAAGAAAAGACACCAGACGGCTTGCTCTCTTGCTCTGTCTCTCCTCTTCCCTCCCTCCCTCTCTACCTCCGCTCCCCCCACCCCCCACTTCCTCCGTCATGTGAGAATGCAGAGAGAAAGCAGCTTTCTGCAAGCCAGGAGGAGGGTCCGCTGGGAGCTACATCAGCCAGATTGTGGCACTTCTCAGCCTCCAAAACTGTGAGAAATAGATTTCTGTTGCTTAAGCCATCCAGTTTATACTATTTTGTTATTTGCAGCCTGATATGGTTCGGATTTGTGTCCCCACCCAAATCTCGTGTCGAATCGTAATCCCCAGTGTTGGAGGAGGGGCCTGGGGGAAGGGGATTGGATCACGGGGACAGACTTGCCCCTTGCTGTTCTCATGACAGTGAGTGAGTTCTCACAAGATCTGGTTGTTTAAAAGTGTGTAGCACTTTCCCCTTTGCTCTCTTCCTCCTACTCCAGCCATGTAGGACATGCCAGCTTCCCTTTCACCTTCTGCCATGATTGTAAGTTTCCTGAGGCTTCCTCAGCTATGCTTCCTGTACAGCCTGCAAAACTGTGAGCCAATTAAACCTCTTTTCTTTATAAATTACCCAGTCTCAGGTATTTCTTTATAACAATGCAAGAAGAGACTAATACACAGCCCAAACTAACTAAGACAAACCCACTCTGACCCATTCTGACACCCAAACTAACTAAGTCCTGGTTTGAACCCTTCACTATTGTGTCACCTTGGGGCAAGTCACCCAACTTCTCCAAATGTTTGTTTCCCACCAGGAAGATGGAAATGACAGTACCTCTCCTTCCTACCCCGCAAACCTATCAGGAGGATCGAAAGGGACATGGCAAGCAAATACTTTCTAAACTGTAAAGTGCTGTGCAAATGCAAGACAGCATTACTCTCTTTTTATGGAGTTATTTATACTCTACCTGGTTACAGCAGAGGATTTATGGTAGATGTCAGTAAGACTCTTTATTTTGAATTTTAAGAGAGAAATAAGAATCTTTGTTATCTGTAGAGAAACAAATATAATTTCCATGGGGCACTAATATAATATAATATAATATAATATAATATAATATAATATAATATAATATAATATAAATATACCTTACCGAATAAACCCTTTGCTCAGACGTAGTGAAAAGGTAAATTCCCCTTCAACCTAATGAAGTTTCAGTCGCTCACATTTTCTGAATTTGCCGAACAGAAATGCGATCAGGTGCCTACTAAGTGCAGTACCCAGCACGATGTCTAACATTGAAACATACAGTGTATACACCAGCACCTCCACCAAACCCATATCCAGCATGCAAAACATACCCTTTTCAAGTCGGAAGCACATAGATAGATTTTTTGGAGTTCAAAAGGTCTTAATGCAAACTGGCTCCAATTCCTTTTTTTTTTTTTTTTTTAAATCTTTGAAACATTGGTTAAGTCTTCTCAGAGCTATCATTTTGCACACATGGAAACTTTAGACCATCCATCCTTCAAGTGTCTTGGGGTAATTAGAGATACTGAAGGTTAAGGACCTAGCATACTACTAATAGATTTTCAACAAATGGTAGCTACTGTTATTTCTCATCATTGCAGATTTAAGAGTGCCAATTCTCAGAGCACTTCAGATAAAAACCCTACCTTTCTTAAGGCAAAAAACAACGGCATTAACTTTTTTTTTTAATTAACCTAAGTTCCCATTATGTTTAGAGAAGAGATCACAATGATAAATGCTTGCCCTGTCTCTCTTTTTTAAAAATTTACTGTTCTTACATGTGACATATACTGTGGTACTTAGTGTCACCCTACAAAGAATAAATTTAAATTGAAGAAACAGAAACACGGGAGAGTCCTTGTTTGGGTTTAATTTGTATCTGACTACAATAAAATTCTATCCTGGAAGCTAGAGTCATAAAACTAAAAGTCAGGAAGGAAAAGAATGGCTAATTAAGCTCCAAAACTAAAAGCTCTTTCTTTATTGCTATTTCTTTAAGTCCTAACAATTGGTCAGGCACAGGGTCTTAGCTGTGCCATTCTAGTTAATGGTCGGTTACAAATTTCCACCATAAACTCATCTTCCTTCTAGCAACTTAAATCTCAGGCACTGGGATGTAATAAGGAGAGAAAGCTCTTAGGCCCAGGGCAATCTCTCTCTCAATCCCAATCTCCCTTCCCCCCATCCCTATCCCACCACAGTAACTGTTAGTAAGAGCTTTTGGTTGCATGCCCAGAAATCTAACTCTGGCTAAATTAATCAAGAAACGAATATACTGGTTTACCCAGCTGAGGTCATTTACGGAAAGGGAATGCTAAGGTTTGAATGTGTCTCCTCCAAAATTCATGTTGAAACTTAATCCTTATTGCAGTGGTATTAAGAGGTGGGGCCTTTTAGGAAGTGATTCAGTCAGGAGGGCTTGGCCCTTAAGGAATGAATTCATGCCTTATAAAGGGGTAGAGGGAACTAACTTAGGCCCTTTTGCCCTTCCACCTTCCACATATGAGGATACAGCATTCATGCCCTCCAGAGGACACAAGGCACCACCTTAGAAGTAAGGAACAGAGCCCCTTACCAGACACAAAATGTGCCTGTGCCTTGATCCTGGACTCCTCAGCCTCCAGAACGGTGAGAAATAAGTTTCTGTCCTTTATAAGTTATCTAGTCTTGGGTATTTTGTTACAGCAGCAAAAACAGACTAAGACAGGAAGAGAAAAGAACCAGAGCCCCAGGGACTAGAAACAGGACTCACTGCCTCAAAGTACATGTATACTCTCTCTCTCTCTCTCTCTCGCTCTCTCTCTCTCTCTCTCTCTCTCTCTCTGTCTCCATTTCTCTTCACTGTTTGTCTTTGCTCAGCCTTATTCTCCATCTCTCTCCATGTGGGAGGGCAAGTAGAGGCTGGCACCTCCAGATATATATCCTCTCTGTTCAAGAACCACAATAAGTTAATCCCCAGGGAAGATTCTGATGCCTGTGCCACTCCAAGGTCCAACACTGCTGGGTGGATAGAGCCTGATGTTTGACCAGATATGTGCCACTTACCAACCATAGCAGACACTGGCAATGGCCACCCATGTCCCTTGGACCCTCCCCATCCCATACAAGCTGAAGGCCTCCCTCTGCAAGCACCTGCAACTCCCCACCTGAAGGCCTTTTCTCGGCCTCGGCAAGACAGGCCAGAAGTTCAAGGATGTCAAAGTCCCTGAGAGAATCCCTTGGTCAATGTCAGATGAGTGATGAAAGATAAATATCTCAGTTTTCTCAACACTCAGGTGGGACACTTTGAGGTGTGTTCCATGCCATCAACCAAAGCCCATCAAAAGGACCAAGCCCCGGCTGCCCATAGAAGTAACTTACTCATTACCTTGCTCTATTCTGGTTTAGATTTCCTTGTCTCATTTTGCCCTGTGATGGTTAATTTTATGTGTCAACCTGACTGGGACGCTGAGTGCCCAGATAATTGGTAAAACATTATTCTGGGTGTTCCCGTGAAGGTGTTTTCAGACGAGATTAACATTTAAATCGGTAGACGGAGGAAAGCAGGTTGCACTCCAGATGTGCGTGGTCCTCATCCAATCAGTTGAAGGTCTAAATAGAACAAAAGGCCAACCCTTGCCTGAGTCAGAGAGATCTCCTCCTGCCTGAGGGCCTTCAAACTGAAACGTCAAAATTTTCCTGCCTTTAGACTCAAACTGAAACACGGCTCTTTCTGGATCTCAAGCCTGCTGGTTTTCAGACTGGAACTACACCACTGGGTCTCCTGGGTCTCCAGCTTACTGACTCATTCTGCAGATCTTAGGACTTGTCAGCCTCCATAATTGCATACACACACACACATACACACACACACACACATATATATAAAAGTGCATATAGATACATATATGTATGTGAATGTATGTATATAAAAGTGCATATAGATACATATATGTATGTGTATATATATATACACACATACACACACATATATGTGTGTGTGTGTGTGTGTGTACATATACATGTGTGTATATACACACACACACACACACACACACACACACATATATATATATATATATATATGGACCATAGAGAAGTCTCTAAGCCAAAGCTGGGGACAGGGGAATCCTGTGTCTCCTTGGGAGAGGTCTGCTTTAGTGTCCCTGCCATGCTCAGTCATTAGCCAGGAGCACCTCATGGAAGGAAGCATATGGATTCCCCATATGCTTATATATGTGTGTGTGTGTGTGTGTGTGTATATGTATATGCATATGTGTGTGTGTATGTGTGTGTGCTATTCTATTGGTTCTACTTCTCTAAAGAACCCTGACTAATACACTCCCATTCTCCTACTGGTGCTTCCCAGAGTCACCCTACAAATAAACCATTACATGGAAATCCTCATCACAGGATCTGCCTCTGGGAAAACCCAGCCTAAGACATCCATGACTTTCATAGGAGAAGAAAGAGCTCTAGAATTGGCAGCCTTACTGAACCATGTGGAAGAGGAAAGGAGAGCACCTAAACAAAAGGGTATTAACCAATTAAAATAACCTAAACCCACACTTGTCCAAATTGCTGAGCAAGTGGGATGGGATGAAACAACTTTCAACCAGTGTCCAAATATTGCTGTGACTCCTAGACTGGCTTGACACAAAGGCAGTGTCCACCAGCTCTAAACATCCATCTCAACTAAGATTTCTCCAGGAAGGCTAGAACTGACACCCTCTGCTTAGGTTCTCAGTGACTTCACCCAGCCAGCAAAGGAGCTCTTAGGAAGGCAGACAAGCCCTGAAGTCTGTCTGCTCAGACTCCAGCTACCTGCTCTATTCCTGCTTTATCAACCTCTAGCTTAGTCGCTCAATCTCCAGCTTTGCTCCTTCCCATTAGATTCTATGGCTGAACCTGACTGCCATAGTTTGTTTCTCAGATGAATTTAAGGCAAGGGTTGCAAACTTAAATGCACACATGGGCAGACAAGTAACACAAATGAGTGAAGAGTACAGATTAGGGCAACTGGGTCTGGTGGAGACTGTGGCAAACTAGAGAGCACACACCCTATCTAAGGAGGCAGCGAGGACTCAATTTTGCAAGATTTGTGGAATGGACTCCCAATGTTGCCAAACTGCCACTATTTTTTAAAGAGAAGCAGGAAATCCAGGGGTTTTTAAAGATGTAAAATACACAGTTTGTTGAATGCTGGCGACTGATTTTTTTTTTTTTTTTTTTGAGACAAGAGTCTCACTCTGTTGCCCAGGCTGGAGTGCAGTGGCATGATCTCAGCTCACTGCAGCCTCCTCCTCCCACATTCAAGAAATTCTCCTGCCTCAGCCTCCTAAGTAGCTGGGATTACAGGGGTGCACCACCATACCCAGCTAATTTTTGTATTTTTAGTAGAGATGAGGTTTCCCCCTTGTTGGCCACGCTGGTCTCCAGCTCCTAATCTCAAGTGATCTGCCTGCCTTGGCCTCCCAGAATGCTGGGGTTACAGGTGTGAGCCACAGCACCCAGCCCTGATTTTTTTTAATGTAAATACTGTATGAACCCAGACAAATGTTCTGCCAGGCCAGTGCTGCATGGCTCACCACGTGGTGGCCCTGAGAATGGGCCTCATCGACCTGCCTCTACTGGGAGTGTAATTAACCAGGGCCCCAGCTGCTGCGCTGGGGAATCCATATGCTTCCTTCCATGAGGTGCTCCTGGCTAATGACTGAGCATGGCAGGGACACTAAAGCAGACCCCTCCCCGGGAGACACAGGATTCCCCTGTCCCCGGCTTTGGCTTAGGGACTTCCCTATGGTGTTCGCACCCTAACTTTTTTCTCCTCTCTCTTTTACTCAGAGTCAGACTTGCATTACTGTCTCAGGTTCTCCCAGCTTTATGTGGCACCTTCTTTGCTTTCTCTCAAGGGCATTTCCCTTAATAAAAATCACATATGTGTAATCCTGTATGGGAGTTTGTTTCTCAGAACTGGGCTGACACACCATCTTGCAAACTCTGCTTTCGGCATTCAGCTCACACTTACTTACACCCTCCAAACTCCAACTATTTAGGGCTAATTCCATTCCAGCTCCCACCCGTTGAATCCCTTCCCCCTCCCCCTGCTTCCTCCTCCCATTCTGCTTTCCTGGAAACAGCATTTCCACTTACTTTTGAACAATGGTCCTTCCTTCACTGTTCATTCATGGAGTTTGGATAGCACCATCTTCTAAAGCTAGGGCTGAGCACATGATCAGGACTGACTAATCACCCTCTTCTACTTCCTTAGCCACAATAATTCGTTCAGAGATGGGCACCTGACTCTTACAATGCAATGAGAGTCAGCTTCTTATGCCAGTGCTTTTGGCAAAGGTAAGTTCATTTTCCCCTGGGATTACTAAGCTGGTAGGAGGTAAGTCAGCAGCTGCTGATGGCATAAGAAAAGGGCCTGATAATGAAGCCAACATGGATGAAAAGAGAGCTGAGAAGTAGAGATCAGACAGATTTCAAAGCATATCATTTAAGCATCTGGATCCAGCCATACTTGAAGTCCAGTCTATCTGTGGGCTTTGAAGTTGCATGGAACAATAGCAAGATGTAGCTGAGAGAGTTTTGGCTAATATACCACCTCACCTCTCATTCAGTTTCATGGAATATAACAGACATTGCCAACTAAAATTTACAAACAGCATTGATATAAAAGCTCCGCCATTTAAAAAAGGAAACTTTCTATTCTTTCACTGTGTGGCCTTGGGAAATTTCTAATCCGTTCTGAACTTCAGCTTTTTTCCCTCTCAAATGTAGCAAATACAACATAACTTGCTTGCCATGGAGGGAAATCAGATGCCCTTATCTAGGAAAGTAAAGATAGAGGTATAAAACATTGTTATTTCAAAAAAAAAAAAAAAAATCCAGCACATAAGTCTAGGAGCATTGAACAAGGGTCAGATTGCATGGATTCAGATTCCAGCTCCATTACTAACTGGCTGTGTGACCTTGGACAACTCAATTGACCTCTCTGGCCCTCAGTTTCCTTATCAGTAAGACGGAAACTCCAATCATATCTATTGCACGGGATAGTTGTAGAAATTAATAGATACATAAGTGCTTAGTGCAACATGTGGCACTCAAAATATGTGTGGTATGATTGTTATTGACACAATGTTTGACCCATGAATGATTGTGATGCCAACCCCCTCACAGTTGGAAATCCACCTATAACTTTTGACTCCCCCAAAACGTAGCTACTAATAGCCTATTGTTGACCAGAAGTCTTACCAATAACACAAACAATAGACACATATGTTGTATTTTAGATGATTATACACTGTATTCTTACAATAAAATAAGCCAGAGAAAACAATATATGATTAAGAAAATCATAAGGAAGAGAAAATGTATTTGTTATTCATTAAGTGGAAGTGGATCATCATAAACGTCTTCATCCTCATTGTCTTCACATTGAGGAGACTGAGGAAGAGGAGGAAGAGGAGGAATTGGTTTTGCCGTCTCAGAGGTGGCAAAAACAGAAAAAAATCCATGTATAAGTGGACCCATGTGGTTCAAATCCATGTTGTTCAAGGGCCAACTGTATTTATATTACAATAAATGCTGTTAATGTTGTCACTGTTGACCCTTCTATTCCATTCCCAACATCACTTCCTATGCCCAGTGGAAAATTCCATCTTAAAATCACCCAGCCCAAGCCCTCTTCAGTAGACTCAGATAGATGGCTTGTCAAGGGCATGACTTAACTTCTCCAAACACAACCAGCCCAGTTTCAACTGCCATTTGGGGAACTTTCCCAATTACCACATTTCCGCACGTCAAGTATGAATTACTTTAATTGCCCCAGAAGAACGCACTGTTGAAACATTTGACTTGCCCAGAACTAATTGTCTGTCAAAAAGATATTTTGCAGCCAAGCTGATCTCTTAATTGGACATCTAATTTAACTGAAAACCTTTTTCCCTGCTTGTTTTATGCTTTCTTCTCCTGTTTTTGCCAAATTCTGGATGCTGGGCACTGCTTTCAGAAATAATTTATCTTGTTATTTTCTATTATAAAAGTAATACATGTTCATTATAGAAAAACTGAAAAAAAAAATTCCACATGAAGAAAAACAGTGGATCCTAGACTCATTGCCCAGAGGAGGACTATGAACATTCCACATGAAGAAAAACAGTGGCTCCTAGACTCATTGCCCAGAGGAAGACTATGAACATTCCAAATGAAGAAAAACAGTGGCTCCTAGACTCATTGCCCAGAGGAAGACTATGAACATTCCAAATGAAGAAAAACAGTGGCTCCTAGACTCATTGCCCAGAGGAAGACTATTAACATTCCACATGAAGAAAAACAGTGGCTCCTAGACTCATTGCCCAGAGGAGGACTATGAATATTCCACATGAAGAAAAACAGTGGCTCCTAGACTCATTGCCCAGAGGAAGACTATGAACATTCCAAATGAAGAAAAACAGTGGCTCCTAGACTCATTGCCCAGAGGAAGACTATGAACATTCCAAATGAAGAAAAACAGTGGCTCCTAGACTCATTGCCCAGAGGAGGACTATGAACATTCCAAATGAAGAAAAACAGTGGATTCTAGACTCATTGCCCAGAGAAAGACTATGAACATTCCAAATGAAGAAAAACAGTGGATCCTAGACTCACTGCCCAGAGGAGGACTATGAACATTCCAAATGAAGAAAAACAGTGGATCCTAGACTCATTGCCCAGAGAAAGACTATGAACATTCCAAATGAAGAAAAACAGTGGATCCTAGACTCACTGCCCAGAGGAGGACTATGAACATCTTAGCAAGTCTCCCCTCAGGTTGTCCTAGAATAGATGTCTCTACGTAGTTAATAAAAACATACATTCAAGTTTTGCAGCTTTTTGTTCCACTTTACATTTTAAGTTGAACGTTTACACTTCCCATTCCAAGATCTTCAGAAACATGTTTAGAAACAGAAGAATATCCCAACAACAGTCTGTTTAACCTCTTCCCCTAATGCTGAACTATTGTTGCTTTAAGCATACATTTTCTGTGTGTGTTTCAGATGTAGTTTCCTTAGGAAAGATTCTCTATGCTGTGCAACAATTCCCCATGTGTCTCTTACATTTCTGCACATCTTGTGTCAGCATTTGTTCTAGACCGTCTTTATAAGGATGTTTGTATAGCTAATAGCATTGGAAGATAGGGCTAATATAGTAGAAGACAGATTTATTTGCTGATTAGGATTATAATAATAATATCTCCGGACCAGGCGCAGTGGCTCATGCCTGTAATCCCACCAATTTGTGAGGCTGAGGCAGGCAGATGACCTGAGGTTGGGAGTTCGAGACCAGCCTGGCTAATATGGTGAAACCCCCGTCTCTACTACAAACACTTAAAAAATTAGCTGGGTGTGGTGGTGGGTGCCTGTAATCCCAGCTACTTGGGAGACAGGTGGGAGAATTGCTTGAACCCAAGAGGCAGGGGTTGCAATGAGCTAAGATCATACCACTGCACTCCAACATGGGTGTGACAGAGCAAGACTCTACCTCAAAAAAAACAAAAAACAAAAAAAGAAGAAGAAAAAGAAAAAGAAAGGATTATAATGACAATGTCTCCCTCCATCCAGGGTAAAGGTTGAAAAGACCAAGATTCCTAAACTTGGGGTTCCTCAGGTGTGATGCAAATCCACTGCAGGCACAGATTCTACCTGGATCCATCCGTGTATTACTCATTTCTCACACTGCTAATAAAAACATACCCAAGGCTGGATGTGGTGTCTCACACCTGTAATCCTAACACCTTGGGAGGCCGAGGTGGGCAGATTGCCTGAGCTCAGGAGTTTGAGACCAGCCTGGGCAACATGGTGAAACCTCATCTCTACTAAAATACAAAAAATTAGCCAGGCATTGTGGTGCACACCTATAATCCTAGCTACTCAGGAGGCTGAGGTGGGAGAATCGCTTGAACCCGGGAGGTGGAGGTTGCAGTGAGCCAAGAATGCGCCACTGCACTCCAGCCTGGGCGACAGAGTGAGATTCTGTCTCAAAAAAAGAAAAAAAAAAGGCTAGGCATGGCTGTAATCTCAGCACTTTGGGATGCTGAGGTGGGCAGATCACCTGAGGTCAGGAGTTCAAGACCAGCCTGACCAACATGGAGAAATCCCATCTGTACTAAATATACAAAATTAGCTGGGTGTGGTGGTACATGCCTGTAATCCCAGCTACTCAGGAGGCTGAGGCAGGACAATTGCTTGAACTTGGGAGGCAGAGGTTGGGGTGAGCTGAGATCCTGCCATTGCACTCCAGCCTGGGCGACAAGAGTGAAACTCTGTCTCAAAAAAAACAAAAAAACAAACAAACAAAAAACATACCCTAGACTGAGTAATTTATAAAGGAAAGAGATTTAATTGACTCAGGGAGGCCTCGGGAAACTTACAATCATGGCAGAAGGGAAAGCAAACATGTCCTTCTTCACATGGCGGCAGAAAGGGGAAGAATGAGCAAAAGAAGAAAAAGCCCCGTATAAAACCATCAGATTTTGTGAGAACTCATTCACTATCATAAGAACAGCATGAAGATAACTGCCCCCATGATTAAATTACCTCCCACTGGGTCCCTTCCATGACACATGGGGATTGTGGGAACTACAATTCAAGATGAGATTTGGGTGGGGACACAGCCAAACCATGTCAACCTGTGTCACCCTTGAGGGACTTGGGGGTCAAAGGGAACTGGTGCAGACATGAAGCTCAAGCTTCCTGTTGTGCCATGAAAAATAAAGTCCTTTATCTCTCAATCCAGAGTCTCATGTCTTCTGCCCACATCCATAAAACTCACTAGCCTCCATGTAGGATAATATCTTAGACCAGCACAGTTCTTGACACTCTAGAAGTGAATTTGTTGGATCAAAAAGCATGAACAATTGCTAAAACTCTTAATATGTCTTGTCAATTAGCTCTCCAAACAAATATGAGTCATTGCCTGAAATCTCTTTTGTCCTCAGGAAGGGATAGAGCTGCTTGACTCAGATCTCTCAGGTGGCCTTAGACTGTAATGTCTTCCTTTCGTGCAGAGCTCTTACCATCCTAAGCCACTACACCTACCTAATATTCTATAAAAAGCTTTTTCTCCCTACCCAGTGTCTCCAATGAGCTGACTTTCTTTTCTGGATTACTCTTTTATGTAATAAAAAGTAGACATGAGGGTCAAACAGAAAGGGAAAAAGGGGAATTTGTTTAATTTCTACCAAGTGCCAGGCATAGTACAAAGAACATTTAGATAAGGCAGAAGGCATTAATTATTTTTATCTACCCAGAACCCACTGCCCCACCTAAGCACCCCAGCCCCTGACCTGGCCACGTGGGTGGCTATGTGACCTGAGCTGAACCAATCAGAGTCCTTCCCTGGGATTTTTTTCACATCATAACCACATGAGAAGGTCTCCCATTATGAAACAGAGAAGCTTGTTGGCAGCCATGGTTCTAGCCAAGGATGGAAAAAACAACCAAAAAAAGAAAAGAAACAAAAAAAACCCACCATGGTAAAAAAATACATATATAAAAATAAAAAAGATATGAAAGACAGACAGACATGGGGAATGGTCTCTTTCCAGTTGCCCCTGCCACTCAACTGCTCTCCTACCTTCCTGGATTTGGTTATGAGAGTCAATAAATTATCCCCTTTTATTGCCTAAATGACTTCCATATGAGTTTCTGCTCCTTGCAACCAACATAATCTTGACAATTAATAGTAGCTAGCATTTTGTGAGTGTTTACTGTGCCATGCCCATTAATACACCTAATCCTCTCTACAATTGGACAGGTAAGGTGCTTTTAGTAACCTCCAATGTACAAAAAGGAAAACAAGTTGGGTGAAGTGAAATGACTTGCTCACAGTCGCTGGGCTAACAAGGGGGCAGAGTCAAAGTTTAAAGCCAGAGCCCATACTCTTCCCTATTGTATAACACAGACATGCTGTCTCTGTTCCCAGTGCTGGGGAATGCAGAGAACTGGGGACTGAAGGAAGAGCAGGCGTTCAGGTAAGCATTAATCAGGGGACCTTCCACAAGGGAAAAGGGAGTACTGGCCCAGTTGAAGTCCAGCCAGCACTCAGCATGGTCAAGGATGGGGTGGTGCTCTCTCCAGCCATTCAAGGTGCTGAGAAAAGAACAGAACTTTCATCTGAGGAATACAAGCCTTTTAAATTATTAGGCCCAGAGAGGCAATAGAACGAGATAGCAATCATGTCCTACATACCCCCTTTGAGCTCGGTATTCATTTCTTAAAACTGCTTGCCATTGCCACAAGTAGCTATAAATTAATCTAATAATGCCCCACTGGATGCTATAACCCACACCTCATAGCTTAACAATGTATAGCCAATCACTCGTCAATGTTATTTCTGAAAACCAGTGAGAATTCCTGGCAACCAACTGTGTACCAGCCCACTCCATGTCCCCCTTTTTTGCCTTTATAAATCCACTTGTAACTGCTGCTAATTGGAGTGTATATTCAGGGAAACTTGAATCTACGCTCCCTGGCTACAGTCCTCAAGCTTGGCCCAAACAGAGTCTTTACTTATATTAATTTTGCCTCAGCTTCTTCCTTTTAGGTTGACAGTGCTACAGGCTGAATTATGTCCCCCTAAAATTCAAATTTGAATAAATGTTCAAATATGAATTTGAGGCCAGGCACAGTGGCTCATGCCTGTAATCCCAGTACTCTGGGAGGCCGAGGTGGGCAGATCATCTTAGGTCAGCAGTTTGAGACCAGCCTGGCCAACATGGCGAAACCCCATCTCTACTAAAAATACAAAAATTAGCCAGGTGTGGTGACGCATGCCTATCATCCCAGCTACTTGGGAGGCCAGGATAGGAGAATCACTTGAACCTGGGAGGTGGAAGTGGCAGTGAGCCAAGATCGCACCACTGCACTCCAGCCTAGGCGACAGAACGAGACTGTCTCTCTCTCTCTCTCTCTCTCTCTCTCTCTCTCTCTCTCTCTCTATATATATATATATATATATATATATATATATATATATATATATATATATATGAATTTGAAGCCCTTCAACCATATGGATCATATCTTGAAGCCCTAACCCCCTAGCACCTCAGACTGTCACTGTATTTGGAGATAGGGGCTTGAAATAGGTGATTAAGTTTAAACCTATTTAGCTCATTTAGGGTGAGCTCTAATCCAACCAGACTCATGTTGTTATAGGAAGAGGAGATTAGGACACACAGAGAGACACCAGGGATGGACAGGCACAGAGGAAAGACCATCTGAGGACACACCAGAATCGACCATCTGCAAGCCAAGAGGAGGTCTTTGGAGGAACCAACCCTGCTGACACCCTGATCTCAGACTTCCAGCCTCCAGAATTGTGAGAAAATTAATCTCTGTCATTTAAGCCACCCAGTCTGTAGTACTTTGTTATGGCAGCTCCAGCAAACTATATCTACAGGAATCCATCACCACTTATGACAGGCTCTGCCACATAGTAGGTGTGTGTGCACACACCACACACAAACATGTTTAGAATATGAAATCCGTGAACCCTACTCCCACACTGATAACAGTTCAGGAACAGTTGATTTTCCCTCAGGGAATCTGGTTTGTTTTCCTAGTTTCCATCCCATCAAGACCCCTTCCCACCTGCTGGGAAATACTTGCCTGAACCCCTCGTTCCTTTCACAACACACACCTGATGGTAGGAAGAAGCTTCCAACTCTGATATTGACAGGGTGCTTGTAACCTAGCACCCTTTCTCCTACCTTGTTATGGAAAAATAAATCCTTTATCCTATTTCAACTACAGTCTTGGCAAAGGAAAAAACAAAACAAAAAAGGAAACCAGCCTAGAAATGGAAACCAAAGATCATGAACAGTGCTATGCTGAGTTACAGCTAAGGGTTGGCCTTTCTGGAGCTGGCTGCCTTCAGATGGCAGGGCTCTGAGTGTGTGTGTGTGTGTGTGTGTGTGTGTGTGTGTGTGTGTGTGCCAGAAGCACAAGATGACACACCCTGTGGTGGGGTCAGGCAAGCTGATTGTGGGAAAGGTGGGAACAGAATATTTTACAACAATGTTGGAAAAATGGGTTTACATTCTCTGAGAGGAAGATACCCAAAGCTTCAAGCTCACCTCAAGGGAAAATTGAGCTAGGTTTCCATGCTCTCCACTTGGATCTCACGCACATGAACACACATACAACCTTCTCCTCAATATTCACAAGAGGCCTCTGTTGTCTGCTTCTCCAGAGAGCGGAGGTGAATTTACCTGAAGCTAATGAGGCTTGGGCTTCAGGGTCTTTTCCTTGTACCTGTCTCTTTAAATGCTGGACTTGGGGAAGGCTTTAGGTGAGAAGGGAAAGCTGGGTTTCAATAATGAAGCACCTCTATGTTCACATTTCTGATTAATTGCCTACACAGATCCCAGAAGAATGGAATGGAAATAGCTAAAGGCTCCAGAATTTTCTCTTTTTATTTTTTTGAGACAACATCTCACTCTGTTACCCCCAGGCTGGAGGCTGGAGTGTGGTGGCAAGATCATCGCTCACTGCAGCCTCTAACTCCCTGGCTCAAGCGATCCTCCCACCTCGGCCTCCTGAGTAGCTGGGACTACAGGCACACACCACCACACCTGGCTAATTTTTTGAATTTTTTTTTTTTGTAGAGATGGGGGTCTTGCCATGTTGCTTAGGCTGGTCTTGAACTCCTGGGCTCAAGAAATCCTCCTACCTTGGCGTCTCAAAAAGCTGGGATTACAGGCATGAGCTACCATGTCCAGGCAGCTACAGGAATATTATACTTAATTTCTCATTCCAAAATAACATTCTCTTTTGTGCCTAATTTTAAATTCATAATTTTGTATTCTTTTTCTTAAACAGAGATCCCCATATTATAAAAGCTTCAGTCCCCACAAAAACTGGATCTGGTTCTGCCAAAATGATATATCCTTTATGATATTTATAGAGACGTTCTGATTATTTCTGAACATCTCAGACTTTCTGGAACCAAGACAGGTTCGATTATGAACATCTGTTGTCTAATTTTAAAGACCAAGGGGGAAGCCGGGTCCTTATGAGGGCCATAAAGGCTCCAAGCTAGATGGATATTGGGGGAGTGGGTTAGCAGAGATGTCCTAAAACAATGAATTACACTAATGGGAAGAACAAAAGGTAAGTCTAATCACAGATGTCTTGGTTTTCAAGCTAGTCAGACTTCAGATAACTGTCAAATCTTCAGCCATAAATCGAAAGTGGAGGAGAATTAAAGATCCATCCTTGTTTGCTTACAGAATTTACTTAATTTAGCCACTCTATCCTTAATTGATAGCAACAGGTTTTTTCAAAATAGTCAAAGTAATCTATGCTTTGCTACATAATAGCAAAAGTAATAGCCAACATTCATCAACACCTACTATGTTATACCCTTGACAGGGTTTCCTATTTTAGTAGTCAAAGCAATTTCATGGAGTAGCAATTACAGTTGTAATTTCACTAGTGAGAATGCAGAGTGAGGCTCAGAGAGGTTAAGGAACTTACCCAAGGTCACACAGCTAGTGAGTGGAGAGTTGGAATTTCATCTCTCTGATTTTAAAGTCTGGGCCCTTTCCTCTACTGCCTCTCTCTGAACTCAATGACACATCCTAAGTAAGTAAGGGCTTCTACACAGGATGTGTTAGACTATGCTGCAGTAACAAACAACCCCTGGATCTCAGGAACTTAAAACAAAATTTCAGGCTGGGTGTGGTGTCTCACACCTGTAATCCCAGCACATTGGGAGGCCAAGGCCAGTGGATCACTTGAGGTCAGGAGTTCGACACCAGCCTGGTCAACATGGAGAAACCCCATCTCTACTAAAAATACAAAAATTAGCCAAGCATGGTGGTGGGTACCTGTAATCCCAGCTACTTGGGAGGCTGAGGCATGAGAATCACTTGAACCTGGGAGGCAGAGGTTGCAGTGAGCCGAGATCACACCATTGCACTCCAGCCTGGGCGACAGAGCGAGACTCTGTCTCAAAAAAAAAAAAAAAAAAAAATTCTAGAAATAACTCCAACCTTATTTTCTTGAACACGACTCATCCTGACCCTCCAGCACTCCATTGATCTGGGCTAAATATATGGAATCCTGCAGATGAAGACACCAGCACCCAAAGCTAATGGGACACAGAAAACAGAGGCCACTCAAATAAATGTCAGCACTCCTAGTTACTGAATACTCTGTGTCTGGCAAGTTTCATCATTAGTCAGTTATTCATTCACTCAATCAACAACTACTTACTGAGTTAATATGGCAGCATGGTTATGAGCACAGACTCTGGAGCAAGAGGTCCTAGGTTCAAATCCCAGTTACCCTGCTTATCAGCTAAATGACTTCTCAGTGCCTTGGTTTCTCCATCCAGAAAAATGGGGATTATAATTAATAATTGCCTACCTCATTGGGTTAAGTGGATAAACTAAGAACAGTGGCATGCCCATATGACATGCTCTATAATTTTTATTATCACTGTGTGCCAGGCATTATTCTATATGATGGAGGATGCAGCTATGAATAGGGCAGACAAGGTGCCTGTCTTTACAGAGCTTCTATTCTAGTGAAGGAGAGAGGCTTTATTAGCGAGTAATCCTTGATCGAGCCATACCTGAAGCTAATGCCACATCCTTCAACCTTCCAATTTCCCCAGGCATTAAGTTCTTTTTTCTTTTCTGCCTAGGCTAGCTTGCACTGAGTTTCTCTCCCTTGTGAACCAAAGTGTCCTGACCAGTACAGAGGTCTAAAGCCTAAGCTCTTTCCAGTCTGCCCCTTGCCCCTTTCCAGCTGAAGCCCTATTCATTTGCACCCAACATCATCATTGCGTCCAGTGCCTCACCACTTGGTGAGACCCTTGAATATTCAAACCAGCGTGTAAGCAGAGAGTTAGGAACTATAAACAGTAAATTATAACAAGCATGAAATGGAAGCCTGCTGCTGATCATTCGCAAGAGAGCAATCAAATCTGTCTTGGTGCCTACATGTTTTATGGAAAACATGTCTATGTTTTAAAAGTGTTTTTGAAATAAAAAATAATTTACTAACTAAATTAGATTTCCACATGTTTTATCTAGTTAACCCATCCCTTATCATAAGAAACGTAACTTCTTTTTTTTTTTTTTTTTTTTTTTTTTTTTGCGATGGAGTCTCACTCTATCACCCAGGCTGGAGTACAGTGGTGTGATCCCGGCTCACTGCAACCTCTGCCTCCTGAATTCAAGTGATGCTCCTGCCTCAGCCTCTCAAGTAGCTGTGATTACAGGTGTGCGTCACCATGCCCAGCTAATTTTTATAATTGTAGTAGAGATGGGGTTTCACCATGTTGACCAGGCTGGTCTTGAACTCCTGACCTCAAGTGATCCTCCTGCCCTGGCCTCCCAATCATGGTGGGATTATAGGCTTGAGCCCCTGTGCCTGGCCTAGAAAGCTAACTTCTTAATTGCAAGCTACTTTCATCAATATAATGCATTTGTCTCACTCCTTAAAGGACTCCTGTCACAGTGGATTGGCAAAGAACAGGTCAGACACAAGAGGCAGTGGAGTATTAGTAAAATACACGTGGATTTGGAGTCAGACCTTCCTAGGTTTAAATGCTGGTTTTATCGCATACTAGTTGTATGCCTTCATTGGGGTTTCCCAAGAATCAGACCCTGAGACAAGACTCCAAGAGTAAGTCATCTATGTGGGAGGTAAATGAAACATGACACAGGAAATGAAATAGGTCAGGGAGGCAGCCAGTAAAGGGCATATTATAAAACAAGTTACTACTTGGGACAATAACTGGAAAACTTGCTGGAAAACTTGCTGGAAAACTCTAGGATACAGTGTAGAACATCTCTAGCAATGTGCTGGTAGATGTTTAACAACCAACACTGCAGAAAAATATTAAAAGCCCAGATTTGTAGTGTCTGCCCATATCCATGGTGTAAATCCTCCCACCATGGCTGATTTCACACTACCTTGTCCCTGAACAAGGACTTGGGGAAAGATGCACATACCAGCTCTTGCTTCATAGTTATCTGACCTAAGGGGTGAGGGAGATGGGGTACTTATCCACATACACCAACTCTCATCAGTTCCTGGTGGAGGGATGCTCCCAGGGCAGGTGTTGATTCCTCCAAGACTTCCAAGCCATCATACGGGTGGGCAAAGACAGTACAACCAGAAAAAGACCTCAGAAAGAGGGCCAGGCATGGTGGCTCACGCCTGTAATCCCAGCACTTTGGGAGGCCGAGGTGGGCGGATCAGGAGGTCAGGAGATCGAGACCATCCTGGCTAACACGGTGAAACCCCGTCTCTACTAAAAATACAAAAAATTAGCCGGGCGTAGTGGCGGGCGCCTGTAGTCCCAGCTACTCGGGAGGCTGAGGCAGGAGAATGGCGTGAACCCGGGAGGCGGAGCTTGCAGTGAGCCGAGATCGCGCCACTGCACTCCAGCCTGGGCGACAGAGCGAGACTCCGTCTCAAAAAAAAAAAAAAAAAAAAATAGCTGGGCATGGTGGTGCATGCCTGTAATTCCAGCTACTCAGGAGGCTGAGGCAGGAGAATTGCTTGAACCTGGGAGGTGGGAGCTGAGATCAAGCCACTGCACTTCAGCCTGGGCGACAGAGTGAGACTCCATCTCAAAAAAAAAAAAGAAAAGAAAAAGAAAAAGTCCTCAGAAAGAGAATGCAACTACATTTGGATGGGTCAGTGGATGCTTAAGAGGTAAAGGGTTAGAAGATACAAGGGAAGCACTGAAAGCATCTGTTACTCTGTGCAATTGTGAAAACGTTATTTCATTTCTCTAGGCTTCCAATATTGCATTGGTAAGATATGATTCATTGAATCTTCCAACAAATACTCATGGAGCACTTAGTATATACCCAGCAATCTTCAGGCCATAGGAAACAGAATGTTGAGTTACCATGACAAAGTCACTGTCACAGAGCCAGTGGGGAAAGCAGCCTCTAAACATGCCACCCAGTAAGTAACAAAGATCATTTCGGGAATGGTGAGGACTATGATGTTAGAGAGGGTGATGGGAGGGAGAATAATGTAGCGGAGAGGACATGAACGGGAAAATCTTTCTGAAAGGGTAACGTGTAAGGTGAGGCTCAACAGATGAGAGGAAATGTGTTGTAAAAAGATCTGGGAGCAGCATTCCAGGTGGAGGAAACTGCATGTGCAAAGGCCCAGAGGTGGGAAGGAGCTTGGCTTGTTCATGGAAAAGAATGGAAGCCAGTGTGTCTAGATCAAAATGAATCAGGCAGAAGGTAAGCAGGTAACCAGGAAACAGAGTGGAGGGGCAGGCAGGAATCAGTGTCTGCAGTGCGTGCTCAGCATCATAAAGGGTTTGGGTAGTAACACAACCCTGAAGAGTTGTTAAATGAGCTCCCATGCATGTAACTGGCATTACTCATGTTATTAACCTGGGAAACTGTCACGTCTCTTACTTTTCCATTTAATCTCATGCCCATCCTCTTTGCTCACAGGAGCCAAGAAGTCCAGTATCTCACTCCACATCTGCCTTCTCGTGGTCCAACACTCTGCCGACTCAGTTAATCCAAAGATCACTTCCAAACTTCAGGCTGATGGAAACCTGAGGAGTCGGATCCATTCATAGGCAGCCCCATTTTCACCTTCCCTTGTCCCCGAGGCTGCCATTAGGTTGAAAACCAGTCTGGTACTGTCAGCGTGTCTTTGTCTACAGCTATGAAAAAGTCCACATAGTCCAGTCTCTACATAGGGCACAATGATTCTCCTCTACATCTCAGCTACCAGGTACCAGCTTGTCGAACACACATGCAAACATTCAAACCCTTCTCAGGTTCCCCTCTAGGGCCTTCAGGGACTTATCCGGCATACCTGAGGTTGGGGCCATTGCAATCTATTCTTAGTCTAGTGTTAAGCCGGGTCAACAGCGGAGATGCTCCTTCTCCTTGAACTAATTTTATTTCCAGAGTTTCATTTTCCTTCCCTGCAACATTAGGCATCATTTGGGGATATTTTTATCCATCCATATGGATTTCAAAATCTCATAAAGAAGGAGCTGGGAGAAGAATGAGGAATCACTGATTTTAATGACTGTATTTGTTGATCTCTTACTCCATTCCTGGACCCATGTTGAATAACATAAATATATATGCATGTACACATGCTATACATGGTATCTGGATGCTATATGTGTTATATATAACATACATGTTATAATATATGTTAGATATGTATGTCATACATATCATAATATATAATTATACATTGTATATTATATATTATACTATTACATATAATATATAATTATACATTGTATAATTATACTATTACATAGTATAATATATACTTATGTTTATATAATAAAATATAATGTATATGAAATATACATAATACATATATGATATATTATATAATTATATCATATAATATATAATTATGTATATTTCATATACCATATATTTTATCATACATAAATATATAAGTTATATATAATATATAATGTCATATATTATATAAATTATAATTATTATATATTATATAAAACATATATTATATATAATACATAGTTTATATGTTATATAACATATATAACAAATTATATATTATATAACGTGTTATATAATATAACATATTATATATTATATAACGTGTTATATAACAAGTTATGTAATATACAATATGTTATTAAAAAGATATTACAGAATATATTAAATAATGTATGTTTTATATATTATATTATATATGTTTTTTATATATTATATAATATATATGTTTTATATATATTATTTTTGTTTTTTTTGTTTTTTGGGGGTTTTCTTGAGACAGAGTCTTGCTCTATTGTCCAGGCTGCAGTGCAGTGGTATGATCTTGGCTCACAGCAACCTCCGTCTCCCGGGTTCAAGCAATTCTCCTGTCTCAGCCTCCCAAGTAGCTGGGACTACAGGTGCCCACAACCAGGCCTGGCTCATTTTTGTATTTTCTTTAGAGGCAAGGTTTCACCATGTTGGCCGGACTGGTTCTCAACTCCTGACCCCAAGTGCCCCGCCCACCCCATCCTCCTAAAATGCCGGAATTACAGGCATGAGCCACTGCATCCAGCCTATATATGTTCTTTCATCATCACCACATCATCTAATTTTACAGATGAGAACACTGAGGCTTGGGGAGATATTAAATGTCTTATCCAGATTGCATGCATGTAAGTGACATAAGCACGATTTGAAACTAAGCAATCCAACACGAGAGTCCTAGGTCTAGAGCCTCTCTGACCTGCTTTCTACCTAGAAATTATCTGAGTTCTTTATGCAAATTGATGCACTTTTTCATCCCTTTGGTCTCTTGAAGTGGCAGCTTTTGCTGCACCCAGTTCTCACAACAACTTGCAAAGAGGATCAACACACACGACTGATCACGAGATAAAGGAAGTCTGAAGCAGTCCCCACCAAACATGCAAATTCAATGAATGAAGATCCATTTCTTGCAGCTTTCTGCTTTGTATAATAACATTTGGCTGTGATGATCTATTATGACACTAATCCTTGCACAGCCCAGAGAAGATGGGCAATAGTTTTCTGGATGTCAGTGGGACTCTGGCACAAGGGCCAGCCAATTTTGGTGAGCGCAACAGGAAATTCTTTGCAATGTCCTTGTGAATCTGAGGTTACAAAGACTGGCTCAATCTGTCACAGGAAGCATGCTGGAATGCCTTTGTCCTTCTTTCTAGTTTTTCTTTCTTTCTTTCTAATAATTCTCAGTGTGGGAGAATATTATTCTTTCTAATAATTCTCGGTGTGGGCTTACATCCTTTGCTTTGGGAAAGGTTTCTATCATTAGACCTCTCTTTTCCCCCAACCAGCCAGCTGTGAAGCGGTTCACTGCGGACCCAACCTCTGGCATGACTGTGGATCAGCAGCACCAATGCCATGAAGACTGCAGACACACTGGAGAACCAAGGCTAATTCCCTTAGCCATTGAGCCTCCGCTTTCCATCCATGAAATGACTCTCAAAATGCCAGCTTGGGCTATTGCTTGCTTCAGAGCACCTAAGAGCATCTGAACAAAAGGAATATCTTTTTCACAGATGTAAATGAGGAAAGCGAGGATTATACAGTAGAAGAAGTGCTCTATAAGGCTGCTGAAGATCACAATTTTTTTTTTTTTTGAGACAGTCTTGCTCTGTGTCCCAGGCTGGAGTGCAGTGGCGCGATCTCGGCTTACTGCAACCTCCGCCTCCCAGGTTCAAACGATTCTCCTACCTCAGCCTCCCAAGAAGCTGGGATAACAGGTGTGTGCCACCACACCTGGCTAATTTTTGTATTTTTTAGTAGAAACAGAATTTCATCATGTTGGCCAGACTTGAGGTCAGGTCTTGAACTCCTGACATCAAGTGATCCACCCGCCTTGGCCTCCCAAAGTGCTGGGATTATAGGTGTGAGCCACCGTGCCCGGCCCGAAGATCACAATTCTTATCTAACTCTGCTATTCATTGGCTGGGCCACCTTGGGCATGTCCATTAGCTTTCTGGTTCTTAGGACCCTCATGTCTAATAACAAGGTCTTTCCTACCTGCCCCACAGGGCTGTTGTGAGGACCAAATGAGATCAAGAATGCAAAAGCTCTCTGTCAACTGTGAAACACTACCAGGAGTAAAGATTCACAAGGCATGAGTTGCCACAAGGCAGTATAGCATGGTGGTTAGGAGGTTAAGCTCTTAAACCAGATTACTTGGATTCCAGTATAACCCCAGGATACTTAACTTTGTTTTGTGGTGTTGTTGTTTTGTTGGTGTTGTTGCTTGGTATTTTGTCTAATTTTCAGAAACAGGGTCTTGCTCTGTTGCCCAGGCTGGAGTGCAGTGGGCATGATCATAGTTCACTGCAGCCTTGAACTCCTGGGCTTAAGCTATCCTCCTGCCTCAGCCTGTGGAGTAGCTGGGACTAGAGGTGTGCACCACCGCACCTGGCTAATTTATTTAATTTTTGTGGAGACAGGGTCTTGCTTTCTTGCCTCAGCTTGTCTCGAACTCCTGACCTCAAGCAATCCTCCCATCTTGGCCTCCAAAAGAGCTGGGATTATAGGTGTGAGTCACTGCGCCCAGCCAATTTAAATTCTTTAAGTCTCAGTTTTTCCATTTGTAAAATGGGCATAGTAATAGTACATTTGTCACAGAGTTGGTTTGTGATAGGATAAGGTGATGCATGTTCACTAGAAATGAAGAGAGAAGGGTTATGATTCATTGAAAAGAAAGAAAAACCTAGGCTGGGTGTATTGGCTCACACCTGTAATCCCAGCACTTTGGGAGGCTGAGGCAGGAGGATGAATTGAGGACAGAAGTTCTAGACCAGACTAGGCAACATAGTGAGACCCTGTTTCTACTAAATAAATAAATAAATAAGCCAGGCATGGTGGCATGAACCCTGCAGTCCAAGCTACTCAGAAGGCTAAGGCAGGAGGATCACCTGAGCTCAGGAACTTGAGGCTGCAGTGAGTTATAATTGTGCCACTACACTCCAGTATGGGTGACAGACTGAGATCTTGTCTCTATAAAGAAAAAAAGAAGAAGAGGAGGTAGAAGAAGAAAGTCTGAACTACTCCCTGCAGGAAGAGTAGACAAGGTAAAGAGCCCTAGAAAAGATTCGTCCCCGTGCTTTCCTCTAGAATGAGGACTCCAGTAATTTATACCAGTGCTGGAGCACAGGCTTGACAATGGCTGGAGCTCAGCCTCCACAGTATCTGCTGTGATTAGTGCTCAAAAGCATAAAGCATAACTGGAACTAAGAAGAAACAAGATGCTCAAGGTCTCCCCTTCAGCCTTCCTTCCAAGTAACAGAATCATGATTTGATGATTTGACCCCTTCTTCTACCACCTCAATATTGAAATCTGTTTCCAATTCCCGTTACCTTAGAGAACACCATCAGATGTCCATTGTATATCTCAGATTCATTTCTGTCCAAAAACGAATTTAACTTGCCTTCCAAATAATTTTACTCCTAATTTTTAGCTCACTTTCTCCATGAATATCATCGCCATTCACCCAGTTACCCAAACCAAGAGCCTGAACAACATCTTTGAGTCCTTCTCCATCACAGCCTACATTCAACCAATTGCCACCTTCTCTTTTATATACCTCCTTAAGTCACGGCCTTAATTTGGGAATGATCGTTTCTCATTTGGACTTGACTTCATGGTCAAATATGGCATCCAGAGATCTAGCCATTGCATCCTAATTCAAGACCAACAACAGGAAAAATGGGCAAAGAAATATATGGTCCTCATTCTGAGAAAATGTCCATATTACTCTTCTCTTTGCATTCCTTGGCCAAAGCTAATTCACATGGCTTGGGTAGCTTCATGAGAGACTGGGAAATTAGAGGGTTTTGGTTTTGTTGTTGTTGTTTAAAGCAGAGTCTATGTCACCCTAATTAAAATCAGTGTTTCATCTTTTATTCTTCCTCAAATATTCTGTGTTAAAGTCACTAAAGGGCACCAACCAAAGTAAGCATCAATGAGAGGGGATAGGACAGAGATCTGGCATGGGGTGTTGAAGCCTAGAATTGGTGCACGACCTAGTTCTAGTCACGAAAAAGCATCAGACAATCCCCAATTGAGAGCTCTTATACAACATAAATGGCCTGTATCTTCAAAAGTATCAAGGTCGAGAAAGTAACAAAGAGACTGATGAATCTGCCGGAATAAGACGTGACAATTAAATGCTATGATAATCTTGCCCTGCAAGATTATAAAGGACATTATTGGGATGGTCAGTGAAACCTGAATGGGGCCTTTGGATTAGATGGTGGTAATGTATCAATGTTATAATAATTTCCTGACTTTAATGGTCGTATTATGGGCATATAGGAGAAGGTCCTTATTGCAAGAAACACACAGTAAAGTATTGGGAAATGATTCGAGGAGAGGGAAAACTTAATTGTACTGTTCTTCCAACTATTGTCTCAGTTTGAAATTTTTCCCCCGAAAATAAGGTGTTATTTCAGAGAAGAAAAGGGAATGTAGATGTTTCAATATGTAAATAGTAGGCTCCACCACAGATGGTATTTAAATAATGTATCAGAAGAGGTCATCCCAAGGGAGTAATATTTAAATCCAGAGCCAAAGAGAGAAAGCCATCCACGTGAAGAGCAAGGAGACAAAGTTTTCAGGCAGAAGGAACATGTGAGAAGTAGCTGAACTTGTTTTCAGAGTTATAACCCTAGCAATATGGTGGAAAATAACAAATAACTAGCAATGTGGTTGAAATAAACAAACTGCTATTCCTTCAGAAACATGAGTAAGCACCACTGTGTGCAGGAACTTGCAGCAGTCAGCTAGATGCTGTAAGACAAACAACCCCAAATCCCAGAAAGAGCTTATTTCTCTGCCATGCCCATATAGCTTGGCTGGAGCAGCTCTGCTGGAGGTTGCAGGTCTGAAGACATGCTGGGGCGGCTCTGCTCTAGATGCATCTCATTTTTCTAGGACCAGTGACCAACTAAGTCATGTTTTTCTCATAGAGAAGGCAAAAGCACAAGAAGGCAAACTCATCACACGAGAGCATTTCAAGCCTTTCATAAGGGTTATGTCCTCTCACATCCCATTAGCCAAAGAAAGTTAAGCTCAACTCAACAGTTGAAGGGTAGGGAAGTACACTATGCCATCTCTCAGGGAAAAGGAAGTCACATAGCCTAGCTGAACATCAATGATGTAATAGGAGAGGGAACAAATATTTACTAAACAATAGTCTCATCTACCGTAAAGCTCAAATACTTCACAAAAGAGCCACCCTTAGAAATAGCTTTTATCTCATCTATTTTATGGGTGAGTGGGGAAGAAGGATGACAAAGCCCCTTTAAGAATTTTATATACCCTAGACACATTCACTTTTGGAGGTCTCACCAGAAAGCATTTGAAACATGCTACAAATTTGCCTGTATCCTACATTAAATGGATTTTTGGCTCTAAACATTTTTTGAGAAAATTTTAAAATTCTGCTCCTGAAATTATCTGGCAATAGGTGATTTATTTAAATTTAGATTGGATGTGATTTCTTGGTAATTGTGCATATTCAGGAGGTCTAGAAAGTGGGAAATTCTAACTATCCACATTTTTCAGATGTAATGAAATCCCTAGGAATGTTAAATTTAACAATTAGTGATATTGACAAAGCAGCACAATTTGTAGGTAATTTTTTTTTTTTTTTTTTTTAGAAGGAGTTTCACTCTTGTTGCCCAGGCTGGAGTGCAATGGCATGATCTCGGCTCACTGCCACCTCCACCTCCCAGGTTCAAGCAATTCTCCTGTCTCAGCCTCCTGAGTAGCTGGGATTACAGGTTTACAGGCATGCACCACCATACCAAGCTCATTTTCATATTTTTAGTAGAGACAGGGTTTCACCATGTTGGTCAGCCTGGTCTCGAACTCCTGACCTCAGGTGATCTGCCTGCCTCAGCCTCCCAAAGTGCTGGGATTACAGTCGTGAGCCACCATGCCCAGCGTAGGTAATTTTTAAGATATTCATTAATTTCAATTTTGTCATTTTCTCTTTTGCATTTTTAAGCCAATGTGTGTGTGTGTATGTGTGTTTGTGTGGTGTTTTTTGTTTGTTTGTTTGTTTGTTTGTTTGTTTTTGGTCTCAAACATTTCTGTAGATCTTGAAAAACGTATAGGTCCCGGGAAGACCCTATGCCTAACGGATTAAAAATGCACATGTTGCCTGGAATCAAAGCTAATTATTATTGGTTGGGAAATGGATACCCTCCCACTCCAGACTCCTCAGCACAGGAAAATAAGAGCAGCTAACTCCAACAGAACCCAATTCATTTAGGAGGCTCTCTGCCTCTGCATAAGGGTGAATGGTTTGGGATTGCTGCTCAGCAGAGCCCTTCATCTCATTCACGAAGCCATTCACACTGTATCCAGTCCATTTGTAAGGCAAATAAAAATGTCGTCTTCCAATCTTGGCTCATTTCATCTTATAAGAAAAGTCTCCCGTCCGATGCCTAGCCAACATTTCCCTGTTGTGATTAAAGAAACAGCAGGTAATAAAAGCTGGACTAACGGTTGGTCCTCTAAGGACCAAAATATGGTTGAAGAAGCAATAACTTACCCCAGTGCCCCCAAGGCAAGTTGTCTCAATAATGTAACAAAGCTATACTTAATGGCAACAGAGCACGTTTCACTGATACTACACCGTAAACTGCCCGCTTTCAATTAGTTGCATATGTATTAAAGGGAGTCAACACATATTTACAGCAATCATTTCTATGTATACAAGATGCCACAAAAATGTAGCTTTCTGCTCCTTCTGGTCATTTGGCCACATAGGAATAATCACCAACCATAGATGCAATTCTGGAAAAGTCATTAATGCTCATCTCTATGGTTGCAAGAGATTATTGGGCTTCTATTTCATGCCAAGGCACTTTACATATGTAAATAATGGTGCATGCTTTGAATGAAGTCATGTTTTTGTGACCTACAATCCCCACTGGCTGCTGCAGCACCTGGCACATATTAGCCACTCAAGAAATTCTCGTTGAGTGAATAAATGAAACATTCAATGGCTCTGAGACCCTACCTTTCAGATTATCAGCACCGTGACCCTGCTTTTGAGACCCCTACTCTCTCTCCCTTCCCTATTATCTCTTGGTGAATATTGGGGAATGGCTCACCTGAACTGCCCCACGATTTCATGCCTCTGTTTTCGCCATTACCTGTCACCTTACCTGGCCACAGTCATTCCTTCCAAAGCCACTATTCACATCTCTATCAGATGCTCTGCAGTTCTGGGGCTCCTGCCTCTTGGGACAAGGCTAGTACTGTCATACCAGGTGTGATGGTTAATATTGAGTGTCAACTTGATTGGATCGAAGGGGGCAAAGTATTGATCCTGGGTGCGTCTGTGAGGATGTTGCTAAAGGAGATTTACACTTGAGTCAGTGGACTGGGAGAGGCAGACCCACCCTCAATCTGGGTGGGTACCATCTAATCAGCTGCCAGCATGGCTAGAATAAAGCAGGCAGAAGTTGGAAAGAACAGACTTACTGAGTCTTCTGGCCTTCATCTTTCTCCTGTGCTGTATGCTTCCTGCCCTGGAACATTGGACTCCAAGTTCTTCAGCTTTTGGACTCTTGGACTTACACCAGTGGTTTGCCAGGGGCTCTCAAGCCTTTGGCCACAGAATGAACGCTGCACTGCTGGCTTCCCTACTTTTGAGGTTTTGGGACTCAGACTGGTTTCCTTGCTCCTCAGCTTGCAGATGGCCTATTGTGGGACTTCACCTTGTGACCGTGTGAGTCAGTACCCCTGAATAAACTCCCCTTCGTATATACATTTATCCTATTAGTTCTGTCCCTCCACAGAACCCTGTGTAATACACCAGGCCAGCAGAAGGGAGACATTTGCTTTCCTGGACATTTTCTGTTCATTTTACATTTGCTCAATGAAAAAAATCAGGTTGCAATACATATATAAATAGAAAACACAGAAAGACATAAATATTTTTTAAAAAGAATCAGAAACGTATGCCCCAAAATGCTAATATGATTACATCCGGGTGGTTAATATTTATTTTCTGTTTCTATTCTCTTTGTGTTTCCCCAAATTTGCTTGTTGACAGAACATGTGCATTGCTTTTGGCCAATAAATGTTTGGCTTATTTAAAGAGTTATCTTGATGATAGCCAGGTGTGGTGGCTCACACTTGTAATCCCAGAACTTTGGGATGCCAAGGTGAGCAGATCACCTGAGGTCAGGAGTTCGAGACCAGCCTGGCCAACATGGTGAAACCCCATCTCTATTAAAAATACAAAAATCAGTCTATCTTAAAAAAAAAATTAGCTAGGTGTGGTGGCACGTGCCTGTAATCCCAGCTACTCAGGAGGCTGAGAGATGAGAATTGCTTGAACCTGAGTGGCGGAGGTTGCAGTGAGCCAAGATCATGCCACTGCACTCCAGCCTGAGCAACAGAGCGAGACTCTGTCTCGATTAAACACACAAACACACACACACACACACAGTTATCTTGATGGCAGTTCAGGAACTTGGGAGATGAGGGCTGTTCTCCTAAAACCCTATAAGAACCCTCAGGTGGGTTATGCCACCCATTCACTAATATCCCATTTACGGGTGAAGGGAAAGGTGGAGGAGACCAACCAACCCACCAGCAGTGGCCTCAGTCTCAAATAAAACTTAGTCCCTGAGTTAGAAGCCAACTTAACCATGGAGAGGAAAGAGTTCATCAGATGGGACTAAACCTGCTCACTTCCTTCCAAGAACCACCCCAAGGGTTCATTTCCCAGGCACCAGGAGCCACCCAGCTCCAACATGCTGTTTTCTGTCTTCTGGTGACTTATCACTTGTTGTTTCTTCAAGAATAAGCCTTCGTTGTTCCAAGTAAACATCTCAAATGCACACATTCTTAAAGTAGTAAGTCATGTATCCACCTGTGCATCCAACAAATTATTATGTAGTGAACACCCATGAGGGACGTGCTGCTGTGTTCAATGCTGGGGACACCACAGGGGGCCACCCACGGACTTGGTTCCTGCCATCATGGAGCTCTCGGTCCAGTGGAGGAATTAGACATGAACCAAATAAAACACAGTCATGAATGTAAAACCAGAAACTAGAGTAAGTGCTCTTGAAACTGCCTTAGCAAAATTATGACTGAGACAGTGAAAGAGATTTAACTTGATCAATTCCATCTTGCTTCTAACCTCCAAGCTGTCCTTATTCATTCTTGGGTGTAGGCTGACCTAACTTTGGGAGAAACTGAGTTCATGGTTCATAGTTTGTAGTTTAAAGCAAAGATGATAACAGCCCTTTCCCAAAGCAGACCTCCTTCTTGCCTGGGGACTAGATTGCCTTTGTTAGGACTAAAATGAGCCACAAGATTAGAAACTATGGTTTAGGAGTCAGGCGGCTGGAGGTTACAAGATTCTGACCCTCCCTAAACTGTTCCTAAGATCAGTGCTTGAGATAATTTGCAGACCCTGCACGTGACGGGTCAGGTGGCACCACCCAGATCGATCAACTGGCTCATCTGATCTTGTGGCCCCAACCCAGGAACTGACTCAGCGCAAGAGGACAGCTTCGACTCCCTATGATTTCTTCCCTGACCAATCTGCACTCCTGGCTCACTGGCTTCAACTAACCACCCCTACCAAGCTGTTCTTAAAAACTCTGCTCCCCAAATGCTTGTGGAGACTGATTTGAGTGATAATCAAACTCCAGTCTCCCACAATGCCCCTCTGCATGAATTACTCTCTCTGTATTCCAATCCCCCTGTCTTGATAAATCAGCTCTGTCTAGGCAGCGGGCAAGGTGGACCCAATGGGCGGTCACACTCTGTCGAGAAGGAACACAGGGAGTTGCGGAAGGCTTCCAGAGGAAGTGCCTGGGCTTTGAAGAATGAGCAGGCATTAAGTGGGCAAAAGAGCATGTGCAAGGGTACTGTGCAATGTGTCACCACCCAGGGAGAGAGGAGAAGTGGACTATGAGGCTGGGGACATAAACACGGTCCTGGCCATGGAGGGCCTTGTAAACCCCATGAAGGATGTTTGCTCTTTATCCTAATATCAACATGAAGTGATTAGAAGGTAGCAAGCCCTTGATTAACCAACAATTCTAGATCCTTCTCCAAACTTCTCTTTTAGGGAAAGGAAACCTAGAAGTCAAAACATAAGGTGGTGGGATTTCAGTTGAAAAGGTGTCCAGGGTCGGCCTCGGGTCAGTCTATCTTTGGGTCTATCACAAACACTATATTAATTGCCCCTATTAATCTTTCATTATGTGCCAGGCATTGTGATGATGTATACTTTATATCCATTGGCACATGTAAGCCTCACCACAAGATTTAGGGCCTATCATTATGCCCATTTCACAGATGAGGAAACTGAGGTTCAGGGGGGCTTGTAACATGTCCCAAATGGTGTAGCTAGTAAGTGGCAATGCCGAGGCTCAAATCCCTCCAAAGATTCTCTCTCCAAAGGTCATTTTCCTTTCCCTAAGCCATGCTGGTGCATCTGGGGTCCTGGAAACTAGGAGATGATTTTCAGAATTATAAGACTTAGGTCGTGCAAGCTTCTTAATCATCAAAGAAAGTCTGGAAAGAGAAGAAGATGTTTGCAGGAAGCTGCCACAGAAGAGAACATTTTAGACAGAGGAACAGCATGAAGAACCGAACACACGTGGCATCCCCTAGGGGCCATGAATATAGCAGGGAGGCAACCACAGAGTTGGGAAGATCCAGAGAGAGGCGGGACAGATACAGTGGGTCCTGAAAGTATGTTAAATAAAGTCACAGTGACACGGCAATCAGGAGTGGCAAGGGAGCCACAGACACACATGATTAGACACAAAAATCATGTTTTCAAGGCACAGCCCACTTAGAGATCACAGCAAGATGCTTTATCCAACCTCCGCCGGCAATCAGAGCTTGAAAAAGGAGCATTGTCGTCAATCAACTTCCCTTTGGGCAAAAGACACAGGCAAAGGAGAAGATACTTCACCCACCTTTTAATAAATGTGTCTTGAGGAGAGAGTTGGCCCACATAGTACAGTCTCCAAGATCTAAGACTCCACATGGGTAGTGGCAGGGGAGACAATGGGAACCAACAGGACATTGGCTGGAATCACAAGTCACACCTTCAGTAAACCAGAGGAGTCATTTCTCTCTCCCTTATTGACTCTGGGCCCTGGAGAAATGCCACAGAAATTCATGGGAAGAGGAGTTGAAGGTAGACGGCACCTGGACATTATTTCTGCCAGCCCATTTGAGTTCATCTGGTAAACATTTTGCATTTGGAAGTTGACATCGTTTAATAATAACTGTCAATGTCAATGATCAATGCCATCATAATGGCACAAATACCCTTGTGGGCTTGGGGTTGGGAGGGGTACGGTGGGGACTGACTTCTTTGTCTCCTGTCCTTTCAATGGTTATAAATAATGATGATAATAATTTCTATTTGTGTAGCTTTGTGATTGCAGAGAGCTTTAGGCTTCCTGAGAGCTTTCACCTATATTACCTCAGCTGATCCCTCTACAATGTGCAGTATCTATTTTGGTCCCCTCTGGGAACCTGAGGCTTGACAAGGTCAGGAAAGGCCACACCATGGCCTGTTCCTGAAACAGGAACCACAAATGAAAATCCTTGCAGAGAGTCCAGGCAGATAACATAAGTGAAGAAAGGGAGGAATGAGAAGCAGTAGGGAATGGTGGGGTCTGTGGTGAATTGGAGTGCATGCCTCATTGAAAGACGGGGGTAGCTGCCTATCTTGTATCCACCAACTGTCTCCACGTGGGAACATGGGCCCAATGCTGTCAGAGCTTCTAATAAATTAAGAGAAGCTAAAAGCCAGATGCTATGTCAGTCTCCCAGTTTTTAAATGATCGCAACTGGGAGTCTTGCAACTCTGTCTCCCAGGCTGTAAGGCAGTGGCACAATCCTAGCTCACTGCAGCCTCGAAACCCTAGGCTCCAAAGATCCTCCTGCCTCAGACTACCGATTAGCTCGAACTACAGGCATGTGTCACCATGCGTGGCTAGTTTTCACAATGTTTGTAGAAATGGGGCCATCTCACTATGTTGCCCAGGCTGGTCTCAAACTCCTGGGCTCAAGCAATCCTCCCTGCTCAGCTTCCCAATTAGCTAGAACTACAGGTGTGCACCACCACACCTGGCTACAAACTCTCCTTGTCACCCCCTGTTGATAGGTCTCTTTCCTTCACAGGCTGAGACAACTCCAATTCAACTCTGAATCCCCAATACAGGACCTGCCCAGGGAACAGGGCTCAGACATTTATGCTGGGAAATACTCAGCTTTTGGGGCTCAGCGTCCTTTTCTGCAAAAAGAGTTCCCCTCCCAAGAGGAAATCCCCTAAGCCTAAGGACAGGAGGTGATGGAAAGATGGATGGACGGGCAGATAGATGGATGGAAAAAAATGGACAGTTGGAAACAGACAAACTTGGTGGATGAGCAGAAATAAGCCTCATTCTCGCCTAACAACGGGACAGCCTGGGGGAGGGGTGGGACACACCAAGGCTCCCAGTTGACCCCCAGCAATTGGACAAGAGAGTTTATAAACCAGCATTGGGGTTTTAGGAGCATTGTAAGCTGCAGAGTGCATGGGGTCTTCAGTGGGAAGCATCTCCTTCCCCATCCCTGTTCTCTGTCCTGGGGTTGCCCATCAAGCTAATCACATGTCCACCCCTGGGGTCCCTCTGGCCTCTGCCACTCTTCACCAAAGTACAGTTAAACTCCAGGGGCAAATGATGTGTTGGGGGTGTGGCAGACAGGGATTGTGTCTCAGCAGAGAGGGCACAGCACTCACAAAATAGCTTCAATAGTTCCAGGGTCAGTAGATGTGCCCGAAGAGGAACCCCACATCGCAAGTGGCCTAAGCCTGGGGTAGGGTGAGCACTGCTCACTCCTGCCCAGAGGAGTAGCTGAGGGGCCTAAGCTCTAGCTCTGAGCCCACCAGCCATTCCATCCACCACCCACCTGAAACTGTTCTGTTGACCCACAGCAATTGGTCCTGGTGCCAGGCACAGAACAGATGCTCAAAAGATACGGTTGATTCTGTCTGGGTGCAGTGGCTCACGCCTGTAAACCCAGCACTTTGCGAGGCTGGGATGGGAGGATTGCTGGAGGCCAGGAGTTCAAGACCAGCCTGGGCAACATAGTGAGATCCCCATCTCTATAAAAATAAAAATTAGCTGAGCATGATGGTGTGCGCCTGTAGTTCCAGCTACTCGGGAGACTGAGGTGGAAGGATAGTTTGAGCCAGGAGTTCGAGGCTGCAGTGAGCTACGATCATGACACTACACTCCAGCCTGGGAGACACAGCAAGACCCTATTTAAAAAAAAAAATGGTATGGTTAATCTGCCTTTACTGATTACAAATCAATAAATTTGTATTATCGTAATAAATCTGTCTTTATTGATTACAAGGCACTTTCTCATCCCCCATCACCTAAGACAACTGCATAAAGACCGCATGAGCTATAAAGACCATTTCCTTGCCCCAGGTCACACGGAGGAAAAGAGACAGAGCCAGGATTTAAACCCCTGCCCCTGGCTTTCATTCCTTTGCTGTGTCCCTGCAGACCCGAGGCCCACCTGGGTGAAGAACAGGTGGGTGGACATTGGCAGTGTTCACCAGGGGAAGCATGCCAGGTGCAAGGAAACATGTGAGCACCTGTCCGTGCCCAATGGGTCTCTGTTTGTCTCCCTGCATCTTCACCCAAACCAGCTTCTCACACCCCCACGGCCACCACCACCACTCCAGGCCTCTACCTGGGCCCTTTAATGCCCCTTCCTCATTCCTCAAGAGCCCACTGGCGTCCCTTCCCTGATGGCCTGCTGGCCTCCTGCCTCCCTCCCTGACCTCAGCCTCCTCGGATTTTCAACAGCCTGGGGTTGCAGGCTGAGCTCAGCATCTGGCAGGGGCCTGGAAGAAATGACCTCTAGAGGGCCCACACTCTCTGGGTGTCATATTTTGGGGCTATTATCACAAAATACCTTAGACTGGGTAATTTATAAATGACAGAAGTGCGTTGCTCACAGTTCTGGAGGCTGGGATGTCCCAGATCAAGGCACCTGCAGATTCAGTGCCTGGTGAGGAGGGCTCACTCTGCATCATAGGTGGTACCTTGTTGCCGTGTCCTTATATGGCAAAAGAGGCAAAGGCGCTTGCTCAAGCCCCTTTTATAAAAGGGGGCACTAATCCCATTCATGAAGGTGGATTCCTCATGAATTAGTCACTTCCTAAGGGTCCCCTCTTACTACTATCACATTGGGTATTAAGTTCCAACATATGAATTCAAGGGGAACAATGACATTCAGACCATAGCACCAGACGTCTATCTGGGGAAGCCCCCAAATATTTGTCTTTTTTTTTTTTTGGAGGCAGGGTCTGCCTCTGTCATTCAGGCTGGAGTGCAATGGTACAATCACAGCTCACTGCAGCTTTGAACTCCTGGGCTCAAGTGATCCTCCTATCTCAGCCTCCCCAGTAGCTAGGACCACAGATGTGCACTACCACATCCGACTATTTTTTTATTTTAGTTTTTTTGTAGAGACAGAGTCTCACCATGTTGCCCAGGCTGATCTCGAACTCCTGACCCCAAGCAATCCTCCCACCACCTCAGCCTCCCAAAGTGCTGGGATCACGAGTGTGAGCCATCATGCCCAGCCAGCCCCCTCATATTTGATCCAGGCATTAAGCCTCCTGGCAAGACCAGCAGCTCCCTGCCCCTGAGGCAGGGCTGAGTTTCAGAAGCTGCTTTTCATTCTCAGACTATGCTGAGCCTGGTACTGTGCACACAGCACATCTGAACTTTGTTCAACATATCCCTGCACCAACCTGGCAGGACGGCCTCAGGCCAGGGAGGAACCGGGGAGATGATGTGGGATGAGAAGAGAGATCAGACAGAGGCTGTCTAGACACAGTTTCCTGGCAAAGTCACCAAGAGCCCTGCGAGCAGCTGTCCACACCTCCTGGCACTCTCTGTATCTGTCCCGTCCCTGCCAGCTCCCCACCCGCCCAGTGCTTCACCAGCTCACCCCTCAGACACTGTCCAGGTGGGAACCATTCCCCTCAACTCCCTCCAGAACAACCAGATGGCACCTGCCAGCAGCCCTGGGAGCCAGAATCCCACCCACCTGACCCAAGGGCTCTATCTGATCTCAGCCTAACCCATGAATCAGGCCCTTTGGAGAGCCAAAGGAAAATTGGGCTTCCCTGCCAGCTGACTATGTGACAGTTCAGATGTCCCAGAGCACAGGAAAGAGGCAGAGACAGGGTCGTGAGGAGCCCTTGCTTCTCCTTCAACATCTCCCATAAACAACTGGAGAGGGGCTCTCACAGGGTCCATGGGAAGAGACCAAGGAGGGGCATGGAGGAGAGGGGAGGGCTGAGAAGACCAGGGTGAAATGGATGAGGAGAAGGAAGCAGATGGCAGGGACCCTCCCATCTCCCACATGGGCTCCCTTAGGTGCTACTGGCCTTGTGCAAATTTGCACACTCACATTCACACATTTCTGTCTGCTTCTCTCCAATCGTTCAGATACCTAGCACACACCCCAGCCTCTAGAATCAGGTAGTCAGTCTAGCAGAGTCTTTAGCATTTGACTTCTGGGTTTAAATCCTGGCTTTAGCACTTCCTAGCTTCACGGCCCTGTTTAGGCAGTTTATATGCCTCCCTGAGCTTCCCAGGTTTTGGGGAGGAATAAATGGCATAGCAGATGGGAAACATCTAGCACTGTCCTGCTATATCATAGACTGTGAAAGATCACTGTTTTTGTACTATTGGCCTTGCTTTGTAGTAATTATCATTAACTTTTTTTTGAGATAAGGTCTCACTCTGTCTCCCAGCCTAGTGTGATCATAGTTCACTGCCACCTCGATCTCCTGGGCTTAAGTGATCCTCCCACCTCAGCCTCCCAAGTAGCTGGGACTACAGGCACACACCACCACACTTGGCTAATCTCTCTCCTTTTTTTTTTTTTTTTTTTTTTTTTTAGAGACCGGGTCTCATTATGTTGCCCAGGCTGGCCTCCCAAAGTGCTAGAATTACAGGTGTGAGCCACTGCACACGGCCTACTTTGTAATAATAACAAACAATACAGCCGCTACTTTTTGGTAGTTTCAAACCATGATCCCAGAATTTTTTGATTCATCAAAAGGTAGAACCTATGTCATCTACCGTTGAATCCAGACTGTGCGATTGCTTGACCAATAGAATATAGAAGAAACGTTATGCGACATCCAAGGCTACATCATAAAATGTGACAGAGCTTCCACTGGGTTCTCCTTGTCTTAGAGCCCAGCCACCATACGATGAGGAAGCCCAAGTAGCTGAAGAGAGGAGAGGCCCAAACAAAGGAACCAAGTCCCCTGGACCACAGCCTAGCTGAGCTCCCAGCCAACCAGAAAGCGCCAACTTAGCAACCGCTAGAGGAGCCATCTCAGAAATGAATTCTGCAGCCCCCTGGTGAGCTCCAGCTGATGCCATGTGGAGCAGGAACGAACTGTCCCCTCAACATCCTGCCCAAATTGTGGATGTGTGAGCAAAATAAATGACTGTCATGTTTTAAGCTACTACATGTTGGGTGGTTTGTTGCACAGCCATAGACAACTGGATGACAAACACATATCTGACGCTTTATCCGTCATTGCCATGCTAAGCTGCAGATATTTTTGTAATCTACACGTTTAGACCTTTTCCAGCTTTTAGAGCTCACACTTCCCTTCAGTACACCTGCAAGCTCCCTGAATTCATTTTCATGTAATCCTCCACTTTTTTCCTTCAGCCGGTTCATGTTAGGTTTCTCTCATAGCCCCTAAACACAGTGCTCAAATACCAATAACCTGGATCCCATCTTGCGGCTCTGCAGGAAGCTGTTTTTGCACAAGGTTCTTCCACATTTCTGGGAACCAGGAGATGTCTACTTCAGCTACAATCTCTCCTGCTCGTCCCCTGTCCCCTCGGGAGGGTCTGGCTCAGAACAGATTTCACTGTGGGACCCAAGCCAACCTGTTAGCCACTCCTACCCCAGGACGGGTGAAACACAGTCTTGCAGTAACAAGACTTACTTTTGAAGGATGGAATTACAATATGGAAAAAATACAACTTCACAAGGTACACGTTCAGTTCATAGCAGCAGCCAAGACTTTGAAGGAAGAGTTCAAGTCGCCACAAAAACATAGCAGAGGGAATAGTACGGATTTTAGAGCCAGATAGTACTGGAGACTTGGAGACTGCAGGGCTGGGAGGGTCACAGACAGTCCTGAGTTCAAATCTCCACTCCACCACTCATTGCCCACGTGACCTTGAGCAAGTTATTTAACCTCTCTGAGCCTCCATTTCCTCAAAGGCAAATTGGGGATAATAAACCCAGTGTTTGTGAGGATAGATAGGATGCATATTCTGCTCGTGGTTGTGCCAACCAAGGACACATTCAGAGTAAATTCAAGACTCTTCTTGAAGAGTCACGAGCACAGTGGCCCATGGCAGTAATCCCAGCACTTTGGGAGGGTGAGGCGGGTGGATCACTTGAGGTCAGGAGCTCAAGACCAGCCTGGACAACATGTTGAAACCTTGTCTCTACTAAAAATACAATAAATTAGCAGGGCGTAGGCATGCCTGTAGTCCCAGCTACTCAGAAGTTTGAGGCAGGACAATCCCTTGAACCTGAGAGATGGAGGTTGCAGGCGCTGCAGTCCAGCCAGCCTGGATGACAGAGAGAGACTGTCTCAAAATACAAATAAAATAAAATAAAAAAAGAATGAGACTCTTCTTACTGCAAAAACTGACCTCTGGGGGGTGGAAACAAACAAACAAATGAGCAAAAACCATTGTTCTTGCCTAGCTGTTAAAGAATATTGCGTTTTCTCATAACTTGACACGATACAGAAACATACAATGAAGAATCTGGTGGGTATTGAACTGTCAATTGCAAAATAATTATTCATCACTGCAGGTCCAGCCTGTTCTCCGGGAAGGACTGTTTGAATGTCCTGGGCCTCCAAGCCAAGCTCCCAGAGCCCAGACCGTCTCTTTGGCTAATGCTGGCTCTATCTCCTGAAGAAAATAGTTTGATGCAAGGAAGAACTTTCATTATCTTTTGCCCTGGAGCACCAGTAACTGTCTACAAAGAGCAGAGCAAGGGAAGAAGGGCAGTGAGAAATTAATCTTTGAGTTTCCTCCTTGGTGATTCATCCATTTAGAAATGGGTAGATTCAGAGAAGTGTTTCTTCATCCGGTCCCTCTGTTCCCATGATCTCAAAAATGAAAAGGCAGCCAACCCTGATCACCACCCATCAGTCAGCCTCTTTTCACAAGTGGGAGGCATGGGCTGTGCTGGACCAAGTGCAAATGCAAGACATGTCTCTAACAGGCCTTCTGGAACCAGGGGAAGCTGGTGGCTTGGATGCACCCACTGTGAGGTAGAGTGTTATACTGCAGCCCCCATAACCCTGCACTTCTCCAAGTCTATGATTATTTGACTCTGGAATCTGGTGTAGCACATCTGCTCAGTTGCTCAGTCATTACTTACTGAGCACTTACAATGTGCCAGGACAGGCAGGGTATAAAGGATTGAGAATTGAACAAGGTAGTCAAGGTAGTATGATCCCTGCCCTCAAAGAGCTTGTTTTAGTATATAGGGTTTCTCAACTTTGGCACCATTGTGGGCTGAATAATTCTTTGTTGTGGGGCTGTCCTATGTACTATATTTTTTTTTTTTTTTGAGACAGAGTCTCGCTCTGTCGCCGAGGCTGGAGTGCGGTGGCGCTATCTCAGCTCACTGCAACCTCTGTCTCCCGGGTTCAAGTGATTTTCCTGCCTCAGCCTCCCGAGTAGCTGAGATTACAGGCACCAACCACCACGCCTGGCTAATTTTTGTATTTTTAGTAGAAACGCGGTTTCACCGTGTTGGCCAGGGTGGTCTCGAACTCCTGACCTCAGGTGATCCACCCACCTCGGCCTCCCAAAATATTGGGATTATGGGCATGAGCCACCACGCCCGGCCCACTATAAAAACTTTAGCAGCATCCATGGCCTCTATCCACTAGATTCCAATATCACACCCTTTCTCCCAATTATGACAACCAAAAATGTCTCCAAGCATTTTCAAATTTCACCCGAGGGTCAAAATTCACCCCACCCCACTCCTACCATTCACGATTGAGAATCTCTATTCCAATGAAAGAAGCAGGCAGCTTAGTGGAAAGAGTGTGAGCTTCGGAGCCAGGTGGGCCTGGGTTCTCCCTTCCACTTTATTAGCTGCGTGATCTTTGGGGAATCACTTCTCTCTCTTACGCATACGTAGATTATTTGAAAATTATGGGTAGCAATCATATTTTTACAAGGTTGTTGGGTGAGCTAAAGATCAAATGTGTAAAGAACTGTGGCAGGCTGGGCACGGTGGCTCACACGTGTAATCCCAGCACTTTAGGAGGCCAAGGCGGGTGGATCACCTGAGGTCAGGAGTTCGAGACCAGCCTGGCCAACATGGTGAAATCCCGTCTCTACTAAAAATACAAAAATCAGCCAGGTGTGGTGCCACACGCCTGTAATCCCAGCTACCCGGGAGGCTGAGGCAGGAGAATCGCTTGAACTCAGGAGGCAGAGGTTGCAGTGAGCTGAGATCACGCCACTGCACTCCAGCCTGGGTGACAGAGCGAGACACCATCTCAAACAAACAAACAAACAAACAAACAAACAAAAAACAGGGGCAGACACTGTCAACACCAAAAGTCATCCTCTTGTCTTAATTCTTCTTGCTAACAGAACCCCAGTTCTTTCAAGGGTCCCTATCTCAGAAGTTGGGCTCAGTCCCTAGAGGGGGTGGGCATGCAAACCAGGTCTAGTTAATGAGCTATTTGAGGGAGGGGGCCCTCTGGGGGTAGAAGGTTAATAAAAAGTTTGGTTATTTTATTTTTATGCTTTTATTTTTTTAGAGACAGGACCTTGCTCTGTTGCCCAGGCTAGAGTACAGTGCCACAATCATAGCTCACTGCAGCCTCGAACTCCTGGGCTAAAGGAAGGTGGGGACTAGAAGATGGATAAGCACTCCACACTTGTTAGCTATCTATTATTGCTGTTAGCACTGTCATTATCAGTATTTTTTTTTTTTTTTTGACGGAGTCTCGCTCTGTCACTCAGGCTGGAGTACAGTGGTGCACTCTCGGCTCACTGCAACCTCCGCCTCCCAGGTTCAAGCAATTCTCCTGCCTCAGCCTCCCAAGTAGCTGGGATTACAGGCGCCTGCCACCACGCCCGGCTAATTTTTGTATTTTTAGTAGAGACAGGGTTTCACCATATTGGCCAGGCTGGTCTCAAACTCCTGACCTTGTGATCCGCCCGCCTCGGCCTCCCAAAGTGCTGGGATTACAGGCATGAGCCACCACGCCCAGCCCTTTTTGCTTTTTTTTTTTTTGAAACAGGGTCTTGCTCTGTCACCCAGGCTGGAGTGCAGTGGTGCAATCTTGGCTCACTGCAACCTCCACCTCCCAGGTTCAAGCAATTCTCCTGCCTCAGCCTCTTGAGTAGCTGGGAGTACAGGCATGTGCCACCACGCCCAGCTAATTTTTGCATTTTTAGTAGAGATGGGGTTTCTCCATGTTGGCCAGGCTGGTCTCGAACTCCTGACCTCAGGTGATCTTCCCGCCTCGGCCTCCCAAAGTGCTGGAATTACAGGTGTAAGCCACCACGCACGGCCCTTTATCAGTATTATTATTATTAACTTTTACTAAGGAAAGAGGGAGGCCCTTGGCCAGGCCGTAGGATTGCTGGCCTTCCAGGGAGTGTGTTACCCAGGGAAGTGGCATAAAATTACAGAATTGGGAAGCTAAGAGGTAGCTCTAGACATCACACCTCTAACCTTTTTGATATTCTGTTGCTCCATCTACAAATGGCATTTAGAATTTTTGTTCTTAAAGAGTCACAAATCACGTGCAGGAAGCTTGAAACCAGTCCTGTTACCTTCCTATGCTCTGATGCCACCTGGGAATTTGAGCTGGTGTTTCGGGTAAGAGAACAGCTTATAACCAGGCTTTTCAGGACAATGAAGACTGCCTTTCAGTGGGAAGATGAACAATCTGCCTAAGTCATAAGAATGATACAATGGACTTTGGGGACTTGGGGGAAAGAGTGGAAGGGGGTCGAGGGACAAAAGGCTACAAATATGGGGCAGCGTATAGTGTTCAGATGATGGGTGCACCAATATCTCACAAATCACCACTAAAGAACTTACTCATGTAACCAAATACCACTTGTACCCCAATAACTTATGGGAAAAAAATCTACCCAAGGAATAAAACTAAATCGAGACTTTAAAAGCGAGACATTAAGGAAGTTGACTCTTAGCTGACCTGGACACAGGCCTATCATGGTAAGTGCTGCAGGTGAACAAACAGCAGCAATTTGACCCTTCTTCCTTATACATCAAATTCCTTTTTTTAAAAAATTATTTTTGAGACAGAGTCTCGCTCTGTTGCCCAGGCTGGAGTGCAGTGGCACGATCTCGGCTCACTGCAACCTCTGCCTCCCAGGTTCAAGCAATTCTCCTGCCTCAGCCTCCCGAGCAGCTGGGATTATAGGCACCCACCAGCACGTCCGGCTAATTTTTGTATTTTTAGTAGAGATGGGGTTTCGCCATGTTGGCCAGGCTGGTCTTGAACTCCTGACTTCAGGTGATCCACCCACTTTGGCCTCCCAAAGTGCTGGGATTAGAGACATGAGCCACCGCGCCTGGCCCAATTTCATTTTTTTTTTTTTAGACAGAGACAGTGTCTTGCTCTGTCACCCAGGCTGCAATCAGTGGCGTGATCATAGCTCACTGCAGCCTCAAACTCCTGGGCTCAAGAGATCCTCCTGCCTCAGCCTCCTGAGTAGCTGGGACTACAGGTACATGCCACCACGTCCGACTATTATTTTTATTTTTTGTAAAGATGGGGTCTCATTATGTTGCCCAGGCTGGCCTCAAATTCCTGGGCTCAAGCCATCCTCCCACCTCAGCCTCCCAAAGTGCTGGGATTACAGATGTGAGCCACCACACCCAGCCCAAATTCCAATTTTCTAAAGAATCTGGGGCTCTCTGTGTTTTAAGACTATTAGGCTCTCCCCAGTTTCAGGGGATGAATCTTGAGCAGTCTGATGGAGGGCTGGCAAGCCATTGCCTAAACCCGGCCCACCACCTGCTTTTGTACGGCTCAGGAGCTGGAAATGGCTTTTACATTTTTAAGTAGTTAGAAAAGATCAAAAGTGTAATAATATCTCCTAACACATAAAAATTAGATGAAATTCAAATCTCAGTCTCCATAAATAAACCCATTCACTTATTTATTATCATCTATAGCTGCTTTCACACTGCAACAGCAGAACAGAGTGGTTGCTACAGAAACTGTGTGGCCACAAGCCTGAAATATTTATTCTCTGGCTCTTCAGAGGAAAAGATCTTAGGAAGCCAGAGGTTCTCAAACTCAGTGTCCATCAGAAACCCCCGGAGGGCACGTTTAAACATAGACTATGGGCCGGGCGCAGTGGCTCACGCCTGTAATTCTAACACTTTGGGAGGCCGAGAGTTTGAGACCAGAGCATTGTTTAAGCCAAGAGTTTGAGACCAGACTGGACAACATAGCAAGACCCTGTCTCTACAAAAAATAAAAAAAATAGCTGGGTGTGGGGGTGCACACCTGTAGTCCTGGCTACATGGGAGGCTGAGGCAGGAGGATCGCTCAAGCCCAGGAGTTGGAGGCTGCAATGCGCTATGATAGTGTCACTGTACTCCTGCCTGGGCAACAGAGACCCCGATTCTAGTAAATAAATAAATAAAAACATAGATCCCACCCCAGAGTTTCTGATTTAGTAGGTCTGAACTGGGGTCTGAGAATTTGCAGTTCTTAAAATTGCCTAGACATGGCAGATGCTGCTGGCCTGGGGATCTCGCTTTAAGAAGCACTGGTCTAAGGCAACCTTGGGAATTCCATTCCCTTGCCAGCAACTGGCTTAGAAAAGGGCACGTGATACATTTCTGACCAATGCGATGAAGGAGAAGTCAGCTGGCAGCTTCTGAGAAAATGAGAAAATGATCATAAAAAGGGACAGATGGGCTGGGCGTGGTGGCTCACATCTGTAACCCTAGTGCTTTGGGAGGTTGAGGCAAGAGGATCACTTGAGGCCCAGAGTTCGAGACCAGCCTGGGCAACAGAGGGAGACCTCATCTCTAGAAAAAACTCTGAAGTTAGCTGGGTATGGTAGCATGCACCTATAGTCCCAGCTACTCAGGAAACTGAAGGAGGATCACTTGAGCCTAGAAGTTCAAGGCTGCAGCGAGCTATGATTGCACCACTACACTCCAGTCTGGGTGACAGAGCGAGACCCTGTCTCAAAAACAAGCGGGGAACAAGTGGAAGAAGGCTCTCTTCTCTCTTGTCCATATTATCTTGAGACCATGATGGGGTGTGGCTGAGGGCAAGAGCCAGCTGCTAAGAATGGAATAGTGGAAAAGTGGAAGGAAACAAGGCCCACCATTCCACAATGGAGCCACTGAATCAATTAACCACATGGCCCCCTGCAGAGAAACAATAACTTCCATTAGCATCTACACCACTTCCAGTTGGGTTCTCAGTGATTTGAAGCCAAACACAACCTACCTGGCAACCCTACAACTTCACCCCTCACCACTGTTTGGACACTACCAAACTTAGGCCATGATGATTAAGGCCAGGCATGAGCTCCACCCTCCCTGCCACCCTATGAGGAATAAAGCAGATATGGGGAAGGTGAAAGGGCATGATTTAGGGATCCATAAAGCCCCAGATTGGAGCCTTAGTTCTACAACTCAATAATGGTGGGCTAGAGCTCTATGCACCCCATACTCTAGGATGGGGACTCATACCTGCATGGTTGACTAGTGCAGTCATGTCTGTGCATCTGAGCAGTTATTTTCTTCTCTGGACCATTATTAACCATTAGAGCTAGCATTTGTCCCCAGGTCCCGGGCACTGTGCAAGTCTTCACCTACATTATCCTACTACCTCATAAGATAGTTTGGATGTGTGTCCCCTCCAAACCTCATGTTGAAATGTGATCCCCAATGTTGGAGGCGGGGCTTGGCGAGAGGTATTTGGGTGGTGGGAGCAGATCCCTCATGAATAGCTTGGTGCCCTCCCTGAGTAATGAGTGAGTTCTCACTCTTTTAGTTCACGGCGGGGTCTGATTGTTAAAAAAGTGTTTGGCACCCTTCCTGTCTCTCTCTCACCCCTCTTCTCACCATGTGACACACCTGCTCCCCTTTCACCCTCCACAGTGAAGAAAAGCTTCCTGAGGTCTCACCAGAAGCAGATGCTGGCATCATGCTTCTTGTACAGTCTGCAGAACGTGAGCTAAACAAACCTCTTTTCTTATAAATTACTCACCCTCAAGTATTCCTTTATGGCAACGCAAAACAGGCTAAGACACCTCAATGGACTAATACATAACAGCCCCATAAGGTGAGTGCCACCATCTCCCCCACCTTACAGATCAGGAAACAGGGGCTCTGAAAAACTGTGGCTCACTCAAGGTCATACCGCTTGTTAAGTGCAGAGATAGGATTCCAACTCAGAGGCATCTGGCTCAAGAACCCACGTGTCTGTGTTTCAGGTTGCAATGCTGAGGTTAAACAAGAGGATGTGTGCTAGGAGCCCCAGCACACCACAGGGGCTGGGAAACGTTATTGCATCGAGTTTGAGTCCAACACACGGTCTCATTCCTCCACCCACCACTCAGCCTAGAAAAAGGGTCGGAAGGTTGACTCCACTTTCAGAAGCTTGCCAGCTCCAGCCAGTCAGCCAGAGTGAAGCTGACAAGAGCAATGAGGGAAATACGGAAAGATAAATCCAGATGTGGACAATGAGACCGTGTCCCCTGAGAACTGTGGTGGCAGAGGGACTCAAAGGTCCAGGCCTGCTCGGTGTGGCTGCGGCTCAGGTTCCTGGGCCACAGGGCTGCCTTACCTGCCAGTTTCCATGCCTGGCTGACTCCCCCCACCGCCCCTCTGGCTTCCACACCAGCCCACTGATGCCACCCCAGAGAACTCGGCTGTTTGCCTTGCTCCTCTAGAGGGCAGGTGGATGCGGTGAAACGGGCAGCGATTCCAGAGCCATCACAACTCCTGGCTGAAACCAAACATGACAGATTTACCATTGGGCAGGCTGCTCCATTTATTATTTAACACTCGCAATAAATATTTGCATGACCCAGTGCTGGAGGGAACGCTCTGTGATAACTCACTGCATTTTCCTGCCAAACACCAGCACAGTCGGATTCCGAAGCTGCAGCAGAGAATATTTTATGCTATTCTAAAAATCCAGGTGATGGCCCCTTGTTAGAAAACCTTTTCTCATCCATTTCCATAGAGGAAAAAAGGAGCAGGGAGACCTTAGCTCCGAGAAGCAACTAGAGGAGGAAGAAGAGGAGGAGGAAGATGCTGACAGGTGACATTTACTTAGCACCTACTGAGTGCCAGGCCCTAAGCTAAGGACTTCACACTCATTCATTCAACACCTCTCTCTAGAGGGTAGGGTTGCCAGACTTAACAAGTAAAAATATACGACACCCAATTCAATTTTAAATCCAGTGAAATAAGGAATGATTTTTTAAATACAAGTTATGTATCTGATGTAATACTGGAAAATTATTCAATGTTTATCTAAGGTTCAAATTTGGGTGCAATGGCATGCCCTTATATTCCCAGCTACTTGGAAGGCTGAGGCAGGGAAATCACTTGAACCCGGGAGGCAGAAGTTGCAGTGAGCCAAGATCATGCCACTGCACTACAGCCTGGGCGACAGAGCGAGACTCTGTCTCAAAAAAAAAAAAAAAAAATAGAACAAACTGGGCTACAAAGTTTTGCCAGGCATGGTGGCTCACGCCTGTCACCCCAGCACTTTGGGAGGCCAAGGTGGGCAGATCACCTGAGATCAGGAGTTCGAGACCAACCTGGCCAACAGGGCAAAAACCCATCTCTACTAAAAATACAAACATTAGCCAGGCCTGGTGGTGCACGTCTGTAATTCCAGCTACTCGGGAGGCTGAGGCATCAGAATCACTTGAACCTGGGAGGCAGAGGTTGCAGTGAGCCAAGATCATGCCACTGCACTCCAGCCTGGGGGATAGAGTGAGACTCTGTCTCAAAAAAAAAAAAAAAAAAAAAAAAAAATGTAACTGGGCATCCTGTTTGTATCTGGTAACACTCCTTAAGGTTGGACTAACTATGCGAAGACACTGAATTTAAAAGGCTTTTCTTTTCATTTATTTTTTAAGAGACGTATCTGTGTAACTCAGGCTGCAGTGCAATGGCTATTCACAGGGATGATCAGGGCTCACTGTAGCCTCAAACTCCCAGGCTTAAGAGATGGTCCCACCTCAGCCTCCCAAGCAGCTGGGACTACAAGTACATGACACTGCGTCTGGTGTTCAGTGGTGCAATCACGGCTCACTGCAGCCTTGAACTCCTGGGCTCAAGCAATCCTCTTGCCTCAGCCACCAGAGTAGCTAGAACTACAGGTATACAGCACCACGCCTCGCTATTTTTTTTTTTTTTTTTTTTTGTAGAGATGGGGTCTCAATGTGTTGCCCAGGCTGATCTCAAACTCCCGGTCTCAAGTGATCCTCCTACCTCAGTCTCCCAAAGCACTGGAATTACAGGCATGAGCCACCACGTCCAGCCTCTTTTTTTTCTTTAAGGAGGCTTATTTTTTAGTGTGGGTTAGGGAAGAGCCATGTGTGAAGTTGACTCTGGAGCAGAGATGTCAAAGATGAGAAAGAGCTACCCATAACAAAAAAACGGGGAACAGGATTCCTGGCAAAGACCCCACAAAGACCCTGGGGCTGGAAACCATGTGGGGCATTGGAGGAGTCAAGGGAGGTGACACTTTTGGAGCTGAGTAATGGAGAGGAAAGTGACAGGAGCAGACTGCACAGGGCCTTGGTCACAATGAAGGATTTGGATGCTATTCTAAGTTAAAGGGAAGGCATGGGAAAGCTTTTCAGCTGGAAGTGGCCAAACTGGGGACCGACTCTGGCTGTACGGATTTCTGAGCCTGGAGATGGCACAAAGGACCTGACATTGGCAGGAAAAGAAAAGAGGAGGAACAAGAACACGAGAAATTGCCTTAAAAGGGAGCTGGTCAGGTCTCGCCAGAAAAGTTCACGCAATAACAAACCAGCCGCCCACAACAGACATCTCCACATTTTCCCAGAGCTGTCCCCCAGCCAGGCGGCCGGAGTGAGGGGATGCCGACGGTGACAATGCTATCAATTTCCATTTTGCTTTTGCCAAATACGGAAAAGGACACTTCAAAGACTTTTAAAAATAACTTCCAAACAACTCAAGGGTGAAAAAAAAGAAAGAGGTAAAAAATTACAGTCTGCCTGCTTGAGAATAGCGATAATGAAAATAAGTGATAGAAATAAGAACAGCTGCTTTTGCACACGTTATGTCATCTGCTCCTTAGCACTCTATGAAGCAGGCAGAACAGGTCATGGTATCCCCATTTCATAGATAAGGAAACTGAGACCCAGAAACATAGGATACAACAGAGAGGAAATGATCAGGTGGGTGAGAAGCTATGTTTGTCTGGCCCCAAAGCCTGGGTTCCCCAAAGCCCTCTGCAGGCTGATATGAGCCTAACCCCAGCCCGGCTCCTGGCTCTCAGCCATCTCATCCTCCCAGCCCAGCTATGGGGAGCAAGATACCTCCTACCATGTCCCTTGCAGCCTTCCTCCCTCGCCTGCAGGGGCTTCCTGCCTGGAAAGCCTGTTCCTTTGCCCTTCTTCTCCAGAGGATTCACGTACCTCAGCACATGTTCGACGACAAAGTCACAGCACTGCAGGGACACCTCCCCTGGAGAGGAACACGATGGTAGAGTGGAAGGGGCACAGCTTTGCCATTAGAATGCCTGAGTTCAAATCCCAGCTCAATCACCAACTGGTTGGGTATCCTTAAGCTCTTCCAAGGAGTGGGGGATAATCCAATCCATCCCCACAGGATCCTGGTGGGGATTAAATGAGATGCTGTATGTAAAACATCAACACAGGGCCAGGTGCCATGGCTCACACCTGTAACACCAGCACATTGGGAGGTGGAGGCAGGAGAATCGCTTGAAGCCAGGAGTTTGAGACTAACCTGGGCAACATAGCCAGACCCCTATCTATACAATAAAATGTCTTTTTAATTAGCTGGGTGTGATAGCCCATGCCTGTAATCCCAGCTACTTGGGAAGCTGAGACAGGAAGATTGCTTAAGCCCAGGAGTTCAAAGCTGTAGTGAGCTATGATCATGCCACTGAACTCCAGCCATGGTGACAGAACTAGACCCCAACTCTAAAAAAATAAAAAACATTAAAAAAAAATCAGCACAGTGCCTGGCATACAGTCAGCACCTAATAAGTAGTAGCTGTTTTTTGTTTTTTGTTTTTTTTTCCATCTCTGAAAAAAAAAATCAGCCATTTTTTAAAATTAGCTGAGTGTAATGGTATATCTCTGTAATCCCAGCTACTTGGGAAGCTGAAGCAGGGGGACTGCTTGACCCCAGGAGTTTGAAGCTTCAGCGAGCTATGATTGTGCCACTGAACTCCAGCCATGGTGACAGAACAAGACCCAATCCCTGAAAATAAATAAATCAATTGGCACAGTGCCTGGCATATAGTCAGCACCTAATAAGTAGTAGCTGTTAGAATAATTACAAAAGGCCAGGCGTGGTGGCTCACACCTGTACTCCCAACACTTTCAGAGGCCAAGGAGGGTGGATGGCCTGAGGTCAGGAGTTTAAGACCAGCATGGCCAACACAGTGAAACCCCATCTCTGCTAAAAATACACACACACGCAAAACAAATCACTGGGCATGGTGGCACATGCCTGTAGTTAGTCTCAGCTTCTTGAGAGGCTGAGGCAAGAAAATCGCTTGAACCCAGGATGCAGAGATTGCAGTGAGCCAAGATAGTACCACTGCACTCCAGCCTGGGTGATAGAGCAAGACTTTGTCTCAAAACAAACAAACAAACAAAAACAAAAAAAACACTCAAATCATGGGATTGAGTGTTCAATCATTCAATCAATTTTTATTGAATGCCTACTACATGCTAGGTACTTAGGGATATAACAGGAAATAAGACATACGTGATTCTACCTTAATGAAACTTAGAAGAAGGAATATACTTATGGTATAGTGAAAGAAACATATTTATTAGAAATCAAACATAAAAAGCATAAAAAGTGTTGAAGAGTGCTCTAAAAGAACAGAGGTTTCTGTGAATCATCTACTTTATTTATTTATTTATTTATTTATTTTGAGACAGAGTTTTGCTCTGTCACCCAGGCTGGAGTGCAGTGGCGTGATCTCAGCTCACTGCAACCTCCACCTCCCAGGTTCAAGCGATTCTCCTGCCTCAGCCTCCCAAGTAGCTGGGATTACAGGCACCCGCCACCATGCCTGGCTTATTTTTGTATTTTTAGTAGACACGGGGTTTTACTATGTTGGCCAGGCTGGTCTTGAACTCCTGATGTCAGGTGATCTGCCTGCCTCAGCCTCCCAAAGTGCTGGGATTACAGGCGTGAGCCACTGCACCCAGCCCAGAATCATCTACTTTAGACTGAGGCATCTGAGACGTGCTCAAAGGACATTTCAGTGGAGAACCATGGGTGTGAAGGAGGGAGTCACACGGAGACTGGGAAGGGACAGACCTTTGTAGGACAGACGGCAACACGTGCAAAGCTTGTGCTGGGAGGTGAAGGGAGAACAACTCGCTGGAGGAAGCAAGGAAGAGGAGATTTAGTTAGAGCAGACAGCCAGGATCAGAGCATGCAGGGTCTGATCATTTATTTCCAAGTTATTCTGAAATCAAAGAGAAGCAGGCTTTTAAGCTAAGAATGCAGCACATCGGCTAGCATAGAATAAGAGTTCAAAAAAAGTGTAAGCTCCCTTCCCTCTCCTGAAACAACCAAAGTAAATAAAAATGGCCCCTCTGTTTTCAATTATTTATTTATTTGTGCTTTCAAACTGTTTTCTTAAAAAAAAAAAAAAACTACAGAGTAGTGAGTGGGGGCGGGGGGGTAAGGGGTGGAATACTCAAAACGTGTTCAAAATCAAACGAGCCAGAAACTCCTCGCTGGAAATTTTCTCTCTAGATCTCTGCAGGAATCAGTGGAACCATGAGAGACAGAGTCGAAAGCAGCAGAGCCTGGAATTATTTCTCTAAGCAAGACCCAGACGCCAGGCAGGTAGTGAAATTGCTCCTGCCCCACCTCCATCCTTGCTGCCTATTTGAGAACAGAGTCTGCCAACCCCTCCTGATGAGAGACTGACCCCTCATAGCCACTGCAGGCTGGAAGCCATAAGCTTAAACCACTTCCATACCATGAAAGCAAAATGTATGGTTGGCAAAAAGCAAAAAAAAAAAAAAAAAACAAAAACTGGTTACTGGCGAGTGCAGAACCACAGTCTGGGTCGATGACAAATTATCCAGCATGAATCTTGGTGTGACTTAGGCCCTTCTTAGTCCTCTAAAATTCATCACATTTTGTTTATTCGTTCACTACCCACTTACAGTAGATGCCAAGAAATATATATAACAAGATTATAGATATAAATTTAAAATTAGGACTAAAGAAAGATAATCTAGAATAAGAGGTAAAAGCAGAACAGAGCAGGATGGAAGGTAGAATAAAGATATACAGGCCAGAAGGCCAGTTACTAAACTGGATTTGAGAACATGGCGCTGAGTTCCCTGGTGGCCAAGTCAAAAAGGGCAGTTGGAGATGTTCTCATGGTCCACAAAAAGAAACACACTTAACTTTGCAGAACAAGCACTGTCCTGCCGTGTGACCTCAGATAAGTGATTTAACCTACTTAGACTCAGCTGCCTCATTGCCAAAAAGTTAGTGAAAACTATTGAATGTTTAGGTAAAAAGTTGTAATAAAAAACAAGAATGGGAAAGGATTCCCTATTTAAAATGGTGTTGGGAAAACTGGCTAGCCATATGCAGAAAACTGAAACTGGGCCCCTTCCTTACACCTGATACAAAAATTAACTCAAGATTGATTAAAGTCTTAAATGTTAGACCTAAAACCATAAAAACCCAAGAAGAAAACGTAGGCAATACCATTCAGGACATAGGCATGGGCAAAGGCTTCATGACTGAAACACCAAAAGCAATGGCAACAAAAGCCAAAATTGACAAATGGGATCTAATTAAACTAAAGAGCTTCTGCACAGCAAAACAAACTATCATCAGAGTGAACAGGCAACTTACAGAATGGGAGAAAAGTTTTGCAATCTATCCATCGGGCTAATATCCAGAATCCACAAGGAACTTAAACATATTTATAAGAAAAAAACAACCCCATCCAAAAGTGGCCGGAGGATATGAACAGACACTTCTCAAAAGAAGACATTTATGTGGCCAACAAACATGTGAAGAAAAGCTCATCATCACTGGTCATTAGAGAAATGCAAATCATTGTCAGAGTGCTCAGAGAGGGCATGTTCCCTGGGTCTTGGTGGATTTAGAGGTCAAGGGACCATTTCTGGAAGCTCACTGTGTGCCAGGGCAGCTTATATCAGAGCTCCGCTCTTTTTCTTTTTCTTTTTTTTTTTTAAGACAGAGTCTCACTGTTGCCCAGGCTGGAGTGCAGTGGCACCATTTCGGCTCACTGCAACCTCCACCTCCCGGGTCCAAGAGATTCTCCTGCCTCAGCCTCCTGAGTAGCTGGGACTACAGGCATGCACCACCACCACACCTGGCTAATTTTTATATTTTTAGTAGAGACGGGGTTTCACCATGTTAGCAAGGCTGGTCTCGAACTCCTGACCTCAGGTGATCCACCTGCCTTGGCCTCTGAAGGTGCTGAGATTACAGTCATGAGCCACTGCGCTTGGCCAGAGATCTGCTCTGGAAGACCCCCCAGGCTGGAGGGCACTGCCACAAGCAGACAGTATGGCGAGGGTCCCTATGACCACCTGGCAGGCAGGGTGGATTCTGGAGGGAGGTGGCCTGGGAGCAGGCTGAGGATGGGGTGAGGGCATTTGAGCAGCAGAGTGTCTGCGTGACCGGGCATAACTGGAGGGACAGTAAATGACTCTTGTGTGAGAGGATGAGGGAGGGGTGAGAGGGGCTGACTACCCCCAGGACTTGAGGTGCAGTGAGACTCCTTAGCTTTAACCAGACTCATGGGAGCCATGGAGGTTTGAGGCAGAGGTGTGGGCTGCTGGGAGAGTGAGGACTCACCATCCAGAGAGGAAGGTGAAGCTTTCAACTCTAAATGCCGTTTTATTTTCGTGTGTTTTTTTTTTTTTTTTGAGACGGAGTTTCACTCTTATTGCCCAGGCTGGAGTGTGATAGCACGAGCTCGGCTCACTGCAACCTCTGCCTCCCGGGTTCAAGCGATTCTCCTGCCTCACCCTCCCAAGTAGCTGGGATTACAGGCATGCGCCACCATGCGTGGCTAATTTTATATTTTTAGTAGAAACAGGGTTTCTCCGTGTTGGTCAGGCTGGTCTGGAACTCCTGACTTCAGGTGATCCGCCCGCCTTGGCCTCCCAAAGTGCTGGGATTACAGGCATGAGCCACTGTGCCCGGCCCCAAATGTGTTTTACATTTTCTTCCTATTTGATTCATCTTTGTCGTGCAACATAAATATGCTACTTTTCCACTGATAAAAAGACAAAATGGAATTTAAAATTGGCCTGGACTTCTCAAAAAAAGTCAGTGTGATGAAAACATGTTCTAGATAAAACAGAAATGAGACTGGGCATGGTGGCTCATGCCTGGAATCCCAGCGCCTTGGGAGGCCAAGGAAGGAGAATCACTTGAGGCCAGGAGTTTGTGACCAGCCTGGGCAACATAGTGAGACCGCAGATCTACTAAAAATTTAAAAATTAGCTGGGCATGGTGGTGCGTGCCCGTATGTCTGGAGGCTGAGGCAGGAGGATCGCTTGAGCCCAGGATCTGGAGGCTGAGGCAGGAGGATCGCTTGAGCCCAGGATTTGGAGGCTGCAGTGAGCTATGATTGTGCCACTGCACTCCAGTGTGGGTGACAGAGTGAGACCCTGTCTCTATTTAAAAAAAGAGAGACAAGATGATCAGGATGAGCGCAGTGGCTCACGCCTATAATCCCAGCACTTTGGGAGGCCAAAGCAGGTGGATCACATGAGGTCAGGAGTTTGAGACCGGCCCAGCCTAGATGGTGAAACCCCGTTTCTACTAGAAATACAAAAATCAGCTGGGTGTGGTGGGGCACGCCTGTGATCCCAGCTACTCGGGAGACTGAGGCTGGACAATTGCTTGAACCTGGGAGGCAGAAGTTGCTGTGAGCAAGATGACACCACTGTGCTCCAGCCTGGGCAACAGGAATGAGACTCTGTCTCAAACAAAAAAAAAAAAAAAAAAAAAAAAGGGATGATCAAACACAATGCGTCAACCTCCCGGAGCTGTTGTGAGCAAGATGACACCACTGTGCTCCAGCCTGGGCAACAGGAATGAGACTCTGTCTCAAAAAAAAAAAAAAAAGCGATGATCAAACACAATGCATCAACCTCCCGGAGCCGTATAAACCCTAAACCTAAACCAGGAAGCAGGCAAGCCTGTGTGTGAGTTTCCACTCTATTGCTGGTACCACTCGGCTCTGGCAACCTGGAAGGCCACCTTCCCCTGTTGTTACTGTGTAAGGAGGAAGGAGCACTGGTTTGCAAGTCAGAAGCCTGGGTTGAAGCCTCTGCTTGAGTTCCTGCTGGCTGTGGGAATGTGGGGTTACCTTTCCCGGCTGGCCTCGTTTCCTACATGTCCAATGCAGGGGTTCCAGTCACATGCATTGGGCACCATTACATGTCCAAGCTGTGCCAGGATCTAGATAAATGGCTGGGCTCAGTCCAAGGGGCCTTCCTATCTGGCAGTGAAAATAAGAGGAGATACCAAGGGCCCTGAGCCTGAGTCTGGAGGAAAAGTCATGAGCACAGGGCAGTGCCAGGGCCTGGGAGCTGCCACAGAGGAGCCCACCTTGGTGACAGACACCTGTAGGCTCATATGATGCCGAGTGCCCAACACAGGGAACTGGACAAAGGTTTCATGCACGACTCTTTTCCCTCCTTGGCTACCTTGAGGACCTTGATTATAATAGTTAGCCTTTTTTTTTTCTTTTTTTGAGACTCTTGCTCTGTCGCCCAGGTTGGAATGCAGTGGCAAAATCTTGGCTCACTGCAATCTTCGCCTCTCAGGTTCAAGTGACTCTCCTTCCTCAGCCTCCCTAGTAGCTGGGATTACAGGCGTGCACCACTATGCTCGGCTAATTTTTGTATTTTTACTACAGATGGGGTTTCACCATGTTGGCCAGGCTGATCTTGAACTGCTGACCTCAGGTGATCTGCCCGCCTGGGCCTCCCAAAATCTTGGGATTACAGGTGTAAGCCACTGAGCCCAGCCGGATTATAATAGCCTTTTCATGCACCAGGGGCTTTATACTCATTATCTCATTTCATTCATATGAGTTGAAGTCAGCTTATCCCCCATTTCACAGATGAGGAAACCAAGGCCCAGAGAGGTTAGGAATTTGTCCAAGGTCACACAGCCAGGAAGTAGGATTCAAACCCAGACAGCCAGGCTGTAACACCTGGGCTCCTCTCAGGCTCATGCCCTTCCCAGGGGTCTGGGAAGCCCTGACCTGCAGCCTGTCACCTTTGTTTACCCCCCAGCCTCCAGGATATTATGTGTGCACCGGCGTGGGATCCTGGAACTGGCAGGAATTGTGGGTTGTGTTGGTCCCTGAACTCCCATCGCCTATGTGAAATATGGTTGCTTTTGTGGCTTGGGAGGCCATGGCCAGCCCCGCGATGCCATTGACTGGTGAGTGCATGCCTGGGACCAGGCTGCAAAATCCCTCACACTCTGGGGTAGTCAAGGCTTATGAGGAAGTACCCAAAACTGAAGCTGGGGTTTGGTCCAGGGAGATCCCAGTGTGCAGTACTACTTTGCAGGCAGGCAGAGGCCTCTTGGATAACATGGCCAGTGAAGCCAGATCTTGGTACTAGCTGTGCCTTACCCTGGCCATGGGCTGAAAACGTTGCCTTAAAAAATTGGCCAGGAGCGGTGGCTCACTCCTGTAATCCCAGCACTTTGGGAGGCCGAGGCCGGCAGATCACTTGAGGTCAGGAGTTCAAGACCAGCCTGGCCAATATGGTGAAACCCCATCTCTACTAAAAATGCAAAAATTAGCTGTGTGTGGTGGCAGGCGTCTGTAATCTCAGCTACTCGGGAGACTGAGGCAGGAGAATTGCTTGAACCCGGGAGGCGGAGTTTGCAGTGAGTTGAGATTGCACCGCTGTATTCCAACCTGGACAACAGTGCCAAACCCTGTCTCAAAAGAAAAAAATAATAATAATATAAAGTGACCAGGTGTGTTGACTCATGCCTGTAATCCCACCACTTTGGGTCGAGGCAGGAGGATCACTGGAGCCCAGGAGTTTGAAACGAGCCTAGGCAACAGAGTGAGACCCTGTCTCTATATTAAACACACACACACACGCGCGTGCACACACACACACACACACACACACACACACATACAAAGGCAGCCAGACTATGCACTAGGAACTGCCCTGGGAATCCCTTTGTGTTCTCACAACAATCCCATTTCACATGAAGAAACCTAGGCACAGAAATATTCAGTAACGTGTCCAGGTGCGGTGGCTCACGCCTGTAATCCCAGTACTTTGGGAGGCTGAGGCAGGCAGATCACGAGGTCAGGAGTTCGAGACCATCCTGGCCAACATGGTGAAACCCCGTCTCTACTAAAAATACAAAAATTAGCTGTGTGTGGTGGCAGGTGCCTGTAATTCCAGCTACTCAGGAAGCTGAGGCAGGAGAATTGCTTGAACCCGGGAGGCAGAGGTTGCAATGAGCTGAGATCACACCACTGCACTCCAACCTGGGTGACAGAGCAAAACTCCGTCTGAAAAAAAAAAAAAGAAATATTAAGTAACTTGTCTGAGGCCACATAGTTACCAAGACGTGGGAGCTGGGACTTGAACCCAGGCAGTCTGGCTGGATTCATGCCTGCAGCCTCTGCACTCCTGCTACTTACTGTGTGAGAAGCGTCTGTTCTGTGGAAGGTTGTGGGCTGAGATGTTTCCATGACTTCCACTCATTTACCCCCAAGGCTGTTCTTAAAGACGGGCATGACAGTTATGCCCATTTTACAGATGGGGCCCTGAGGCTCACAAGGGCACGCCACTCACCCATTTCCACAAAGCTATAGTTAGTTAGCAGAGGGCAGAATTCGGCCGCCTCTCCCCTAGCTTGAAGGCTGTGATTGACACAGAGGTTTTTTTGTTGTCGTTGCTGTTGTTTGTTCCTTTTTCTTTTTTTTGAGACAGGGTCTTGCTCTGTCATCCCGGCTGGAGCGCAGTGGTGCGATGTCAGCTCACTGCAAATTCTGCCTCCAAGATGCAAATGATTCTCGTGCCTCAGCCTCCCAAGTAGCTAGAATTACAGGTGTGCACTACCACGCCCAGCTGTTTTTTGTAGAGATGGGGTTAGTAGAGATTTGTTTAATAGAGACGGGGTTTCACCATGGTCTCTACTAAACCCTGTCTCTACTAAAAATACAAAAATTACCCAGGCGTGGTGGCACATGCCTGTAGTCCCAGGTACTCAAGAGGCTGAGGCAGGGGAATCACTTGAACCTGGGAGGTGGAGGTTGCAGTGACCCAAAATCATGCACTCTAGCCTGGGGTCTCGCTTTTGCCCAGGTTAGAGTGCAGTGGCACAATCATAGTGGCTCACTGCAGCCTCAAACTCCTGGGCTGAAGGGAATCCTCCCACCTCAGCCTCCCAAGTAGCTAGGACTATAGGCATGTGCCATCATGGCGAGTTAATTTTTTGTGTGTTTTTATTGTCTCGAGACAGAGTCTTGCTCTGTTGCTCAGGCTGGACTGCAATGGCGTGATCCTGGCTCACCGCAACCTCCACCTCCTGGGTTCAAGCAATTCTCCTACCTCAGCCTCCCGAGTAGCTGGGATTACAGGTGCGTGCCACCATGCCTGGCTAATCTTGTATTTTTAGTAGAGACAGGGTTTCGCCATGTTGGTCAGGCTGCTCTCGAACTCCTGACCTCGTGATCCACCTGCCTCGGCCTCTCAAAGTGTTGGGATTACAGGCATGAGCCACTGAGCCTGGCCTGGTGAGCTAATTTTTAAATTTGTTATAGAGACAAGAGTCTCTCTTATGTTGCCCAGGCTGGTCTCGACCCCCTGGCCTCAAGTGATCCTCCCACCTCAGCCTCCCAAAGTGCTGGGATTACAGATGGGTGTCACCGCACCTGGCCTCTGAGGAGGATTTCATTATAAACCTGCCCTGAAGGGAGGGAATCCAATTTTACGAGAGGGTGTAGCCTGGTGAGGCCTGGATGACCTCCGGAGGCAGGGGCTTGTGCCTGGGCTGAGGCCTAAGGGACAATGGGCAGACATGAAGTTGCCCCAGGCAGAGGGTACAGTGTGGGCAAAGTCAGGAAGTGGCAGGGCTTGGATCACTCCAGGAAGAGAGAGGAGTCATGTGTCACAGGAGCTCGAGACCCAGAGAGGGAGGCAGGCAGGCAGGCAGGGACCAAGCTTGGGCACAGCCAGGAAGGCAGAGGGCATGGTGGGGCCAATGGAATCATTACCCAAGACGGGGATTTTCAGGGAAACAGCTTAGATAAGGCCAGGTGTACAGTAGCTCCCACCTGTAATCCCAGCATTTGGGGAGGCTGAGGTAGGAGGACTGCTTGAGCCTGGGAGTTCGAGACCAGCCTAGGCAACATAGTAAGACCCCATATCCATAAAAAATTTAAAAAAGGAGTTTGTGTTCCTGTAGTAGCAGACTTGGGAGGTTGAGGTGGCAGTATCACTTGAGCCCAGGAGTTCAAGGCTAAAGTGAGCTGATTGAGCCATTGCACTCCAGCCTGAGCAACAGAGAGATACGCTGTCTCAAAGGAAATACAAATTAAAAAACCAGCCGGGCATGCTGGCGTGTGCCTGTAGTCTCAGCTACTTGGGACACTGAAGTGGGAGGATCGCTTGAGCCCAGGAGTTCAAGGCTGCCGTGAGCTATGATTGTGCCTCTGCAGTCCAGCCTGGGCGACAGAGAAAGACCCTGTCTCTTAAAAAAAAAAAAAAAAAAAATCTTAGATAAGAGGATGCTGTGCCTCCCTGGGGGTCTTCAGTCACCCATAGTCCTGGCAAGAGAGGAGGGCCAGGAGAGAGCTTCACCCACCTGCTGTCCTGCCCATGTGACATCCGCAGGTGCTGCCATGGCCACGACTGTTGTTACACTCGAGCTGAGGAGGCCGGCTGCAGCCCCAAGACAGAGCGCTACTCCTGGCAGTGCGTCAATCAGAGCGTCCTGTGCGGTGAGTCCCCAGCAGCACCATGCCACCCACCCCGAGTATCCCCTGGGCACCCTGACATAGCCAGATGACTTCCGTGCCCCTGTTGCAATAACCACTGCTTCCAAGTCTCTATAGACCACCCCTTGGGTATATCTAATGTAAGTGATATTTATTTTATTTATTTTTTGAGTCAGTCTCGCTCTGTCACCCAGGCTAGAGTGTGCTGATGTGATCTCGGCTCACTACAACCTCTGCCTCCTGGGTTCAAGCGATTCTCATGCCTCAGCCTCCCAAGTGGCTGGGACTACAGGCATGCACCATCATGCCCAGCTAATTTTTGTATTTTTTCAGTAGAGGTGGGGTTTCACCAAGTTGGCCAGGCTGGTCTCAAACTCCCCACCTCAAGTGCTCTGCCCGCCTCGGCCTCCCAAAGTGCTGGGATTACAGGCATGAGCCGTGGTGTCTGGCCCTAATGTGAGTGATCTTTAACACTGAGCACTTGAAAAAGAAAACCCTGAAGAAACCTAATTCTTTGATGTCTGGATGACAAGGAAGAAGATAGAAATGGCATCAGATAATAAACAGTGTAAATGTTTATCAGAAAGAGGCTGGTGGTCGGGACAAGTAGGAGGATTGCTTGAGTCCAGGAGTGCATCTCTACAAAAAAGTTAAAGGATTTTTTAACATTGGCCAGGCGTGGTGGCACACATCTGTGATCCCAGCTACTTGGGAGGCTGGGGCAGGAGGATTGCTTGAAGCCCAGGAGGTTGAGGCTGCAGTGAGCTGTGATCGAGCCACTGCACTCCAGCCTGGGTGACAGAGCAAACTCCAGTCTCAAAAAAAAAACAAATAATAATATTTTACATAACCAACCACTTCTAAAGATTAAAAAAACCCCTATGATTAAAAACCTCAGGTCCCTCAGGCAATCATACCAGATATTGAAACAAAGCAATAACATAAGGACTGCAGTATTCATTTTATTTTTATATTATTTATTTATTCTTCATTAGTTTCTTGAGATTATCATCCGCTGAGGGTGGAAGGGGAGTGAGCAGACACACTCGGGAGGTGTCTTGAGATTATCATCCGCTGAGGGTGGAGCTGAGGGTGGAAGGGGAGTGAGCAGACACTCGGCAGGTGTCTTGAGATTATCATCCGCTGAGGGTAGAGCTGAGGGTGGAAGGGGAGTGAGCAGACACTCGGGAGGTGTCTTGAGATTATCATCCGCTGAGGGTGGAAGGGGATAGAGCAGACGCTCGGAAGGTGTCTTGAGGCTCAGGGAGTTATCAATTATAGAATGTTGTTGAGTTGGAGGAGGTGGCTGGTGGCCCATCCTGTTTTTTAAAGTTTCAGCTGTGAGGTAGGGCCAGTAGGGCAATCCTGAAGAATGACGATGCTCCACTGCCGCCATTCTGACCTGTAGGGCCAAAGGAGGGAATGTTTTCACACATATTCATTTGATGGACAAAATTACCGCCACCAACACAGTCTGCACCTTCTGTTGCTGGTGATAGATTTTTGCACCTTTCCATCCTCCAGGTTTCAAAATAGCAGTGTCAGTGTCATAATATCACCCTTCCACTGAGTACTGCCGACAACTGGGGGGTAAAGAAAAGTCATTGGGACACACTGTTGTCTCCACATGCCACTGTGTCTGTCTGCAAATGTAGGCAGGCTGGGGTCCTGCCCCAGGGAAGACAGAGTCATAACAGAGTAATAAAGAAGCATGTTTGAGACACAGGAGTGTCTATGTCTATCCTCATTCCTCCCTCACAGCCATCACCAGAGCATGTTTCTTGCACCAGGTCAATAGACAGTAAGAGACAGTAAGAGAGGCATGAAAAGCCCATTGTCCACACATGTTGCAGCTTCTTTTTGGAGAATGTTTTCCAGGCCTTTTATGTTCTGTCTCTGATTCTCAGAACTCTGCAAGGTCAGTGTGACCACCCTGCTCCAAATCTAAGAAAACAGAGGTTTCCAGAGGAAGGAGAAATTGTGCCCAGGGTCACACAGCTTGCAAGAGGCAGAGTGGAAGTTGATTCCAGCTCTGCCTGCAGGACCCTCTCATTTCCCCTCTGTTTCCCTTCTTGACAAAGGATCTTCTTCACTCTGGAGGTGCCACCCATGAGAACAAAGAGCTCTGGAGAGATGTGGATTCCTGAAGAGCTGCAGGGGAACTGGGAGAGGGTTTTCTGACAGAACAATCTTACCTCAAGAAGTCAGTTAGGCATGGCTGTAATATTTCTTTTCACTCCCAGGTAATACCAAATTGTAAGTGCACTAGGACCTAAAGAATACTTTTGTCCATGGAAAAATGAGGTGGGAATTCTAAACAAAGCAAGTTTTAAAACTGTGTTTCACTTCAAGTGTAGAAGTCCCATCGCGTGTAATCATAGGACTCGGCAGCTTTTGAAGGTACAGAGGCCACACAAGAACCAGCTTAGCTGAGCATCATTTAAGGCCTTCATTTGGAATTGTCCCTGTGGGTAATAAGTTACATTCACTCTTCACTAATTTACAGTCAGGGCCCATTTGCTATTACAAATATGGAACCTCTGACACTTAGAATATTAGATGGGGGCCCCACTGGGTGGGGATGAAGGTGTTTTTGCGCAACACGGTTACCAACAGGGATGGGACTGTGATGCTTGTAGGCAGCCTTCCTCTCTGCCATCTCCCTCTGCAGGGCTTGAGCACAGAGCCGTAGGGAGAAAAATGTATCCATGTCCTGACCTGGCAGACTATGTCCAAAAGCAAGGAAAACAAGCAAACTTACCCGGTTGCAAAGAGGCTTTCTTGCAGAAGGGGTGATCTGAAAAAGCCAACACATGAGAAATTGAATGTTGAGAGAGTCTAAGGGCCGTGGCATCATCTGCATCAGCACTGAACTATCCTGCAACTGCGGGGAGGAAGCTCCTTACTTTGCATCTGTAGTAGTCCTCTGCCCGCCGCCGCAACGCTTGCGCACGTTGAAACATTTCCCTATGGATTACAATCACTTTCATCAGATAAAGCACCACTTTCAGGATGATTTTAAATAATCTGCCATGTTTCTGTTATCCTCACAACTGTACCCTTACACAATCTATCTCTACCTAGAAAACGTATTTCAGATGGCTGTAAGAGTACAGTCTGAGCCGGTCACGGTGGCTGACGCCTGTAATCCCAGCACTCTGGGAGGGCGAGGCGGATGGATCACGAGGTCAGGAGATTGAGACCATCCTGGCTAATACGGTGAAACCCCGTCTCTACTAAAAATACAAAAAATTAGGCGGGGGTGGTGGCAGGCACCTGTAATCCCAGCTACTCGGGAGGCTGAGGCAGGGGAATCATTTGAACCTGGGAGGCAGAGGTTGCAATGAGCCAAGATCACGTCATTGCACTCCAGCCTGGGTGACACAGCGAGACTCCATCTCAGAAAAACAAAAACAAAAACAAAAACAAAAAAAACTGTACAGTCTGATCCAAACTGTTGCTGTATTGATTCCTCCTCTTGCTTACTGCCTGCTGACTTCTGAGATGATAGCTTCCTTCCCCATTCTCAGTATATCCCTAATTCATCCTTCATTGAGCATCTTTTATCATAAAGCTGTATTCTCTTTGTATTAATATCTTTACCGTGTTTCACAGGGCAGAAACAGCTGGGCTTATAAACAGGCATAGTCCTTTTGAAGGATGTGGTTGATCCTACAACAACACACTTTCCTAAGGATGACAACAACTCACCCCACCCCTAGAATGGCTGGTATGAACCGAGTTTCCACACAGTCTAGCTGGCAATGGGGTCAGGAGCCGTTTTGCTACTTCACATCTTTTGGTCACTGGTAAATATTAAGGTACTTTGTTTTCTGTTTTGTGAACTCTCTCTCTCTCTCACGATATGTCTTCTGACCATTTGTTTCTATTTCTGCATTTACTGGGTCTAAACATTGTACAAAGGTTAAAAACAACACTCCAATGGGCGTTTCCCAAGAGGGTGGGGTTCAGTTTCTGAACTCACATGTAGGTGTGTATTTCTTTCATATCCAATTTCCCATTTTCCTCTGCCTCTGACACCTGCCTCTCCTTTTCTCCGTGCTCACGTTCTTTCATGCTTAGTTTCCTCAGACTAGAAGGGAGAGAAATGCACACACATGATCCACCAGCCCGTGTGGGATTCCCTCTGCCCTTCTGGCATCTGAAGGCTGTGATTCAAAGATCCCCCCTGCAACCTTCCCACAAATGAACCAACTGATTCTCACAACCGAAGGGAGAATGGACACCTCCCATTGAGGGATAAAAAAAAATCACACTCTGGCCTGCTGGCAAGTCACCTGTCATTTCCAGCTCATCTTCATAGTTCCATAGTTAGTCCTATTCTTTAGTAAATATAAAGACTATTAAAAGCTTCTATGAGGTGCACTATGTGCGTCTCTGGGGTCAGTCTTGTGCTTGACACAGCAAAAGCTCATTTTAGTTCAGTGTGAAAAACCAGACCTCACCAATTCATCACAACTAACTCCATCGGAAGCAGAGGATTGCTCCTCATCTGACTCCTCCTGTGTGAGACTGATTCTCAGTCAGAGGCTGATGCCGGAACTGAGACCATCAGCCATAGAGAGATCCTTCCAGAATATGGTGTCATTAACCCTGCAGTTCACTACTGCACTTTGCCATGATTCAGGACTGGAACTCTTGTCATCGACTTTAAAGATCCTGAAAAGGCAATCTGAATGCTGGGCGCATCTATTGAATTAGAAATGATGGGAATGGCTCCTAAGTCAGGGTGTTATGTCCTGAAAATAGGTGACAACGGCAAACCATCCACCCTGGTGTTGACTGACTTTAACAAGGTTCAGTTCACAGAGATTGAGGGCAGAAAAAGGAAACGGCCTCAAAAGGGTAAGTTTGCTGTGTTGCCCTCACACCACTTGATTCATGGTCGTGATCCTAAGGATCTCACCTGATACTTGGTTTTATAGGAAGGATGTGTAAAATTCCCAGAACGCTAGGAAACAGGGACGAAAACACTTCAAAGAGAAAGTTAATGAACTTGTTTCTGACCACAGGGCATCCTTCAGCACATGCTGTCTGGAGTGGCCTCAAACAAGGAGTGTGTGGTGAGGTGCTGACAATGCAATGGGAGCAGGGTCCTGTCCCCACGCTAAAGAAGCTCACAGTTTAATGCAAATGAGAAGCCAGTGAGGACATCACTACTCCTGCTGTGCACTTGGGAACTAGAAACACAAAACCTGACTCTGGAGGGAAGCTAAGGAAGCATTCTACTCTTGAGTTGACATAAGTGCATCTGAAGCTTCTGATCTCCGATGAGAACAATGGGGGACACCAAACAGAATATAAAACCCATGATTGAATACATCAAATTGCTAACATGGCAGTAAACAGACATGAGGTGAAGATGGAGAAGAAGGAAACCCAGGACGAAAGTCAGCCTCGCATTTGGAACCCATTTCCCTGAGTTTCATTGCTGAATTCCAGAAGGAACTACTGAGATGCAAAGAAGCACAGCAGCTTTTGCACACATGCGTGGGGTTAGATGGAAAACAAGTGGATTGAGGGTCTGCCAATGAAAGCGACCCATACTGAAGTCCACTGGCTCTGGTTGAGACCCAGAAGAGTCATGCATCAGAATAGAGGTGGACAGGAAATACCCTGGCCTTTGTAGGGACTGAGCCTGCACAGACGACCTCAATTGCAGCCTGTATGGAGGACCCCTGACCATCCCCCAGAAGTAGACTCCCATCTCTTCTGCAGCAAGATAACATGCTACTAGGTCTCAGTTCATTGCTAAATATTTTTTAAAAAGTATCTCACATTTAACAAAAAAAGATCAGTCATATGGCAGCAAAATACAATGTAATATGACCAAAACATGAAAGACTGTGAAAATGAATCTGGAGGTGACCCAAGCATTGAATTCAACAATCCAGGCTGGGTGCGGTGGCTCACACTGGGAGGCTGAGGTAGGCAGATCACCTGAGGTCAGGAGTTCAAGACTAGCCTGGCCAACATGGTGAACCCGTCTCTACTAAAAATACAAAAATTGGGCTGGGCACGGTGGCTCACGCCTGTAATCCCAGCACATTGGGAGGCCGAGGTGTGCGGATCATGATGTCAGGAGTTCTAGACCAGCTTGGCCAATATGGTGAAACCCTGCCTCTACTAAAAATACAAAAATTATCTGGGCATGGTGGCATATGCCTGTAGTCCCAGCTACTCAAGAGGCTGAGGGATAAGAATCGTTTGAACCTGGGAGGCGGAGGTTGCAGTGAGCCAAGATCATGCCACTGCACTCTAGCCTGGGTGACAGAGTGAGACTCTGTCTCAAAAAAAAAAAAAAAAAAAAAAAAAAATTGGCCGAATGTGGTGGCACACACCTGTAATCCAAGCTACTCGGGAAGCCGAGGCAGAATTGCTTCAAACTGGGAGGCAGAGGTTGCAGTGAGCCAAGATTGCACCATAGCACTCCAGCCTGGGCGACAGAGCGAGACTCTATCTCAAAATTAAAAAAAAAAAAAAAAGCCTGGGTGTGGTGGCTCATGCCTCTAATCCCAGCACTTTGGGAGGCTGAGGCGGGTGGATTACCTGAGGTCAGAAGTTCGAGACCAGTCTGGACAACATGGTGAAACCCCATCTCTAGTAAAAATACAAAAATTAGCTGGGCGTGGTGGTGGGCACCTGTAATCCCAGCTACTTGGGAGGCTGAGGCAGGAGAATTGCTTGAACCCAAAAGGCAGTGAGCTGAGATTGTGCCATTGCACTACGGCCTGGGCAACAAGAGCAAAGCTCCGTCTCAGGAAAAAAAAAAAAAGAGAGAGAGAAAGGAAAACCAATGCCAGTACTAGCAACTCCTCTTCCCCTGAAAAAATGACAAACAAGATTGTAGGAAGGGAAAGGAATTATACAGCTTAAACTAATGAAGCAGAAAGGACAAACTCAATTTTGAACCCACTGAATTTGCCACAAATATTGTAGAAAATATTCTCAAGGACTTTACAGTTGTCTACTTTGATTGGCACATGGTTCATACAACAGTATTTGTGTCAAGGCACATCTTACTGTTCTTTGGCGGTCTTCCTCTTTCCATTGATTTTGTCATGACGGTTGACTTTTGTTGTCACCTTCATCTTACGGATTTTAGCTCGAACTTTGGTTTCCACCTGTCTCCATAAAGTAAAGATGTCTTCCAGGACAATTTTAATTCCTGGAAAGGAAGAAACTCTTTTCTTTGTGTGCATACAAACGGACCTCAGCCCTTGGTGAGAGTGAGGAGAGGAGAAGGTGAGAAACCTGAGGGCAAGAAGCTGTTCTTTCCCTTTCCAGGGCAAACTCATTTCCACACTATGGGGACTCCAACAGAGCCATACCTTCCTGTCTACGGCAGTTGGACCTCCTGGCTCTCTGCTGTACATCCGTGGATCCATCATGTCCATTTTGAGACGGGAAGATAGTCTTCAGGAAAGACACCTAGGAAATAATAATATAAGAATGACGGCTAGGCACGGTGGCTCATGCGTATAATCCCAGTACTTTGGGAGGCCGAGGCAGGGTGGATCACGGGGTCAGGAGTTCAAGACCAGCCTGGCCAAGATGGTGAAACCCCATCTCTACTAAAAATACAAAAATTAGCCGGGCATGGCAGTGGGCGCCTGTAATCCAAGCTACTCGGGAGGCTGAGGCAGAGAACCGTTTGAAGCTGGGAGGTGGAGGTTGCAGTGAGCCGAGATCACACCACTGCACTCCAGCCTGAGTGACAGAATGAGACTCTGTCACACACACACACACACACACACACACAAACACACAAGAATGACATGAGGCTGGCATGGTGGCTCACTCCTGTAATCCCAGTACTTTGGGAGGCCGAGGCAGGCGGAACACCTGAGGTCGGGAGTTTGAGACCAGCCTCACCAACATGGAGAAACGCTGTCTCTGCTAAAAATACAAAATTAGCCAGGCATGGTGGTGCATGCCTGTAATCCCAGCTAGTCGGGAGGCTGAGGCAGGAGAATCACTTGAACCCAGCAGGAAAAGGTTGTGTTGAGCTGAGATTGTGCCATTGCACTCCAACATGGGCAACAAAATTCAAACTCTGTCTCAAAAAAAAAAAAAAATAGGCCAGGTGCGGTAGCTCACGCCTGTAATCCCAGCACTTTGGGAGGCCGAGGCGGGTGAATCACGGTCCAGAGATGGAGACCATCCTGGGCAACATGGTGAAACCCCGTCTCTACTAAAAATACAAAAATTAGCTGAGCATGGTGGCGCACGCCTGTAGTCCCAGCTACTCCGGAGGCTGAGGCAGGAGAACTGCTTGAACCCAAGAGGCAGAGGTTGCAGTGAGCCAAGATCCCACCACTGCACTCCAGCCTGGTGACAGAGTGAGACTCCGTCTCAAAAAAAAAAAAAAAAATGACATGAATATACTTCACACAACTGAACTGTACACTTCAACATGGTTAGATGGTAATTATCATCTTGTAAGTATTTTACCACAGGTTAACATGTTTCACAACTTGAAAAGGAAGTAATTAATTACCTTCAGCTCTCTGAGTTCTAGAATTTGTAACATTTCACCCCCTGCTCCTTCCTGATCTGCACTGGAGCATCTTTCTTCTGTCCCTGCTCTACTCAGAGTTCACTTTCCCTTCCCTCACATCAGCTTCGTTGAGGCTGGTTTGAACTTAATGCAAAACATTCTCACTAATGATTGAATTCCCACCAAGATTTCCATATTATCACAGTATGCTTTTAATCTTCGAAGATATTAAATATTTGTTCTCATCATAGCTAAAATGCAACGCAAATCCCATCTGAGATGTGGGTCAGATACCTATGAATCTCCTGAGGTAGTCATTGAAATGACTTTTTTCTTGAGACGGAGTGTCAGTCAACCATGCTGAAGTGCAGTGGCGCTACCTTGGCTCACGGCAACCTCCACCTCCCAGATTCAAGCGATTCTTGTGCCTCGGCCTCCCAAGTAGCTGGGATTACAGGTGCCTGCTACCATGCCTGGCTAATTTTTGTCTTTTTAGTAGAGATGGGGTTTCACTATGTTGGCCCATCTGGTCTTGAACTCCTGACCTCAAGTGATCCACCTGCCTCAGCCTCCCAAAGTGCTGGGATTACAGGCATGAGCCACCACACCTGGCCTGAAATAATATCTTTCAAATTCTTTGTAGAATTTGTTTTTTCCTGATTTCTGCACATAGGATAAAAAAAAAATCATGTACTAGGATTTCAAGAGAAGCAATGGGTAATCTAAAAAGATGAAAAGAGCAACCACGTCTATCCCACAGCTACTGCTAGATTTCATAGGAAAGGTAGCTGGCCCAGTTTGGAGCTAGGAGAAATGTCAAACACATGAAGAAATGAGAAGCAAAGAAATGCCATCACACATGAATGCTTCATGACACCCATGATGTCCCTGCTTAGGAGGTAATGACTAGATGACAAGGACAAAGATGAGAGGTACAAAGTTGTCCAAGTCCAACAGCTCAACTGAACTTTCCTAAATGGAATTGTTAAAAAGTGGTAAATTTAAAAACTTCCCCTGGCTCACGTGGTGGCTCACGCTTGTAATCCCAGCACTTTGGGAGGCTGAGGCGGGTGGATCATTTGAGGTCGGGTTTTGAGACTAGCCTGGCCAACATGGTAAAACCCCGACTCTACTAAAAATACACAAATTAGCTGGGCATGGTCGTGGGCACCTGTAATCCCAGCTACTTGAGAGGCTGAGGCAGGGGAATCACTTGAAGCCAGGAGGTGGAGGTTGCAGTGAGCCGAGATCACACCATTATACTCCAGCCTGGGCAACAGAGGGAGACTCCTCTTGGGGGTGAGAAAAGAAAAAAAAAAAAAGCTTCCTCCAATTTATACCAAAAATTCTCTGTTCAGGACTAAGTGGCATAGAGAATGTTAAATGTGCCTAGATATCTTCATAACTCATATATTTTCTGTTTTCTACATATCTTGAAAGGCAGTGCCAAATGACGTGTAATTATCTAGGCAGTAAAACTGAAACATACTTCCTCTTCCCTTGAATATCAAAAAGCATTGTGGTATTAGTACTTTTATCTTGGATCATTGTTCAGAAGGAGGTTCAGCCCCCAGACAACCACATTTTTACTGTCATGAATGGCAAGACAAAATGTAGAGCTCAACTTACCCAAAGGAAAAAAGGCTCAAAAGACAAATTATGGCACAACTTAGCAGCCAAATTCTTACCAAGTACAGACTTTTGACATACGGATCTCTCTCCAGTTGCAAGTGGGAACATGCACTTTGAATGATGTCATTCAAAATTACCCTGCCCAGACACACTTTTCATTGATTCTCTTGGAGGGCAGTTCTAAGAGATTCTCTGGGGCTTTCTCTGCATCATGAGACGCAGTGCAGTTCTGCCCTTCACCTTCCGGCAGTTTGTCACCTCGTCCCTATGACCTCAGAGGAACTTTGTCTCAGGCCAACTGTTTGTTCCTTGGGCTCTTTCATTTCCCCTAAAAATCATTTGCTGCCCCTCTAAATGGCCTACATCTCCATCTATCTCCCTCTACCCTCAGAAGAGGGTGCTCTTTAAGCATCAACCATCCAGCCCTTCTAGCAGTCTCATTTTTCAGCTGGTTCCCATGTTTATGCCTGTTCTATGTTTTTCTTTTCCTGTTAAGCTGTCTGTTGTCAGCTCATTTCTGCAGTGAATCTTCAGAGAGGAGATTGGAAGCTTTCCTTCCACCCATACGATAGAACTATAAAGCAGAAGAGTTTAGAAAGACTTTCCCATTTAAGTGACGAAACCTCATACTCCATTTGTGACAAATAGCACAAAGGTTAAAAAAACTTATTTTTGACCAAAAGCTCTGTTGACATTCTATTAAACACCGACCTATTTAATTTTCATAATGTAAATGGCAGATATTTTCATAATTCTTATGCTAATAAATCATTTCCCTGATTTTTTGGGTAAAACCACATATTCATAATGAAGTCCAGAAACGTGAATTGTTTCATATAATTTATTCTTATTTGTGATTACAAGTATACCTCTACAGAAAGTTAGTATACTCACACAAAGGTAACTTGTGCAGAGGGAGATGGCAAATTTATAACTTCTCAGAAACACAGTAATGATAAGTAACCAAGGACTTCCACCAAAGTCAGTCCCACGATGACGATGGTCAGCCAGAGTATTGATAACCTGGAATAATAATAGTTGAAATAATGAAAAGGTCAATGACACTGACAATATTTCACTCAGAAAGAATCATCCTTAGAAACCGTCAACCTCCTCCAAAAGGTAACCACATCCCTCAGATATCACCGTGGGATTCCACTGCTACAAAAAAGAACAGAAGTTAGAGAAGTCTCATGTTTTTCAGATGGCTGGTAGTGTTTTTAGGCATTGCAAATGTGGGGTGTTGTCTTTCTTGGTATAAAGCAGGGATATCCAATCTTTTGACTTCCCTGCCTATATTAAAAGAAGCAAAGTTGTCTTGAGCCACACATAACATACACTAACACTAACAATAGCTGATGATCTAAAAAAAAAATTTTTTTTTTTTTTTTGAGACAGAGTTCTGCTCCACTCAGTCGCCCAGGCTGGAGTGCAGTGGTGCAATCTCGGCTCACTGCAACCTCCAGCTCCTGGGCTCAAGCCATTCTCCTGCCTCAGCCTCCCGAGCAGCTGAGATTACCGGTCTCTGCCACCATGCCTGACTAATTTTTGTATTTTTAGTAGAGATGAGGTTTCACCATGTTGGCCAGTCTGGCCTTGAACTCCTGACAGGCGATCTGCCTGCCTCGGCCTCCCAAAGTGCTGGGATTACAGGTGTGAGCCACCGTGCCCAGCCATTTTTTTTGTTTTTGTTTGTTGTTTGTTTTTGAGATGGGGTCTCACTCTGTCACCCAGGCTGGAGTGCAGTGGTGTGCTCTCGGCTCACTGCAACCTCTGCCTCTCAGGTTCAAGTGATTCTCCTGCCTCAGCCTCCTGAGTAGCTGGGAGTACAGGTGCCTGACAGTGCACTCAGCAAATTTTTGTATTTTTTGTGGAGATGGGGTTTTGCCATGTTGGCCAGGGTGGTCTCGAACTCCTGACCTCAGGTAATCTGCCCGCCTCAGCCTCCCAAAGTGCTGGGATTACAGGCATGAGCCACTGTACCTGGCCAAAATCTCCTAATGTTTTAAGAAAGTTTACAAATTTGTGTTGAACTGCATTCAAAACTGTCCTGGGCCACATGCAGCCCGTCACTCATGGGTAAGACAAGCTAAGTATAAAGTAATTATCTTATCTTTTATTTTTGTTTTGAGACAAAGTCTTGCTCTGTCACCCAGGCTAGATTGCAGTGGCATGATCTCAGCTCACTGCAACCTCCGCCTCCCGGGTTCAAGTGATTCTCCTGCCTCAGCTACTGAGTAACTGGGATTACAGGCGCCTGCCACCACGCTCGGCTAATTTTTGTCTTTTTAGTAGAAACAGGGTTTCACCATCTTGGCCAGGCTGGTCTCCAACTCCTGACCTCATGATCCACCTGCCTCGGCCTCCCAAAGTGCTGGGAATACAGGTGTGAGCCACTGCACCTGGCCAGTAGTTATCTTTTCTTTAGTTATTTACTTGTTTTTTAAATTGATGTATAACATTGGATGCATTTATTATATATCACATGGTAAAAGAATCCCTCTAAATAATACTTCTCTCTTGGATTATATGAATCTTTGTCATTTAAAGCTCAGCATAAGTAAAAAAAAAAAATACAATGAAGAGATTATTTCATTCACAAATAAGTATCGAATTTTAGTTCTTAAAAAGTAACAAGGTGGGCCGGGCGTGGTGGCTCACGCCTGCAATCCCAGCACTTTGGGAAGCCGAGGTGGGTGGACCACGAGATCAGGAGATTGAGACCATCCTAGCTAACACGGTGAAACCCATCTCTACTAAAAATACAAAAAATTAGCAGGGCATGGTGGCACGCGCCTATAGTTCCAGCTACTTGGGAGGCTGAGGCAGAAGAATCACTTGAACCTGGGAGGTAGAGGTTGCAGTGAGCCAAGATCGCACCACTGCACTTCAGCCTGGGTGACAGAGCGAGACTCTGTCTCAAAAAAAAAAAAAAAAAAATTACCAAGGTGGAGATCATGAAAATGGCATGAATAGTGTGGGATTTCTCTAAGATTGTTGATATTAATTCCATTAGACTCTTATGTGAGTGAAGACAAAGACTTCCCCTGAGTAAGTTCAGACAGCTTGTGATAACATTTCTACATCAATTCCTCAGGATTTAACTATATATTCTTGAAAACATCTCAATTTTAAATGTTTCTTTCAAGATGGTGAATTAAACAGAGATAGCCCTTCAACAGGTTGAACTCAGCATATGCTGAGTCTGAAATGGAAATGATGGAGTTAGAGAAGCATACAACAATGGTAATGATTTCAGAAATACGGTGTTGAGCAGAATAAAGCAGACACAAAAGAGTACCTATGGCATGGCATGCATCTGTATACGTGAAATTCCAGAATAAGCAAGCTAACCTATGATAAGAAAGAGACTGGCTGGGAAGAGTGAGAGTTCACTTTCTGGGGTGACATAATAGTGTAGATCTTGGCTGGGCACGGTGGTTCACGCCTGTAATCCCAACACTTTGGGAGGCCGAGGCGGGCGGATCACCTGAGGTCGGGAGTTCAAAACCAGCCTGACCAACATGGAGAAACCCTATCTCTACTAAAAATAGAAAATTAGCTGGGAGTGGTGGCACATGTCTGTAATCCCAGCCACTCGGGAGGCTGAGGCAGGAGAATCGCTCGAACCTGGGAAGCAGAGGTTGCGGTGAGCTGATATTGGCCCATTGCACTCCAGCCTCAGCAACAAGGGAGAAACTGTCTCAAATAAATAAATAAATAAATAAAATAATGTAGATCTTGAAAGGGGGTTGGTTTATGCTGGTGTATGTACTTTCCAAAGTTAGTAAACTTACACTTAAGGTTATATATTTTGGCCAGGCGCGGTGGCTCACGCCTGTAATCCCAGCACTGGGAGGCTGAGGCAGGCGGATCACGAGGTCAAGACATGGAGACTATCCTGGCGAACATGGTGAAACCCAGTCTCTACTAAAAATACAAAAATTAGCCAGGCGTGGTGGCCTACTAAAAATACAAAAATTAGCCAGGCGTGGTGGTCTACTAAAAATACAAAAATTAGCCAGGCATTGTAATCTGAGCTACTCAGGAGGCTGAGGCAGGACAATTGCTTGAACCCCGGAAGCGGAGGTTGCAGTGAGCCGAGATCTTGCCACTGCACTCCAGCCTGGGCGACAGAGTGAGACTCTGTCTAAAAAACAAACAAACAAAAAAGTCATCAAACCAGATGACACAAATCAAATGACATTTCACTTTGTTTTGGTCCGTTTTGTTTGTTGGAGACAAGAGTGCAGCGGGGCCATCTCGGCTCACTGCAACGTCCAGCTCCTGGGCCCAAGCGATCCTCCCACCTCAGCCTCTCCAGTAACTGGGATAACAGGTACGCACCACCAGGCCCGACTAATCTTTTTTGGAATTTTTTGTAGAGATGGGGTTTCGCTATGATGCCCTGGCTAGTCTTCAACTCCTGGACTCAAGTGATCTGCCCACCTCGGCCCCCTAAAGTGCTGGGATTACAGGCCTGAGCTGTGTAATTTCATGCCGCGTGACACAGCCCAGTAAAAAGGAAGAAACCCCGCGGGTCCAACGTCTACTCACACAGGTGGACTGATGGCTGATAAATCCCAGCAGGAGCCAAAAGAGCAGCCACAGCACCCATCTACTCACACAGGTGGACTGATGGCTGATAAATCCCAGCAGGAGCCAAAAGAGGAGCCAAAAGAGCAGCCACCGCACCCGCATGTCCTGGTCCTTTCAGGGCTCCCTGAGGCAGCCAGGACAGAGGTGGAGGTGGCTTAGGGCAGGGCGGAGGGAAGGGGACGGGGACCGGGGCCGGATCTGAGTTGGGGAGGGGGAGGGGAGGGGGAGGGGAAGGGGAAGGGGAGGGGAAGGGGAGAAGTAAGGGAAGGGAAAGGAGGAGAAGGGGGCTGTTGGGGAGGAGGAGGAGGAGAAGAAAGGGGTCTGGGAAAGGATCCGGTTCAAATTAAGTTCTCAAGCGCTGGTGGAAGGTTTAGCTACAGGTCACGGAGAAGATCAGGGAAGCAACAGGACAGGCGGGGCAAGGGAGCGTGAGGCTTAGGAGCAATTAGGAGACAAAGGTTCTGCTTTCCACCAAACCTTCTTCGGTCTGGGCCCTCCCTTAGCAACCCTGGGGCTTTAGACTCTCTCTCCACCAATCCCTGATGACCCCGGTGGTGCCTCACAATGGACATTCCAAGTAGTGCCCGCATCATCCCAATGACCCCTCCCCCATCTCAGTCCCCCACGCTCCTCCCAAGGCCAGGTCCTCTCTGGAACCTTCACAAACCTGATTTCTGGTCCTCCCCAACCAGCTCCCTGTCCCTGCTTCTGGGCGCTCCTTCCTTCCTGAGCTCCCAGGGTTCCTCAAGGTCACTTTTGGCGACAAAACATAAAAAACAAATGATGGCAGGATGGCAGGAAGAACCTCATACCCAAGCAGAGTGCCAGGTTTTACAGCCTCCGCTCAGCCATTCATATCCTAAGCAACAAAACATCAGCAGGATGCGGAAGGTCCCGATAGTAAACCATCTCCATCACAACCATGTAGCCATCCGTCCATCAACCTGTATCTCAGGAACAAATGTACATACATTCATTTTAAGCATGCATGGTACATTTACAAAAATTAACCTGACTTATTTTGTTCCAGCAAATCTCAATATATTTGAGAGCAATCAAATCACACAGCATGTTTCTGATCATAAAACTGTGCTAGAAGTCAATGATTAAAAGCTAATTCAAAATTATTATTTGCTTGGAAATTCAAAGTGCCCTTATAAGACATAAACATAAGAAAGAATCCAAAATGAAACAAGATTGCCTTTCAACTCAATGATGAGATCATAACATGGCAATAAAATGTCTCCCTCTGGCCTGGGAATTCCTCTTTGTGGCACAAGGTTGCGTGATCTCAAATCACCCCTAACCCACCTAGACATTTTAACATCCGAAACCGAGTGATGATGTCCTTATCTATATTATCTTACTGCCCGTGTGTGTGGACTTTAAATTCTGAACCCAAATGAGGGGGAGAAAACCAAGCTGACTTTCATGACTGGCCTCTCAGGGATGTCCAAGGAATCTGTGCATTTCAAGAAACAAAGCTCATCAGCTTCTCTCCTAAGGTATTTGCCCACAATACCCAGAGGGCTTGGCAGCATCATGTGTGATGGGTGGGGAGCTCCAAGCAGGTGGGCAGGACCCAGGGGCCTGGTGACCAGGACAGACCCCCACTGTCCATCACCTTTCCTGGCCCTGTCCTCAGCTAAACTTCCCACAGGCCTTCTGCCCGATCACACAGAGTGTGCCCAAACTCTCTCAGGCCTCTGGCAGCTGAAAAGCACTGCTTTAAATCCCTTTACCATTTACTATGACATAAGGTTATTGTAAACAGGAAATATTCTATTGATGCTACAAATGGAAAGCCAATGCCTTTACCATAAATAGAAAAACAACCCTAAGAAGCAAGCAAAACAAAAGAAAACAGGGGCTGGGTGTGGTGGCTCACACCTGTAATCCCACCACTTTGGGAGGCCGAGGTGGGCGGATCACAAGGTCAGGAGTTCCAGACCAGCCTGGCCAATATGGTGAAACCCTGTCTCTAATAAAATACAAAAATTAGCCGGGTGTGGTGGTGGGCACCTGTAGTCCCACCTACTTGGGAGGCTGAGGCAGGAGAATAGTTTGAACCCGGGAGGCAGAGTCTGCAGTGAGCCGAGATTGCACCACTGCACTCCAGCCTAGGCGACAGAGCGAGACTCTGTCTCAAAAACAGCAACAACTACAAACAAACAAAAAACAGGGTTAACAAAAGTATGGAATTCAATTCTTTTTATATGCTGCAGCCATGTTCCAGCCCTAGATTTGGCTGGGCATGGTGGCTCACGCCTGTAATCCCAGCACTTTGGGAGGCTGAGGCAGGCGGATCACGAGGTTAGGGGTTGACACGAGCCTGGCCAATATGGTGAAACCCCATCTCTACTAAGAATACAAAAATTAGCTGGGCATGGTGGCGCATACCTGTAGTCCCAGCTACTCAGAGGCTGAGGCAGAGGAATTGCTTGAACCCGGGAGACGGAGGTTGCAGTGAGCCGAGATTGTGCCATTGCACTCCAGCCTGGGGGACAGAGTGAAACTCTGTCTCAAAAAAAAATAAAAAATATATATATATGTGTGTGTGTGTGTCTGTGTGTGTGTGTGTGTGTGTGTGTGTATCTCTATAAATCTCAAAAATAAAAGATCATTTTTGAGATTATCATTTTAAAAGACAAGATAATGTTCAACTTAATGAATAATTTAATTATTACTACTGGACTTTTTGTAGACTGCACAGAGCATTCAAAACAAATGAAGGAGAATAAAAAATATGTATTACATGTTGTAAAATAAATGTGATGTGGTTAATTCTTTTATTCAAAATTATAGAACATATATATGTACTGTAGAATGTATTTCTTATTATGAGTCATGTTAAAAAGTAGTTTAGAAGCTGTTGATTTGAATTTCCTTTTCAAATTTTGCAGGATAATTTTTTTTTTTTTTTGACAGAGTCTCGCTCTGTCGTACAGTCTGGAGTGCAATGGCGTGATCTCGGCCCACTAAAACCTCCACCTCCTGAATTTCAGCAATTCTCCTGTCTCAGCCTCCTGAGTAGCTGGAACTACAGGCTGACACCACCATGCCCGGCTAATTTTTGTATTTTTAGTAGGGACGAGGTTTTGCCATATTGGTCAGGCTGGTCTCGAAGTCCTGGCCTCTGGTGATCCACCAGCCTCAGCCTCCCAAAATGCTGGGATTACAGGCATGAGTCACCATGCCCAGCCTAAACTTGGCAAGATAATAAATAACCTTTTTAAGTGTCGTTGGGCACTTGTCTGGTTGTTTTTCTTTAGGTTACCATGCCAGCAATGATTCCTTTTGAGTTTCTGACAGAAGATAGTGGTTTTCATCCAAATAAGTCAACTACTCTACCCCATCCCTAAGCCACTTGTATGGAAAGAAAAAGAGGAAGAAGCCAGTACTGAGACTGCGTAAGCTTCCCCCAGCATCACCCGCTATGAGATGTGTGGCAGCTGAGACCCGGGAACTGCTCAAGGGCACCAGGCCCCATCTGTCTGCACTCACTCACCTTCCTCAGGTACTCGCATGGGCATGTCACTGACTTTACGTGCTGCTGCAGCTCCTTGGTGAGCTGGCCCTGGTCATGGGACAGGAACCGTGGGGTCAGGACAATAGAGAGCTTCACCATTTGCAGAATGAGAACAGGGGCTCATGATGAGTGCCAACCTATTAGACAATTTTAAAAAAAAAAGTGTTGAATGAGTGGAAAAACAAGGTGATGTTTGAGTCTATAGTGGTCAAGGGCTTCAGAAAAGGACAGAACCAAGTTCAAATTCCTGTACTTTGAATTTCTACTTCATGCCATGCAAAATTACTTTACCCCTTTTAACCTCAGTTTTCTTCTGTGTGAAACAGGAACAATAGTTTCATTCGTCATTCAGTTTCTCTCAAGGTTTCACGAGATCATACCTATAAAACATCCAAGTCATTTAAATGTATCATCATTTCGGTCATAATTAGTGGGATCCATTTCACTATTATTGGATATACAGTTCTGTGCCTGAAACCTACAAAAAAAGAAAATGTTAAGTCTAAAAAGCATTAGTGATTTCTCATTTTTACATTACTAATTATAACCCTGTTTAATCACACAAGGCCTTGTCCGCGGCAGGTGCTCAATAAACACTTGTCGAATCAATGCATGTGGGCTCCGGAGCCACACTGTTTAGATTCTATTCTGCCTCCACCACTTATCAGCTGTGTGATCTGGGTAAGATAATTCACCTCTTTATGTCTGCACTTCCCTCTCCATAAACTATATATAACGAGAATCCTTAGCTCATTCGGTTGTGGTGAGGGGTGAATGATTTGGCACACAGGAGGGGCTTGTTAACATTAGCTGTGATGATCTCCTTCCAAATCTTCATTTTCAGAGCCACAGATGAGGCCATAGTGCAACCAGGTGACCTTAGAGTGTAAGTACACATGATCGCCAGCTATGCTCTATCTCCACCATAGGTCCAAGACTGGGTAGTTCTGGCCTGGAGGCTTCTGCTGCATCTGCCTTCTCAGTGTTCACCTAAGGACTTTTGTATTTTCCTCCTCACATCCCCACAGAAGGGGTTCAGGCTGCCGAACACAGCTGGGTGATGCCAGGGCAGTGGCCACCTGTGCCAGCCCTGTGAGGTAGCTGGAGGATCATTGCTCCTTCCTTCTCAGGCTCTGGGCAGATGCCAGGGCTGGGGTGACCCATGCCCTCAAGTTTCTTGCTTTGGAGGGCCACATTTTCCCTTGGCAAAGAGGGTAAAGGTCACAGGATGCCGGAGAGCTGTGACTTCTCTGTGCCCTGGGCCCAAACTATGAAGACCTGACACACTATGCTAAAAGTCCAAGGCTGGGTGCTCCCCAGAGCTTCTTGCCTCACCACTTCTGCTGAGGGAGGAATGAATACTATGTCCTCCCAGAGCTTTGGGAGCTTGTAGCAAGCAGCCTCCCCAGCGCAAAATCTCTTGGAAACCTCTAACTGTGTCGGAAACATTAGTGCAAATGTTGCATCCTATTTCCCATATGTCCGCATGTTTTAGGAAAAAACCCTCAATTTCCTAAATATGCAAGAAAAATTGGTATTGTAGGACAATGTGACTTTTTAAAAAATGTTATTTAAACATCTTCCCCACCTCCTTTTCTGCCCTCCAAGACTGCCAAATACTTGTTGAACAAATATTATTAAATGCCTACTACGTGCCAGCCATGATTCATGGTCTTGGGGACACAGCAGAGAACGAACTGACAGGATTCCTCTCTTATGTAACTCACATTCTTATATGATAATGATAAGGGTTAACATTAATTAAGCTGTCACTACGTGTTAGTCACGGTGCAGTCATTCCCACACATTATTACACTTAAACCTGCTAGCAAGCTTGCAAGGTAGTTAGTTGTTTTTCCTTTAAAAACTGAGTCTCAGAATGATGAAGCACTTTGTCCAATGTCACACAGCTAGTAAGTGTGGAGACCTTGCATCCAATCAATGCCCGTCTCATTCTAAACACCACGTTATGTGTTCTCCAGCCCATGGAGAATAATTTTAACACAGTCAATGAAATTTCTACACAACAATGTTCTTGTCTCAAGTCCAAGAAAGCCATAATACTGGCTTTCTGGTGAGTAAAGATGCCATTCTCATGTGTAATCAGGTGGCAAATGGAGATATGACCAAAGTAACCCTTTGCCTACACTCATAACCCTGTACACACTCTTCCTGTGTCGATTCAATTCAAGTACCCCTTTTGATCACTTAGCAAATCTGACCTTTAAAAGGGTTAAGGTTTTTATATCCATGTAAGTTTCTGTATTGCTTTGGAAGTCTCTGGTTAAATGAACACCCTTTTTAATAGTGACCTGTGATTCTGTTTTGATCAAGTGTTTTCAAACTTGACATCTTTGATGGGTTTCTCCAGTGTCAAAATCCTAAATCAGGTCTTTTTGGCTTAAAATTAACTTTGGGATTTTTCCACTGCGTCCCTTCGGGAGTCTGAAGAATGCATCTCTCATCTTGTAGAGATATTAAGTGATTCGATTTATTTGGTAGATTATATGGGCGGGCATTGTCAAATGTGGTGATACTGCATGGGAGGGCACTGTCAAGTGAGGTGACATTAGATCTCATCTCAGTTATATTTATGGGTATGTTGTTGATATACATGTTCCAAAAATTACATACATTTATACAAATTTAATATGTTATGATTTGTAATTTTGATAGTTATACTAAATATTTGTTAAAGTTATATTTGTATAAACATGTTATGAATGGCTGGGCACCGTCACTCATGCCTGTAATCCCAGCACTTTCGGAGACAAAGGCAGGTGGATCACCTGAGGTTGGGAGTTCGAGACCAGCCTGACTAATAGGGTGAAACCCTGTCTCCACTAAAAATACAAAAATTCGCCATGCCTGGTGGCACATGCCTGTAGTCTCAGCTACTCGGGAGGCTGAGACAGGAAAATTGCTTGAACACAGGAGGCGGAGGATGCAGTGAGTCGAGATCATGCCACTGCACTCCCACCTGGGCAACAGAGGTAGAATCTATCTAAAAAAAAAGTTATTAATTATTTCTGAAGATTATATGAAATTTATAAAAGTCTGGTGGTCCTGATGTGATGCTGTCAGTCATGATTCTGATTACTGTCTTAAAATGCTGCACATAAGTAATTAAATTTCCTTGTGAACTGGGAAGTTTCATCAGACTTTTATCATAACTATTGTTTCCATCATCCACAGTTACTGTTTTGAATTCTTCTCTAAAAATATTTGTAATTGGCAATAGTCCAAATTTTCTTTTGTTTTCTTTCTTGTTTTTGAGACACAGTCTGGCTCTGTCGCTTAAGCTGGAGTGCAATGGTGGGATCTTGGCTCACTGCAAGCTCTGCCTCCTGGGTTCACGCCATTCTCCTGCCTCAGCCTCCCAAGTAGCTGGGACTACAGGTGCCTGCCACCACGCCCAGCTAATTTTTTGTATTTTTAGTAGAGACGGGGTTTCACTGTGTTAGCCAGGATGGTCTCAATCTCCTGACCTCGTGCTCTGCCCGCCTCGGCCTCCCAAAGTGCTGGGATTACAGATGTGAGCCACCGCGCCCAGCTTAATTTTTGCATTTTTAGTACAGAGGAGGTTTCACCATGTTGGCCAGGATGGTCTCGATCTACTGACCTTGTAATCTGCCTGCCTCGGCCTCCCAAAGTGCTGGGATTACAGGCATGAGCCACTGCAACTGAATTTTTTTTTGTTTGTTTGTTTGAGACAGAGACTCACTCTGTCACCCAGGCTGGAGTGCAGTGGCATGATTTTGGCTCACTGCAACCTCCACCTCCTGAGTTCAAACAATTATCCTGCCTCGTCCTTCGGAGTACCTGGGATTACAGGTGAGTGCCACCGTGCCTGGCTCATTTTTGTATTTTTACTAGAGACAGCGTTTCATCATGTTGGCCAGGCTGGTCTCAAATCCTGGCCTCAACTGATCCACTCTCATTGGCCTTCCAAGGTGCTGGGATTATAGGCATGAGACACCACACCTGGCTCAGTAAGTACATTTTTTATTATCAAAAAAGAGTAGTGTATGATTGGCTTATTCTGTGTAGAATGTATTTTATCGATGGCTTCTATTTTTATAATTTCTGAGTTAAGTAATTTTTAATGAATGCTTTTTAGTTTGGGGCAGATTCAGTTGACTAAAGCACCTCATTTCCCAGATACATGAAATAAAATATTTGGCTTCTTTTCCAATTTCACACTGATGTTATTTTGTGAAAATCAGTGCTTTAAGATAAATCTTTATACTTTAAGGTAAACATGAGAAACTTGATCTAATATTTAATATTTATTCAGTTCTACACTTTATTAACTTCTACACCAGCAGATTTAAAAATTATGTAACTATCTCAAGAAGTTTCACTTGGGTGTAACGGTTCACGCTTGTAATCCCAGCACTTTGGGAGGCTGAGGTGGGAGGATTGCTTAAGACAAGGAGTTTGAGACCAGCTTGGGCAATACAGCAAGATCCCATCTCTATTTTAAAGAAAAGTTTCACTTTGGGAGGCCAAGGCAGGCGGATCACAAGGTCAGGAGATCGAGACCATCCTGGCTAACATGGCAAAACCCCATCTCTACTAAAAATACAAAAAATTAGCCAGGCGTGGTGGTGGGCACCTGTAGTTCCAGCTACTCGGGAGGCTGAGGAAGAAGAATAGCGTGAACCCAGGAGGCAGAGTTTGCAGTGAGCTGAGATTGTGCCACTGCACTCCAGCCTGGGCGACAGAGCGAGACTCCGTCTCAAAAAAAAAAAAAAAAAGTTTCAGCAAATTCCACCTAAGAATTCCACCAGAGTTCTGTTGTCTCCAATGTCATGTTCCACAGATTTCAAGTTGTGAAGCCCTGAACTGTTAATTTATCTTGAGAATGTACATTTAAGCTTAATTTAAGACTATATACCTAAAAATTGAGCATATAATTTGTATAATTTGTTTATGTAAGTTTTTGTAAGTCATAAGTATGTAGTTTCCAAGTATATAATTTATCTGAATGTAATAGGCATTAATATATTTTACATTATTGGGACCATAATACAGAAATTTCTAAATGGTTTGTAAAATAACTTGTTATTTGCAATGTTGTAAAAGTAGTTAATACAATGGAAAAACTCATAATAAGAAGATACATTTTAACATCAAGAAGTTTACCCAAGGTAATTATGAATACTACCTGGCAAACTTTACAGAAGCTGTGGTATCACTTTTATGATAGAAGAATAGTGTTTGCATTTTGTGTAAAAGTACTTGGGGCTGGGAGTAGTGGCTCATGTCTATAATCCCAGTGCTTTGGGAGGTGAAGGCAGGTGGATCATCTGAGCCCAGGAGTTTGAGACCAGCCTAGGCAACATGGCAAGAGCCTGTCTCTCCAAAACCTATGAAAATTAGCCAAGCATGGTGGTGTGAGCCTGTAGTCCCAGCTACTTGGGAGACTCATGCAGGAGGATCTCTTGAGCCCAAGAGGCAGAAGATGAATAAATAAATGGATGCCACTGAATGAGATGAGGTCTCTCTTGAAGGAGAGAGAAAAAGAGATTTAAATAGTAACAATTATAATAAGGCTGGGCGCGGTGGCTCACGCTTGTAATCCCAGAACTTTGGGAGGCCAAGGCAGGAGGATCGGTTGAGGTCACGAGTTTAAGACCAGCATGGCCAACACGGTGAAACAATGTCTCTATTAAAAATAGAAAATTAGCCAGACATGGTAGTGCGTTGCCTGTGGTCTCAGCTACTCAGGTGGCTGAGACAGGAGAATCGCTTGAACCTGGGAGGAATAGGTTGTAGTGAGCCGATAAATATAAAAAGTATTAGAGTCCTAACAGAGGAAAGTTTCCACTGATCACCTTTTAGCTTTGAACAATGCAGAAGCATTTGCCCAGTTTACTTGTAATTAAAAATCATGCATCATTCACAATTTATCAGTCTTTTTTGTTTGTACAAAAACTAATATAAGTTATTCTCTTTTGTCTGTATTGTGACTGGTTTGGTGAGAGGGAATTAGGCCACTCGAGAGTTTGTGTGTGTTTAAAATTTTCTGGCCAGGCACGGTGGCTCATGCCTGTAATCCCAGCACATTCGGAGGCTGAGGCAGGGGTATCACCTGAGGTCAGGAGTTCTAGACCAGCCTGACCAACATGGAGAAACCCCCATCTCTACTAAAAATACAAAATTAGCTGGGCGTGGTGGTACGTGCCTGTAATCCCAGCTACTCGGGAGGCTGAGGCAGGAGAATTGCTTGAACCTGGGAGGCGGAGGTTGTGGTGAGTTGAGATCACGCCATTGCACTCCAGCCTGGGCAATAAGAGTGAAACTCTGTCTCAAATAAATAAATAAATAAATACATAAACTATCACAGCATAAAGTAGGAGGGATATTTCATTACTGTCTAGTTAAACTGGTTAATGCGGAAAGGAAGTCTGGAAATTCCAGTTTTAAAGTAAAATTTTGGACATTGTAGGATTGATTATTTGGCATAGCTGTGATGTTTGTTGCTGCATTATGGTTTTGTTGGCAGGGCAGCCTTTAAGGACCTGTATATTTTCTTCTAGACTCTATATATTCCCCGTCAGTATTAGTTGCATGGTCAAACTGGCAAATTTTACCATAGGTATAAATAATAGAGAATGTGGAAGAATAGTGAATAGTGTCAGAGATAGTTAAAGGTCCATACAGAAGTAGAGAAGGTAATAAGTAATAGTGGCTTGGACTAAATATTTGTTGAATAAATTTTTTAAAAAACAGCCTACCTAAAATTTGTGTTGAAGATATGAATGAATGAAGTTTCCGCACCCTTATGTGGAGCCCTGATAAGTAAGCAAAAATAAGGAAGGGTCCCCAGGTTGGGGAGAGCCCCAAGTTGAGGAGAATAATGAACAATTATTGTATGAACAATTGTTAGAGACAGCTAATCACAAACAACCTGTGGGTACAATGACCTCATTCCACATGTAGCACCCTTAAGCATGACCCTGTAAAACTTTCCTCCAGCCCTTGCCTCTTTGCAGGTAGCTCCTTCTCTGCTGAGCTGCCCACTGCAACATATTTTCATAATTTCTCTAATAAATCTGCCTTTCTTTACCTACAACTATCTTGGTAAATAGCTTTACCACCTGCAAAACTGACCCTAGTTAGTTGCTACCCGATATGGTTTGGCTGCGCCCCCACCCAAATTTCATCTTGAATTGTAGCTCCCATCATCCCCATGTGTCGTGGGAGGGACCTGGTAGGAGGTAATGGAATCATGGGGGCAGGTTTTTCCCATACTGTTCTCGTGATAGGGAATACATCTCACTAAATCTGGTGGTTTTATAAAGGGCAGTTTCCCTGCACATGCTCTCTTACCTGCTGCCATGTAAGACGTACCTTTGCTCCTTCTTTGCCTTCCACCATGATTCTGAGGCCTCCCCAGCCTTGTGGAACTGTGAGTACATTAAACCTCTTTTTCTTTATAAATTACCCAGTCTCAAGTATTTCTTCATAGCAGTATGAAAAGTAACTAATACACTACCCGAGACACCTTAGGAGATTTGTAACAGCTGTAATGCCAGGTCCACCATATTTTTAGCATAAAGCAAATGTTTACCCATGATATGACTGCACAGGCTTTCAGCTGGAGCCATAGCAACTCAAGTAGTAACCCTATCTTAGTCTGATTAAAAGTAAATATTAGTCTGGGCATGGTGGGACATGCCTGTAATCCCAGTACTTTGGGAGGCTGAGACAGAAGGATTGCTTGAGCCCAGGAGTTTGAGACCAGCCTGGGTAACATGGAAAAACACAGTCTCTACAAAAAATACAAAAATTAGCTGAGCGTGGTGGCACACACCTGTAGTCCCAGCACCTTGGGAGGCTGAGGCAGGAGTATCTCTTGAACCCAGGAGGTGGAGGCCGCAGTGAGCAGTGATCATGTCAGAGGCATGTGAACCAGAGCAACTCCATCTTAAATAGGAGCTGGGAAAAATGAGGCTGAAACTACTGGGCTGCATTCCCTGATGGTTAAGGCATTCTAAGTCACAGGATGACATAGAAGGTCAGCACAAAATACCAGTCATAAAGACCTTGCTGATAAAACAGGTTGCAGTGAAGGAGCTGGCCAAAACCCACCAAAACCAAAATAGTGACAAGAGTGACCTCCCGTCATCCTCACTGCTACACTCCTACCAGCACCATGACAGTTTACAAATGCCATGGCAACATCAAGAAGTTACCCTATATGGTCTAAAAAGAGGAGGCATGAAAAATCCACCCCTTGTTTAGCATATCATCAAGAAATAACCATAAAAATGGGCAACCAGCAGCCCTCCTGGCTGCTCTGTCTGTGGAGTAGCCATTCTTTTATTCCTTTACTTTCTTTTTTTTTTTTTTTTTTGAGATGGAGTCTCCCTCTGTCACCCAGGCTGGAATGCAGTGGCGTGATCTCGGCTCACTGCAAGCTTCACCTCCCGGGTTCACGCCATTCTCCTGCCTCAGCCTCCAGAGTAGCTGGGACTACAGGCGCCCGCCACCACACCTGGCTAATCTTTTTGTATTTTTAGTAGAGACGGGGTTTCACTGTGTTAACAAGGATGGTCTTGATCTCCTGACCTCGTGATCCACCTGTCTCAGCCTCCCAAAGTGCTGGGGTTACAGGCGTGAGCCACCGTGCCCCTCCTCCTTTACTTTTTTAATAAACTTGCTTTCACTTCACACTGCAGGATCACCCTGAATTCTTTCTTGCACAAGATCCAAGAACCTTCTCTTGGGGTCTGGATTGGGACCCCTTTCCTGTAACTATCATGCCACTGCACTCCAGCCTGGGCAACAGAGCAAGGCCCTGTCTCAAAACAAAAAAAACTAATATGACTTAATACATTCATTTTGGAGGGCAAGTCTCTCAAAATGGGCCTTTCACTGGGGGAAAATGGTAAAAATACTCCCTGGTAATTCAAGAATTGCAGACTCCTGAGATGCTGCTCATATTAGCTGAACACTTACCAATACTTCACTTTTTTCCATATATACTCAAGGAACAAGTGCTATTTAAAGTGTTTCACTCTGCTGTGCTAGGTGCAAGACTATAAAGAGGTGTGAGGATCAACACTTTTATGAAAACCAACGTCATTCTGAATGTAGTTTCAGATGCTAGTGCAAAGGAAGTTCTTGGTATACGGAAAAAGTATTCAACAATAAATTAGGCATGGTTGCTTCCATTTTCTGCCTCACACACTTTTTTTTCGTGGTTAAAGTGATAAAACGTCTATGATATTTTAGATTGGCAGTTGCAAACTAGTGGTCCTCAGCGGGTTTTTTATGACACCTACAAGGTTTGAAGACTTTGATTTCATATTAAAAATCTGGGTTTCAGTCTGGGTGTGGTGCTGCACTTCTGTAATCCCAGCACTTTGGGAGGCTAAGGTGGGTGGATCACCTGAGGTCAGGAGTTCGAGACCAGCCTGGCCAACATGATGAAACTCTGTCTCTACTAAAAATACAAAAATTAGCCAGGCATGGTGGCATGTGCCTGTAATCCCAGCTACTCAGGAGGCTGAGGCAGGAGAATTGCTTGAACCAGGGAGGTGGAGGTTGCAGTGAGCCAAGATCGCACCACTGCACTCAAGCTTAGGCAATAGAGCAAGACTCCATCTCAAAAAATGAATAAATAAATAAATAAAATCTGGGTTTCAGGCCAGCTGTGGTGGTGCACTCCTGCAATCCCAGCACTTTGGGAGGCTGAGATGGGCAGACAGCTTGAGGTCAGGAATTCCAGACTAGCCTGGGCAACATGGCGAAACCCCATGTCTACAAATAATACAAAAAAATTAGCTGGGTGTAGTGGAGTGTGCCTGTAATCTCAGCAACTTGGGAGGCTGAAGTGAGAGGATTGCTTGAGCCTGGGAGGTTGAGGTTACAGTGAGCCAAGATCGCACTCCTACACTCCAACCTGGGCAACAGAGTCAGAACTACTCTTAAAAAAAAAAAAAAAAAAAAAAAAAAAAAAATTCTGGGTTTCTGGCATCTCAAAAAAAAAAAAAAAAAGGAAAGGTCAGGGCAGCTACAGTCCTCTATTAAGCAATGTGCCACAGCAGGGGTCCCTAATTCCTGGGCCATGGACCTGTACTGGTCTGTGGCCTGTTAGGAACTGGGCCACAGAGCAGGAGGTGAATGGTGGGTAACAACTGAAGCTTCGTCTGTATTTCTGGCCGCTCCCCATTGTTTGCATTGCTGCCTGAGCTCTGCCTCCTGTCAGATCAGCAGCATCATTAGATTCTTACAGGAGCATGAACCCTGTTGTGAATTGCACACACGAGGGATCCAGGTTGCATATTCCTTATGAGAATCTAATTCCTGATGATTTGTGGTGGAACAGTTTCATCCCAAGACCATTAGCATCCTGTGCCCCATCCCTTGCCGCCTGTGGAAAAATTGTCTTCCGCAAAGCCAGTCCCTGGTGCCAAAAATGTTGGGGACTGCTGTGCTTTAGAATCTGCCTGGAATCTGCAGCCTCTATTATATAGTTCCCTATAGACTTTGCTTCCTACCATCTTACATTCTGCCTTATAGGCATTTGTGTTTGCAACTCTTGCTTTTGTCAGTATGCTACGCTGGTGACATTGACCAAATTGACCACACATTAATTATAAGCTTAGTTGGTGATGACCTCAATGGAATAACATGACATAAGTATTGTGACACTACTTCTTGCATGTATCTGCAGGTGGAATTGTAAACCTGGTGGTCCGAGATGGTCTAATTCGATCTTCCTATGTATCTCCTTATATTAATAGTGGTAACATTTGTGGTGGTGATTCAGCGTTTCAATGCCTCTTCTCATGGCAACAACAAACGTTTTCCGTCTGAATCAACATTAACCTAGATGTTACTGCGGATCAGAATTAGACTCTACATTTTCAACCACAGAAATATTGGGCAGTAAACATTTTTCTTAATATTGATTGCCTACATAGGTTGTGTAATTAGCATATGTTTATAGTTCTATGATTTGTGCATGGCTGCTGCAGAGCTGGAGGGGGTAAAGCAACAGTGTTTTCTCAGTTGTGCGAGCAGCATTACATTATAATGAATAGGTAATATTAAACTGGGCTGATAAGAGTTGCAAAAGACTACTTTAATGTTCATATGGAACCAAAAAAGAGCCCGCATTGCCAAGACAATCCTAAGCCCAAAGAACAAAGCTGGAGGCATCATGCTACCTGACTTCAAACTATACTACAAGGCTACAGTAACCAAAACAGCATGGTACTGGTACCAAAACAGACATATAGACCAATGGAACAGAACAGAGCCCTCAGAAATAATACCACACATCTACAACTATCTGATCTTTGACAAACCTGACAAAAACAAGAAATGGGGAAAGGATTCCCTATTTAATAGATGGTGCTGGGAAAACTGGCTAGCCATATGTAGAAAGCTGAAACTGGATCCCTTCCTTACATCTTATACAAAAATTAATTCAAGATGGATTAAAGACTTAAATGTTAGACCTAAAACCATAAAAACCCTAGAAGAAAACCTAGGCAATACCATTCAGGACATAGGCATGGGCAAGGACTTCATGTCTAAAACACCAAAAGCAATGGCAACAAAAGCCAAAACTGACAAATGGGATCTAATTAAACTAAAGAGCTTCTGCACAGCAAAAGAAACTACCATCAGAGTGAACAGGCAACATACAGAATGGGAGAAAACTTTCATAATCTACCCATCTGACAAAGGGCTAATATCCAGAATCTACAAAGAACTTAAACAAATTTACAAGAAAAAATCAAACAACCCCATCAAAAAGTGGGCAAAGGATATGAACAGACACTTCTCAAAAGAAGACATTTATGCAGCCAACAGACACGTGAAAAAAATGCTCATCATCACTGGCCATCAGAGAAATGCAAATCAAAACCACAATGAGATACCATCTCATGCCAGTTAGAATGGCAATCATTAAAAAGTCAGGAAACAACAGGTGCTGGAGAGGATGTGGAGAAATAGGAACACTTTTACACTGTTGATGGGACTGTAAACTAGTTCAACCATTGTGGAAGACAGTGTGGCGATTCCTCAAGGATCTAGAACTAGAAATACCATTTGACCCAGCCATCCTATTGCTGGGTATATACCCAAAGGATTATAAATCATGCCGCTATAAAGACACATGCACACATATGTTTATTGCGGCACTATTCACAATAGCAAAGACTTGGAACCAACCCAAATGTCCATCAATGATAGACTGGATTAAGAAAACGTGGCAATTATACACCATGGAATACTACGCAGCCATAAAAACGGATGAGTTCATGTCCTTTGTAGGAACATGGATGAAGCTGGAAACCATCATTCTGAGCAAACTATCATCAGGACAGAAAATCAAACACCGCATGTTCTCACTCATAGGTGGGAATTGAACAAAGAGAACACCTGGACACAGGGCGGGGAACATCACACCCTGGGGCCTGTCATGGGGTGGGGGAAGCGGGGAGGGATAGCATTAGGAGATATACCTGATGTAAATGACGAGTTAATGGGTGCAGCACACCAACATGGCACATGTATACATATGTAACAAACCTGCACGTTGTGCACATGTACCCTAGAACTTAAAGTGTAATAAAAATAAATAAATAAATAGGGCTGATGAATCATATTACAGTAATCCAATATTTCCCTTGTAAAGTCCCTGAGGTTTACAGAAGGAAATCTTTTCTAATAACAAAAAGAGTGAGGCATGTGCTTTGGTCTTTATTTCCTAGTTATACGATCCTGGGTAAGGAGCTCAACTTTTCTCTGCCAAAATTAAATGAGGATTAAATGAGATCATATATGTGAAGTTGTGAAAGACAGTACCTGGCACATAGCAGGATCAATCAATGTTAGTATCTCTAAAATAGAGATTGAGTCTGAAGATCCACAAAGTGGTAGAACCGATCTTAAGATTCCCAAATAATAGAATTGTGCTTTATTTGCCTAAGTAGTATGGTATTACTTATTGTATGCCCAGGGGATCTTTTTTTTTTAAATAATATTTATTTATTTATTTTGAGACAGAGTCTCACTCTGTCCCCCAAGCTGGAGTGCAGTGGCACCATTTTGGCTCACTGCAACCTCTACCTACCCAGTTCAAGCAATTCTCCTGCCTCAGCCTCCGGAGTAGCTGGGATTACAGGTGCACACCACCATGCCCGGCTGATTTTTGTATATTTAGTAGAGACAGGGTTTTGCCATGTTGGCCAGATTGGTCTTAAACTCCTGACCTCAGGTGATCCAGCTCCCTCAGCCTGCCACAGTGCTGGGATTACAGGTGTAAGCCACCGCACCCAGACCTAATGTTTTATTTTTTGGTAGAGATGAGGTCTTACTATGTGGCCCAGGCTGGTCTTGAATTCCTGGACCTAAGTGATCCTCCCACCTTGACCTCCCAAATTGTTGGGATTACAGGCATGAGCCACCGCGCCCAGTTCCCTTCTTAAATAGTTTTAAGGGGGAGAAGAAAGAAAAAGACTGATTTTCTTCCCTTCCACTACCAAAACAGGCAAAACACACCAGAACACTTTGCTTAGCATTTCTTTTCTTTTCTTTTTTTGAGAAAGAGTCTCCCTCTGTCAGCCAGGGTGGAGTGCAGTGGGGCGATCTTGGCTCACTTCAAGCTCCACCTCCTGGGTTCAGGCCATTCTCCTGCCTCAGCCTCCCGAGTAGCTGGGACTACAGGTGCCCGCCACCACGCCCGGCTAATTTTTTGTATTTTTAGTAGAGACGGGATTTCACCGTGTTAGCCAGGATGGTCTGGATCTCCTGACCTCGTGATCCGCCCGCCTTGGCCTCCCAAAGTGCTGGTATTACAGGCGTGAGCCACCGTGCCTGGCCGTCCCATCATTTTTTAAGATAAATTCACATACCATAAAACTTACCATTTTATTTTCTCTCTCTTTTCTCTTTCTTCCTTTCTTTCTTTCTTTTTTTTTTTTTTTTTTGCAGGCTGGAGTGCAGTGGCCCTATCGTGGCTCACTGCAACCTTGAATTCCTGGGCTCAAGAGATCCTCCCACCTCAGCCTCCCGAGTAGCAGTAGCTGAGACTATCAGTGCGCACCACCAAGCCTGAGTAATTACAATACTTTTTTCTTTTTCCTTTTCTTGATTTTCCGTAGAGATGGGGTCTTCCTATTTTGTCCAGGCTGATCTGGAACTCCTGCCCTCAAAGGATCCTCCTGTCTAATTCTCCCAAAGTGCTGGGATTACAGGCATGTGCCACCGCGCCTGGCCAAATGCACCCCCTTTTTTTAAGTGTACAATTCAATGGTTTTTAATAGATTCACAAAGTCATGGAACCATCACACCTATCTAATTTCAAAATGTTTTCATCACTCCAAAAAATAACCCCATATGGGAGGCCGAGGCGGGCAGGTCACTCGAGACCAGCCTGGCCAACATATTGAAACCCCGTCTCCACTAAAGATACAAAAATTAGTCGGGCGTGATGGCGCACGCGTGTAGTCCCAGCTGCTCGGGAGGCTGAGGCAGGAGAATCGCTTGAACCCGGGAGGCGGAGGTTGCAGTGAGCCCAGATCGCCCCACTGCACTCCAGCCTGGGCGACAGAGCGAGACTCCGTCTCAAAAATATCTAATTAATTAATAAAAATAAAATAAATAAATAAATAACCCCATGCCTTCTGCCTCTGTGGCTTTGCCTGTTCTCGGTATTTTGTGTCAATGGACCCATGCATGGGGGTGGGCCGGGCACCTTTCAAACGTTCAGCCCCCAGGACGGCCCGTGGCCTCCGGATTGGACGGCGCGAGCTGGGTGTGTGTGGGTCGCTCAATCGCTCCGGAGCTTCTGGAGGGGGCAGATGCAGGTGCCGGCTGCTGCAGTGCAGTAGCTGCTGGAGGCTGGGGAGGCCCGGACCCGGTGCAGGAAGACGCCGACCACGCGGGCTCCTGATCGCGGGCGCCCACAGCGCGGACATGGCGGGCTGGTGGCCGGCGTTGTCGCGCGCGGCCCGGCGCCACCCGTGGCCCACCAACGTGCTGCTTTACGGCTCGCTCGTCTCGGCCGGGGACGCGCTGCAACAGCGGCTGCAGGGCCGCGAGGCCAACTGGCGCCAGACGCGGCGCGTGGCCACGTTGGTGGTGACCTTCCACGCCAACTTCAACTACGTGTGGCTGCGCCTGCTGGAGCGCGCGCTCCCGGGCCGAGCGCCGCACGCCCTGCTGGCCAAGTTGCTGTGCGACCAGGTGGTCGGTGCGCCCATCGCGGTCTCGGCCTTCTATGTCGGTGAGGGGCCGGGAGGGGACCTGGGGGGTGGGACCCAGTATTGGGGGACTGGAGGCTGGGACTCGGGGATCAAGCGGCTGGAGGGAGGGCGCTGCAGGAGCCTGGGGACCCGGGCAGGAGCCGGGGCTCTGAGACCGGAGCTGCTTCAGAGGCCTGAAGGGCCAGGGCAAAGGCTAGAGGCTGGGGTGTTTGATTGCGAAAATTTGCAGGAGGCACTGGCTGGGGAGCCGAGAAATTGGGGAGCCAGAGGTCCACCAGGTCAGGAATTTAGAGGACTAGGGTCGGGGCTCAGACTCTGGGGTTGGGTGTAGACCAAGGCTGGAGGTAGGCAGGGCTGCGGAGGTCTTTGCCCCCTGAAAAAGGCCCACGGGAAAATAAAGGAGATCCCAGTTCAAGGCCGTAGCAGCTGCAATGACCGTGAACCAGTCGTGGGACAGGGAAGGAACCGACCTGCTGTTCAGAAAATCCACGCCTGGGGCCCCGGGGCCAACACAGGAACAAAATGCAAGGGGATCAGTGACCCTGAGGGGCAGAGCAGGTGGAATCTGAGGTTGGGCCTGGATCTTCAGCAAATTCATGCCCAGGGGCCTAGTCCTGGTTTGGTAACAAGATTTTCCCCTGGGGTCTCACGGAAAACATCAAGGGACCTTGGATCCTTGCCATGGAGGACTATATACCTGTGAGGGTTCAGGGAACCCTCTCCTTAGAAAATCCGACCCGGGCCTGGGGTGTGGGGGACAGGGGCTTGACTGTGGAAACCTTCTCTACTGCATACAATAAGAACAATGGAAATGGTACCTGAAAAATACCGGGGTTCATTCCCTTAACGAGTCACAAAGGACTCCACCAAGAGGCGGATTTTGATCAATGGGAGTTTTACTTGGCACAAGAAAGGAAGACACTGGGCGTATTCTCCCAAGTAGTGTGTCCCCCAGAGAAAGAGACAGGAGGGTTTTATAAGGTGATGGAGAAAGGAGAGGGTGCATGACTGCATGTAGAGTAGGGGTCCCAGTGAGTCATGATGCTAGCACATAGGCTGCATAGGTTGCATAGGTTATAGTCGTGAAGCTATAGCTTCTCCCGGGGTGAAGACTTTAGCATGGTAATGAGGAGAGTTAACTTGGGTTCATCTACAAGTAACCTGGGGTCACTTAGGAGCTGATTTAAACAAACAGGGTGACCTCATTCCGCCCAGGGTTGGGGAAGAACAGGTTGAGGTCAGGAGGCTGTAAAACAGGCTGATCGCTCAAGTTGGTTAAATTCTTGTCATCTTTGGAGATCCCCCGTCTGCTCACAGGAGGGGCCCTGTGGCCTCTAGCATCATTGCGATTTCTAGAGCCTTGAAGGGGATGGGGTGGGTAACTGGGGAGAAAATCTCTACGGGTCTCAAGCCTGACCTTGGGATTGGGGATCACAGATCTCCCCCCAAATGGGAGGGAACTTCTCCTAAGGGCTGTTGGTGCTTTCTAAACCAGGTTGAAGTCAGACAAGCCACCATCTTGAAGAAACCTACCCTGCCCCGTGTGCCTTATTTTTAAGAGTTGGATTCACTTCCTTTCCCTACAGACCCCACCAGAAACACAAACCACCTGGTTGCCTGTTGTCATTGCGGCCAACTACATGGCTGACGGGGTCAGTGGGTCAGGAGAGCAGGCAGCCTGAGAGCTAGGGCCTCCTGTTTTATCAGAAGGTCTGTGCCTGTGCCCGGTGTGTGATTTGCAGACTAGATTTGCAAACAGCTTCCTAGCACCTGTTACAGGAACCTGGTACACTGGTGAAGGGGTAGGGGACCAGAATGCTATTTAATCCTCAAACAACTAGTGAGATTGTTCTCTTTTTCTTCTTTTTTTTTTGAGACAGAGTCTCGCTTTATTGCCCAGCCTGGAGTGTGCAGTGGCCCAGTCTCAGCTCACTGAAACCTGCATCTCCAGGTTCAAGCAATTCTCCTGCCTCAGCCTACCAAGTAGCTGGGATTACAGATGCACACCACCATGCCCACCTAATTTTTGCATTTTTAATGGAGATGGGGTTTCACCATGTTGGCCAGGCTGGTCTCGAACTCCTGACCTCAAGTGATCTGCCCATTTGGCCTCCCAAAGTGCTGGGATTACAGGCGTGAGCCCTCACACTTGAGATTGTTCTTAATACTCTCATATTACAAATGAGGAAACTGAGTCTCAAAGGGGTTCTGTGACTCACCCAAAGACAACACAATCCAGGCACTTGATGCTCTCATGGTGGGAAGTTTGACAGTTTGCCTGAAACTGAAAGATGCTGAGTTACTAACAAGACTTGAACCTAAGTCCAGGCCAAGCTCTCTGATACAGATTCCTGGCCAGATTGCAGCTTTGCTTTGGTCTTCAGTTTTTCTTTTCTTTCTTTCTTTTTTTTTTTTTTTGAAACGGAGTCTTGCTCTTGTTGCCCAGGCTGGAGTGCAATGACACAATCTCAGCTCACTGCAACCTCAGCCTCCCAGGTTCAAGCGATTCTCCTGCCTCTCCTGCCCCTCCTGAGTAGCTGGGATTACAGGTGCCCGCCACCACGCCTGGCTAATTTTTGTGTTTTTAGTAGAGACGGGGTTTCGCCAAGTTGGCCAGGCTGGTCTCGAACTCCTGACCTCAAGTGACTTGCCCACCTCGGTCTCCCAAAGTGCTGGGATTACAGGTGTGAGCCACCTCACCTGGCCGGTTTTCAGTTTTTCTGGTTCAGTTTCCCTTACCTCACATTTCAATGAAAGGGGAAGTGGAAGGGGATAGAGTGGAGGTTTGCGTAAGGCTTTACATGGAAATTGCAGGAATCAATTGATCTTTGTGCTGGGGCTACCTTGGGGAACCAGAGTCGTAACAGATTAACAACTCTGGCTTGGGAATCAGACACCTGGGTTGAACTCTGTCCGCTATTAACCTCTCTAAGCTCTTTTCCTCCTTTGTAACTCTACCCACCTTAGCGAATTGTAAGGAGGGGCACATGAAATGAGGCACGTAAACTACATAGCATTTAATTAATGCTGGGTAAGTGGAACACAGTATTACCAATATTTTGCTGGGTCATGTAAGAATCGTCTGTAATTAACTAATAAAGCTCTTATATTCCCTCCCTCCTAATCAGGGATTGGAAAGAATTTTTAAAGTACTCTCAGTTTTACAACCTTCCTAAAATAGGAGAGCTTTGCCTTGCTACCTGAATTTATTGTTACTTTTTTCCTTTTCTTTTTCTGAGACAGGGTCTCACTCTATTCCCCAGGCTGAAGTGCAGTGATGTGATCACAGCTCATTGCAGCCTCGACCTCCTGGGCTCAAGCGATCCTCCCACCTCTGCCTCTGGAGTAGCTGGGACTACAGGCACGCACCCCTATACCTGGCTGGTTTTTAAATAGTTTTGTAGAGACAAGGTCTTGATATATTGCCCAGGCTGTGAATTTCTCTTCAGGGATATTGAAGATCAAAGTGTTTTTAGGAAGGGTGAATTGGTGTTCCACTTTCAAATTTTGAATAGGGTAATACTGATGGAAAATTTGTAGTCGCCAGAGTATTTGGGTCCACTGGCCTTTTTTTATTTTTATTTTTTTGAGATAGAGTCTTGCTCTGTCACCCAGTCAGGAGCACAGTGGTGCAGTCTCGGCTCACCTCAACCTCCAAATCCTGGGTTGTGTAGTGGTACAATCTTGGCTCACCGCAACCTCCACTTCCTGGGTTCAAGCGATCCTTCTGCCTCAGCCTCTCAAGAACCTGGAATTACAGGCATATGCCACCATGCCTGGCTAATTTTGTATTTTTAGTAGAGACGGGGTTTCTCCATGTTGGTCAGGCTGGTCTTGAACTCCCAACCTCAGGTGATCTGCCAGATCAGCCTCCCAAAGTGCTGGGATTACAGGCATGAGCCACGCGCCCAGCCCACTAGCTTTTTTAAAAAGACAGAAATTAAAATTTCAAAATGTTCAAATGTTCAACATTTCACAAAATGTTTGGAAGGTAGAGAAAGTAACCAATAGACCCACTATTGTAACCTGATTGTTTTTGTGAATTGTTAGTTTTTGAAAAAATAATCGTTCTGCTATAATTTTTATACTCTGCTATTCTCACTTCGTATTTATCATTCCTTTAAAATTTATCTAGTTTTAGAGTGGAGATTATGTTTTCTTTTTTTTTTTTTTTTTTGTTTGAGACAGGGTCTTGCTGTGTTGCCCAGGCTGGAGTGCAGTGGCATGATCACAGCTCACTGCAGCCTCCACCTCCCAGGCTCAAGCGATCCTCCCACCTCAGCCTCCTGAGTAGCTATGACTACAGGCACGCTACTACACCTGGCTAATTTTTGTATTTTTTGTAGAGATGAGGTTTTGCCCTGTTGCCCAGGCTGGTCTCTTAACTCCTGGACTCAAGCAATCTGCCTGCCTCGGCCTCCCGTTACAGGCTTGAGCCACGGCGCCTGTCTATGTTCTCTTTTCACTGTTGGGTCAGAGGGTCATATTGTTGGATGATAGTGATGGTTACTTTGCATTTTGGAATGGGAAACTTAAACATGAACTGTTATACGGTACTCTACTGAATCTTTTAAAATTTTTTTTGGGTTTTGCAAATAGGTATGAGCATTCTCCAAGGAAAGGATGACATATTTTTGGACCTGAAACAGAAATTCTGGAATACCTATCTGGTAAGATAGGCGTTTGAAAATGTAATCACTATATTTTTGTGTATATATGTATATATATGTGTATAAAAATATATGTTTTGTGTTTATATTTATAAAGATTAAAAAATCTTTTAATTGACACATATAAGTACATATTTTCATATACATGTGATAATTTGACACGTGTTTAATCACATCAGGATTTTTTTGTATGTGTGTGTGTATATATATATATATATATATATATATATTTTTTTTTTTTTTTTTTTTTTTTTAATTAAAAAAACCTTTTTCGAGACAGGGTCTCATTCTGGCACCCAGGCTGGAATGCAGTGGCATGGTCATGGCTCACTGCAGCCTGGACCTCCTGAGCTCAAGCGATCCTCCCACCTCAGCCTCCTGAGTAGCTGAGACTACAGGCATGTGCCACCACACCCAGCTAATTATTTTTAAATTTTTTGGTAGAGACAGAGTCTCACTATGTAGCACAGGCTGGCCTTGAACTCCTGTGCTCCAGTGATTCTCCCACCTCAACATTAAGTACATTTTTATTAAACTATTCCTAAATTAGAGCTCCAGTTTGGTTGACAGAAGGGTCCAATATTTTGACATAGAAATCTTAAAGTTATTTTGATAGATGTATGAGGAGAGGTTTTAAGAGTATCTGTACTTCTCATGAACTGGAAAGAAATAATGTCTCTGGGCCCGGTGCAGTGGCTCATGCCTGTAATCCCAACACTTGGGAGGCTGAGGCAGGCGGATCACTTGACGTTAGGAGTTTGAAACCAGCCTGGCCAATATGGTGAAACCCTGTTTCTACTAAAAATACAAAAAATAGTCAGGCACGGTGGTGCATGTCTGTAATCCCAGCTACTCAGTAGGCCGAGGCAGGAGAATCACTTGAACCTGGAGACAGGTTGCAGTGAGCCGAGATCGCACCACTGCACTCCAGCCTGGGCAATACAGCAAGACTCCATCTCAAAAAAGAGAAAAAAGAAGAAAAGAAAAGAAATAATATCTCTGAATTTTAGTCCATGTTCTCAGTGATTTCTGACTTTATTATATTAACTCTTAGTAATGATCACAATTTACTTTGTAAATTTTGCAGCCAAAGGGACAACAATTTATTCTGTAAATTTGGGATTCTATTTGCAAAATAGAGATTATAGATTGTGAGTGGCTTAATGGAATCATTCCCACATTCAGAGCCAATGTTTTCAGGTGAGCATCCTGCGGAGTCCTGGTGAAAAGAACTTTAACATCACAAAGGTATTGATAGAGAAGGAGAAGGTTTCCAAGGGTTATTCCAAGGTTTGAAGCAAATCAGCATTTTTACTGTTTGCTCGGCACAAATATATACAGTCCAGTCCAATACATATTTATTCATTGATTCAGTTAATATTTATTGAACAGTGTCCTTAAGGCCTGGCAAAATCAGGGATGGTTTTCATCTCTGCCCTAGAGCATGTTTGATTGCATTCATCACAAGGAGGTAAATCTTTGGGATTACAGAATGTTCGCAGACTGGCCTAGGGCTTCACATGTTCTTCCTTCCCTATCAAAAGCAGTGTTGAGCCACACCCAGCTATTACCTCCACAGCTTCTAGCATCATCTGTTGGATGGTACCAGGCCCCTGAGCCAGCATTACTTGATGGCTAGAGGCAGAGGATGGAGAGGTTTGAAGTCAGAGGCTTCCCCTGAGCCTCTATACTCAGGAACAGTAACTATAAGTGTGTTCAGAACTCTTGTGATTTCTCTTAGGGCAGAAATTGAGGACCCCATGGTGACAACCAAATGTGATTTTCTTCTGGTTTTGTTTTTTGTTTGTGTGTTTTGGTTTTTTTGTTTGTTTGTTTGTTTTTTGAGACGGAGTCTTGCTCCGTAGCCTAGGCTGGAGTGCAGTGGCACTCTGCAACCTTTGCCTCCCGGGTTCAAGCAATTCTCAATTCTCCTGCCTCAGCCTCCTGAGTAGCTGGAATTACAGACTTGCACCACCACATCCAGCTAATTTTTTGTATTTTTCAGTAGAGATAGGGTTTCACCATGTTGGCCAGGTTGGTCTTGAACTCCTGACCTCAGGTGATCCGCCTCCCTCAGCCTCCCAAAGTTCTGGGATTACAGGCATGAATCACCATACCCAGCCACTTCTTCTGTTTTACTTTAGAAAAAGGAACAAGTTTTTCCATTATGTTGTAAAGTCTATGGAGATATGTACATCTAACTTTTTTTTTTTTTTTTTTAAAGAGCAAGGACCGGAGGCAGTAGCTCATGCCTGTGATCCCAACACTTTGGGAGGTGGAGGCGGGTAGATCACAAGGTCAGGAGATCGAGACCATCCTGGCTAACATGGTGAAACCGTGTCTCCACTAAAAATACAACAAATTAGCAGGGCATGGTGGCACAAGCCTGTAGTCCCAGCTACTTGGGAGGCTGAGGCAGGAGAATCACTTGAACCCGGGAGGCAGAGACTGTAGTGAGCTGAGATTGCGCCACTGCACTCCAGCCTGGGCGACAGAGCGAGACTCCGTCTCAAAAAAAAAAAAAAAAAAAAGAGCAAGAAGTAGGCAGCTCACACCTGTAATCCCAGCACTTTGGGAGGCTAAGGCAGGAGGATCACTAGAGCCCAGGAGTTTGAGACCAGCCTGCGCAACCATAGTGAGACCCCATCGCTACAAAAATAAAATAAATTAGCTGGGCATAGTTGCAAGTGTCTGTGGTCCCAGCTGCTCGGGAGGCTGAGATGGGAGGATTGCAAGCCTGGGAGGTCGAGGCTGCAGTAAGCTGTGATTGCACCGCTGCACACCAGCCTGAGTGACAGAGTGAGACCATGGTTCAAAAAAAAAAAAAAAGAGAGCAGGAAGTAGAATTGGGAAAGAAGCTTCAGGCAGGGATTTGTAAATGAACAAAACCACAGGAACATTTGCATACTGTTTAAAAAAAAAAACTGGTTACAATGAGTGAGTCTCATCTACCCTCAGGAGAAGAAAGAGGGCAAACCAGTAGTCTGAAGCCCAGCCCATCTGGAGATTTTTTGGGAAGATTTCCTTTAAAGAGGCAGGATGGCTCACGCCTGTAATCACAGCACTTTGGTAGGCCAAGGCAGGCGGATCATGAGGTCAAGGGATCGAGCCCATCCTCGCCAACTTGATGAAATCCCCTCTCTACTAAAAATACAAAAATTAGCATGAGCCCAGGAGGTCGAGACTGCAGTAAGCTACGATTGTGCCACTGCACTCCAGCCTGGGTAACACAGTGAGACCCTGTCTCAAAATAAAAAAATAAAATAAAATAAAGATCTGAAGTTATGCACATACTGGGGGACAGGTCATTCCAGGGGCAGAAGAGCTGAGTACAGTTGACAATGCGTAAAGCACCATGGTATGCCTGGAGGGGAGAAACCACAGGCAGTTTGGTGTTCACAGAGTATTTGTTGAGCAACTTGGAATGAGTTTGGATCCTGGAGACTGTTGAACACCCAGAGCTGAGGATCTTGAACTTCACAGTTAGGTAATGGCAGCAAAGGAAACCAAAGTGGGTGGTTATCGTGACCAAGTTCACATAAGAAATAAGGAAGCATATCAGGTGTGGTGGCTCACGCCTGTAATCCTAACACTTTGGGAGGCTGAAGCAGGAGGATCCCTTGAAGTTAGGAGTTCAAGACCAGCTTGGGCAACATAGCAAGACCCTGTCTGTATTTAAAAAAATAAACATGGTGGCTCACGCCTGTAATCTCACCACTTTGGGAGGCCAAGGCGAGCAGATCATATGAGGTCAGGAGTTCGAGACCAGCCTGACCAACATGGTGAAACCCTGTCTCTACTAAAAATACAAAAAATTAGCCAGGTATGGTGGTGAGTGCCTGTAATCCCAGCTACTCGGGAGGCTGAGGCAGGAGAATCACTTGAACCCGGGAGACGGAGATTGTAGTGAGCTGAGATTGCACCACTGCACTCCAGCCTGGGTGACAGAGCAAGACTCCATCTCAAAACAAACAAACAAACAAAAAAGAAATGAGGTGAGTTCAGCTTGGGAAATGTTGAATGTCAGATGCCTTTGGCCTATTCAGAGGGAGATTGCCGAAGCACAGAGGAGAGTTCATGGCAGGGTTTAATTATTTTTAGCGCTCACATGTCCCAGATTCGGCCAGTGGGAGTTCCCCCAAGCTGGTTCCTGTGTCCTGTGCATCACCCATCTTCTTTCTCCTTTACTTCTTTCTTAAGCCACTTCCTTTCTGGCATGACAGCGTGTTCCAGGATCATCTTGTACTTGCACCTGCCCTGCCCTGGCCCTAGAATCAGCCAATTCTTTGAGGCATCCTGCTTCCTTTTAGTGGGGGAATGATTTGAGAACAAAATATACTACTACATGATACTACATTCTGACAAGAAAAAAAACACAGCCATAAGAAATAAAGCCATGGCCAGGCACAGTGGCTCCTGTAATCCTAACCCTTTGGGTGGCGGAGGTTGGAGGATTGTTTGGGGTCAGGAATTCAAGACCAACCTGGCCCGCATAGTGAGGCCTCGTCTGTATTAAGAAAAAAAAAAAAAAGAAAGAAGGAAAGCCATGTTTGGATAAGTTTAGTCTTCTGATTATTTTTGCTAAAGTTTTAATTTTTTTTTTTTTTTTGAGACAGAGTCTCGTTCTGTTGCCCAGGCTGGAGTGCAATGGTGCAGTCTCAGCTCACTGCAACCTCTGCCTCCCGAATTCAAGCGACTCTCCTGCCTCAGCCTCTTGAGTAGCTGAGATTACAGGTTCCTGCAATCACGTCCTGCTAATTTTTATTTTTAGTAGACACAGGGTTTCTACATGTTGGTCAGGCTGGTCTCAAACTCACGACTTCAGGTGATCTGCCTGCCTTGGCCTCCCAAAGTGCAGGGATTACAGGGGTATATTTTATATTTAAAGCATATTTAACAATTAAGGGCCAGGCTCGGTGTCTCACGCCTGTAATCCCAGCACTTTGGGAGGCTGAGGTGGGCAGATCACCTGAGCTCGGGAATTTGAGATGCACAACAAGAGCGAAACTCCGTCTCAAAAAAAATAAATAAATATAAAATATACATTATGGCCGGGCATGGTGGCTCACGCCTGTAATCCCAGCACGTTGGGAGGCCAAGGCGGGCAGATCACCTGAGGTCAGGAGTTCGAGACCAGCCTGGCCAATATCATGAAACCTTGTCTCTACTAAAAATACAAAATTTAGCCAGGCATGGTCGTGTGCACCTGTAATCCCAGCTACTCGGAGGCTGAGGCAGGAGAATCACTTGAACCCAGGAGGTGGAGGTTGCAGTGAGCCAAGATCGCACCATTGCACTCCAGCCTGGGCAACAAGAGCAAAACTCCATCTCAAAAAATATATATATATACATACACATATACGTATATATGTGTATATATACGTATATATGTATATGTATACACACATTATATGTAATATCTACTTTTAAATATAAACATAAATATTATAAAGCTTTTATTGCAATTGTTCATTTTAGAAACTTCAGAAAATACAAATTAGTAAAAAGAAGAAAATAAGTCTGTAATACCACTTTTAAGGACTATTTTGAAAACCTCTAGCTGTTTTTTGAGATAAATTTACATACCAAGACTTTTTTTTAAAAAATCATAATGATGACTTTTTCATAGGACTGTGTAGGATAAAGCTTGTGAAATGTCTATCTAACATATTTTGTAATATATGAAAATTTCAGCTAAACTTGTTCTATAGCATCACATGGTTTCAATATATTATTAGAAAATCATTCCATAAACAATGGTTTGGTATATAGTTTCAACAATTCAAGGCTGGGCACAGTGGCTCATGCCTGTAATCCTACCACTTTGGGAGGCCGAGGCAGGCAAATCACCTGAGGTCAGGAGTTCAAGACCAGCCTGGCCAACATGGTAAAACCCTGTCTCTACTAAAAATACAAAAATTAGCCGAGCATGGTGTCAGGCACCTGTGATCCCAGCTACTCAGGAAGCTGAGGCAGGAGAACTGCTTGAACCTAGGAGGCAGATGTTGCAGTGAGCCAAGATCTTGCCACTGCACTCCAGACTAAGCGACAGAATGAGATTCCATCTCAAACAAAATAAATAAATAAAATAATTCAGCAGGATGAGGTGGCTCATGCCTATAACCCCAGCACTTTGGGAGGCTGCAGTGGGACTACTGCTTTTGCCTGGGAGTTCAAGACCAGCCTGGGCAACATAGAGATACCATGTCTCAGAAAAAAAAAAATTAATTTAAAAAAAAAGAATTCATTGATGATTCTGTATTTACAAATATATTCCTGCATCATTTGTTCATGGTAACCAGGAAATTGCAATGCATATATACATGCTGTCATTTCCAAAGCCGCTGTCTTCCAGAATTGGTACTGATTCTAGTAGACTTTTCATTCTGGTGTTAAAAATATAATTAATATAGGAATGTCTTCTACCTAATAGCTTTTTTCCCCACAACTCCCCAACCCCCTCACTCTAGAGGCCTTAAGTAGTCTAAGTTAATCAGCTTAGTCTGAAATATAATACTACCTAGGCATCTTGTTGGCCTAGTATTTCTTACTCTTTTATGGAATGAACTGTGCAATTGTTTTGTGTGGTTAAAAGGTATTCTAGGTCAGGTATAGTGGCTCACACCTGTAATCCCAGCACTTTGGGATGCCGAGGTGGTGGATCACCTGAGGTCGGGAGTTCGAGACCAGCCTGGCCAACATGGTGAAAACCCGTCTCTACTAAAAATACAAAAATTAGCCAGGTGAGGTGGTGTGTGCCTGTAATCGCAGATACTCAGGAGGCAGAGACACGACAATTGCTTGAACCCAGGAGGCAGAGGTTGCGGTGAGCTAAGATTGCACCACTGCACTCCAGTCTGGGCAACAGAGTGAGACCCTGTCTCAAAAAATAAAAAACAAAATAAATAAATAAAAAATAAAAGGCAATCTAATAAAGTTGTTGCTTTTTTTTTTTCCCAATTCCAGAGTGGACTGATGTACTGGCCCTTTGTACAGGTAAGTTCCACCTACTCAGTAATATGAACTCAGGGCTTTGGTTTCCATGTGGCCCTAACGGACTCTCTCTCTGTTCCAGCTGACCAACTTCAGCCTTGTTCCTGTTCAATGGAGAACAGCTTACGCTGGAGTCTGTGGTTTTCTCTGGGCCACCTTCATCTGTTTTTCCCAGCAGAGTGGTGACGGCACATTCAAGTCAGCTTTCACCATTTTATATACAAAGGGGACCAGTGCCACAGAAGGGTACCCGAAGAAATGAGAAGTCAAGGACTCTCTTAAAGGGACCACATTTTTTACCTAAAATGCACAGAATTGCCTGCAGACAAAATATTTGATGTGCCAATTATGCACTTCATTTTGAGGAATTACTACTATTTATAGACCCACTTTTTAAAAAATTATCAATGATTATTTTTGAATTGTATTCAGACTTTTTTCCTGTTCTAGTCTGAAATATTACTTCTCTAATATTTTGGTTAATATGAATAATAGTGGCAAAATGGCATTTTAGAATTATTAATATTTCTAATATTTTAACACAAGTTTCAGGAAACTTGGTTTTGATTGTTCACATTTCTATTCTAAAATCTCAGGTTATCTCCTGAACACTTTTGGGCAGATGAAGTTTTATACCAAAAAATAGTTCTTAGAGTGAATTTTAATTTACATAGAACTCAATCGAAATGAAGATTTAATAACCAGATTTCTTTCTCCAAAACATACACAATTTGTTATTTTAGTAAATACCTTTTTTTTTTTTTTTTTTTTTGTGGTGGAGTCTTGCTGTCTCCCCGGCTGGAGCGCAGTGGCACGATCGCGGCTCACTGCAGCCTCCATCCTCTGGGTTCAAGCAATTCTCCTGCCTCAGGCTCCTGAGTAGCTGGGATTACAGGCACGTGACACCAGGCCCAGCTGATTTTTGTATTTTTGTTCATTTGCTTTTGTTTTTGACACAGAGTCTCGCTCTGTCGCCCAGGCTGGAATGCAGTTGTGAGATCTCGGCTCACTGCAAGCTCCGCCTCCCGGGTTCACGCCATTCTGCGTCAGCCTCCCAAGTAGCTGGGACTACAGGCACCTGCCACGATGCCTAGCTAATTTTTTGTATTTTTAGTAGAGATGAAGTTTCACCGTGTTGGCCAGGATGGTCTTGATCTCCTGACCGCATAATCCACCCACCTCGGCCTCCCAAAGTGCTGGGATTACAGGCGTGAGCCACCACAACCGACTTTTTTTTTTTTTTTTTTTTGAGACAGAGACTCGCTCTGTCACCCAGGCTGGAGTGCAGTGGCATGATTTCGGCTCACTGCAACCTCTGTCTCCTGGGTTCAAACGATCCTACTGCCTCATCCTTCGGAGTAGCTGGGATTACAGGCAGGTGCCACCATGCCTGGCTCATTTTTGTATTTTTAGTAGAGAGGGCGTTTTGCCATGTTGGCTAGGCTGGTCTCTGTCCGTCCTCTGAGCTCAAGCTAAGCCATCATATCCCAGTGACCTGCACATATACATCCAGATGGCCTGAAGTTACTGAAGATCCACAGAAGTGAAAATAGCCTTAACTGATGACATTGCACCATTGTGATATGTTACTGCCCCACCCTAACTGATCAATGTACTTTGTAATCCTCCCACCCTTAAGAAGGTTCTTTTTAATTCTCCCCACCCTTGAGAATGTACTTTGTGAGATCCACCCCTGCCCGCAAAACATTGCTCCAAACTCCACCACCTATCCCCAAACCTGTAAGAACTAATGATAATCCACCACCCTTTGCTGACTCCTTTTTTGGACTCAGCCCGCCTGCACTCAGGTGAAATAAACAGCCATGTTGCTCATACAAAGCCTGTTTGGTGGCCTCTTCACACGGACACGTGAGACAGTCTCCAACTCCTGGCCTCAACTGATCCACTCTCATTGGCCTCCCAAGGTGCTGGGATTATAGGCATGAGCCACCGCACCTGGCTCAGTAAGTACATTTTTTATTATCAAAAACAGAGTAGTGTATGATTGGCGTATTCTGTGTAGAATGTATTTTATTGATGTCTTCTATTTTTATAATTTTTAATGAATGCTTTTTAGTTTTGGGCAGATTCAGTTGACTAAAGCACCTCATTTCCCAGATACATGAAATAAAATACTTGGTTTCTTTTCCAATTTCACACTGATGTTATTTTGTGAAAATCAGTGCTTTAAGATAAATATTTATACTTTAAGGTAAACATGAGAAACTTGATCTAATATTTAATATTTATTCAGTTCTACACTTTATTAACTTCTACACCAGCAGATTTAAAAATTATGTAACTATCTCAAGAAGTTTCACTTGGACGTAGTGGTTCACGCTTGTAATCCCAGCACTTTGGGAGGCTGAGGTGGGAGGATTGCTTAAGGCAAGGAGTTTGAGACCAGCCTGGGCAATACAGCAAGATCCCATCTCTATTTTAAAGAAAAGTTTCACTTTGGGAGGCCAAGGCGGTTGGATCACAAGGTCAGGAGATCGAGACCATCCTGGCTAACATGGTAAAACCCCATCTCTACTAAAAATACAAAAAATTAGCCAGGCGTGGTGGTGGGCGCCTGTAGTCCCAGCTACTCGGGAGGCTGAGGCAGACGAATGGCATGAACCCGGGAGGCAGAGATTGCAGTGAGCTGAGATTGTGCCACTGCACTCCAGCCTGGGTGACAGAGTGAGACTCCGTCTCAAAAAAAAAAAGTTTCAGTAAATTCCACCTAAGAATTCCACCAGAGTTCTGTCATCTCCAATGTCATGTTCCACAGATTTCAAGTTGTGAAGCCCTGAACTGTTAATTTATCCTGAGAATGTATATTTAAGCTTAATTTAAGACTATATACCTAAAAATTGAGCATATAATTTGTATAATTTGTTTATGTAAGTTTCTGTAAGTCATAAATATGTAGTTTCCAAGTGGATAATTTACCTGAATGTAAAAGGCATTAATATATTTTACATTATTGGGACCATAGTACAGAAATTTCTAAATGGTTTGTAAAATAACTTGTTATTTGCTTTGTTGTAAAAGTAGTTAATACAATGGAAAAATGGTTTCGTAATAAGAAGATACATTTTAACATCAAAACGTAGGCCGGGCACAGTGGCTTACGCCTGTAATCCCAGCACTTTGGGAGGCCGAGGCGGGCAGATCACGAGGTCAGGAGATCGAGACCATCCTGGCTAACATGGTGAAACGCCATCTCTACTAAAAATACAAAAAATTAGCTGGGCATGGTGGCGGGCGCCTGTAGTCCCAGCTGCTCTGGAGGCTGAGGCAGGAGAATTGCATGAACCCGGGAGGCGGAGCTTGCAGTGAGCAGAGATCAGGCCACTGCACTCCAGCCTAGGCGACAGAGCGAGAATCTGTCTCAAAACAAACAAACAAACAAAAAACTGTACCCAAGTTAATTATAAGTACTACCTGGTGCAAAACTTTACAGAAGCTGTGGTATCACTTTTATGATAGAAGAATAGTGTTTGCATTTTGTATAAAAGTACTTGGGGCTGGGCATGATCGCTTATGTCTATAATCCAAGTGCTTTGGGAGGCGAAGGCAGGTGGATCATCTGAGCCCAGGAGTTTGAGACCAGCCTAGGCAACATGGCAAGAGCCTGTCTCTCCAAAACCTACAAAAATTAGCCAAGCATGGTGGTGTGAGCCTGTAGTCCCAGCTACTTGGAAGACTCATGCAGGAGGATCTCTCGAGCTCAGGAGGCAGAAGATGAATAAATAAATGGATGCAACTGAATGAGATGAGGTCTCTCTTGAAGGAGAGAGCAAAAGAGATTTAAATAATAACAATTATAAGAAGGCTGGGCGCGGTGGCTCATGCTTGTAATCCCAGCACTTTGGGAGGCCAAGGCAGGTGGATCGGTTGAGGTCAGGAGTTCAAGACCAGCATGGCCAACACAGTGAAACCCCGTCTCTATTAAAAATACAAAATTAACCGGACATGGTAGTGCGTCCTGTAGTCTCAGCTACTCAGGTGGCTGAGACAGGAGAATCGCTTGAACCTGGGAGGCATAGGTTGTAGTGAGCCGATAAATATAAAAAGTATTAAAGTACTAACAGAAGAAAATTTCCACTGATCACCCTTTAGCTTTAAATAATGCAGAAGCATATGCCCAGTTTACTTGTAATTAAAAATCATGCATCATTCACAATTTATCAGTCTTTTTTGTTTGTACAAAAACTAATATAAGTTATTCTCTTTTATTTGTATTGTGATTGGTTTGATGAGAGGGAATTAGGCCACTTGAGAGTTTGTGCGTGTTTATAATTTTCTGGCTGGGCCCGGTGGCTCATGCCTGTAATCCCAGCACTTTGGGAGGCCAAGGCGGGCGGATCACTTGAGCTCAGGAGTTTGAGACCAACTTGGGCAATGTGGTGAAACCCTATCCCTACCAAAAATACAAAAATTAGCCGGGTGTGGTGGCTTGCACCTGTCCTCCCAGCTACTTGGGGGTGCTGAGGCAGGAGGATCACTCAAGCCCAGGAGGTGGAGGTTGCAGTGAGCCGAGATCACGCCACTGCACTCCAGGAAGGGCAACAGAGCAAGACTGTGTCTATAAAAAAAAAAAAAAAGAAAGAAAAGTAAATTAACTTTGGTATTTCAGGTTGTATTTATATGGGGACTTCACATCAACTATGTTCACTACAATTGACCAAGTTAAGTGTAGACAGTCTCTTTAATAGAGAGATTATCTGGAACTGCAATTTTTTTTTTTTTTTTGAGACAGAGTTTCGCTTTGTAGCCCAGGTTGGAGTGCAGTGTCGCGATCTCGCCTCACTGCAACCTCTGTCTCCCGGGTTCACGCCATTCTCCTGCCTCAGCCCAAGTAGCAGGGACTAAAGGCGCCCGCCACCATGACCCACTAATTTTTTTTTTTTTTGGATTTTTAGTAGAGTCGGGGTTTCACTGTGTTAGCCAGGATGGTCTCAACCTCCTGACCTCGTGATCTGCCTGCCTCTGCCTCCCAGAGTGCTGGGATTACAGGTGTGAGCCACCGCGCCCGGCCTGGAACTGCAATTTCTAACTCATACATCATTGCTATAAACCTTATTTGTTTACTGTTTCTCTTCCAAGGACGGTCAGTCATCCTTTAAAATTCATTTGAAGTTATGAAAAGATAGTTTTTGTTACATGGGAAATTTACTTTTAGTACAGTAAAATGTTATGTGAATTTCTACAGAATGTTTGCTAGAATGAATTATATCTAGGATATGCTTAACAATATATTCTGGAGGCAGCTTTCATTTGAAATTAGGTTCATCTTCTGAGAGTATTAAAAAGTTAATGGGTTTTTGTGCCTGAAGATTTTGATGTTGCATTTGGCTACATTTAATCCACTTTCACCCATAAGGTTTAGCATCTAAAAAAATTAAATCACTGCTAATGCAATTAAAATGACTGAAAAAGTTTCTTTTAATACTTTCAACAGCTGATACATAAAAAGGGAAATCTGGAATTTGAAGATAAAGTATGTGCTGGAGTTGAAAGGTTAGGAACACATGAAGATCTGTGAACTGTAGCTAACCTTGTGAATAGAAGGCAGTAATTACTGAGTAACATTTTTGGTATATATCAAGTAAAAGCTTGTCTTTTCCTAGTTCTCTTCTCCTTTGTTAAGTGTATCCTTCTCTAACTACATCTTTATTCATCCTTTTCTTCCTTCCTCTTTCTTTGTCCACAACCCAACCAAACCCACTGCTCTCTCCTCTCACCCCCTGCCCGTGCCATGACCACTTGAACATTCCAGGAGGGCAGAATAATTGTAATAAGGCTAAGGGCTTATTACACTTCTTACACTTAAGGACTCAACAGCCTTGCTTTAGAGAGGATGGTAGCGGAGGATCCTCTCTGGTCTCTGTGAGAAGAAAAGAGAAAGGACCATCCTACGGAGAATTTATTTTTATTTTTATCTTTTTTGAGATGGAGTCTCACTCTGTTGCTCAAGCTGCAGTGCAATGGCATGATCTTGGCTCACTGCAACCTCCGCCTCCCAGGTTCAAGCGATTCTCCTGCCTCAGCCTCCCGAGTAGCTGGGACTACAGGCATGTGCCAGCATACCCAGCGAATTTTTGTATTTTTAGTAGAGATGGGATTTCACCATGTTGCCCAGACTGGTCTTGAACTCCTGACCTCAAGTGATCTGCCTATCTGTCTATGATATTTTAGGTTGGCAGTTGCAAACTAATGGTCCACAGCGTGCTTTTTATGACACCTAGAAGGTTTGAAGACTTTGATTTCATAGTAAAAATCTGGGTTTCAGGCTGGGTGCGGTGGTGCATGCCTGTAATCCTAGCACTTTGGGAGGCTGAGGCAGGTGGATCACCTGAGGTCAGGAGTTCGAGACCAGCCTGGCCAACATGGTGAAACTGTCTCTACTAAAAATACAAAAATTAGCCAGGCGTGGTGGCATGTGCCTGTAATCCCAGCTACTCGGGAGGCTGAGGTGGGAGAATTGCTTGAACCAGGGAGGTGGAGGTTGCAGTGAGCCAAGATTGCGCCACTGCACTCAAGCCTTGGCAACAGAGCGAGACTCCATCTCAAAAATAAATAAATAAACAAATAAATAAATATATAAAATCTGGGTTTCAGGCCAGGTGTGGTGGTGCACTCCTGCAATCCCAGCACTTTGGGAGGCGGAGATGGGCAGACAGCTTGAGCTTAGGAATTCCAGACCAGCCTGGGCAACATGGCAAAACGCCATCTCTACAAATAACACAAAAACATTAGCTGGGTGTGGTAGAGTGCGCCTGTAATCCCAGCTACTTGGGAGGCTGAGGCGAGAGGATTGCTTGAGGCTGGGAGGTTGAGCCACGATCACACTCACACACTTCAACCTGGGCAACAGAGCCAGACTGTCTCAAAAAAGAAAAAGAAAAGAAAAAAGAAAAGAAAAAAGGAAACGTCTGGGCACATGCCTGCTACAGTCCTCTATGAAGCAATGTGCCGCAGCAGGGGTCCCTAATCCCTGGGCCATGGACCTGTACTGGTCTGTGGCCTGTTAGGAACTGGGCCACAGAGCAGGAGGTGAATAGTGGGTGGACAATTGAAGCTTCATCTGTATTTCTGGCCGCTCCCCATTGCTTGCATTGCTGCCTGAGTTCTGCCTCCTCTTAGATCAGCAGCATCATTAGATTCTCATAGGAGCATAAACCCTGTTGTGAATTGCACACACAAGGGATCCAGGTTGCATATTCCTTATGAGAATCTAATTCCTGATGATTTGTGGTGGAACAGTTTCATCCCAAGACCATTACCATCCTGCGCTCCATCCCTTGCTGCCTGTGGAAAAATTGTCTTCCACAAAGCCAGTCCCTGGTGCCAAAAATGTTGGGGACTGCTGTGCTTTAGAATGTGCCTTGAATCTGCAGCCTCTATTGTATAGTTCCCTATAGACTTTGCTTCCTACCATCTTACATTCTGCCTTATAGGCATTTGTGTTTGCAACTCTTGTTTTTGTTAGTATGCTACGCTGGTGACATTGACCAAATTGACCACACATTAATTATAAGCTTAGTTGGTGATGACCTCAATGGAATAACGTGACATAAGTACTGTGACAATACTTCTTGCATGTATCTGCTGGTAGAATTGTAAACCTGGTGGTCCGAGATGGTCTAATTCGATCTTCCTATGTATCTACTTATATTAATAGTGGTAGCATTTGAGGTGGTGATTCAGAGTTTCAATGCCTCTTCTCATGGCAACAACAAATGTTTTCCTTCTGAATCAGCATTAACCTAGATGTTACTGCAGATCAAAATTAGACTGTACATTTTCAACCACAGAAATATTGGGCAGTAAACATTTTTCTTAATATTGATTGCCTACATAGGTTATGTAATTAGCATATGTTTATAGTTTTGTGATTTATGTGTGGCTGCTACTGAGCCAGAGGGGGTAAAGCAACAGCGTTTTCTCAGTTGTGTGAGCAGCATTACGTTATAATGAATAGGTAATATTAAATTGGGCTGATGAATCATATTACAGTAATCCAATATTTCACTTGTAAAGTCCCTGAGGTTTACAGAAGGAAATTTTTTCTAATAACAAGAAGAGTGAGGCATGTGCTTTGGTCTTTATTTCCTAGTTATACGATCCTGGGTAAGGAGCTCAACCTTTCTCTGCCAAAATTAAATGAGGATTAAATGAGATCATATATGTGAAGGTGTGAAGGACAGTGCCTGGCACATAGTGGGATCAATCAATGTTAGTATCTCTAAAATAGAGATTGAGTCTGAAGGTTCATAAAGTGGTAGAACAGATCTTAAGATTCCCAAATGATAGAATTGTTATTTATTTGCCTAAGTAGTAGTAGATTACTTATTGTATGTCCAGGGGATCCTTTTTTTTTTTTTTAATAATTTTTATTTCTTTAAGACAGAGTCTCACTCTGTCCCCCAAGCTGAATGCAGTGGCACCATTTTGGCTCACTGCAACCTCTATCTCCCTGGTTCAAGCAATTCTCCTGCCTCAGCCTCCTGAGTAGCTGGGATTACAGGTGTGCACCACCATGCCCGGATAATTTTTGTAGTTTTAGTAGAGGCAGGATTTTGCCACGCTGGCCAGGCTGGTCTTAAACTCCTGACCTCAGGTGATCCAGCTGCCTCAGCCTCCCAAAGTTCTGGGATTGCAGGCATGAGCCACTGGGCCTGGCCTTTTTTTTTTTTTTTGTGAGGCAGGATCTCACTCTGTTGCCCAAGCTGGAGTGCAGTGGCACTACCATGCCTCACTGAAGCTTTGAACTCACTGGCTAAAAAGATTCTCCCACCTCAGCCTCCTGAGTAGCTCCATGGGTATGCACCACCACACCCCATTATTTTATTTTTTGAGAAGGAGTCTCACTCTGTCACCCAGGCTGGAGTGCAGTGGCATGTTCTTGACTCACTGCAACCTCCACCTCCCAGGTTCAAGCAATTCTCCTGCCTCAGCCTCCTGAGTAGCTGGGATTATAGGCGCATGCTATCTTGCCTGGCTAATTTTTTTGTATTTTTGTATTTTTTAACTAGAGACAGGGCTTCACCATGTTAGCCAGGATGGTCTCGATCTCCTGACCTTGTGATCTGCCCACCTCGGCCTCCAAAAGTGCTGGGATTACAGGTGTGAGCCACCGTGCCCAGCCCTGGTATTTTTTTTTTTTTTTTTTGTAGAGATGAGGTCTTACTATGTGGCCCAGGCTGGTCTTACATTCCTGGACTCCGACCTTGACCTCCCGAAGCGTTGGGATTACAAGCATGAGCCACCTCGCCCAGTTCCCTTCTTAAATAGTTTTAAGGGGGAGAAGAAAGAAAAAGACTGATTTTCTTCCCTTCCACTACCAAGACAGGCAAAACACACCAGAACACTTTGCTTAGCATTTCTTTTCTAAAGTGACCAAAATTTATAATAGACACTTAAAATGTGTACTGGAATATATCCCAATTATATCCCCAGTCTATAACTCAGCTATATGCAGCTCCTTTGTCTTATTAATGCTATGAATCAGCAATAGTTTATGTTTTCATATCACCTGAGGCCATGCAATCCTCTTTTTTGGTTGTTGAAATAATTTCTATAACTATTTCACAATTTCAATTGCCAACATTAATTCAACAGTATTTAAGCTGTCTGTCCCAGACACTATGCTAGCCTTTGGAGATTTCCAAGGTGAATAAGGTGAGGACCCGGCTATTTGCCTACGGTCTAGCAGACAGACCTTTTTTTTTAATTTTTTGAGACTGAGTCTCGCTCTGTCACCCAGGCTGGAGTGCAGTGGTGCGATCTCAGCTTACTGCGAGCTCCGCCTCCCCAGTTCACGCCATTCTCCTGCCTCAGCCTACCGAGTAGCTGGGACTACAGGCGCCCACCACCACACCTGGCTAATTTTTTGTATTTTTAGTAGAGACACGGTTTCACTGTGTTGGCCAGGATGGTCTAGATCTCCTGACCTCGTGATCCGCCCGCCTTGGCCTCTCAAAGTGCTGGGATTACAGGCATGAGCCACTGCGCTTGGCCACCTTTTTTATTTTTTATTTTTATTTTTTTGATAGGAGTCTCCCTCTGTCTCCCAGCCTAGAGTGCAGTGGCACGATCGTGGCTCACTGCAACCTCTGCCTCCAGGGTTCAAGTGATTCTCCTGCTTCAGCCTCCTGAGTAGCTGCAACTTACAGGTGTGTGTCACCACACCCAGATAATTTTTGTATTTTTAGTAGAGACAGGGTTTCGCCACGTTGTCAGGCTGGTCTCGAAATCCTGACCTCAGGTGATCTACCCGCCTCAGCCTCCCAAAGTGCTGGGATTACAGGCATGAGCCACCGCACCTGGCCAGCAGACAGACTTCTAAGCAAATTACAGCTACCACTTTTTGTATGCTCACTAACTGTAGATAAGGGTCTATGCCAAGCCCTTTACATCATGTGGTAATTGATATGGTGTAGTTGAGTGGTTTCTACCATCGATTTCCTTACCTCCCCCACTTCCCAACAGCTCCCAGTTCCTTTTTGGGGATCTTCCCAGAAGATGACTTTACTTGGCTCAAGAGGTGGAGCACATGACAGATTAAGCCAATCAGGGCGTTTCATGCCCCTTGCTACAGGGTTCAGAGACAATCATGTTATCTGCAGCTGCCCAATTAGAGTGAATCTCATAACCTTTGATGGAAAACCAGGACAAAGGCATATTCTCTCATTGTGTCATAGAGATGTTAATATAGATGTAAGGCCTAGGACTACCATAGCCATTTTTTGTTACCGTGAAAGACATGGAGGCAAGAGGGTATCACTGAAAGAATCTCAGAGAAACCCTGATGATTTCATAACCTCTGATATAGCCTATGCCCAAAGCCTGCTCTGGGCTTTTCTGTTATAGGAGCTAGGAGATTCCCTTTATTTTTCAAACCACTGGGAATTAGGTTTTCTGTTACTTGAAGGAAAGCATCATAAAGGATACACAGGACCTTTTTTATAACACAGTAGATATTATTCTCATTTTATTTTTGTGTGTTTTGTTTTGTTTTGTTTTTTAAGACAGAGTCTCGCCATCTCAGCTCACTGCAACCTCCACCTCCTGGGTTCAAGCGATTCTCGTGCCTCAGCCTCTTGAGTAGCTGGGACTATAGGAGCGCACCGCCATGCTGAGCTAATTTTTGTATTTTTAGTAGAGACAGGGTTTTGTCACGTTGGCCAGGCTGGTCTCGAACCCCTGGCCTCAATGGATCCACCCACCTTGGCCTCCCAAAGTGCTGGGATTATAAGTGTAAGCCACCACACTCAGCTGATTCATTTATTTTCATTTTTTTTTGCCATACAAACCAACAACTTGCAAACTCCCATTATAAACATTTCCAGAAATTTATGGGGTACAGGTGCAATTTTGTTGCATGCATAGATTTCATACTGGAGAAGTCAGAGCTTTTAGGCTGTCCATCACCTAAATGACGTGTATTGTACTGAATAAGTAACTTCTCATCATCCACCCACCTCCCACACCCTAACCCTTCTCAATCTCCATCATCTATCATTCCACACTCTACATTTCTGTGTACACATTCTTTAGCTTCCACTTATGAGTGAGAACATGCAATATTTGTCTTTCTGTGTCTGGCTGGTTTAAGATAATGGCTTCCAGTTCTGTCCATATTGCTGCAAAGGACATGGTTTCATTCTTTTAATGGTTGAATAGTATTCTATTGCGTATATGTATCACATTTTCTTTTTTTTTTTTTTTTTTTGAGACGGAGTCTCGCTCTGTCGCCCAGGCGGACTGCGGACTGCAGTGGCGCAATCTCGGCTCACTGCAAGCTCCGCTTCCCGGGTTCACGCCATTCTCCTGCCTCAGCCTCCCGAGTAGCTGGGACTACAGGCGCCCGCCACCGCGCCCGGCTAATTTTTTTTGTATTTTTAGTAGAGACGGGGTTTCACCTTGTTAGCCAGGATGGTCTCGATCTCCTGACCTCATGATCCACCCGCCTCGGCCTCCCAAAGTGCTGGGATTACAGGCGTGAGCCACCGCGCCCGGCCCACATTTTCTTTATCCACTCATCTGAAGATGGACACTTAGATTGAGTCCACATCTTTGCTATAGTGCATTCACTCTCATTGTTATAGTTGAGAAAACAAAGGTCCTTGCCCTTTGCCACTAAGCCAATACATGGCAGAGTCAGGTTGATTTCCAAACCCACACTCTTATGATCATGCTTCTAGTAACTCCAGTGCAGTTTAAGAGGTATATCAAAGATACAGTAGTGACAGCCAGGCATAGTGGCAGGCACCTGTAATCCCAGCTACTTGGGAGACAGGAGAATCACTTGCACCGGGGAGGTGGAGGTTGCAGTGAACCAAGATGGTGCCACTGCACTCCAGCCTGGTCAACGTAGCGAGACTCCATCTCAAAATAAATAAACAACTAAATAAATAAAAGGGATACAATAGTGACATAAAGGAATGATCAGCTCATTGTGTGTGTGTGTGTGTGTCTGGTGGCCATGGAGATATTCCAGGGCACCAGACATGGACAAAAGTATGAAGTGAAGGGCTCATGGTATATGCTAAATAAATGTTTCTATTTTATTTTCCTTTGCGCTTCTGAGAAATTTGCTGTGCTAGGGAATCTTAGTGGGAGGTTCCAAATGTCTCTAATGGGTCCTTAAAAGTAACACAGGGGACTGAGAGTTACTTTCAAAAAGCTAGTATTTTAAAACAGGTTGTGCAGATGAATTCAGACTTTTGTTTGTTTGTTTGAGACAGTGTCTCATTCTGTTGCTCAGGCTGGAGTGAGGCAGTACAATTATAGTTCACTGTAGTCTTGACCTGCTAGGCTCAAGCAATCCTCCTACCTCAGTCTCTGGAGTAGCTGGGACTACAGGCCTCCACACCTGCATAATTTTTTTTTTTTTTTTTTTTTTTTTTTGTAGAGACAGAGTTTCACCATATAGCCCAGGCTGGTCTTGAACTCCTGGCCTCAGGCAGTCCTCCTGCCTCGGCCTCTGAAAGCATTGGGATTACAGGCATGAGCCACTGTGCCTGGCCCAGACAGGCCCAGACTTCTTTACCATGGATGAGATCTTTGTCAACTCAGTGTGGCCATCTCACGCTGCTTTGTCAACAAGTTCTTTTTTTTTTTTTTTTTTTTTTTTTTTTTAATGAGACAGGGTCTTACTCTGTTACCAAGGCTGCAGTGCAGTGGTTCAATCTCGGCTCACTGCAACCCCTGCCTCCTGGGTTCAGGCAATTCTCCTGCCTCCGCCTCCTGAGTAGCTGGGATTATGGGTGCCCACTACCACACCCGGTGGTACATAATAATAATTTTTCTATTTTTAGTAGAGACAGGGTTTTGCCATGTTGGCCAGGATGGTCTCGAACTCCTGGCCTCAAGTGATCCGCCCTACGTGGCCATCCAAAGTGCTGGAATTACAAGTGTGAGCCACCGCGCCTGGCCACATTCTATCATTTTTATATTGGTTTAGTCCATCCTGTCTTTGATTCCACTGCCATTGCTTATTTCAGATCATTGCTGTTTCTCATGGAGACCCTTGATACTCAGAGTGTGGTCCATGGATCAGAGTCTCAACATCACCTGGGAACATCTAGGAATCTTAGATACCCACCTCAGACTCTCTGGATTAGAATGTGCATTTTAACACACTGAAATTTGACAAGCACTAATAAATTTTTTCACTAGAGTCTTCCAATGATCTCCCGACTCTAGTTTGGTTTTGTTTTTTCAGAGATAGGGTCTCTCTCTCTCTCTCTCTCTCTCTCTCTCTCACCCAGTTGAGAGTGCAGTGGTGCACTCCATAGCTCACTACAGCCTTCAGCTCCTGAGCTCAAGTGATCCTCTTGCCTCAGCCTTCTGAATAGCTAGGATTACACATGCATGCCATTACATGCAGCTACGTTTCTACTTTTTGTAGAGACAGGGTCTCACTATGTTTTCCAGGCTGGTCTCGAACTCCTGGCCTCAAGAGATCATTCCACCTTGGCCTCCCAAAGTGCTGAGATTAGAGGCATGAACCACTGCGCTGGGCCCCTGCCTCTAGTTTTTTTGTTTGTTTGTTTGTTTTGAGACAGAGTCTCACTCTATCACAAAGTCTAGAGTGCAGTGGCGCAATCTTGGCTCACTGCAAACTCTGCCTCCAGGGTTCAAGCAATTCTCCTGCCTCAGCCTCCTAAGTAGCTGTTCCAAGCATTTTGAGAGGTGGAGGTGGGCAGATCGCTTCAGCCCAGGAGTTCAAGACCAGCCTGGACAACGTGGCGAAACCCATCTCCACCAAAAATACAAAAAATTAGCTGGGTGTGGTGGTGCACCTCAGTGGTCCCAGCTAGACAAGAGGCTGAGGTAGAAGGATCACTTGAGCCCAGGGGCGGAGGTTGCAGTGAGCCGAGATCCTGCAACTGTGCTCCAGCCTGGGTAACAGAGCGAGACCGTGAACATTAAATAAAAATGGATTGTCTAGGGGAGAGAGAAGTTGAGACCAAAATAGTTCAATGCTAGTAGAGAGTAAGGGACAGAGTATAGGTTAATAAATTTAGATTTACCTAGGTAGTATCAGCCAGATTTGTAGGTCAAAGTACAAATTTACGGCCGGGCACCGTCCCAGCACTTTGGGAAGGTGAGGCAGGTGGATCACTTGAGGTCAGGACTTCAAGACCAGCCTGGCCAACATGGTGAAACCCTGTCTCTAGTAAAAATACAAAACGAAATTAGCCAGGTGTGGTGGCGCTGCCTGTAGTCCCAGCTACTAGGGATTCTGAGGAAAGAGAATTGCTTGAACCCAGGAGGTGGAGGTTGCAGTGAGCTGAGATCATGCCACTGCACTCCAGCCTGGGCCACAGAGTGAGACTGTCTCAAAAACAACAACAACAAAAACAAAGTACAAATTTACTGGTTTCAATGACTAGCTCAAACAAAGGTGTCATCAGCTGTCATAGGAAATACACAAGATAGGATCTGGAGGAAGATATTAAATTTGAAGTGCTTCTGGGATATCTAGTCTAGTGGTGCTGCCCAACAAAGAGTTGTATAGACACATCTGGAAATATAAGTTCGTAAACTTTTAGCATGTCTTTACTCACTTTACTGTTTAGTTTAGGTGAACCTTTTTCCAGAGGGTAACTCCCCTGCATAGATGATGGTAAAAAACTGTAGAGACTAAGGTTGGGGTTATAAATACACAGTAAATATAGGTAGAATGCAAGGAATTTTTTTTTTTTTTTTTTTTTTTTTTTTGGAGAGACACGATCTCACCAAGTTGCCCAGCCTGGCCTTGAACTCCTGGGCTCAAGCAATCTTCGTGCCTTGACCTTCCACAGTGCTGGGATTACAGGTATGGGGTACCACCTCCGGCCAGATGCAAGGATTTTATTTCCTGGATGGAGCAGCATTTTGGAGCATCCAGAAATATCAGCCCTGTATGCAAGGGGATGCTGTTGAATCAATTCCACATGAAATAGACAAGGCATACTAGCAGTTATGTTAGGATGTTATTATTTGAGCCATACACAGATCAGGGGGCACTTTAGAATTTTTCTTCTGCTTACTCAGTTCATTCATACGTTCAACAAGCATTGGCTGGGTATCTACCACGTGCCTTTCAATATTTCAGCTCTGATGATTTGAAAGTAAATAGAACACATTTCTACTTCATGGGTATCCTCATGTAAATATGTGATTTATAAATGAGTTGTATTACTCACGCACATTTCTTTTCTTTTCTTTTCTTTCTTTTTTTTTTTTTTTTTTTTTTTGAGACAGAGTCTCACTCTGTTGCCCAGGCTGCAGTGGTGTGATCTCGGCTCACTGCAACCTCTGCCTCCCAGGCTCAAGCGATTCTCAAGCCTCAGCCTCCCAAGTAGCTGAGTAGCTGGGATTACAGGCACACGCCACTACGCCTTGCTAATTTTTGTATTTTTAGTAGAGATGGGATTTCACCATGTTGGCCAGGCTGATCTCAAACTCCTGGCCTCAAGTGATTTACCTGCCTCGGCCTCTCAAAGTGCTAGGATTACAGGCATAAGCCACCATACCCAGCCCTCACACACACTTCTGGTGAGTATAACTTGGCATGACACTTTTGAAGGATGGCTTGATAATATAAAATGCCTTTAAAAATGTGCATATCCTTTGATTCAGCAATTTCACATCAAGGAATTTTTCCCAAAAGAATAAGATATCTACAAAGCTTTAACTGCAAGACTGCTCCTCATATTTTGCTGATAATCTCGAGAATTTAGGAATAACCTGTTTGTCCCCAGAACCAAGGAGATTGGTTATATAAATTATTCTATAGCTAGCAGGAAACCAGTGGATGATTTTCTTTTTAATTTTTTTTTTTTTTTCAGAGACAGGTTCTTGTTCTGTAGCCCAGGCTGGAGTGCAGTGGTGTGGTGATCACAGCTCATTGTAACCTCGAACTCCTAAGCTCAAGCGATCCTCCCACCTCAGCCTCCCAATGGAGGTTTTTAAGCAGGAGAGTGGCATTGGATGTGTGTGTGTGTGTATCTAATTTTAGAAGTCGTGTGGAGAATGGTTTTCAGTAGGGAGAAAAAAAACCCAGAAAAGATGTTTTTTGCCACAGTGTAGGTCAGAGATGATGCAAAATTGAGCTAACTTAGGCAGTAGGAAGGAGGAGGAGAATCAGATTTGGGAGCTATTTCCAAAATAGAGTCAATAGGATTTGTTGACTGACTGTGGCAGAGAGTGTTGGGATGTTGCAGAATAAGGTACCAAGGATATACTGAGATTTCCAACTCGGATGGAGCAGGTATGGGGGCTGATATAGTGAATCTGACTTTGAATATGATCAGGTTGAGGTTATAAATCCCTCTTCATGGGCACTGCCATGGTGGTTTCTTGAAACACCTTTGAGAGGTGATGTGGGATGTGGCGAAGTGTTTAGGCTTTGAGACTGGCTGGCTGAGTTTGAATGCTGGTTCTGCCATGTGTTAGCAAGTAATTTACTTACCCAAACTCTCTGAGCTACAGCCCCTGTCTCACAGGATACTACAGCATAGAATGAAGAAGGATAAATCTGGTACAGTGCCCAGCACATAGTAACCACGCAATAAACATCAGCTTTAAAAAAACAGACAATGCGGGCTGGGCGCAGTGGCTCACGCCTGTTATCCCAGCACTTTGGGAGGCCGAGGCAGGCGGATCACAAAGTCAAGAGATCGAGACTATCCTGGCTAACTTAGTGAAACCCCGTCTCTACTAAAAATACAAAAATTAGCTGGGCATGGTGGTGCATGCCTGTAATCCCAACTACTGGGGAGGCTGAGGCAGAACAATCGCTTGAATCTGGGAGGCGGAGATTCCAGTGAGCCGAGATAACGCCACTACACTCTGACCTGGCGACAAAGCGAGAAAGCGAGACTCCCTCTCAAACAAAAAACAGTCAATGCTGCCTGTAATCCCAGTATTTTAGGAGGCTGAGGTGAGCAGATTGGGCTGAGGTTGGGAATTCAAGACCAGCCTGGCCAAAAGGTGAAACCCTATCTCTACCAATAATACGAAAAATTAGCCAGGCGTGGTGGTTCATGCCTGTAATCCCAGCTACTTGGGACAGGCGTGGTGGTTCATGCCTGTAATCCCAGCTACTTGGGAGGCTGAGGCAGGAGAATCGTTTGAACCTGGGAGGCGGAGGTTGCACTGAGCCGAGATCGCGCCATTGCACTCCAGCCTGGGGGACAGATTGAGACTCCATCAAAAAGAGAAAAGAAAACCACAAAAAAACTCAGACAATTCTATAATAGAGGGAGAATACGCATGCAACCCAGGGATTTTTCTCAGATACCCTACCCATTCTCAAATAGCATGTGCTCTAAGCTCCTATGGTAAAAGCTTCATGCCCCTGCAAAACTCACACACCTGATCCCACTCCTCAAGCACTTCATGGAGAAGCAGCAGCTCCCAGCTCTATAACAGATAGGGGATTTCAGGTCCTAAGTCTTGAGAGCAAATATTTCCTCAACTTCTTTTCTCTCTCTCAAGCCTCCTTTAAGAGGAATACATACTATGCTTTCTGGAACTCTGTTCTACCTTCCAAACCCATTTATATCTTTTACGATTTTTTTTCCCCAAGATTGCGGATATTTTCTATTTTTTTTCTGGAGACAGTCTCGCTCTGTTGCCCAGGCTGGAGTTCAGCGGTGCGATCTCAGCTCACTGCAACCTCCACCTCCCGGGAGGAACTGCCAGACCATCTTCCAAAGAGGTTGCAACATTGTATATTCATGGTATGAGAGATCTAATTTTTCTACTCAATGTCATTTTAATGGTGTGGTGTTTTGTTTTGTTTTGTTTTGTTTTGTTTTGTTTTGTTTGAGACAGGATTTCACTGCCACTCAGGCTGGAGGGCAGTGATCCAGTCATAGCTCACTGCAGCCTCAACCTCCTGGGTTCAAGTAAGCCTCCCACCCCAGCCCCCTGAGCTGCTGGGACCACAGGCACATGCCACCACTCCCGGCTAATTTTTTAATTATCACTTGTATAGATGGGATCTCCCTATGTTGCCCAAGCTGGTCTTGAACTCCTGGGCTCAAGCAATCCTTTTGCCTCAATCTCCCAAAGTGTTAGTGAGAGGTGAAGCCCGCTGCATTTCCTGTATGGAGTGGGGACTTGGAGAACTTTTCTGTCTAGCTAAAGGTTTGTAAACGCACCAATCTGCACTCTGTAAAAACTCACCAGTCAGCGCTCTGTGTCTAGCTAAAGGTTTGTAAACGCACCAATCTGCACTCTGTAAAAACGCACCAATCAGCAGGACATGGGCAGGGACAAATAAGGGAATAAAAGCTGGCCACCTCCAACCAGCAGTGGCAACCTGCTTGGGTCCCCTTCAACGCTGCGGACGCTTTGTTCTTTCGCTCTTCACAATAAATCTTGCTGCTGCTCAGTCTTTGGGTCTGCACCACCTTTGTGAGCAATAACACTCACTGCGAGGGTCTGCGGCTTCACTCCTGAAGTCAGCGAGACCGTGAACCCACCGGAAGGAAAAAACTCCAGACACATCTGAACATCTGAAGAAACAAAGTCCGGACACACCATCTTTAAGAACTGTAACACTCACTGCGAGGGTCCACAGCTTCATTCTTTAAGTCAGAGAGACCAAGAACCCACCAGAAGGAATACATTCCAGACACATTAGGATTACAGGTCAATGTCATTTTAATAGGTTTTTGGTTTTGATTTGGAGACTTCATTTGGTAAATTCTCAAAGAGTCAGCACTCAAAATATCAGCTAACACGTTGCTTCAACCCAAGAAGGATGATGATCATGATGATGATACTAACTTGTACTGAGGACCTCCTATGGGCTGCCATACTTTATCTCATTTAATCATAATAGTCCTCTGGGGCTGGGTGTGGTGGTTCATGCCTATAATCCCAACACTTTGGGAGGCCTAGTCAGGCGGATCACCTGAGGTCAGGAGTTCCAGACCAGCCTGGCCAAAATGGTGAAACCTCGTCTCTACTAAAAATACAAAAATTAGCCGGGCCTGGTGATGTGCGCCTATAATCCCAGCTACTCAGGAGGCTGAGACAGGAGAATCACTTGAACCTGGGAGGTGGAGGTTGCAGTGAGCCAAGATCACACTACTACACTCCAGCCTGGGCAACAGAGTGAGACTCCATGTCAAAAGAAGAAGAAGAATAGTCCTCACCACTACACTCCAGCCTGGGCAACAGAGTGAGACTCCATGTCAAAAGAATAATAATAATAATAATAATAATAGTCCTCACCACTACACTCCAGCCTGGGCAACAGAGTGAGACTCCACATCAAAATAATAATAATAATAATAGTCCTCAGAATAGATAATAATGTCATTAGCATTTGAAAGAAAGTGAAGATTAAAGAAATTAAGGGACACAACACACAGAGTCACACAGCCAGCAGGTGGCAGAGTCAGGGCTCAAACTCAGATCCTCTGGATTTCACGGCCCGCATTTTTGAAAACCATGCGATTCTCATAAGCTCAGTGTCATGGACGTTTGAAATTCTCAACATGCTGGATGAAGTATCAAATTACCAGGATGAGATTGCATTATTTTTCCTTTCAATCAAGCAAAATGACAGTTATAAAAGTGTCTTGCACTGGCCCCTGCTGCCTTGGCTCTTTATAATCACCCAGGATCCCTCCAAGTCCTTGGCATTCCCAGCAAAGCCGAGGCACTGAGCCAGGACAAGCAGCCAGGGCTCGGGGGCGGTGGCGGGGGGGTGAGGGGGTGAAGGGGAGGGTGTGGGGGGGTGTTGCTGCTTAATACTTCCATGCAGATGGTGACTTCAGCCAGTTACTGAACTTGAAGCATTATCACCCTATGCTAATGCAAACAGACAGGGTTCTGGGGACTGTGGTGGCAGGGATAGTTTGTCCTCTAGGATTGTGGAATTGTATTACACACTTTTAGAAATGAAATGTATTCGTTTTTGAATTCTAAAACAATATGGGCTCAATATAGATGGTTGGAAAATTCATAAAATTAAAAAAAAATCTTTCCCAAATTTCAACTCTAGAAACAACCATTGTTAATATTCTCTTGTATTTACTGCTAGTCATTTTATTTTTCATACCTTAAAACCATTATTTATTGCTGGGCGTGGTGGCTCACGCCTGTAATCCCAGCACTTTGGGAGGCTGAGGTGGGCGGATCATGAGGTCAGGAGATCAAGACCATCCTGGCTAACACGGTGAAACCCCGTCTCTACTAAAAATGCAAAAAATTAGCCGGGCGTGGTGGCGGGTGCCCGTAGACCCAGCTACTCGGGAGGCTGAGGCAGGAGAATGGTGTGAACCCGAGAGGCAGAGCTTGCAGTGAGCCAATATAGCACCACTGCACTCCAGCCTAGGCGACAGAGCAAGACTCTGTCTCAAAAAAAAAACAAACCACCATTATTTATTTATATTTTAGAGACAGAGACTCACTCTGTAGCCCAGGCAGGAGTGCAGTGGCACGATCATAGCTCACTCACTGCAGTCTCAACCTCCTGGGCTCAAGCAATCCTCTCACCTCAACCTCCCGAGTAGCTGGGACTATAGGTGTATGCCACAACAGCTGGCTAATTTTTTTTTTTTTTTTTTGGTAGAGACAGGGTCTTGCTGTATTCCTCAGGCTGGTCTTGAACTCCTGGCCTCAGGCAATCCTCCTGCCTCGGCCTCCCAAAGTGCTGGGATTACAGGTGTGAGCCACTGCACCTAGCCTGATTTCTTTTCTGATTATAAAAGTAATACAGGCCGGGCTTGGTGGCTCATGCCTGTAATCCCAGCACTTTGGGAGGCCAAGGTGGGCAGATCACTTGAGGTCAAGAGTTTGAGACGAGCCTGGCCAACATGGTGAAACCTCATCTCTACTAAAAATGCAAACATTAGCTGGGTGTGGTGGTGGGCACCTACACTCCCACCTACTTAGGAGGCTGAAGTGGGAGGATTGCTTGAACCTGGCAGGTGGAGGTTACAATAAGCCGAGATCAAGATCGTGCCACTGTACTCTAGGGTGGGCAACAGAGTGAGACTATCTCAAATAAATAAAAGTAATACGTATACTTTGTAGAAACATTGGAGAATACAAACAAAACATTTATTATCATGACATACATAGGTAGTCACTATCAATATTTTGGTGTATGACATTTTAGTGTTTTTTCACCCTGGATGTGTATACATGTTTGTATATACGTAAACAGGTAAAATTGGAATCACAGTAGCCGGGTGTGGTAGCCCATGCCTGTAATCCCAGCTCTTTGGGAGGCAGAGGCAAGAGAATCACCTGAGGCCAGGAGGTCAAGACCCACCTGGGCAACATGGCAAAAACTACATCTCCGCTAAAAATACAAAAATTAGTTGGGCAAGGTGGTGCATACCCGTAGTCCCAGCTACTAAGGAGGCCTGGGCGGGAGGACTGCTTGAGCCCGGGAGGTGAGCAGTGAGCCGACATCCCACCACAGCACGCTAGCCTGGGTGACAGAGCGAGACTCTGTCTCAAAAAAAAAAAAAAAAAGGAATCACAGTATTTTTAAATTTCTACCATTATCATTCTATAAAATATGATTGAGATTACAGTGTGCACTTGATCTTAGCCAAAAGATCCAGAATGACAGCTCACACTTTATATTACAATTTGTATTCTACTTTTCCTGATATTTTGATTAAATTGTGCTATGTTTTCCCTATGACATTTCCCTATTACATTTCTTTGTAAACATCATTTTAAATAAGTGTACAGTGTTACATTGCAGGCATACCATAAGTTTAGCCATTTCCCTTTTGTAAGATACTGACCCTTTTCTAATTTTTTCTACAGTTTACATAAATTGTAAAAAAAATATATTGTGTGAATGTATTTTTAGTAATTCAGATATTCCTTCGGGTAGATTTCCATGAGTTGAATTTTTAGATCCAATAGATGTATTTTTTCTTTTTTAAATTATAAAATATTTTAATGTAGAGATAATTACATGACAAAGATCCCTAAATGCACCAACCGTCTTTTAAGGGATACACACCCTTTTATTTATATATTATGTCTGTAAGATTCATCCATTTTGTTGGTAGTAATTTGTTTGTTTTTTTTTTTTTTTTTTTGTGAGACAGGGTTTCACTCTGTGGCCCAGGCTGGAGTGCAGTGGCATGATCACGGCTCACTGCAGCCTGAACCTCCCACGCTCAAGTGATCCTCCTGCCTCAGCCTCCTGAGTAGCTAAGACTACAGGCACACACCACCCATGCCTGGCTAATTTTTGTATTTTTTGTAGAGAAGGGATTTTGCCATGTTGCCCAGGCTGGTCTCGAACTCCTGGGCTCAAGCGATTTGCCCACCTCAGCCTCCTCAAGTGCTAGGATTACAGGTGTGAGCCATTGTGCCTGGCCAGTAGTTTGGTCTTTTTCGTTGCTGTGCAGATTCAGTTGTATGAATATAGCATAATTTTTGTCCATTCTATTGTTGATAGACATTTGAGTTGTTTTCATTTCTTGTCATTATGAGTAAAGCTCTTAACATTGGTGGACACAAGTATGTATTTCTCTTAGGGATATATCCAGGAATAGAATTGCTGCCAGACAGAAAAATATATATGTATTTGTAGCTTTAGAGGGTATTGCCAGTCTTTTTTTATTTCTTTCTTTTTTATTTTGAGACAGTCTCACTCTGTCGCCCACGCTGGAATGCAGTGGCGCAATCTCAGTTCACTGCAATCTCTGCCTCCCGGGTTCAAGCGATTCTCCTGCCTCAGTCTCCTGAGTAGCTGGGATTACGGGCATGTGCCATCACGCCTGGCTAATTTTTGAATTTTTTTAGCACAGACGAGGTTTTGCCATGTTGGGCTGGTCTTGAACCCCTGACCTCAGGTGATCCGCCCACCTCAGCCTCCTAAAGTGCTAGGATTACAGGCGTGAGTCACCACGCCCAGCCATTATCTCTCATTTTCTAAAGTGGTAGTACCATTTTATACTCCGAACAGCAATAAATTGTAGTTACATTCTTACTAACTGCTAACTCATTTATTTACTAGCATCTGGACTAACATTTGGTATTGTCAGTCTTTTTAATTTTAGTCATTCTGGTAAGGGTGTAGTGCCCACCAGCCATCTCCAACAGATTTTAACATATATGCTTCAGATCTCTTTTAAGAAATATAAATTTAAATATTCATTAGTGAATCTAGTAAGGGATGTGTGTGCGTGTGTATATATATATATATTGTATATATACACACACATATACAAGAAAATAACATACATATTATATAAAATAACGTATATATACACATACTGTATATATACACACACAAACTATATATATATATGTGTGTGTGTGTGTATTTTGGAGACAGGGTCTCACTCTGTCATCTAGGTTGGAGTAGAGTGGTGTGGTCTTGCCTCACTGTAGCCTCGACCTCCCAGGCCCAAGCAGTCCTCCTACCTCAGCCTCCTGAGTATCTGGAATTATAGGTGTGTGCCACCACACCTGGTTAATGTTTTAATTTTTGTAGAGATGGAAAACTGCTTTGCTGCCCAGGCTGGTCTCGAACTCCTGAGCTCAAGGATTCCTCCCACCTTAGCCTCCCAAAGTGCTGGGATTATAGGCATGAGCCACCGCACCTGGCCAAGGTCTGTATTTTTCTTATTGTACTAAACTTGCAACTTTTCTGTAGATTTAAAAATTTTCAAAATACTGTAAATAGTTTAAAAATATATAAATTTTAGATATAGCTGAAACTAACTACTTACCCTTTCCCAGCCTCCTAAAGTAATTACTATCCTGAATGTAATGTTTATTGTTTTTTTTTTTTTTTTTTGAGACAGCGTCTCACTGTCACTGAGGCTGGAGTGCAGTGTCATGATCTCAGTTCACTGCAACCTCCGTCCCACGGGTTCAAGTGATTCTCCTGCCTCAACCTCCTGAGTAGCTGGAATTACAGGTGTGCGCCACCAGGCCCGGCTAATTTTTTTTTTTTTTTTTTTTTTTGTATTTTTAGTAGAGACGGGGTTTCAGCATGTTGGCCAGGCTGGTCTCGAACTCCTGACCTCAGACTAACCGCCCGCCTCAGCCTCCCAAAGTGCTGGGATTACAGGCGTGAGCCACTGTGCCTGGCCTGGTACAACTAATTTTAAAAGCAGGTTGACACTCTAGTCCAACTGGCAGATGTGCATACCCCATGCCATTGTAATTTTTCCCCCTAGAAAAACTCCTATTCAGTCGTACAGGGAAATGAGTATAAAAACATTTGCTGCTGCCATGTTTGTAATTGTGGACAATTGGGAATAATCTTTATACCTCATCAATGAAAAAATAGACCAATTATGGTTCATTCATGTAGAATACTATACAGTAGACTATGAACCAGAGTTACATGAATCAGAATTCGTATTTCTCAAAAGCATAATGTGGGCCGGGCACGGTGGCTCACGCCTGTAATCCTAGCACTTTGGCAGGCTGAGGCAGGTGGATCACTTGAGCCCAGGAATTCAAGACCAGCCTGAGCAACACAGTGAAAACCTGTCTCTATCTTTTTAAAAGGAAGAAAAGCATATTGTGGAACAACAACAGAAAAAAGCAACTTGCAGAATTATAAAGTATGATATCATTTGTATAAATTATAAGAAAATGTTAAATAGCGCTATTATATATAATTTGTAGAGTTATACATATATACCTGAGAACAATAAACATTACATTCATGCAGCCAGGCACAGTGGCTCATTCCTGTAGTCTCAGCACTTTGGGAGACCAAGGCGGGCAGATCACTTGAGCTCAGGAGTTCGAGACCAGCCTGGCCAACATGGTGAAACCACATCTCCATTAAAAATACAAAAAATTAGCTGGGCATGGTGGCACGCCTGTAGTCGCAGCTACTCAGGAGCTTGAACCCAGGAGGTGGAGGTTTCAGTGAGCCGAGACTATGCCACTGCACTCCAGCCTGGGTGACAGAGAGAAAAAAACAGTTGTACCAATTTATACTCCCACTAGCATTAGATAAAAGTTCAAATTATGCCAGGCATGGTGTCTCACATCTGTAACCCCAGCATTTTTGGACTCTGTCTCAAAAAAAAAATCCACATCTTTTACAACACATGATTGTTAGATTTTTTAGTTTTTGCCTATCGGATGATATATTCTTATTTACATTTTCATTTTCCTTATTACTAAGGGGGTTGAGCAGCTTCTCACATTAGGCCTTCCTCCTCTGCCCACATGACATGACTATTCATATTCTTTCCCTGTTTCCTACTGGGATATCATTTTCTTTTTTTCGTTTCTTTTCTTTTTTTGAGACGGAGTTTTCCTCTTGTTGCCCAGGCTGGAGTGCAATGGCATGATCTCGGATGACTGAAACCTCTGCCTCCCAGGTTCAAGCGATTCTCCTGCCTCAGCCTCCCGAGTAGCTGGAATTACAGGCCTGCGCCATCACAGCTGGCTAATTTTTGTATTTTCAGTAAAGATGGGGTTTCACCATGTTGGCCAGGCTAGTCTCAAACTCCTGGCCTCAAGTGATCCACCCACCTCGGCCTCCCAAAGTGCTGGGATTACAGGCATGAGCCATCGTGCCCAGGCACTGCCATGGTGTTTTTTGTTTGTTTGTTTGTTTGTTTTTAAAGATAAACCTCTGGGGTTTCTGGAAAGTAAAGCCCCATGCTCCAAACAGCTCTGCTATACCTGTGTGCAAAATATTTTCATCTCTCTCTCTCTCTCCCCAAAGTGCATGCAAACACATATGGAACTGACATAGGCATCCACTGTCGCACTTCAAATTAAACAGACGCACACGACAGATATTCTCACAGAAAAGCAGTCAGCCAAGCCCAGAACCCATAGATCTAGGTCCACACTCACGCCTCTGCATGCTCCCCAGAAAGACGGATGCATCGCCCGCAGGTAGAGACGGGCTCACCAATCCCACTCAAAACCCGCTGCCGGCTTACAGCTCGCAAGCCGCCCACAGTGCCAGCCCCATGCCAAGCATCACTAGGGGCTCTAGAATAGGCAGGGGCCTTGTTCTCACTTCCTTTGTGTTGCTTTTATTTTAGTTGTTTTGTTTGTTGTTTTTCTTAGAGTTATCACCTGCCCCTCTGTCTCCCTACCCAGCCCCCAAGCCTCCCCTCCAAGCCTCCACTGCGCATGTGCCGTGCATCCCTGCCCCTTCTGGGTACCCGTAGGCGCTCCCGGGCGCTGGCGGCGGCGGAGGAGAGGGAGCAGCGTCACGGGCGCCCGGCCCGTTAAAACGCTGCTGGCTGGAGCCACCTCCCTCCCTGCAGCCCGCAACGGGAATGGAGTAAAGGGAGACCCGTCGACCTGGCCACGGGGATCAGCGATGGAATTAAAGCAATCTTTGTCCACCCATCTGGAAGCCGAGAAGCCTCTGAGGCGCTATGGGGCGGTGGAGGAGACGGCTTGGAAAACGGAGAGACTGGGGAGAAGTGAGTACTGGGGCGGGGGGCGGGGGGCCGGGGACAGCTGGGGATCCATGCGCCTGCGCGGGTGGTCGCGGGAGCGCGAGGAACGCCAGCAGTGGACCCAGGGAAGCGCCCCCGCAGCGGGGCTGGCAGCTCAGGGGGATACGCAGCTCTGCGCAGCGACGCGCTCTCCCCGCGAACAAAAGGGGGGGACCCTCCGGGCTGAGCCTCACTGGGAGGGTTGGGAGATGGCCAGGCAGCTAAGGCAGGAGCCTGGGCTCGACTTAGGAGTCCCGGATCCGTCAGCTCGCAGCTGGTCCTGTGAAGTCGGGTCTCTCCCACAGCCCAGGGAGGAGGATCCTCTCTCCGCCTGGGATGCGCCAGGGCGCTGGAGACGCGGGACCGTCCTGGAAAGCGCCCACGTCCCTGGAGAGGGGGGAGTGTCTGCTGGTTTTCCGCTTGCTTTCCTACCCCCTGCGTGAGGTTTCGGAGCGCACCTGAAATTCCCAGCTTTTCCTCCCTCGCCTTCCTTGGGTCGGGGTGGGAGGCTTGGGGCGGCAAAAGGGTCAAAAGGCACACACCGTTCTCTTTTCTCTCTTGACTCAGTTAAAGTCTGCTTGGGCACAACTCTAGAAGGCAGTTTCGAAATAGACCGGCTGTATTTATTTACTGGTTCTCTCTGCGGTGTTTGGATGTCAACATTTCTAAGTAAACGAAGGATTTTGTTTTTCATTAATAGGATACAATAGTTGAAACTCCTGCCCTCAAAGTGTAGAGGCAGCGTCAGGGGCTCCAGGGTCACTGGAGGTCCCTGCAAACCCGGGGGCTCCCCAAAGCCGCTGCTCTCACATGGCTTGCCCACCAGGCTGGGAAGGAGAGGTCCTTCTCAGGGACCCGGCAGCTTCCTGCCTCGGCTCTGGGTCACTGCTCCGCGCTCTGCCCCAGCACGGATCTCTGAGCGATGTAGGGCTAAAGTATTGTGAATGTGATCTTATTCTGTCCTCACCTGGTGGAAAATTGTGTGTGCGCGCTTTCTTTCTCTATACCTGTAATTATGGATTTAGAAAATCTTCCTAGAAGGGCTCAACTGTGTTCTGATTCTGACGGGTTGAAGTTGAAATCACAATCCAATGTCTTAGTGGTTCATGGGCTAGGATGGATGTCATAGCACTGCCAACCTCTTTCCTTTTCTTTTTTTTTCTCCCTTTTTAACCTTGGTCTTTCTTTCTAGTTCATCCTTTCAAGACCCAATGACTTGGTGCTTTGGCATAATATCAGGGCGTCAGGGCTGAGGGTCTCTGTTTCTTTCTTTAATTTTTAAGTGCACATAGTGGGTGTCCATATTTATGGAATACATGAGATATTTTGATACAGGCATACAATGTGTAATAATCACATCAGGGTAAACGGGGTATCCAAAACCTCAAGCATTTATCCTTTTTTTTGTGTTACAAACAATCCAATTACACTCCTTTTTTAAAAAAGCCCAGCTGTGTGACTAATTATACTCTTTTAGTTTAGCTTTTTTTTTTTTTTTTTTGAGACGGAGTTTCGCTCTTGTTGCCCAGACTGGAGTGCAATGACACAATCTCGGCTCACTGCGACCTCCACTTCCTGGGTTCAAGCGATTCTCCTGCCTCAGCCTCCAGAGTAGCTGAGATTACAGGTGCTCGCCACCATGCCTGGCTAACTTTTGTATTTTTAGTAGAGATGGGGTTTCACCATGTTGGGCAGGCTGGTCCCGAACTCCTGACCTCAGGTGATCGGCCTGCCCTGGCCTCCCAAAGTGCCGGGATTACAGGTGTGAGGCACCCCACCTGCCCTCTTTTAGTTATTTTTAAATGTACAATAAATTGTTGACTGTAGTCATCGTGTTGTGCTATCAGATACTAGATCTTATTCATTCTATCTACCTATATTTTTGTACCCATTAACCATCTCTGTGTCCCCCCATCCCAATACCCTCCCCAGCCTCTGGTAACCATCATTCTACTCTGTATCTCCATGAGGGTCTCTTGTTTCTTACAAGCTCAAAATAATCTCAACAATGGCTGCCTTTTATTGCTAGATGACCATGTGCTGAGAACTCTAAATGCATCATTTCATTTAGTCCCCTCAACAACCTCCTGCAGTACTAAGATTTATAAATTTAAATCTTGCCTAGATTTAAAAAAACATTTTAAAATAAAAATTTTAAAACAAAACATTTTAAAATAAAAAATTTAAATATAAATTTAAAATCTTGCATAGATTTAAAAAAACAAAACAAAACTGGGACTTGTTAGGTGATCTGACAGTTAAGTGGCAGAACCAGGATTTGAACCCCGGTCTGTTGGACCCCAGAGCCTGCTTTTAACATGAAGGTTTATTGCTTTCATGGTTTCAGAAAACTTCCTAAGTCTATTGAGATAGTCACAGAACATGCTCAGTGATTTTATAATTATGTGGCAGCCCTGTTGCTCTCTGAAGCTCACAGAGGCCTTAAAAAAATGCTGGGTCCACGCAGAATGGAAGCTGTTCACAAGAGTGCTGCTTTGAATCCTCACTCTGTGCCTTGCTGGCTATGTGACTTTAGGAGTATTGCTAAGCCTCACTCTGCCTTCATTTTCTGAAAATAGAGATTATGTCTTTATTGTGTATACTAAATAAGATGATACATATAGTACTCAAGGTTAAGTGCTCAATACGTATTGTTCACTTCCATTCGGTTACTGCACAACATTTATAGACAGAACCTGCTTTTACTCTTTGCAAGGAATTATGTAAATATTGGTCAATTCTTCAATAATGCCCTTGTAGCTTTTTATATCTTAACATTTTATGAGAAAAAATTTGAAACATGCAGGAAAATTGCAGCAAGCACCCAATTTACAGCAGTTTCAATCCTGAAATTTTTGTACTTCTGGGTCCTATGCTGCACACTGTTAAAAGTCAGGTATAAGGCCAGGCGCATTGGCTCACGCCTGCAATCCCAGCACTTTGGGAGGCCGAGGCGGGCGGATCACAAGGTCAGGAGATCAAGACCATCCTGGCTAACACGGTGAAACCCCATCTATACTAGAAATACAAAAAATTAGCTGGGTGTGGCAGTGGGCGCCTATTGTCCCAGCTGCCGGGGAGGCTGACACAGGAGAATGGCGTGAACCTGGGAGGCGGAGCTTGCAGTGAGCCGAGATTGCACCACTGCACTCCAGCCTGGGTGACAGAGTGAGACTCCCTCTCAAAAAAAAAGAGTCTGGTATAAAGTCCTTCTTACCCTCTGTTTCAAACCATCAAAGACTCAGTCTTGCTTCCTAGTCAAAGGCAAGAGGAACAGCTCCTGATCTGTACTTGCGTGGATCCTCAAATCTGGTTTTTCTTTTCTTTTTTGAGATGGAGTCTCACTCTGTCCCCCAGGCTGGAGTGCAGTGGCATGATCTCAGCTCACTGCAACCTCCGCCTCCCAGGTTCAAGCCATTCTCCTGCCTCAGCCTCCCAAGTAGCTGGGACTACAGGCGCCTGCCACCACGCTCAACTAATTTTTGTAGTTTTAGTAGAGAGGGGTTTTCACTATGTTGGCCAGGCTGGTCTTGAACTCCTGACCTTAGGTGATCCACCCACCTCAGCCTTCCAAAGTGCTGGGATTACAGGCATGAGCCACCACACCTGGCGAAAGCTGAAATTCTTAAAACGTGGATCCAGAGTCTAACTTTTGAAACTTGAATCTGGCAAGTTTTATTTTCTAGACTATTTTTTTTTTTTTTTGAGACAGGGTCTTGCTCTGTCGCCCAGGCTGGAGTGCAGTGGCACAATCAGCTCACTGCAACATCTGCCTCCCAGGTTCAAGCAATTCTCCCGCCTCAGCCTCCCGAGTAGCTGGGATTACAGGCATGCACCACCACGTCCGGCTAATTTTTGTATTTTTACTAGAGATGGGGTTTCACCATGTTGGCCAGGCTGGTCTCGAACTCCTGGCCTCAAGTGATCTGCCCTCCTTGGCCTCCCAAAGGGCCGTGATTACAGATGTGAGCTACCATGCCTGGGCCTGTTTTCTAGATGCGTGTTTGCACGCAGGGGGTGTTTGATTAAACCTTTTTTGGAACACTCTTTCAACTCTCAGGGTATCTATGGATCCATTCCATAAAGCCTGGGCCCTCCATTTATTTATTAAGTGTGAAAATTAGTACTTTTGTTTCTATGGCATGACAATTGCCAAGCCAATGTTGTAACACATGAAATGCTGGAGAAAAGAAGAGTCCCCTTAAAAAGAAGACATGCTCTGTTTAACTTCCACACATTTTAAAATATTTTATGTTAAACACTGAGTAGGTGTAAATTAAACAGAATTGAAGAGGGGAGGGAGACTGCAGAACTGGTCTTTTTTAGTTAAGATTGTGTTGACTGCTATTTTAAATTTCAACTATAGTTTTTAGATAAAAGATATGTAATGTGCTATATCAGAGTAGCAAAGAAGGAACGTTTTGAAGTTAGGCTGAATGAGTTCAAACCAGCCTCATTCAGCTGTCACTTGGTAGATTTGTGACCCTGGGAAAATTGCTCAAGGTCTCTGTGTGTCAGTTGCCTCATCTGTGAAATGGGGATAATTGTAGTAATGCGCACTTCGGACTCTTGGAAGATTAGATGAGATAATGTATATAATGCATTTAGCACAGGGCCTCACATGCTGAAAGCGCTCAATCAAGGTTGAATGGTTGTCATAGGAGGACAGAAGGGGATTGCCCCAGCAATATTTGCAGAGGTTATCCCAAACTCACCAGTTACAGCTTTTCATTGCTTCCATTTCTTAGTAAATTCTGGTTAATGATTCTGTACATACTGCCTTCCTCATGGGAACATGTGGAGAAAGGCTTCTGCACCCTTACAAACCATCTAGTATTTTCTCCTTTGAGAAAGGTTCAAAGTAATTGCTCCCAGCCACCTTCAACAGCGTTTTTCCACTAGCAGGGAGGTTTTTTCCCCGCTCAGCTGGAAAATGTATAGTGACATTTCAGCGTGGTTAGATATATAAAAATACTGCTTTCAACCAAGTGTAATTAATTGAGGGAGACATGCAGACAAGGTGCCTTTTGAAAAAGCGCAGAGCTTTTCAGAAACACAGTTGTCTCTGTTGTGGCCATTTCTTGATAGATTTGTATGTGTCTTAAAGGATGATCAAGATTTTGGACAGGGGAAATGGAGGAGTTGGAGGCGGGAGAGGGGAATGCCAGGAGAGGTAATAGCATCAACTGGCTGGGTGTGGTGGCTCATGCCTGTAATCCCAGCACTTTGGGAGGCTGAGGTGGGCGGATCGCTTGAGGTCAGCAGTTCGAGGCCAGCTGTCCCAACATGGTGAAACCCTGTCTGTACTAAAAATACAAAAATTAGCCAGGCGTGGTGATGGGCGCCTATAGTCCCAGCTACTAGGGAGGCTGAGGTGAGAGAATTGCTTGTACTCAGGAGGCAGAGGTTGCAGTGAGCCGAGATTGGACGGCTGCATTCCAGCCTGGGTGACAGAGCAAGACTTAATCTCAAAAAAAAAAAAAAAAAAAAAAAAAATCAACACAGACATAGTGCTGGAAATAAATGCTCTATGAGTAGGAGATTGGAATGAAGTAGAGAGCTCAAACTGCAATCTTTCCATAAGCCCGGGGGAGATGACTACTATTTAAAAGTTCAAAGTTGTGTACTGACTAACAAGCAGATCGTAAAACTGGCCAGCGTTTCAGGTTTCATAAACAGTGTGGAGGCTGAAATAATGCAAATTGCTGGCAATCTATATAATAGATTCTTGGGGAAAGGTTTGAACTATCTTCTGTTTGGTTACATATGCTCATTTTATTATTTTATTTTGGTTTTGCATCATTTCTTTTTTTCTGATTCTAGAAGTAATACATGTACTTTATAAAAAATTTGAATTCATCTGAAATATGAAAATAAAAAGTAAAAAACGACCATCATTTGCTCCCCAGATCCCATTTATTCACTCCATAAATAGGTACTGAGTGCCTTACAAGTGCCAGGAAGTGTTCTAGGGGCTGCAGGTACAGTCTTGAGATTTCTCGACAAAGTCCCTGCCCACATAAAGCTTCTGTTTAGGGGAAGTTAAGACCTGGGTTGAGAGTGAAGGCGTCAAATATTACATAAGCAAACAAGTAAGATGGTTTAGGTCATAGTAAATGTTTCATGGGCATTAATAGGGAAGGGGTACTTTTCATTTGGTGTTCAGGAAGCGCTTCTCTAAGGAGGTGACATTTTGCTGTATCAATAGCAGGAATCCAGGCAGTAAACGTAAAGGCCTTGTGCTAGAGGAAGAGACAGAAGGCCAGGGTGGCTGGAACCCAGTGAGTCAGGGTGAAGGGCAGATGAATCAGAGGGAAGCCAGACTAGGTAGGGCCTTTTAGGTTGTGATTAAAACAAACAAACAAAAAGTCTGAAATTTATTCTCATTGCAGGAGAAACTGCTAAAAAATTTTAATCAAGGGACTAACATGAACTGTTATGTTTTTTGAGGTTTTTTGTTTTTGAGACAGGGTCTCGCTTGTCACCCAGGATAGAGTGCTGTGGTGAGATCTCGGATCACTGCAGCTTCAACCTCCTGGGCTCAATGGATTCTCCCGCCTCAGCCTCCTGAGTAGCTGGAACTACAAGTTCGCATGCCTCTAGAGCCCATTAAAAAAAAAAAAAATTAAGACAGAGTCTCGTTCTCTTGCCCAGGCTGGAGTGCAGTGGTGTGATCTTGGCTTGCTGCAACCTCTGCCTCCTGGGTCCGAGCGATTCTTCTGCCTCCCAAGTAGCTGGGATTACAGGTGCCCACCACCATGCCTGGTTAATTTTTGTATTTTTAGTAGAGATGGGGTTTTTCCATGTTGGTCAGGCTGGTCTCGAACTCTTGACCTCAAGTGATCCACCTGCCTCAGCCTCCCAAAATGCTGGGATTACAGCCGTGAGCCACGATGCCCAGCAGCCCTGTTAGTTTGTGAATTTTTGGTAGAGATGGGGTTTTGCTGTGTTTCCAGGCTAGTCTTGAACTCCTGGGCTCAAAAGCAATCTGCCTGTCTCAGCCTCCCAAAGGGCTGGGACTACAGGCAAGAGCCACTGCGCCCAGCCTGGTTTTTGTTTTTAAAGGGTCATGTTGGGTACTAGATGGGGAATAAGTCCATAGCGGGGCAAGTGATGATCAATGCAAGCAGCATTTGATATAGTCCGTGATTCCTTCCTAATCAATTTTATTTTGGAGAAGTGGTGGCAGTTTCCTTGAGTGTGAAAGGTGTGACAAGGGCCCCATGGGTTGTCCTCTGGAAGATCAAGCACCTGGTTAAGACTTAGGAGAGGGAGGCCGGGCACAGTGGCTGAAGCCTGTAATCCCAGCACTTTGGGAGACCGAGGCAGGTGGATCACCTGAGGTGAGGAGTTTGAGACCAGCCTGGGCAACATGGTGAAACCCCACATCTACCAAAAATACAAAAATTAGCTGGGCGTGGTGGCGCATGCCTGTAATCCTAGCTACTCGGGAGGCTGAGGCGGGAGACTCACTTGAACCAGGGGGCAGAGCTTGCAGTGAGCTGAGGTCACACCATTGCACTCCAGCCTGGGCGACAGAGTGAGACACTGTCTCAAGAAAAAAAAAAAAAAGAATTAGGAGAGGGATAGATTCTGCACTGTCTCTTGACAGGCAACTATGTAAGTTATTGCAAAACTATTATAGCAGTGATATAAATATTACAAATATGATAGTATCTAGAATGTACTTTGAACAAGCCCAATTATTTACACAGTTGAGTAATGTCTGCTCATAACTTTGCTCATAACATTATGTTTTATTTTTGCAAGAGTTTCCTCCTGTGTTAATTGAAGAAAAAATTAATCATGCCTATTCTTGGACTGATTAGTTATTAAACACATATTAATAATAATATCCATTCAATGAGTTTTAGCTATGAACTTGAGCTTATTAAATTCTCATAACAGCCCTATGACATAAGGAGAATTATTATTCCCATTTAAACATGGGGAAACCGAGGTTTCAGGGGGTTAAGAAACTTGCTGAAAGGCATAAAGCTAGAAGGTGGTAGGGCTGGAGCCTGATTCTAAGCCCTCTCTGCCTCTGGATGTTCCTATCCACTGTCTGTTATTCTTGGTTCAGTGCTGGGTGCTGTAGAGATTAGAGATGGAATAAGACAGAATCCCAGCCTTCACTCTTAAAAGGTTTACAGATTTGGAGTGAGAGACACAGCCATAAAGAACACCACAGGGCCGGGCGTGGTTGCTCACACTTGTAATCCCAGCACTTTGGGAGGCCGAGGCTGGTGGATCACTTAACATCAGGAGTTCAAGACCAGCCTGAGCAACATGGTGAAACCCCATCTCTACCAAAAATACAAAAATTAGCCAGGCATAGTGGCATGCATCTGTAATCCCAGCTACTCTGGAGGCTGAGGCAGGAGGATCACTTGAACCGGGGAGGCAGAGGTTACAGTGAGCTGAGATTGCACCACTGGACTCCAGCCTGAGCGACAGAGCAAGACCTGAGACCCTGTCTCAAAAAAAAACACCACAGGCTGGGTGCGGTGGCTCTCATGTGTAATCCCAGCACTTTGGTAGGCCCAGGCAGGGAGGATTACTTGAGCCCCAGAGTTTGAGACCAGCCTGGGCAATGTGGCGAAACCCTGTCTCTACCAAAAATACAAAAAATTAGCTGGACGTGGTGCTAGCTACTTGGGAGGCTGAGGTGAGAGAATCGCTTGAGCCTGGGGGGCCCGGAAGCTGTGGTGAGCCAAGATGGCACCACTGTACTCCAGCCTGGGCGACAGTGAGGCCCTATCTCAAAAAACAAACAAACAAACAAAAACAAAAACAAAAAATCCACCGCAACTTATAAAGCAGTATAATGAAACACATGCTAAATGAAAAGTACAAGTGTGGGCCAGGCATGGTGGCTCGAGCCTGTAATCCCAGCACTTTGGGAGGCCAAGGTGGGAGGATCACCTGAGGTCAGGAGTTCGAGACCAGCCTGGCCAACATGGTGAAACCCTGTCTTTACTAAAAATACAAAAAATTAGCCAGATGTGGTGGTGCACACCTGTGATTCCAGCTACTCGGGAGCCTGAGACACGAGAATCGCTTGCACCCTGGAGGTAGAGGTTGCAGAGATTGCACCACTGCACTCTAGCCTGAACAACAGAGCGAGACTCTGTCTCCAAAAACAAAAAAAAAAGTGTGAAATTAGGAAAGAAATTGGCTGTGACTGGGGAGCTGCAGGCCAACAGCAAAGAGGGGTGTTTGCATTGGGCCTGAAGGCTAAACAGGGTTTCAAAAGAGGAAGAGTGTAGAGAAGGGGATTTCAGGTAAGCTGTCTGCCCCAGGCACAGAGGTGAATATTCCAAAGGCCAGGGTCCAGGCACCAGCTTTGTTTTTTTTTTTTTTTTTTTTTTTTTTTGGCTGTTTCTTTCCCCTTGGCTTAATGGATCCTGGGACTGCCTGGTTCACTTATATGAATGGGCTTGGGGGTTGGTTGGAAGCCAGCACAGGTAAAGGCCCTCTTTTAGTACTTCACTCACAAGTTCCCCCAAAAGATAGAATCAATTCATTTCTTCACTATTCACTTGTTGTGGGCGTCTCCTGTGCACTTGTTTTAGAGGAACAGAGCTAGATGGGTCCTGACCCCACCCTTAAGAATTCCGTCCTACTGTGGTCCATTTCTTCCTCTGCTGCTTCCTAGCACTGTGATCTTGGACAATTGGCCTAACTTCCCTAAGCCTCAGTTTCCTCATCTGTAAAATGGGTATAGTGATTTCTTTAATCCCCTGAGAAATAAACAGAATAATGCCAGGAAAGCATGGTGACAAATACATGTCACTAAATGTTATTGATGGTAGCAGTGTGAAGGCTCAGCTCTGTTTTGCAGACGATATTTATTGAGAAATGCCTGCCAGGCTGGGTGGGAGGAGCTGGCCTCATAGTATGAGTACATGGTGGTCCTGCATGGAAGAGCAGATGGTTTCTAGTTTATTGGTTATAAGTGTGGGCTTTCGAGAGAGCTTTTATTTTGAGGCCTGGCTCTGCCATGTCCTGGCTCTGGACTTTGAATGAGTTATTTCACCTTTTTTTCCCCCACCTCAATCTTTTGCTATCTGTATCTGTTCTCAATAATAACCATGAGGAATTATATAAATCTGAAGAAGTTTCTCAAAGTCAGTTTTTGAGACAGGGTCTTGCTCCATTGCCCATATGGGAGTGCTGTGGCACAATCACAGCTCTTGCAAGCCTCAACCTCCTGCCTAGGCCTCCCGCCTAGGCCTCCGAAGTAGCTGGAACTACAGGTGCACACCACCACGTGTGGCTAATTTTTACAATTTTTTTGTAGAGGTGGGGTCTTGGTATGTTGCCCAGGCTGGTCTTGAACTCCTGGCCTCAAGCAATCCTCCTGTCTTGGCCTCCCGAAGTGCTGAGATTATAGGCATGAGCCACCACGCCTGGTTATTTCACCTCTTAAGCTTTGGTTTCTGCAACTGTACAACAGTGACAGTAATAGTATCTACTTAGGATAGCTGAGAATTCCTTGAGACACAGATTGGAAATCATTCAATACAGAGGTCAGTACATGATACATGTTTAGTAAATGTTAATTATTATATTATTGGCTTTACAGCTATGGCAACAGGTACATAAAAAGGTAAACTTGATTTAATAAGGGTGTGTGAGTAAGTAGGGGGCTGGCAGCAGGGTAGCTAATGGAGCAAAGAGGAGGGGCTTAGCCAACCCTGGGGCTTCTGAAAACTTCTGGAAGAGCTGAGCCTTAATAAGAAAGAATAGAAGGAAATACATATGTGGAATCACCATTAATTGTTAGGAAAAACCAAATTGGAACCTTACTGAGATATGTAGCCACTGGAAAGGCTAAAATTAAAAGGACTGATCATACTAAGTGCTGGAGAGGATGTAGATCAACTGGCACCCTCATGCCTTGCTGGTAGGAATGTCACATGGGGGGAAATGGCTTGGTCATTTCTTAAAAATTTAAACATACACCAATCATAGGACCCAGACGGTGCACTTCTGGGTATTTACCCAACAGAAATGAGAGCAAGTGTCTCTACAAATATTTGTACACAAATGTTCATAGCAGCTTTTTTAGGAATAGCCCCAAACTGGAAACAACCCAAATATGGTATAATCATACAACAGAATGCTTCTCAGCAGTAAAAAGGAACAGACTAAAGACACACTATGTAAATGGATCACAAAATCATCATGCTGAGTGAAAGAAGCAAGCAAGAAAGAAAAGAGTACATACTGTATGAGTCCGCTGACATGAAATTATTTTAAAAACTTAAACTATTGTATACAGACAGAAAGTAAGCGAGACTCTAACTCTACAAAAATAAAAATAAAAAAGTTAGCTGGGCATAGTGGCCCACGCTTGTGATCCCAGCTACTTGGGAGGCTGAGGCAGAATGGCTTGAGCCCAGGAGTTCAAGACCAGCCTGGGCAACATAGCAAGTCCTCATCTCTACAAAAAAATAAAAAAATAAACTGGCTGAGTGTGATGATGTGCACCTGTAGTCCTAGCTACCCGGGGGCTGAGGTGGGAGAATCTCTTGAGCCCAGGAGTTTGAGGCTGCAGTGAGCTATGACTGCACCACTGCACTCCAGCATGGGCAACAAAGTGAGACCTTGTCTCTAAAAAAATAAAGAAAATGATTATAAGAAATAACATGCATGAAGTTCTTCCTATGAGCCACTGTGTGCATGTTTTACATGCATCCTCCGCTCCTTACAAAACGTTCTGTGAGATGAGACACAATATAGCCATCTATTGCATTTATTGTTCTATTTACAGAGGAGCAAACTGAGGCTTACAGAGGTTAAGCAATTGGCCCAATGTCACTCCACTGATAAGTGGTAGGGCTGAGATTTGAACCTAGCACAGGTTGACTTAATTCTGCTACCTTCCTAATTTCCCAGGATTAGTTGAAGCTGCCATTGATATAGATGCTTAATGTCAACTAGACACATCTCTGTGTTTCTTAGAACTGATTCTGTTCTCTGGCTCATTAATTTCCTTTTCCATTACAAACATGCCTCTTGTAAGCTTGAGGACTACATCTCACCACTTCAAAGTGCCTTCAGTGTCAAACTGGAGTGGAAGTTGAAGACGTTCACAAAAATGGAGGAGGGAGAGCCTTTCTGTTTTGAAGACTTGTAGCTTCACAAAGAAAGGCTTTCTTTGAATGATCAAGAAGGATTTCTAGGTCAATATAGGGGCATATTACTGTAACGTTTGGCAGCAGGAGCTCTGCCTGCATTTGAATCCTGGCTTTACCACTTCATAATAGTTGCGTGATCTTGGGCTAGTTACTTAACCTCTCTGAATTTCAGTTTTCTCATCTGTAAAATGGGGATAATAACAGGATCTGCCCCAAAGGATGTATTGGTCCGTTTTCACACTGCTATAAAGATACTACCTGAGACTGAGACTGGGTGATTTGAAAAGAAAAGAGATTTGATTGACTCACAGTTCCACCTGGCCGAAGAGTCCTCAGGAAACTTAAAATCATGGCGGAAGGCACAGGAGAAGCAAGCACCTTCTTCACAAGGTGGCAGGAGAGAGTGACAGAGGGAAGCACCAGATACTTATCAAACAACCAGATCTCGTGAGAACTCACTCAGTATCATGAGAACAGTATGGGGGAAACCGCCCCCATGATCCAATTACCTCCCACCAGGTCCCTCCCTCCACACATGGGGATTACAATTCAGATTACAATTCAAGATGAGATTTGGGTGGGGACACAGCCAAACCGTATCAAAGGCTAATTAAGAAGATTCAATGAAATAATACATGAAAGCCCTTCACAGAGTCTGGTGCTCTCAGTAAATGGTGGCGATCATGTTAATAGAAGAGGATGTGAAGTGGGAATTGACCTGATAGTATCTGAATAGTTGGAGAGAAGGAAGAGAGAGAAGTTAAATTTAAGTGGGTGAACCTCAAGGAAGAATGGAGGTGACGATGAGCGTGGAGATTTCTGGAGGCGTGCATGAGCTTCGCTGCATTGGAGGAGTTGTGAGATAAAAAGGATGGTTAAGCAGGACCACTAGACTTTGGTGGATTAAAAAAGGACTGGCAATATGGGGCCATTGGAGGACAAGGGATGGAGGGAAAGAAGTAGCATTTATTTATTTATTTATTTTTGAGACAGAGTCTTGCTGTTGTCTCCCAGGCTAGAGTGCAGTGGCGTGATCACGGCTCACTTCAACCTCCACCTCCTGGGTTCAAGCGATTGTCCTGCCTCAGCCTCCTGAGTAGCCGGAATTACAGGTACCCGCCACCATGCCCAGCTAATTTTTGTACTTTTAGTAGAGATGGGGTTTCACCCTGTTGGCCAGGCTGGTCTCAAACTCCTGACCTCAGGTGATCTGCCTGCCTTGGCCTGCCAACGCGCTGGGATTACAGACATGAGCCACTGCGCCTGGCCGGAAGTAGCATTTTAGGAAGGCTTGTCTGGCAATGGTGACCAACTGGATGCAAAGTCAGGGGCCCTGGGGATAAGAAGGTCAGCTAGGAGGGTTTGGAATTATCCCATGATGAGGGCTGTATGTCCAAATATCCATGGCAGGGCTGGAGTCTGCAGGAGCAGTGGGTTTGAAAGAAGGGGCTGATCAGAAATCTTGAAGGGAGAAACCCATAGTAGTTATTATGTCTCAGAAGGAAAGAAGGTCTTCTAAGTGCTCTCAATGTGATAGGCAAGGAAAAACCCTGTCATTAGCCTGAGGTCTTAACCAGTTAAAAATATCAGCATCCAGGCGCAGTGGCTTACGCCTGTATTTGCAGCACTTTGGGAGGCCCACGCGGGTGGGTCACTTGAGTTCAGGGGTTCAAGACCAGCCTGGGAAACGTGGCGAAATCCCATCTACCAAAAATATAAAAATTAGCTGGGCATGGTGGTGCAAGCCTGTAATTCCAGCTACTCAGGAGGCTGAGGCATGAGAATCGCTTGAACCTGGGAGGCAGAGGTTGCAGTGAGCTGACATCGCACTACTGCATTCAAGCCTAGGCGACAGAGCAAGAATCTGTCTCAAAAAAAACTGAAAAAACAAAGAGTTGTTCCTGATGCTGCCGTGAGATTAGCATCCTCGCCTTCTGCTTTGAGGGAAAGATGTGAGATTTTCAGATCAGATACAAAGTAACAGGAATAGGTACCATGAATGGGAACCGGCAGCCAAGTGACAGTGTTGTGATGGGTATAGGCTGGGCTAGGTACTTTACACACCTTAAATTTTTGATTCTTAGATGCCAGCATAGGTGAGGTATAACATTTCAGAGTAAGTCACGTCTTTCTGAAACAACAGAAACAAAAAAACGATAAGGCCCCGTTAAATAACTGGTCCGTTTAGCACTACCTGCAATAGCAAAGATGTGGAATCAACCTAGGTGCCTATTGACAGTGGATTGGATAAAGAAAATATGGTACATATATACCGTGGAATACCACCAGCTAGCAAAAAAAGTAAAACTATGGTCTTTGCAGCAACATGGATGCAGCTGGAGGCCATTATCCTAAGTGAACTAATGCGTGTTCTCACTTATAAGTAGAAGCTAAACATTGGGTACAAATGGACACAAAGGTGGGAACAGCAGACACTGGGGACTACAAGAGGGAGGAAGGAGGGAGGGAAGAGTTGAAACACTACCTGTTAGGTACTTTGCTCATTATCTGGCTGATGGTTTCACCCAGACCCCAGATCTCAGCATCATGAAATACACCCTTGTAACAAACCTGCACATGTACCTCCTTAGTCTAAAATAAAAGTTGAATTTTTTTTCTTTTTCTTTAATTTTTTTTTTTTAAGAGAGGGAGTCTCGCTCTGTCGCCCATGCTGGAGTGCAATGGTGTGATCTCAGCTCAATGCAACCTCTGCCTCCCAGGTTCAAGCGATTCTCCTGCCTCAGCCTGCTGAGTAGCTGGGACTACAGGTGCACACCAACACACCTGGCTAATTTTTGTATTTTTACTAGAGACAAGCTTTCACCATATTGGTCAGACTGGTCTCGAACTCCTGACTTCAGGTGATCCACCCATCTCGGCCTCCCAAAGTGCTGGGATTACAGGCATGAACCACTGCACCCAGCCTACTTTATTTTTAATCTCCATCTAGTATTTAGACTAGAGATGGGCAAATTTTTCTTTTTTGTTTTCTTTAAAATTTTTTTTTTTTTGGTAGAGATGGGGTCTCACTATGTTGCCCAGGCTGGTCTTGAACTCCTGGCCTCAAGTGATCTTCCTGCCTTGACCTCCCAAAGTGCTGGGATTACAGGTGTGTGTCATCACACCCAGCCCTGATACACTTTTTCTGTACAAGGATAGATACTATTTTAGGGTGTGCAGGTCATATGGCCCCTGTTGCGACCACTCAGCTCTACCACCGTACTCCAAAGCTGTAGCCTAAAGCTGCCATAGACAGGCACCTAAGTGAATGGATGTGGCTATGTTTTGTTTCAGCTTGATTGGTGAGCACTGAAATTTGAATTTTATATAACTTTCCCATGTCATAAAATATTATTATTCTTTTGATGTTTTCCCACAGCCATTTGAAAATGTAGAGGTCATCTCAAAAAAGAAAAAAAAGGAAAAGAAAATGTAGAAGTCATCCTTAGCTCAAGGGCCATAGAGAAACTGGCATTGGTCTGGGTTTGGTCTGAAGGCTCATGGATCCCTACCCTAGACAAATAATAGGCATGTAAAAGGTATTCACATCACAGCTGGCTTTTTTTTTGAAACAGAGTCTTGCTCTATTGTTCAGGCTGGAGTTCAGTGGCATGATCTTGGCTCACTGCAGCCTCCACCTCCTGGGCTCAAGCAATCCTCCTGCCTCAGCCTCCCGAGTAGCCGGGATTACAGGCACAAGCCACCATGCCTGGCTAATTGTTGTATTTTTAGTAGAGATGGGGTTTTACCATGTTGTTGAGGCTGATCTCGAACTCCTGGGTTCACAGGATTCATCTGCCTCAGCCTCCCAAAGTGCTGGGATTACAGGCATGACCCACCACGCCCGGCCATAGCTGGCTTTTTGCTTGCTGTGGGAGGAGAAAGTTCTGGCTGCTTGGCTTCGATGCTATGCTTGGCTCTTCCAACCACCATTTGTGGCTTTTTGCTGCCAGAGCTTGTCATGCTGCTGCATTGCCCAAGAGAAAAAGTTTGTGAGGTTCCACGTTCCATCATATCGATGATCATTTTAGGGTTTTCACACACAAGAGACAGGATTATTGCAAGCAACAGCAATGAACTTTGGAAAACTCAGAGGTTTTCCAAGTGTGAGATTTAAAGCCTCATGCATGAAACTTTAAATTAGTTTAAGGGGGCGTAACCAGCATAAAAAAAATGAAATAGAAGGAAATAGGAAATAGAAAGCTGCATCTATGCTGCTAAAGTTAAGTCTTATTTCCGTGCAACCTTTCGTTTGTTTGTTTTGTTTGTTCGTTTTCTGAGACAGAGTCTCCCTCTCTGGAGCGAGTCTCACCCAGGCTGGAGTACAGTGGTGTGATCTCTGCTACTGCAGTCCCTACCTTCCGTGTTCAAACGATTCTCCTGCCTCAGCCTCTTGAGTAGCTGGGACCACAGGTGCATGCCACTATGCCCAGCTAATTTTTAGTAGAGATGGGGTTTCACTGTATTGACCAAGCTGGTCTCAAACTCCTCACCTCAAGTGATCCACCCATCTCAGCCTCCCAAAGTGCTGAGATTACAGGCATGAGCCACCATGCCCGGCCTATTTTGTCCAACGTTTGTTTTACTTATGCCTATGTGTGTATGTACATACTGGGTCACTCTTAGTATTTCTTTTTTTTTTTTTTTTTTTTTTTTGAGACAGGAGCTCACTCTGTTACCGAGGCCAGAGTGCAGTGGTGCAATCATGGCTCACTGAAGCCTTGAATTCCTGGGCTTAAGCGATTCTCCCACCTCAGTCTCCTGAGAAGCTGGGACTACAGGTGGGTGTCACCACACCCAGCTAGCTAACTAATTTTTTTTTTTTTTTTTTTTTTTGTAGAGACAGGGTCTTACTTTAGTGCCCAGACTGGTCTTGGACTCCTGGGCTCAAGTGAGCCTCCTGCCTCAGCCTCCCAAAGTGCTGGGATTAGAGGCATGAGCCACTGCATCTGGCTCTCTGAGTATTTCTTACTGTGATCCACAGTAAGTAAACTTATTTAAATAAGTTTGCAAAGTACAGGAACTTAAGGAAAAGGAATGTATCTGGAAATCCTTCCAGAATTTAAAACAAAAAATAGCTCTAGGCACAGTGGCTTACGCCTGAAATCCTAGCACTTTGGGAGGCTGAGGCGGGAGGATTGCTAGAGGCAAGAGTTTGAGACCAGCCTGGGCAACACAGGGAGATCCCATCTCTACAAAACAGTTCTAAAAATTATCCAGTCATGGGGCGTGCACCTGTAGTCCTAGCTACTTGAGAGGCTGAGGCAGGAGGATTGCTTGAACCCAGGAGTTTGAGGTTACAGTGAGCCATGATTGGGCCACTGCGCTCCAGCCTGGGAGACAGAGTGAGACCCTGTCTCTTAAAAAAAAAAAAAGAAAAGAAGGAAGGAAGGGAGAGAGAGGGAGGGAGGGAGAGAGAGAGAGAGAGAGAGAGAAAGAAAGAAAAAGAAAAAGCTAAACAGCCAGACCTTAGAGAGAAGAGGAACCTTGGTGACTAGGAATTTCCAGATGGCAGAAAATTCCGGGTACTGTCATCTGGCTGAATCAGTCCCACTCTTTTGCATCTCTGAGCCACTGTGCCCAAGATTCAAGTACCTGGGGGAGAACACAGAGAAGATCTCTGCGTTAACCAGAGTCCATTTCTGTTGCTTGCAAATCATCCCATCTCCTGTGTGTGCAAACTCCTAAAATAAGCACTTTTAGAAGAAACGCTGACTCGTACAAACTTTCCCTGTGTCCTAAGGCCTCCTGCCAGCTTTGCAACTGCTGCTCGCGGGCAAGGGAACCTCTCCAGTCTCAGGACAATGGTGGTTGGGAGAAGCTAAGCTAAGGTCAAAGCCAAACACAGCGAGAACTTAGCCTAAGTGTATCGGACCAGCTAGGATCAAGACCCAACCCTTGACTAGGAAGGAGGGCATCTTGAATGCCAGTTCCCTAAGACAGCATTTCACGGGTGAGGTGTATTCTCCCATGGCAAGACATTGGAGGTGCTATCATGAGAGAAAGAACAATGGATGCTTGCAGAACAGAACCCGCAGATGACCACTAAGGAATGACACTGGTTTTCCTTCTCTAATAAAAATAACAACAACAACAACAAAAATAGCTGGGCGTGGTGGCAGGTGCCTGTAATCCCAGCTACTCGGGAGGCTGGGGCAGGAGAATCACTTGAATCCGGGAGACGGAGGTTGCAGTGAGCTGAGATCGCACCACTGCACAACTACCTGGGCAACAGCACGAGACTCTGTCTCAAAAACAACAACAACAAAGAAAAAACCAAAACACCGTTGCTTTTATTCTGATAATAAAACAGGGTTAATGCTCGAAATTTTAAAACTAAAAAAATACCAAAAGTTATAAAAGAGGGCAAATGTCATTTAAAGGAATGCTGCAGCGAGGTAGAGTCTCACACCTGTAATCTGAGGCAGAAGGCAGGAGCTTGAGCCCAGGAGTTCAAGGCCAGCTTGGCCAACACAGCAAGACCCTGTCTCTACAAAAATAAAAATAATTACCTGGGTGTGGTGGTGTACCTCTAATTCTATTATTAGCTACTTGGGAGGCCAAGGCAGGAGGATCACTTGACTCCAGGAGTATGAGGCTGCAGTGAGCCAAGACTGTGCCACTGCACTCCAGCCTGGGCAATAGAGTGAGACCCTGTTCTAAAACTAACCGGCTGGGCGAGGTGGCTCACCTGTAATCCCAGCATTTTGGGAGGCCGAGGCGGGCAGATCACTTGAGGTCAGGAGTTCGAGACCAGCCTGGCCAACGTGGTGAAACCCTGTCTCTACTAAAAATACAAAAAAATTAGCTAGGTGTGGTGGCACGTGCCTGTACACCCAGCTACACGAGAGGCTGAGGCTGAAGAATCACTTGAACCTGGGAGGTGGAGGTTGCAATGAGTCGAGATTTCGCCACTGCACTCCAGCTTGGGTGACAGAGCTAACTCTGTCTCAAAAATAAAATAAAATAAAGCAAACCAACAGAATGCCACCAACCTCCAATAACCACTGAGAGCATCCCTTCAGATGTCCCTTCCTCCCTTCCCCTTTCCTTCCTCTCCTCCTCTTCTTCCTGTTCTGAGTCATGTTTCTCAAGGAGAGACAAGTTGTACTTTGGGATCTGGTCTCTTTTCTCACACATCTCTGCTCTCTAGGGGGGCACCTCCCTCCCTATGGATATCACAGGGAGTTTTTTTCCTTTTAGAGTTTGAATGGAGGAAGACTTCAGACAGAACTGTACACAGCACAGAGCTGCAGAGAAGTGGAAGATTAAGAGAAAATAATGTTGGACAAATTAGATGTAGCTTGTATAATCTGGAGCTACAGTCACGAGAATAGGATGTAACATAAAGTCTAATGTGATTCAGCAAACACACGTTTTCATTACTTTTGTGCAGATGGCTCTGCTAGGTGACTTGGAAGGGAAGGAAACCGAGGCAGTGTTGCTTCCTTCGAGGAAGACAGAGTTGCTTCCTTTCCCCCCATCCACTGGGGACAGAATTTCAAAGAGATTACAGCACAGACCAGCCTGTGGCAAATGCATGAGCCAAGTGTGATGGGGACACAGAGGCGATTAAAATGCAATCATTAGGGCTGGTCATGGTGGCTCACGCCTGTAATCCCAGCACTTTGGGAGGCCAAGGCGGGTGGATCACTTGAGGTCAGCAGTTCGAGACCAGCCTGGCCAACATGGTGAAACCCCATCTCTACTAAAAATACAAAAATTAGCCGGTGTGATGGCACATGCTTTTAGTCACAGCTACTCAGGAGGCTGAGGCAGGAGAATCGCTTGAACCCAGAAGGCGGAGGTTGCAGTGAGCCAAGATTGTGCCACTGCACTCCAGCCTGGATGACAGAGTGAGACTCAGTCTAAAAAAAAAAAAAAGATTGCTGTTCTATTTATGCTGTGAACATTGCTGAAAGATTGAGCAGGAAAAATGGAGATCAATGCTCAGTAAGTTCCACCTGAAAGACCTCCTTTGAACATAGCAACTGTTCACTTGGTGAAATTTGGCTATACAGGTAATGAATACTTTGTGAGAAATCACACTCTGTGGTCTCCGAGTAGCATTAACAATCTCTTGCAACAGAGAAAGCTGAAATGAAGAGGAGAAGTGTAGAAAATGTCATCTGAGGGCGCGCGTGGTGGCTCATGCCTGTAATCCCAGCACTTTAGAAGGCAGAGGCAGGTGACCTGAGGTCAGGAGTTCAGCCTGGCTAACATGGCAAAACCGTCTCTACTAAAGATACAGACATTAGCCGGGCGTGGTGGCGTGCACCTATAATCCCAGCTACTCAGGAGGCTGAGGCAGGAGAATCACTTGAACCCGGGAGATGGAGGTTGCAGTGAGCCGAGATGGCGCAACTGCACTCCAGCCTGGGCAACAAATGGAGACTCTGTCTCAAAAAAAAAAAAAAGAAAAGAAAAGAAAATGTCATACCCAACAGTGTGTTGGGTATGACAACTACTAGTGTGTCCAGCCATCCTGGTTTGCCTGGGACTATCCTATTTTTAGCTCTGAAAAGTCTTTTTAAAATTTTATTTATTTATTTATTTTTGAGATGGAGTCTCGCTCTGTTGCCCAGGCTGGAGTGCAGTGGCATGATCTTGGCTCACTGCAAGCTCCGCCTCACGGGTTCACGCCATTTTCCTGCCTCAGCCTCCCAAGCAGATGGGATTACAGGCATGTGCCGCCACACCTGGATAATTTTGTATTTTTTTAGTAGAGACAGGGTTTCTCCATGTTGGTCAGGCTGGTCTCAAACTCCCAACCTCAGGTGATCCACCAGCCTCAGCCTCCCAAAGTGCTGGGATTACAGGCATGAGCCACCGCGCCTGGCCATGTTAACTATATATTAAGATACGAAACAGCTTTCTTTCAAGGGGTGCAGCTTTAAAACAGTCTACAGTAGCAAGGCATTTAACCTGTACTCGGAAGCCAGGAAACCTTGGCCTGACTTGCCACTGTGTTCTTTGAAAGGTCCGTCGTTAATGTTTGACTATTCTTAATGACAATTTGTGGCTTATCAGGTTGACGTTTTCCTTTCTTTTCAGGCAGCTGAGACTTAAGGGAGTGAAGTAATTTGGTGGTATTCATTGCAGGGGCCACATAGATACTGTCAGTACGCTTTTAAAAATCTTTTTAAAGTAATAGATGCTCATTATAAAAATTCAAACAATACAAAAGTGTAGAAAGTAGAAAGTACTTTCTACTTCAGGAAGAAAATTTCCCACCCTCAAATTGTCATTCCGTCACAAGTTTGATGTGTATCTTCTCAGTGTTTTGTTGGACATATGTTAACACATGGATTTTAAAAAATGAATTGGATGATATGTGTACTAATCAGTCTTCTTTTTTTATTCAAACTATATATCATGACCATCTTTCTAAGTCAGTAATACAGCATTATCTTTTCCTTGTTTTTTTTTTTTTTGAGAGAAAGTCTAGTTCTGTCACCCAGGCTGGAGTGCAGTGGTATAATCATAGCTCACTGCAACCTCTGCCTCCCAGGTTCAAGTGATTCTCATGCCTCAGTCACAGGAGTAGCTGGGACTACAGGCACATGCCACCACACCCAGCTACTTTTTGTATTTTTTAGTAGAGACTGGGTTTTGCCATGTTATCCAGGCTGGTTTCGAACTACTGGCCTCAAGTGATCTGCCTGCCTCAGCCTCCCAAAATGCTGGGAAGACACTGCATCAGCCAAAAAAAGTATCTTGTGTTTAATTTGGCCTATGTCTTCCTTTTCTGATCACTGCATAATTTTTCAGTGTCTGGTTATACCTTATTTTTTCTTAATTAATTCTTTATTGATGGACAGCTAGGTGATTTAACAATTTGATAAAGAATGCTGCAATAAATATCTTTTGTCATTTTTGCACATTGTCCAATTATTTCCTCTATATAAATTCACTTTTTTTTTGATGCGGAATCTCACTCTTTCGCCCAGGTTGGAGTGCAATGGCGCAATCTCGGCTCACTACAACCTCCACCTCCTGGGTTCAAGCAATTCTCGTGTCTCAGCCTCCCGAGTACCTGGGATTACAGGCACGCGCCACTATGCCTGGCTAATTTTTGTATTTTTAGTAGAGACAGGGTTTCACCATGTTGGCCAGGCTGGTTTCGAACTCCTGACCTCAAGTTATCCACCCACCTTGGCCTCCCAAAATGCTGGGATTGTAGGCATGAGGCACTGTGCCCAGCCTCCTCTATACAAATAATTAAAAGTAGAATTGCTGAGTTAAAAGCTTTCAACTAGGTTTAGAATGTGGAAGATACACAAATCTGAATTCACTTTATGGGGTGCATATTTGAGACTAAATTAAAACTAATTAACTTGAGGAAGAAAGAAAATATCGTAATTCAAATGATACTGTGGAAAAAGTAGCAGAGTAGGAGTTAGAATACTTTGGTTCTAGAGCTTGTTCACCTTCCAGCTAACTGGTTGACCTTTGACAAGCTTCTTAACCTTTTTGCACGTCTGACTCTTGCCTCCAGTTGTATCTGGTCTCATGAATCTTCCAAATAATTGACAGAGTCATTTTCTACAATGCGAATATGACCTCTGCTTAAGTCCATCAGGAGCTCACCATTGCCTTTGGGGTGAAGCTAAAACTCCTAGCTAACCATGCAGCAGTCTGTGTTTGTAGCTTCCTCTCCCTCCACGTGCCCAGCCAGGACCTTTGATCCACCTGTTCTCACCTCCTTTCATTGCCTTCAATGCTCACAGTTTGCTAAGCCTCCAGATGTTGGTTCAGGTTGTTCCCTCCTTCTGGAATATCTGGTCCCTTCTCTGACCAGCTGACTTCTACTCATTCTTCAAGAAATAGCTTGGACTTTGTATTAGTCCATTCTCACGCTGCTATAAAGAAATACCCAAGATTGGGTAATTTATAAAGGAAAGAGGTTTAATTGACTCACAGTTCCGCATGGCTGGGGAGGCCTCAGGAAACTAATAATCATGGTGGAAGAGAAAGCAAACATATCCTTCTTCACAGGGCAGTAGAAGAGAAAGAACGAGCAAGAACAGGGAAAACTGCCTTAATTAACCATCAGGTCTCTCGAGAATTCACTCACTATCACGAGAACAGCATAGGGAAAACCACCTCCATGATCCAATCACTTCCCACTAGGTCTCTCCCTCAACACCTGGGGATTACAATTCAAGATGAGATTTGGGTGGGGACACAAAGCCTAACCATATCAGACTTCTTACCTTCTCAGAAGACTTTCCTGACACCTACAGGTTGAACTGATGCCTCTTCTCTTGGCTTTTGTGAAGGCAGCATATTACTTTACACATCCTCTGTAAATAGCACACACTGTATTACAACGGCTGACTTTCTTATCTGGGTCACTTCATTCTTTTGAGGGCAGAAACCGTGACCTGTTCATCTTTGAATTTATAGTATCTACCACAGTGTCTGACACATACAGATGTTTGCTGAATCTTTGTGGAATAAAACAATTGATCTATAAAATAAGTGATTGGATTCAGTAATACAAAATTGCAGCCAAGTATGGTGGCTCACACTTGTAACCCCAGCACTTTGGGAGGCTGAGGTGGGTGGATTACCTGAACTCAGGAGTTTGAGACGAGCCTGGGCAACATGGTGAAACCCCATCTCTATAAACAATATGAAAAAATTAGCTGAGTATGGTGGTGCACACCTGTAGTTCCAGCTACTTGGGGGGCTGATGCAGGAGGATTGTTTGAGCCCAGAAGGTCAAGACTGCAGTGAGCTGTGTTGGCACCACTGCACTCCAGCCTGGGCAACAAAGTGAGACCGTGTGTCCAAAAAAAAAAAAAAAAAGTAGAAGTTTATGAGAATTAAAAGTTCAAGGAAACCTCAGAACTACTAAGGAAACATCTCAAAATAATACAGTAAAAAAAACACAAACAAAGCCAGGTGCGGTGGCTCACGCCTGTAATCCCAGCACTTTGGGAGGCTGAGGCGCGTGGATCACGAGGTCAGGAGTTTGAGACCAGCCTGGCCAGCATAGTGAAACCCCATCCCTACTAAAAATACAAAAAAATTATCCGGGCGTGGTGGCGGGCGCCCATAATCCCAGCTACTCGGGAGGGTGAGGCAAGGAGAATTGCTTGAACCTGGGAGGTGGAGGTTGCAGTGAGCCAAGATCGCGCCACTGCACTCCAGCCCAGGTAACAGTGTGAGACTCTGTCTCAAGAAACAAACAAACAAACAAAACACACACACAAACAAACAAAGGAATTAAAATGGCACACTGGAAAATAACATGAAAGAAAGCTATTAAAAAGGAACAGACTAACAAAAAAGACATGAAGGATATAAAAAACAAATAGCAAAATGTCAGGTGTAAATCCAACCACATCAATAATTACATAAATGCAAATGGATTAAATACTCCAATCAACAGGCAAAGATCGTCAGACTGGATTAAAAAAAAAAAAACACCAGGATCCAACTATGTATTGTCTATAAGAGACACACTTCAGATTCAAAGACACAAATAGGTTGAAAAGAAAAGGATGGAAAAATGTATAGCCTGCAAGCATAAGAGAGCAGGAGTGGCTATATTAATATCAGACAGAAGAAAATTTAAGACAAAAAATGTTACTAGAGACAAAGAGGGACATTTTATAGTGATAAAAACAACAATACAACAATTATATATGTGTCCAATAACAAGAGTAGAAGGGAATTGTAGAATGAATTATAGAACCTTTACAGTGTGAATATTGTAACTTACAGTGTGTAAATTACAGTGTGTTTTCAGAACCATACCTTGGAACCTCTCCAGATTCTTTACCTTGTGGCCTCCTGTCCACTCCATTCTAAGGTGTTATCATACTGAAGTGCACCATAGTGGTGGTCTTGATGGGGAAAAGAAATCACAGTAGCACTAACAGGAAACATCCTGAGGGAAGAGGCACTGTCATTTTTAGGTGTAGGGAAGATGTTTAAGAGCCCGTTTTAAACATCTGAGCTTCTGGTCTTTGGAATTTTGTCAGCCCAGAGACAGTTTCTTTTCTTCTCAATTCTCTTTTCCTTTAATTGGTCTTCTTCTTGCCATACCTCATTCCTTAGTCATCCTGGTCTTGATCTCAGAAATCTCACATTCTCATTGATTTAGCATGGTTTTCTACTCTAGTGCCAGTTCTACTGTTGGATGGAAAGAACCATCTTCTGATGTGACAGGAAGCCTTAATTATTAATTTAAAATTCCCCTACCCTTCTCCAACTTCTATGGAAGTTAACTCAGGAATTATTGGAGTAGGTTGAAGATTCTCTGAGTGGGAGGATGGGTGAGATTCAAATTAGAGAAGTACTATGAGGACTAAATGACCCTACCTAAGAAAGACAGTTTCCAAACTAAAGTTATGGGAGTTGGGTACGTAGGTAGGGACTCGGGAACCATCTTGGCTAGAGAAGGGTCAGAGGAAAAATACAGAGGAAATTCATGGGAGAGAGTATCAGGGTGGATATATACGGAACAGATGCATACTTCAAGGGGACATTTAGACATTTTGCTCTGGGATGAGCAAAATCACCCTCTTTTTCATCTCCCAACAAACCATTTAATAAAAAGTAAGACATTACTCATTATCGGAGCAGGATCTGTTGATTTCGTTTTTTAATTTTTTTAATTCATTTGTGTTTGATGTGATGATGTGCCAAGACCAGCCTGAAGGTGGCCAAGGGCAAAAGCAGAGGTTGTTATTTGCAGGCTACGTTGACACTAGGTAGTGAACTTCACAGCTCAACACATCCACACATATTGGCTGAACGTTAATTAGTTCTGCCTAGTTACAGGGTTTCCAAAATGGATGAGACATTCTGCCTCCCCTCAAGGAATTTGTGGGCTGGTAAAGGAGACAGACACAGTAACAGATCATTATGTAATATGCTAAGTGCTTTATCAGAGGAAAAAAGCTGGGTGCAGGCTGGGCGCAGTGGCTCACACCTGTAGTCCCAGCACTTTGAGAGGCCAAGGCAAGCACCTGAGGTCAGGAGTTTGAGACCAGCCTGGCCAATATGGTGAAGCCCATTTTCTACTAAAAATACAAAAAATTAACCAGGAGTGGTGGCACATGCCGGTAGTCCCAGCTACTCGGGAGGCTGAGGCAGGAGGATCGCTTGAACCCAGGAGGCAGAGGTTGCAGTGAGCCAAGATTGCACCAGTGCACTCCAGCCTGGGTGATAGAGCAAGACTCTGTCTCAAAAAAAAAAAAAAAGAAGCTAGGCGCATCAGGGGCTTTGAGCCTTCTGACCCAGCCTGGGAACAGGGAGAAGCACAATTCAAGGGGACATTTAGACATTTTGCTGTGGGAGGAGCAAAATCACTCCTGGCAGGAGCGACCCCCGGGCTCAGTTCACCAGGTGAAAGGAACAGGCAAAGTCACATAAGTACAAAGCAGTGTGGTGCTTCCTGGGACCAAAAAGCAATTCGTTATCAATAAAACATACTTTGCGTTGGTTCCCATCTTACCGAACCTTCTTTCCTTTCTTCTTTCTTCCCTGCTTCCTTCTCACACGCCCTCCACTCACCTCTCAGAACTCATTCTATGTGATCTCTACCCAAAGCACAGTGCTAAGAGCCCGGAATAAAACGGGCAAAACCAACCTAGCCATTGTCCTCATAGAATTAATCATACAAATAAAAATATAATTTTAACCTGTGGCAAGTGCTCAGACAGAAAAAATCCAGTTAGGCTGCCAGTAAAAATACTAGATGTGGCCGGATGTGGTAGCTCATGCCTGTAATCCCAGCAGTTTGGGAGGACAAGGCAGGTGGATTGCTTGAACCCAGGAGTTTGAGACCAGCCTGGGCAACACAGCAAACCCCATCTCTACAAAAATACAAAAACAAAACACAAAAATTAGCCAGGTGTGGTTGTGTGCACCTGTAGTACCAGCTACTTGGGAGGTTGAGGCAGGAGGATCACCTGAGCCCAGGAGGTTAAGGCTATAGTGAGCTGTGATTGGGCCACTGCACTCCAGCCTGGGTAACAGGAAGACCCTGTTTCACCAAAACAACAACAACAACAACAACAGCAGCAGCAACAACAAACAAAAAACTCCCCCAAACAGGTGCCCAGTTAACTTTGAATGTCAGATAAACAACATATATGATTTTGCAGTATAAGCATGTCCCATGCAATATTTGGGACATACTTATCCTACACAAAAATTGTTTTTTCTGTGAAATTCAAAGTTAACTGGATGTCCTGCCTTTTTTTTTTTTTTTTTTTTTTTTTTTTTTTTGAGGTGGAGCGTCGCACTGTTGCTCAGGCTGGAGTGCAATGGCGCCATCTTGGCTCACTGCAGCCTCCACCTCCCAGGTTTACTAGATTCTCCAGCCTCAGCCCCCTGAGAAGCTGGGATTACAGGTGCCCACCACCACGCCTGGCTAATTTTTTTGTATTTTTAGTAGGGACAGGGTTTCACTATGTTGGCCAGGCTGGTCTTGAAGTCCTGACCTTGTGATCCGCCCGCCTTGGCCTCCCAAAGTGCTGGGATTACAGGTGTGAGCCACCACACCTGGCCTGCATTTTTATTTGTAAACCTGGCAGCCTTAAGTCCAAGATCCCATGAGCTCACATGACTAGGGGACCTGAGTTAACCTGGGCTGCAGTGGGAGAAGGTGATTGGAGAAAGCCTGACATCTGCAGAACAGGGAGCTGCACCTGGGAGAGGAGGCCGGAGAGGGGAGTGACCTGGAGAAGGGAACAGCCTGAATGCGAACAGAAATTGGCCCCAACAGAGCGTTCAAGAGTCTGAGAGAAGGCTCCTGGGGCTTGAGCACAGACATTTAGTTTACTGGGATATGGAGAGAGGAGAAGCAATTGGAAAATGAGTAAATATATCATGCTTTTAAGGAGGCATGCTGTACAAGTAAATGTCAGGTACAGTGACTCAGGTTATTGATTTGAAAGATTAGTCAGTGGAGACATGTGCTGGACTTACTCAGTCCCTCTGTTGTCAAGGAAGTCCAACGCCACCAGCACTAGATCCTTCAACAATGCAGAGTCCTCCCGCAAATGAATCTGACTTTGCCTGTAAACCGCGGAGAGTTTCAAAAACTGGAAAGCATTACAGGTGGCCAGTTTGTTTCCATTTATATAAAGTGCAGCAAAAATGATCTGTCAGAGAGAGAACATTGGGATAAATTTCTTTTTTTTTTTTTTCTTCTGGAGACAAGGTCTTGCTGTTGCCCAGGCAGGAGTGCAGTGGTGCGACCATGGCTCCCTGCAGCTTTGAACTCTTCATCTTAAGGGATCCTCTCACCTCAGCCTCCTGAGTAGCTGGGGCCACAGGTGTGCACTAGTATGTCTGGCCAATTAAATCAATTAAATATATATATATTTTGTAGAGGCGGGGATCTCACTATGTTACTCAGGTTGGTCTTGAACTCTTGGTCCCAGGCAATCCTCCTGCTTTGGCCTCCCAAAGCCCTGGGATTGCAGGCATAAGCTACATCACCTGGCCTGAAATACGCTTGAAGGCATCCTTTGAACCACTGTTATCACAGAAGTGTGGTCAGGTTCAGTGTGGAGAGTGAATGAGAAGCTGGGCAGGAGCCTGTGCGAGTTGGGCTTTGTGGAGACACACAGAAAGATGCCCCCCACTTTAACCACCTTCCCTTGCCTCGTCGTTTGACTGCTGAGGTCTTACTCACACTCTGAGACTGTAGCTTTCACGTGGCCTCCTCTAATATATTTTCAGTGTAGCCTTAACAATGAATCGTAGTAACTTCTCACCTTACATGCTCCCCAAAAGATGTCACTTTGGGAGAACATATTCAAGGAACCCTCCCCAATCCTGACCCCCATCCCCACCCCAGCTCCTGCTGCTGTTGACACAACTGCCTTAGCTGTGAGGCTGTGCCATCCATTGGAACCTGGGACTTTCCAATGTTGGGATGCCTCAGCATCATCAAGCAAAATTGGGGTTCTTTTTGTGTATGCTTTAAAAAAAAAAAAAAAACTTGAAGCATAAAACTATTACTGGAAAGTGGTCCTGATCCAGACTGCAAGAGAGGGCTCTCGGATCTTGTGCAAGAAGAAATTTGGGGCAACTCCATAGAGTAAAGTGAAAGTAGTTTATTAGAGAAGTAAAGAATCAAGGCCGCGCACAGTGGCTCATGCCTGTAATCTCAGCAGTTTGGGAGGCCGAGGCGGGCAGATCACCTGAGGTCAGGAGTTCGAGACCAGCCTGGCCAACATGGCAAAACCCCATCTCTACTAAAAATACAAAAATTAGCCAGGTGTGGTGGTGGGCGACTGTAATCTCAGCTACTCAGGAGACTGAGGCAGGAGAATCACCTGAACCTAGGAGGCTGAGGTTGCAGTGAGCTGAGATTGGTCCACTGCACTTCAGTCTGGGCGACAGAGTGAGACTTCATCTTAAAAAAAAAAAAAAAAAAAAGGATTCCAAAGAATGTCAGGTATGGTGGCTCATACCTCCCAGCTCTTTGGGAGGCCAAGGCGGGAGGATTGGTTGAGGCCAGGAGTTCAAGACTACACTGGCCAACATAGAGAGACCCTGTCTCTAATTTTTTAAAAAAGAAGAAACTAAAAAAATGGCTTCTCTGTAGGCAGAGCAGTCTCGAGTGCTGCTGGTTGACAATTCTTGTGGTTATGTCTTGATCGTATGGTAAACAAGAGGTGGATTATTCATGAGTTTTCCGGAAATGGCACAGGGAATTCCTGAAACTGAGAATTCCTCTTCCTTTTAGACTATATTGGGTAACTTCCAGAAGTTGCCATGGCACTTGTAAACTGTCATAGTGCTGGTGGGAGTGTCTTTTAGCATGCTAATGCATCATAATTAGTGTATAATGAGCAGTGAGGATGACCAGTGGTCACTTCTGACACCATCTTGGATTGGGCAGGTTTTGGCCAGCTTCTTTATTGCACCCTGTTTTATCAGTGGGGTCTTTGTGACCTGTATCTTGTGACCTCCTGTCTCATCCTGGGACTAAGAATGCCTGACTTCCTGGGGTTGCAGCCAAGTAGGTCTCAGCCTTATTTTACCCTTATTCAAGATGGAGTCACTCTGGTTCAAATGCCTCTGACAAAGCCAGCATAGATGAAGACCTAACACCCTTGAGCAAATGAAAGATCTGTGTGATGGAACAGTTGCGTGTCTTGATTGGGGTGGTTGGTTACCTGAATCTGTACATGTGATAAAATTGCACAGAACCACACACACACATACACACACACACCAATGAATTGGATGTAAAACTGGTGAAATCTGAATAAGGTCAGTTATGCAAAATGTCATCACTGGGGAACATTGGGTGAAGGTTTTTTAGGACCTCTCTGACATACAAACGGATATAAATCAGCAATTCTCTCCAAATAAAAAGCTAAACAACAAAACCGACCCCAAACACTGACACCTTGTATCCATCATCCAAATTTGGTCAATGCTAAGATATATATTTTTTTTTTTTTTTTTGAGACTGGGTCTCAATGTGTCACCCAGGCTGGAGTGCAGTGGTATGATCTCGGCTTACTGCAAACTCTGCCTCCTGGGTTCAAGCGATTCTCATGCCTCAGCCTCCCAAGTAGCTGGGATTACAGGCACCCACCACCATTCCAGGCCAATTTTTGTATTTTTAGTAGAGACAGGGTTTCACCACGTTGGCCAGGCTGGTCTCAAACTCCTGACCTCAGGTGATCCGCCTGCCTTGGCCTCCCAAAGTGCTGGTATTACAGCTGTGACCCACCGCACCCAGCCCTAAGATCTTTGTATTAGTCCTTTTTAGAAAAATAAAACAAAACCTTAAAGATTCAGCTGGAGACTCCTACTCAGTCCTTTTTCTTTCCAGAAATGACCCTTGTCATGGAATTAATATGTATTTATCTTTTCCACATTTGCTTTTACTGTATTATGTGCATAGTCATAAACAATCTGTGATATCCTGTTATACATTTCCTTTGGTAGCTTATTTTGCCACTAAACATGTTTTCAGGATTTATGCATGTTGAAACATGTAGATCAATTCTTTTAATTTTTTAACTGCTCAAAGTATTTCTAATAGGTGAATATACCACAAATTCTTCAACCAATCTTCCACTGATAATAGGTTGTTTTCCATTTTTCAGTATTACCAGACATTGCTATCATGGCCATCCAGGTATAAATGCCTTTTTGGGTCAAGAGTTTCTGCAGGGTTTTTATCTAGAATTGAAAGTGCTAAGCAGACAGTATGCACATACTAAACTTCAGTAAACATTGAGAAATTGCTATCCAACTGTGACTCTATAAATTTATGGCTGTCCCAGCAGGTGGTAATAATCACCATTTCCTTATATTTTCACCAGCCAACCTGATCTTTCCAGACTGTTAAAAGTTTGCCAATCTGATGGATGTAAAGTAGTATTTCATTGTTATTTTATTATTGTGTTTTCCTGATTTCCAATGAGGTTAGACATCTCTTCATAGGTTTATTAGCTGGAATTTCCTCTTCTGTGAATCCTGAGGTCGTACCCTTTTGCCCTTTTTTTTTCTATTGTGTTGTCATTGTCATAGGTATTTTTTGTATTTTGTTCCCGATTGTTTTGTATGTTTGTGTATTATAAATTTCAGCTTGTGGCCTGTCTTTTAAAAAAAGACTTTTTATTTTGAGATTATTGTAGTTTGCGTGCAGTTGTAAGAAATAATACAGAGATCTATGTATGCCTTTCACCCATTTTACCCCAATGGTGACATTTTGGACAGCTAAATACAGTATCAAAGACAGGAAATTGACATTGATACAATCCATTCATCCTATTCAGATTTCACCAGATTTATGTGTGTGTCTGTGTGTGTGTGTGTGTGTATTTAGTTCTATACAATTTTATCATATATTTAGATTTGTGTGACTATCAACAAAGTCAAGATACAGAACAGTTCCATCACAAAGGTTCCTCCTGCTACTTTTGTATAGTTACAGTTACCTTGCCCCATTCAACCCCTAGCAACAACAATTAGTTTTCTATTTCCATAATTTTGTCATTTCAAGAATATTAAAGAAATGGAATCATGCAGTATATAACCTTTTTGAGATTGGCTTTTTCACTCACCGTAATTCTCTCAAGATCCATCCAAGTTGCTGTGTGTATCAGCCATTCATTCCTTTTCATTGCCAAGTAATATTCCATTGTATGGATGTACCATGGTTTGTTTTACCCATTGAAGGACATCTGGATTATTTCCAGTTACAGGCTATTATGCTTAATGCTGCTATGAATACTCTTATGCAAATTTTTGTGTGAACATAAGTTTTCATTTCTCTGAGATAAACGCTCAGGAGTGCAGTTACTGAGTTGCTTCAAATGCATATTTAGCCTTATAAGAAATTGCCAAACTATTTTCTAGAGTGGTTGTACCATGTTACATTCCCATTGGCAGTGCACAAGGGATTCAGTTTCTTCCCATCCTCACCTGCATTTGGTGTTATCATTATTTTTTATTTTAGCTAGTCTGATAGGTGTGCAGTGACATCTTGTGGTTTTAATTTGCATTTTCTTTATATCTAATGCTGTTGCACATCTTTTTATGGGCTTATTTGTATGTCCATCTGTATAATCTCTTCAGTGAAATGCCTGTTCATGTCCTTTGTCCACTTACTAATTGGTTTATTTGGGGTTTTTCTGCTGTTGACTTTTAAGAGTTCTTTATGTATTCTAAATACAGGTCCTTGTTGGGTATGTGGTTTGCAAATATTTCCTCCTAGTCCGTAGCTTGTTTTTTCACTTTCTTGTCAATGAAGAGTCAAACTCTGTAAAATATTTGAAGATACTTATTCTGAGCCAAATGGAAGTGAATAATGACCTGTGACACAGCCCTCAGGAGATCCTGAGAACATATGCTCAAGGTGGTTGGGCCACAGCTTGGTTTTAAACATTTTAGGGAGATACAAGGCATCAACCAATATATGTAAGATGTACATTGATTTGGTCCAGAAAGGCAGGACAACTGGAAGCAGGAACTTTCAAGTCATAGGTGGATTCAAAGATTTTCTGACTGGCAATTGATTGAAGGAGTTAAGTTATTGTCTACAGACTGAGAATCAATAGAAAGGAATGTCTGGGTTAAGATAAGGGGTTGTGGAGACCAAGGTTTCATTCTGCAGTCAAAGCCTCTGTGTAGCAGGATTCAGAGAGAACAGATTGTAAATATTTCTTTTCTTTTTTTTTACTTTTTCTTTTCTTTTCTTTCTTTCTTTCTTCTTCTTTTTTTTTTTTTTTTTTTTTTTTTTTTGAGGCAGGGTCTCAGTCTGTCACCAAGTCTGGAGTGCAGTGGCACGATCACAGCTCACTACAAACTTTGTCTCCAGGGCTCAAGTGATCCTCCCACCTCAACCTTCCAAGTAACTGGGACTATAGGTGTGCACCTCCCCACCTGGCTAATTTTTGTATTTTTTGTAGAGATGGGGTTTGGCTGTGTTGGACAGACTGGTCTCAAACTCCTGGCCTCAAGTGATCCACCCACTTGTCTTCCCAAAGTGCTGGGATTACAGGCATGAGCCACCACACCTGACCTGATTGTAAATGTTTCAATCAGACTTAAAGAGTCTGTTCTATTAATAATTCCAAAAGGAAGGCAGGTATAATGAGGCATGTCTGGCTCTCCCTTCCAATCATGGTCTGAATGACTTTTTCAGGTTAACTTTGACATGCCCTTGGCTGAGAGGAGGGCTCCATTCAGATGGTTGGGGGGCCTTAGAATTTTGTTTTTGGTTTATACTCTTCACAGACTCTTTTGCAGAGCAAAGGTTTTTAATTTTGATGAGGTCTAATTTATCAATTTTCCCTTTTATAGATTATGCTTTGGTGTCAAATCTGGGAACTCTTTGCCCCCCTTTAGGTTCTTAAGATTTTCCCTTGTTTTGTTCTGAAAGTATTATAGTTTTACATTTTACACTAAGTCTGTGAATCATTTTATTTTTTGTGTAAAGCATGATAATTAGGTAGAGATTTATTTTTTTGGCCTGTGGATATCCAATTTGTCCAGTATTGTTTGTTGAAAAGGCTTGACTTCCTCCAATAAATCATCTTCACACTTTTTTTTTTTTTTTTTTTTGAGACAGATCCTTGCTGTGTTGCCCAGGCTGGAGTCCGGTGGTGCAGTCACAGCTCACTGCAACCTCCACCTCCTGGGTTCAAGTGATTCTTGTGTCTCAGCTAAGTAGCTGGGACTACAAGTGCGTGCCACCACACCTGGCTAACTTTTGTATTTTTTTAGTAGAGACAGGGTTTCACCATGCTGGCCGGGCTGGTCTTGAACTCCTGGACTCAAGCAATCCTCCCACCTCAGCATCCCAAAGTGCTGGGATTACAGGCATGAGCCACTGCACCCACCCTTCGCACCTTTGTGAAAAATAATGTGGGCACATTTGTTTGGGGCTATTTCTGGATTCTCTGTTCTGTTCCCTCAATCTATATGTGTATTCTTCCACCAGTAACACAGTAACACAGTCTTGTTAAAGTAAGCTGTAGGTATATGTAATCATTTGTGATTCCTTCCAGCTTATTCATATTTCTCAAATTATTTTAGCTCTTACAGGTCCTATGCCTTTATATATAAAATTTAGAGTAATATCGTTTATGTCTTCAAAAATTACCTTGCAGGGGTATTGATAGGAATAGCATTAAACCTACAGGTCATTTTGAGTGTAACTGATATCTTTACTATGTGGAGTTTGCCAATCCATGAACACAATATGTCTCCCGATTTATTGAGATATTCTTAATTCTTTCTTCAGAATTCTGTAAATTTCAGCATACATATCCTCTACATATTTTGATAAATTTATATTTAGGTATTTCATTTTCTTTGGAGTAATTATAAATGGTAATGTGTCTTTAATTTTGGTTTCCACATGTTAATTATTAGTATATATAGATGCAGTTCATATTTGTCTCTTGACATTGGATCTTGCAAACTTTCTAAACTCTTGTATTAGCTCTAATAGTTTTTTGGTAAGTTATTGGAGATCTACGTAGACACTTAAGTCATCTGCAAATAGGGACAGTTTTATTTCTTCCTTCCTAATTTGTATGCCTTTTATTTCTTTTTCTTGTTTTATTGCACTGGCTAGAACTTCAGTACTATATTGAATGACAGTAGTGAGAGCAGACATTCTTGGCTTTTTCCCAATTTTAGGGAGAAAAAAATCAGGTTCTCACCATTAGGATGTTAGCTGTAGTTTTGTGTAGATACACTTTATTAAGTTGAGAATGTTCTCCCTTATTCCTACTTTCTGAGACTTTTTGTACTACATGAGTGTTGGATTTTGTCAAATGCTTTTTCTGCATCAATTGATACAATTGTATGATTTTTTATTTTTACCTTGTTAATATAGTGGATCACACATTGATTGATTTTCAAACTAGCTTTGCATACCTGGATTGTCCCACTTAGTTGTGGTGTATAATTCTTTTCATCCATCATTGGGTTTGATTTGCTAGTATTTTTAGTATTTTGTTGAAAATTTTTGCTCTAAGTTCATGAGGAATATATTGGTCTGTAGTTTTCCTTTGTTGTACTGTCTCTCTCTGGTTGTGGTATGACGGTAATACAAGATTCATAAAATGAGTGATGGAGTGTTCCTTTTTCTTTCTTTCTTTCTTTTTTTTTTTTAGACAGAGTCTTTCTCTGTCGCAAGGCTGGAGTGCAGTGGCGCGATCTCAGCTCACTGCAACCTCCAACTCTCAGGTTCAAGCGATTCCCCTGCCTCAGACTCCCAGGTAGCTGGGATTACAGGCACATGCCACCACGCCTGGCTAATTTTTTGTATTTTAGTAGAGACGGGGTTTCACCATGTTGGCCAAGATGATCTCAATCTCCTGACCTCATGATCTGCCCACTTTGGCCTCCCAAAGTGCTGGGATTATAGGCATGAGCCACCGCACCTGGCCTCTTTTTTTTTTTTTTTTTTTTTTTTTTTTGGAGAGGGAGTCTTGCTTTGTCACTCAGGCTGCAGTGCAGTGGTGCAATCTCGGCTCACTGCAACCTCTCCCTCCCAGGTTCAAGTGCTTCTCCTGCCTCAGACTCCCGAGAAACTGGGACTACAGGCGCCTGCTGCCACGCCCAGCTAATTTTTTGTATTTTAGTAGAGATGGGGTTTCACGATGTTGCCCAAGCTAGTCTTGAACTCCTGACCTCAAGTCATCCTCCTGCCTCGGCCTCCCAAAGTGCTAGGATTACAGGCGTCAGCCACTGTGCCTGGCCAAGTGTTACCTTTTCTATTTTCCACAAAAGATTGTGTAAAATATGTATTAATTCTTTAAAGATTTGATAGAATTCTTCAATGAAGAATTGATAGAGATTCATTTTTTTTGGCCTATGGATGTCCAATTTGTCCAGCGTTGTTTGTTAAAAAGGAATAATTTGAAAGCTCACAAAGAGAAATATCCAGGCAATTTCTGGAGATTTCTCCTGGAGATTTCTCTTTTGGGAGTTTTTAAATTATGCACTCATTTTCCTTAATGGTTTTAGAACTATGCAGATTTTCTAATTCGTCTTGGATGAGTTTGGTAGAGTGTTGTTTTTGAGGAATTGGTCCATTTCATTAAGTTGTCAAGTTTCTGCGTAAAAAGTTGTTTGCAGTATTCCCTTGTTATCTACTCAGTGGCTATAGAATCTGTAGAGATTATCACCTGTTTCATTTCTGATATTAGTGCTTTGTGTCCTCTCTCTCACTCTCTCTCTCTGTCTGTCTCTTTTTAGAGATAGGGGTCTTGCTGCATTACCTAGGTGAGACTTGACCTCCTGGGCTCAAGAGATCCTCCTGTCTCAGCCTCCAAAGTAGCTGGAACTACAAGCATGCACCACCACGCCTGGCTAATTTTTTGTAGAGATGGGGTCTTGCTATGTTCCCCTGGCTGGTCTCGAACTTCTGGACTCAAGCAATTCTCCCACCTCAGCCTCCCAAAGTGCTAGGATTAAAGGCATGAGCCACTGCACCCAGCCCTCTTTCTTCATATAAGCATTTAGTGCTATTAATTTTACACTGAGTACAGTCTCTGTATCACATATGTTTTGATATGTTGTATTTTCATTTTCATTTGGTTCTATTCTTTAAGTTTTGTTTTAGAATTCTTCTTTGACCTAGAGATTATTTAGAAGTATGTTGTTTAATTTCCAAGTGTCAGGAGATTTTCTGTTATATTTCTGTTATTGATTTCTGGTTTTGTTCCATTATGGTCAGGGAATATAACACATAATTTTAATTCTTTTGAATTTGTTGGGGATTGTTTTTTGGCCGGGGTATGGTCTATCTTGGTAAATGCTCTGTGAACACTTGGAAAAAAATATGTATTCCACTGTTGTTGGGTGAAGTGTTCCCAACTTAAATATCAATTAAGTTGAATGTTATGCAGTTATTCTATATCCTTGCTGATTTTCTGTCTAGTAAGTCTACCAGTTGCTCACAGTGGGATGTTGAAGTGATCAATTGTAACTGTAGATTTGTGTACTTCTCCTTTCGGCTTTATGAATCTTTGTTTCATGCATCTTCAGACTCTCTGTTGTTTGGTGCATACACAGGATTGCTATGTCTTCTTGATAGGTTGACCCTTTTATCATGATGTAATGTCTCTCTGGTAATTTTCTTTGCTTTAAAGTCTACTTTATCTGGTATTAGTAGAGCCATCCTGGCTTTTCTTTTGATTAACATTTGTGTATCTTTTTCTATCATTTTACTTTGAATCTGCCTATATCATTATATTTGAAGTGAGTTTCTTCTAGATAACATATTGCTGGATAATGTTTTCATGTTCATTTTGCCAATCTGTCTTTAAACTGATATATTTAGACCATTTACATTTAAGGCAATTATTAATGTGTTAGGATTTAAGTCTGCCATTTTATTGTTTGTTTCTCCTGTTTTTCCTTCTCTGCTTCTCTTTTCCTACTTTCCTACAGGTTACTTGACATATTTTAAGGATTCCATCTTTTTTTTTTTTTTTTTGACATGGTCTCGCTCTGTTGCCCAGGCTGGAGTGCAGTGGCATGATGACTTGGCTCACTGCAACCTTTACTTTCCAGGTTCAAGCAGTTCTCATGCCTCAGCCTCCCAAGTAGCTGAGATCACAGGCATGCGTCACTATGCCTAGCTAATTTTTGTATTTTCAGTAGAGATGAGGTTTCGCCATGTTGGCCAGGCTGGTCTCAAACTCCTGACCTCAGGTCATCCACCTGCCTCAGCCTCCCGAAGTGTTGGGATTACAGGCGTGAGCCACTGAGGCCAGCCAGATTCCATCTTTAAAAAAAATTATTATTGATTTTTGTGGGTACATAAGTACCCAAATAAGATAAAACTAAAGTTCCAAGCCTTCTTCTGTTATCATTACCTTTCTGTTTGGAGAATTTCCTTTAGCCTTTTTTTTTTTTTTTGAGTTGTAGCTTTGCTCTTGTTGCCCAGGCTGGAGTGGAGTGCAGTGGTGCCACCTCAGCTCACTGCAACCTCGACCTCCCAGGTTCAAGTGCTTCTCATGTCTCAGCCTCCTGAGTAGCTGGGATTATATAGGCTCCTGCCACCATGCCCAGCTAATTTTTGTATTTTTAGTAGCGATGGGGTTTCATTATGTTGGCCAGGCTGGTCTCGAATGCCCGACCTCAGGTGATCCACCCGCCTCAGCCTCCCAAAGTGCTGGGATTACAGGTGTGAGCCACCGTGCCTGGCCCCTTTAGCCATTCTTTAAGGGCAGGTTTACTAACAACAAATTCTCTTAGTGTTTTCTCGCCTGAGAATGTCTTTGTTTCCTCTTCATTCCTGACATCTATTTTTGCCAGATATAGAATTCACAATTCATAATTCTTTTCTTTTACTTCTTGAAAAATATTGAGTCACTTCCTTCTAGTTGCCATGGTTTCAAAGGAGAACTTGACTGTCATTTAAATTGATGTTCCCTTTCAAATAATGTTTTATGGCTGGGTGCGGTGGCTCACGCCTGTAATCCCAGCACTTTGGGAGGCCGAGGCAGGCGGATCATGAGGTCAGGAGATCGAGACCATCCTGGCTAACATGGTGAAACCCCGTCTCTACTGAAAATACAAAAAAATTAGCCGGGCGTGGTGGCAGGTGCCTATAGTCCCAGCTCCTCGGGAGGCTGAGGCAGGAGAATGGCGTGAACCCAGGAGGTGGAGCTTGCAGTGAGCAGAGATCATGCCACTGCACTCCAGCCTCGGTGACAGAGTGAGACTCTGTCTCAAAAAAAAAAAAAAAAAAGTTTTATTTCTTTCTGAATCCATTCAAGATTTTTCTTTTTTTTTTGTCAGAGTTTAAGGACATGTCTTGGTATGGATTTCTTTAGTTTTATCTTATTTGGGATTTTCTCAGCTTCTTGAATCCATAGGTTATCTTTCTTCAAATTTGGGAAGTTTTCAGCTATTGATTCTTCAAATAATTTTTCAGTACCATATTCTTTCTTTTCTCCTTCTAGGAATACAAATTAATTTTTATTTATTTATTTTGAGACAGGGTCTCACTCTGTTGCCCAGGGTGGAGCGCAGTGGCACAATCATAGCCCACTGCAGCCTCAACCTCCTGGGCTCAAGTGATCTGCCTGCCTCAGCCTCCTGAATTGAGTTGCTAGAACTACAGGCATGTGCCACCACACTCTGCTAAATTTTTTTGTGTGTGTGTGCTTTTTGTAGAGACAGGGTCTCACTATGTTGCTCTGCTGATCTTGAACTCCTGGCCTCAAACGTTCCTCCTGCCTCAGCCTCCTAAAGCACTGGGATTTCAGTCATGAGCCACTGTGCCTGGCCTTTCTCTTTTTTATTCTTATTTTTTTTGAGATGGAGTCTTGCTCTATTGCCCAGGCTGGAGTGCAATGGTATGATCTCAGCTCACTGCAACCTCTGCCTCCGGTGTTCAAGCGATTCTCCTGCCTCAGCCTCCCTAGTAGCTGGGATACAGGCATGCACCACCACGTCCAGCTAATTTTTGGGTTTTAAGTAGAGATGGGGTTTCAACATGTTGGCCAGGCTGGTCTTGAACTCCTGACCTCAAGTGATCTACCCGCTTGGCCTCCCAAAGCACTGGGATTTCAGGTGTGAGCCACCGCACCCAGCCTTTCTCTTTTCTTTTTAAGCAGGTAGCCTTCCTGTTGAGCTATAGTATGAGGGGTGGTTGGGATGTATATTCACTTTCCCCCTTGGTGCTGGGGCCACTTTCCTAGAAAATATGAGGAACAAACCTGACAGTGCTGCATTGCTTCCTGGTAGGGGGTGTACGTTTAGTTCCTTACTGCGCTCTACTGCTGCTGGGGAGTGAGAAATGATGAGTTGACTCGTACCACTTTGTTGATGCAGGGTGAGGGCAGAAACTTAGCTCCCCAATGGGTCCCACTGACACCAGCAGGTGGGGGAGTGAGGCAGGAGTACAGACTAGCCTTGCACAAAGTCAGAGGACAGTCCAAAAGACCACTCTCACTTCTGACACCAGCTGCGAGTTTGGGGGTCCCCAAAACTGTCCTCAACTTTCATGCTTTGCTAGAGGGACTCACAGAACTCCCTGAAAGCTGTTGTACTCACAGTTACAGTTTATTACAGGGAAAGAGTTCAGATTAAAATCAGGCAAGGGAAGAAGCCTGGAGGGCAGAATACAGGTAAGTTCTGAACACAGAGATGACAGTGGAGTAATGGGCAGCTTTAATTGTCCTGGCAATAACATGTGACAAAATGAATGGAGTATGTCAACCAGGGAAGCTCACTCAAGCCTTGGTGTCACTGCTAGACCTTCCTGATACTTGTTTGGTAAAGAAATCAGAGTGCCACCTCCTTCCACTGGGTGGGGGATGGAGAATCAGCTCTCAATTTGTTCCCACCCATGCTACCCCAGCAGGGGAATCAGACTGTTACCACCTGCTTCTGCCACATGGGAGTTGGAAAATCAACTTTAATCTCCTGTCAATGATGTGTGAAAATACACACAAAGTATTGCCAAGCAGGGAAGCTCTCCCAAGCCTTGGTGTCCAGAGTTTTTATTGGGGCTCAGTCATGTAGACCTGGTTGACTGCCCACATTGCTGACCTCATTCTCCAGCCCCTCTGAAGGTGGAGCTGATGCCATGTGACCCAAAGCTCCCATCCTGAATCACATCACTTGACTTTCTGATGTGGTCTAAAGCCCCCCTGTGAACAAACACACTTTTATTAAGCAGGACATTCCAAAGGCTGAGAGATGACCTCCCAGGAGCTGAAGTTTAAATTCATTACTGCATATCCTACTTTGTACATGTCATTCACTTTTTTTTTTTTTTTTTTTTGAGATGGAGTCTCACTCTGTTGCCCAAGCTGGAGTGCAGTGGCGTGATCTTGGCTTATTGCAGCCTCCGCCTCCCGGGTTCAAGTGATTCTCCTGCCTCAGCCTTCTGAGTAGCTGGGGTTACTGGCGCCCACCACCATACCCGGCTAATTTTTGTAGTTTCAGTAGAGACAGGGTTTCACCATGTTGGCCAGGCTGGTCTCGAACTCCTTACCTCAGGCAATTCACCCACCTCAGCCTCCCAAAGTGCTGGGATTACAGGCGTGAGCCCCTGTGCCCAGCCCACATCTCATTCACTTTTATTGCTGCCAGGTGGGTGTGGAGGTTCAGCTTCACAGTGAGCTTTGTTGACACCAGTGTAGGTGGAAAATGCAGGCCTGGCTGGCCATGACTTGTGCCACTTGTCCAATCTTGGTGATGCTGATTGGGATGGAGACTCCGGCTCTGCCGGGCTCTGCCAACACCAGGGTGAGAAGGAAAGAAGAGTCATGGTGAGTAGCCTCACCTTGCACCAGCTCATTAAGTCTGCTGAAGGGGAGGGGAGAGAGACGGGAGACCCATCACCAGACCCTGATGACATGGCTGTGGCAGGAAAATCAGGGTACCACCTTCTTCCACTGGGTGGGGGATACAGGATCAGCTTCCCACTCATTCCCATCTATGTACCCCAGCAGGGGAATCAGAGCATCACCACCTGCTTCTGCCATGTGGAAGCTACAAGACCAGATCCCCAGTTGGCCCTGCTGAAATGACAGGGAAGGGGTTGCAGTTTTTCCATCAGTCTTTGGCTGGCAGGGCAGATATGGTTAAAAAAAATTTCTCTATAATCTCAGCATTTTGAGAGTCCAACGTGGGAGGATTGCTTGAGGCTAGTAGTTCAAGACCAGCCTAGGCAACTGTATTAGTCTGTTCTCATGCTGCTATGAAGAAATACCTGAGACTGGGTAATTATAAAGAAAAGAGGTTCAGTTGACTCACCCTTCCACATGTCTGGGGAGGCCTCAGGAAACTTAGAATTGTGTGTGGAAGGCACCTCTTCATAGGGCGGCAGGAGAGAGAATGAGTGCAAGCAGGGGAAATGCCAGACACTTATAAAACCATCAGATCTCATGAGACTCACTCATTATCACGAGAACAGCATGGGGGAAACCACCTCCATGATTCAGTTACCTCCACCTGGTCCCGCCCTTGACACGTGGGGATTATGGGAATTACAATTCAAGGTGAGATTTGGGTGGGGACACAGAGCCAAACCATATCAGCAACATAGTGAGACCTCCTGCTCTACAAAAAATACAATAATTAGCCAGTTGTGTTGATGCACACCTGTAGTCCCAGCTGCTCAGGAGGTTGAGGCAAGAGGATTACTTGAGCCTGGGAGGTTGAGGCTGCAGTGAGCCATGATCGTGTCACTCCACTCCAGCCTAGGCAACAAAGTGAGATCATGGCTTAAAAACAAAAATGAATAAAAAATCCTGTTGCTGGTTTTCTTTCTTTTCTTTTGATTCAGGGGAACTGGCTTTTCTTAGAGCGTTTTTTTTTTTCTGTGCTTGGTAGTGGTTCCAGGTCAGAGGCTTTTCCTTTACTGTGTCTGGGATGTTGGGGTATATGGAAGACAATAAGAAAACTCAGGCTGCTCACTGCCACGAGTGCCCAAAGTCCCAGGATCCAGAGGTAGTATGTCTTCTCCTTTTCACCTTTCAGAATCTCCTTATGCTTGTCTGCTGTGTTATGTCTGTGAGTTATCAGTTGTAAGAGAGAGGACCTGGGAAGAATGACACTACTGCATCTTGGCCAGAACCAGAAGTCCTGTAGCTTGACTTTCACTTTGCTTATGATACTGTATTTAGTTTTGACTTTTAATGAGTCAAATGCATTGACCTTTTCCTCTAAGGTTTGTGTGTGTGTGTCTGTGTGTGTGTCTGTTTAAGAAATCCTTCTCGACATTCAAGTCATAAAGATAGCTCAGACTTTTTCTCTAGTTTTTAATTTTTTTTAGATGGAGTCTCACTCTGTTGCCCAGGCTGGAGTGCAGTGGCACAATCTCGGCTCACTGCAGCCTCTGCCTCTCCCGGGTTCAAGCGATTCTCCTGCCTCAGCCTCCCAAGTAGCTGGGATTTACAGGCACACACCACCATGCCCAGCTAATTTTTGTATTTTTAGTAGAGACAGGGTTTCACCATGTTGGCCAAGCTGGTCTCGAACTCCTGACCTCAAGTGATCCTCCCACCTCAGCCTCCCAAAGTGTTGGGATTACAGATGTGAGCCACCACGCCTGGCCTTTTTCTCTAGTTTTAAAGTGCTTTCCCCACTCCCATATTTAGGTATTTAGTCTAATTGGAATTTATTTTTGGGTGTGACAGTGATTTTCAAAGCATGATCCAAGGACCCTGGGTGACTGAGACTCTGTCAGGAGGACGATGAGGTCAAACTATTTTCCTAATGATGCCAAGATGTAATTTTTCTTTATTGTGTTGACATTCCCAATGACAGTGCCAAAGCATTGGTGGGTAACACTTTTTGCACCTTAGCACAAGAAGGCAGGGCACCCCACTCTACTCATCTTCATATTCTTCATGGCCATGTATTCACAGTTAAACAAACATGCACCAGTTTCATTTAAGAATGTTCTTGATGAAGCAGTGAGAGTTATTATTGTTACTGACTCCTGATCCCAAGTATGTCTTTGAGCTCTTCTGGATGATGGAATGGGAAATACACGAAAAGCACTTCTTCTGGATTCTGAAGCACAATGGTTGTCTCAAGGAAAAGCACTTATGCAGTGGCTGGAACTGAACTAGCTGCCTTTTGTCTTTTGTTTTTTGTTTGCGTAGAACATCATTGAAAGAAATACTGAGAAACTCTGATTTTTCAGCCTTGGGTATTTGTCAGACATTCTCTCAAAAATGAGTAAATAAGCCTGTCACTTCAAGGAAAACAACTGACAGTGTTTGTTGCTGGTGATCAAACTTGAGCTTTCAAATAAACAATTAGAATTCTGGAACACTTGTATCTGTTACCATGGGCTTGATGGTTTCCAATAGAAGACTTTTTGATGTGATTGGTCGTAATGTTAATGAATGTGATTTTGGGGATGAAATGTGTCAAATGTGGAAGATCAGTGTAAATCAGTGGCCTAATGTTTTGTAAATGACCAATACATGATATTCCAAAATCATACTTGAGCAAAAGATCTTTCAAAGAGTAAGATAGACCAATGAATTCTCATGTAACAGAGTATGAATTGATACAGTTTCAGATTCCACATTGCAAGTAAACCTTAAAAATGACTACTTCTTGAGTTTGGGTGTCATAGAAAATAAGAATATTCACAATAATCTGAAAAGGCTATTAAACTACTCCTGCCTTTGCTAACCACACATTTCTGTGAGGTTAGATTTTCCTTATATACTCCAACCAAAACAATATATATTAAAACAGACCGAACATAGAAGCAGATATAAGAATCTAGCCAGACATTGAAACGATTTGCAAAAATTTAAAACAATGTCACTAAAAATTTTTTGTTTTGAAAAATAGAAGATTTTAAAATTAAATAACATGTTACCTATGTTACCATGTAATGAATTTATAGTGAATTTAAAAAATAAATTATTAAGGCCAGGTGTGGTGGCTGACACTTGTAATCCCAGCATTTTGGGAGGCTGAGGTGGGAGGATCACTTGGACCTGGGAGATTGAGAATGAAGTGAGCCATTATCATGCCACGCCACTGCACTCGAGCTTGAGCAACAGAATGAGAGCCTGTCTCAAAAATTTTTTTCTAAAATTTCTCAGTTTCAATTTATCATATAGTTTTCATATATATATATAATATATATATAATATATATTTAAAAAGCTCTTTGGGTCCTCCATATTTTTTTAAATGGCCAGGAAATGTTGATCTATGGCATGAAATAGAGATCTGATTTTATTAATTTTTTTTTTTGGAGATGGAGTCTCACTCAGTCACCCAGGCTGGAGTGCAGTGACACGATCTCGGCTCACTGCAAGCTCCACCTCCTGGGTTCATGCCATTCTCCTGCCTCAGCCTCCCAAGTAGCTGGACTACAGGCACCCGCCACTATGCCCGGCTAATTTGTTTTGTATTTTTTAGTAGAGACGGGGATTCACCGTGTTAGCCAGGATGGTCTCAATCTCCTGACCTCGTGATCCGCCCGTCTAGGCCTCCCAAAGTGCTGGGATTACAGGCGTGAGCCACTGCACCTGGCCAATCTGATTTTATTTTCATTTTCTCATGTGAATAACCAGTTTCTCCAGTAGCTGAAGTAGTCTATCCTATCCCTACTAATTTGTAATATAACCTCTTGCCATTAGTATGTTTCCATATTCATTTGATTGTGTGCCTAGACTCTTTTTCTATTATATATATTTATTTGTTCATCCATATGCCAATTCCACTGTCTTTTTTTTTTTTTTTTTTTTTTTTTGAGACAGAGTCTCACTCTGTCACCCCGGCTGGAGTGCAGTGGCACGATCTCGGCTCACTGTAACCTCCGTCTCCCAGGTTCAAGTGATTCTTCAGCCTCAGCCTCCCAAGTAGCTGGGACTACAGGCATGCACCACCACACCGAGCTAATTTTTCTATTTTTGGTAGAGATGGGTTTTCACCATGTTGGCCAGGATGGTTTCGATCTCTTGACGTCAAGATCCACTGACATCGGCCTCCCAAAGTGCTGGGATTACAAGCATGAGCCACTGTGCCCGGCCAGGAATTACACTTTTAGAAATTTGTATTATACAGATATTTGCAGGAATGCATGAAGATCTGTATAAGAGAATTTCATTAGAGCATTGTGTCTAATAATAAAAAATTAGAATCAGTCTAAGAGTCCATCCATAGAGAAGTGGCTAAACTATGGTAGAACTTTAGAGCAAAATATTATGTAGCTATTTGGAAAAGAATGCAGAAGATCTAATTGTATCATCATGGAATGGTCTTCAAGATATTAAGTAGAAAGTCACCAAGTGGAAAAACAAGTCACAGAATATGTAGAGCATGTTCCCATTTCTGCTAAAAAAAAAATAATAATACAAAAACTCAGCCGGGCACAGTGGCTCATGCCTGTAATCCCAGCACTTTGGGAGGCCGAGGCGGGTGGATCACGAGGTCAGGGGATCGAGACCATCCTGGCTAACACGGTGAAACCCCGTCTCTGCTAAAAATACAAAAAAATTAGCTGGGTGTGGTGGTGGGCACCTGTAGTCCCAGCTACTCCGGAGGCTGAGGCAGGAGAATGGCGTGAACCCGGGAGGCGGAGCTTGCAGTGAGCCGAGATTGTGCCACTGCATGCCAACCTGGGCGACAGAGTAAGACTCCATCTCAAAAAAAAAACCCACCCAGGTGCATGCCCAACTACTACCAGCGATTTGTCACCTCTGAGAAGAGGAGTGGGATTGGAAGAGAGATGTCAAGGGAACTCTTTTCTTTCCTTTTTAAAACCTACTTCTAGATTGTCTGCATTTTCTATAACAAGAATTAATTAACATATTGCTTGTGTACTTATTTTCTTTTTCTTTTCTTTCTTTTTTTTTTTTGAGATGGAGTCTCTCTCTGTCCCTCAGGCTGGAGTGCAATAATAGCATGATCTCGGGTCACTGCAACCTCCACCTCCCAGGTTCAAGCAACTCTCCTACCTCAGCCTCCCAAGTAGCTGGGATTACAGGTGCCTGCCACCATGCCCGGCAAATTTTTGTATTTTTTTTTTTAGTAGAGACGGGGTTTCACTACGTTGACTAGCCTGGTCTTGAACTCCTGACCTCAAGTGATCTGCCCACCTCAGCCTCCCAAAGTGCTGGGATTACAGGCATGAGCCACCGCGCCTGGCCTGCTGTGTAATTCTAAATAATCATCAGGACCATGAACCTGACCATCTGTGAAAGACAGAGATGTTTCCTGGCAGGATAGGGTCCACTGCCATTGATATTGGCAAGGTGCCTGCTGCTCCTTAGCCTGCTGTAGGTACCAGATTGACCTTGAGTAGAACCAGCCTTGAGAGAAGAGGAAAGGAGAGCCAGGCCCTAATCATAGGGATCCCCAGGGGTGTAGATGATGTTAAGGCAACATCTTCTCTGTGTCTAAGAGAAAAAGAATCTGCCCTGAGTATGAACTGACTTGTGTGCTTTGAGGTCAGTGTCCTAAACAGGAAGCCATGAGGTGAGCAGAGACACTTCCCTGCTGCCTGGGGCTGGGAGTTGGGAAGTGAGAAAACATCCTAGTGGCCACCAGAACCATCCAGTGGGTGGCTCTGAATCCTGCATTGATTTGTTGGGAGACTTTGGAGGAGGAGCCTGGTGTGGAGGGTTGAGCCTGGTGAGTTGGAGGCAGCAGCTGGTTACTTTCCATGCAGAGCAGCTTGGAGTTGAGTCACTCGACAATCCAAGGGCACCTGTGGAAGCAGCCATGACTCATGCTACCTTCAGTTTCACATCTGGAGGAGGAAATCACTGACAAAGCAAAGCAAGGCGACTTCTGGGGGCTGCCGTGTAGGATTCTCCCATGTTTAAAAAAGAAAAAAAGATTGTACAGGATTTAAACATAGCATTTATTGCCTGTGTTCTTAGTTATAAAATTAATACATGTACATAATAATTGTTGTAGTTAGTTATTTTATTCAGCATTTATCCTATGTCAGGTACTGATGCTTCAAGCTTTACATGCGTTGTCTCACTTAGTGTTTCTGACCATTCAGTGGGGGAGATCTGTTATTATACCCATTTTACAGATATGGAAACTGAGTCTATACACACACACACGCGCGTAAAACACATAGAAAAAAATCACCCACAATTCTACCCGCCAAAGTCAACCAACATCCTGATGCGTGTTTTTCTAGTAACCTTTTAATATTTTTCCTGTGTAGCTAATATCCAACTATTTTACTTTCCCATATCCTGCCTTTTTCACTCAGCTCTAAATTATGATCCTAGTCCCAAATCATCACATATTCTTCAATAACTTAACTAGTCCATATGGCCAAACATTGTATGTTTCCAATTTTTCCACTGTTATAAAGGTTGCTGTTGTGAGTTATCTTAGTGGGCTAAACTCCGATTATTCCTCTAGGAAGAACATGGAATGATACATTCTTCTAAAGAAATGTTCTGTGTTTCTATGCTCTTCCCTCTACTAGGAGGCACTTGAACGGAGTGGTTGAGAGTTGTAAAAACCTATTTTTATTTATTTATTTATTTTTGAGACAGAGTTTCTCTCTGAAGCCCAGGCTGGAGTGCAATGGCATGATCTCAGCTCACTGCAACCTCTGCCTCCTGGGTTCAAGTGATTCTCCTGCCTCAGCCTCTCAAGTAGCTGGGGTTATAGATGTCCACCACCATACCTGGCCAATTTTTGTAGTTTTATTAGAGATGAGGTTTCCCCATGTTGGCCAGGCTGGTCTCGAACTCTTGACCTCAGGTGATCCACTCGCCTCGGCCTCCCAAAGTGCTAGGATTACAGGCATGAGCCACCGTGCCTGGCCAGAAAAATCTATGTTTGAGTCCCAGCTCTCTGCTGATCTACAACTATGTAAACTTGGGCAAGTTATGTCCCCTTTCTGGCCCTTGCATACTTACCTATAAAACAAGGCTAAAGTAATATTTACTACCTCAAGGGTTGCTGTGAGGATTAACGATGTAATTACTGTAGGTAGAGGTATCTTAGTCCATTTCATGTTGCTGTAAAGGAATACCGGAGGTTGGGTAATTTATAAATAAAAGAGGTTTATTTGGCTCATAGTTCTGCAGGTTATACAAGAAACATGGTGCCAGCATCTGATTCTGGTGAGGGGCCCAAGAATCTTACAATCACTGTGGAAGGTGAAGGGGAACAGACATCACATGTCAAGAGAGAGGAAGAGAAAAGAGGAAGATGCCAGCTTCTTTAACAGCCAGATCTCTTGGGAATTAAGGGTGAGAACTCACTCAATCCTGCAAACATGGCATGAAGCCATTCACGAGGGATCTGCTCCCATCATCCAAACACCTCTCAACAGGCCCCACTTCCAACACTGGGGATCAAATTTTAACATGAGATTTGGAGGGAACAGATGTTCAGACCACATCAAAAGGGCTTAGCACCTTGTTATTAGGCCTAGAAAGCATCTCCCCCTTCTCCTGCCTCTTGACCACCATATCTAGCTTCAGTGACACTCCTTTTGTGAAATCTCTGATATCTGCGTGGTTAAAATTATGCTCTTCCCCCAACCTCTTTTTTTTTTTTGAGAAAGAGTCTCGCTCTGCTGCCCAGGCAGGAGTGCAGTGGTGCAATCTCAACTCACTGCAAACTTCGCCTCCTGGGTTCAAGCGATTCTCCTGCCTTAGCCTCCCAAATAGCTGGGACTACAGGCACACACCGCCACACCCGGCTAATTTTTGTATTTTTAGTAGAGACAGGGTTTCACCATATTGGCCAGGCTGGTCTCGAGCTCCTGACCTCAGGTAATCTGCCCACCTTGGCCTCCCAAAGTGCTGAGATTACAGGCGTGAGCCACCGCACCTGGCCTCTTTCCCCTTTTTTAAAAAAAGAAGGCGAAATTCACATAACATAGCATTCATCATTTTAAAGTGTACCCTTCAGTGGCTTTATGTACATTCACAGTCTTGTGCAACCATCACCTCTAGATGCCAAACATTTTCATCATCCCACAAGGAAACCACTTACCCATTGACCCCTTATCCACAGTAGTCACTGTACTTCAAGGTTTCCCATATCCCATATCCAGCGTGGCTGGATCCAAGGGATCAAATGCCATCAGTAGGACTCAGTTTTTCTGCATCTACTTGTGTTGGCTTCACTCTCGGGCAGATGCTTTCCATATGGCAATCCCAGTGGCTCTAAGCTTACATTAGCCATCAGGTAGCAATCCCAACAGAGAGAGATCGTTTCATTAGAAGTTTCAATGGAAGTCATGGGACTGAGTATTATTGCCTCAACTTGGATAATTTGCCCATGGCTGAACTGATTACCATGGTGGGGGAGAGGGGAAGAGGTGGCGGTAGAATATTCTGATTGGCCAGGTTCTGGGTCGTATGTTCATTCCTCCAAATTGCATTCAGAAAATGGGTGCTGGATGGGGCAAAAAATCAGGTGTCATTCAAAGTTCACTAGGCTTAGGGAGCTGGGCTCAGAGGCCAGAGGCCTGATCTTGATCTTGTCATCACTTAGCAAATCTCCTGGCCATTCAGGCCTTCACACTTCCTGTCTGTAAATGGGTTTATCACCACTCATTCAAGTCCTAATTATTACCAGCGCTGAGAAACCAATACTTTCTTTTTCCATCTCGCTTGTGTAATTTCTTCGGAGAAGCATTTGGATGGTCTCTGAACCATTTTTACCCTGAGAAATGGGACTTAGGAAATTATGCAGCCACATTTTATATCCATTCTGGTCATTTCAGTAATTGGTTCTGAGACACTATTTCCCCGAGCACCATCCCAAGTATAAACTACTATTTCCATCTGTGTTACTGGAGGAAACTGGGGAAAGACATTTGTGGGTTTTTTCCCCCCCAGGCCAAAAAAAAAAAGCAAACAAACAACAACAAGAAAAACTAAAGTAGAGCCCAAAACCAATTTGTTGGTTCCCAGCTTGGCTTAGGCACCATTCTAAGCATATTCCACTAGTCCCTCCATCTCCAAACTAGTCATTCTTGGGAGCTGACCTACTTAGTGCACAGCAAAGGAAATAAACAGAAATCCAGCAAGTCCATCATTTGAGAGGCCCATGCTGATGACTCAGAGAATATATAAAATGGCAGGTTGGCCAGGTGTAGTGGCTCATGCCTGTAATCCTAGCACTTTGGGAGACTGAGGTGGGTGGATCACCTGAGGTCAGGAGTTCAAGACCAGGCTGGCCAACATGGTGAAACCTTGTCTCTACTAAAAATACAAAAATTAGCCAGGTGTGGTGGCACAATCGCTGGAACTTGGGAGGCAGAGACTGCAGTGAGCCGAGATCGTGCCACTATACTCCAGCCTGGGCAACAGAGCAAGACTCCATCTCAAAAAAAAAAAAAAAAAGCCAGGTTGTTTTGCTCTTAATCGGGTTACGTTTGAGGATTCTTTTGGTTCTAGGTGACCAAAACCCACTGGGTTCAGCCAAAAGTGGATATTGTTGAAGGATTCTAGGGTGTCTCACAGAACACAGGGCCATGGTTCCACTGGAATTCAGGAAGGGGATAGAGTCCATTGTGAATCAAGGAGGTCCCTCCCACCACCTCTACCTCTTGACTGTTTTTCTCCATGTCTCCTCTATTCTTCTATCTCATGGGAGAGTGACAGAAGTCAGGTTGAGACTGGAATCTTAATCTCAGCACCAAAAGCTCAGGGAAGGAGCCTATTGGTCCAGCTTGGGCCAGATGTTGACACCTGATCCAATCAAATATGGAGAGGGGATGTGAGTTCCATTGTATCAACATGATCGTGTTAGTGGTCCAGAAATACTTCTGAGGGAAAAAAAGGTGTATGTTACACAGTGATATCAATTAAATTCTAAACTATAGTGAAATATTATTGTCATTTCCACCTCTTTTAAATAAATCTGAGATGGTCTAACCCCTAGCATAGTTCAGTTTCTGGGTCTAGATTACTGGGGTTTGAATCCTGGCCCCAATATTTGCTGTGTGATCTTAGGCAAATTACTTAACCTGTCTCTGTGCCTTCGTTTTGTCATCTACAAAATGGGTATAATAATATTACTTACCTGACAGCATGGTTGGAGCCATTAAATGTGTTAATGTAAGTAAAATGCTCAGAACTCTGCCTGGCAAATAGTAAAGATTTAACAAATAGCTATTATTATTACTGTAAAGTTCATTTCATTATGACAGATTGTTTTTCAGATTATTCAAAATATAGAAGATGTTTAAAAGGGAATTTCTATGATAATGGGAAAATAGGGCTGAATAACCATTACTAAGATTGAATATATCATTGCTATTGCCCTTGAATTCTATAATTTGAATTCATATTATTTGAATTCTAGACGGTACTTTTGATTTATAACCTTAAAAGCTTTAGTAAGGGTTTCTTCTAAACAGCCTTATATAAAATAATAGCAATTCTTGCCATCTTACCTAGCAGGAAAAACCAATTGTTTTATCAAGTTTGCCAGCATAAGATTGAAATTTAAAGCCTTTAATATCTTAGTTTATAAAAGACAAGTTACAGAATGTCTCTTTCCTGGATGTCTTAGAATTACAGTATCTTTTAGGGCAGGAGTCTGTGAACCTTTGCTTAAAGGACTCATGGTAAATATTTTTGTCTTTGAGGGCCATATTGTTAAAGGAAAGGGGTCCCGATCCAGACCCCAAGAGAGGATTCTTAGATATTGTGCAAGAAAGAACTCAAGGCGAATCCATAGAGTAAAATGAAAGCAAGTTTATTTATTAAGTTTCTTAAGTTATTAAGAAAGTAAAGAAATAAAAGAATGGCTACTCCACAGCCAGAACAGCAGCTTGGACTGCTCAACTCATAATGCTTAACAGTTTTTTCTAAATTATATGCTAAACAAGGGGCGAATTATTCATGAGTTTTCTGGGAAAGAGGTGGGCAATTCCCACAGCTGAGGGTTCCTCCACTTTTAAGACTATATAAGGTAACTGACATTGCCATGGCATTTGTAAACAGTCCTGGCGCTGGTGGGCGGGTCTTTTAGCATGGTAATGCATTATAATTAGTGTGGAATGAGTAGTGAGGATGACCAGAGATCATGTGCGTTGCCCTCTTGGTTTTGGTGGCTTTTGGCCAGCTTCTTTACCGCAACCTGTTTTATCGGTCAGGTCTTTGTGACCTGTATCTTGTGCCGTCCTCCTAGCTCATCCTGTGACTTAGAATGCCTAACCTCCTGGGAATGCAGCCCAATAGGTCTCCGCCTCATTTTACCCAGCCCCTATTCAAGATGGTGTTGTTCTGGTTCAAACGCTTCTGACAGTATGGTCTCTGTCCCAGCTACTCAGCCCTGCTGTAACACAAAAGCAGTCATCAACAGTACCTAAACAAATGGGCATGGATGTGTTCTAATAAAGCTTTATTTATAGATGCTGAAATCTGAATTTTTTGCAGTTTTCATTTGATTCCACGCTGACCCCTTGCCCCCCGTCCAAATATTCACAAATGTAAAAGCCATTCTTGTCTCACAGGCTGCACAAAAAGAAGTGATGGGCTGGAGATGGCCTTGGGGCCATATTTTTCATACCCTGCTTTAGGAGACAGTGCATTAGCATTCTGACAGCAGGCAGGGGAGGTACAAGATGACTGTCTACTGCCTCTTGGGTTCTAACACCCCAGATGCATGTTGACCCCCTGCTGCTTCTCATCATGCGTTTCTCTTAAAAGATACATAGTATTTGTGGGGCTGGGCGCGGTGGCCCACATCTGTAATCCCAGCACTTTGGGAGGCCGAGGCGGGTGGATCACGAGGTCAGGAGAGCAAGACCGTCCTGGCTAACACAGTGAAACCCCATCTCTACTAAAAAAAAAAAAAAAATACAAAAATTAGCTGGGCGTGGTGGTGGGTGTCTGTGGTCCCAGGTACCCCGGAGGCTGAGGCAGGAGAATGGCGTGAACCGAGATCGCGCCACTGCACTCCAGCCTGGGCAACAGAGCGAGACTCCGTCTCAAAAAAAAAAAAAACAAAGATATATAGTATTTGTGTGACTTTCTTGGTTTTGTGCAACAGAAAACTCAACCCAAACTGCATATGCAAAAAAAAAAAAAAAAAAAAAGGAATGTACTAACCGGGGTTTCTACACTCTAGGGGTGGTTGAGGCAGGAGTCCAAAGTCTATCTGTTTATCCCTCAGCTTTTATCCCCTCCATGAGGGCTTTGTTCTTAGGATTCAGGGTTTCTTTTCCCCCAGGGGGGTTCACAGCAAAGTTCTGGGTCTGACTACTTCTGGTGTGTATCTGATCCTATATCTATCTGAATCTGAACGGGAAGGGAACACAGTGAGCACCTTAGGCCACACCTGGGTAGGGTAAGCCCCATTAAATTTGCAAGTCCTGGGAGCGGTGGTGCCAGTTGGTTCCCCAAAGGAAACAGGTCCTATTACCTAAGAAAGGTGAATGGATACTGGGAGGCAAATCAACAAATGTCCATTGCACATGAGGACATCACACTGTGACATTTAGAATCTAAATGCTCTGAACAAAATGTATAGGGGACCTTCCAGGAACGGGAAATTGCTGTTCCTACCCCCTCTTTTTGGAGAAATTGCTGTTCCTCCCATTGGCAAAATTCCCCTCGCAGGTTCCAGCTTCTTTCTCTTAGAACAGACCTTCTGGTTTGGCAAGCCCAGTCCCACATCGAGGTTTAGTTCTGGACTTCTGTGCAGGGTCATGGCACTCGCTTGATTGAAATTTTGTTTGGGGAAGCAATGACCTGAAGAGCTTACAGCCTGGGTCAACCACTCACCACTCTCAGGAAAAGCAGACAGAGCCAAACTTTCTAGCTGGGCTCAAAATAGCTATTTTCTGACGTGGGTCCTCCATGACTCATGGTGGAGTTTTCCAGGCTCGAGGGGACTGTTGACATTTACTCTGCTCCTCCCACGCCACAGAGTCTAACTTTTTCTATCTTCCCCCAAACATAACTCATTACCTCCAGTTTATCCCATGTACACTTCTTTTTCACCCCAGTTTTCTTTTATTTTCAGCGATCCATTCCAGATCCAATATCTTTTTTTTTGAGATGGAGTCTTGCTCTGTCGCCCAGGCTGCAGTGCAGTGGCTCGATCTCGGCTGGCTGCAAGCTACGCCTCCCGGGTTCACGCCATTCTCCTGCCTCAGCCTTCCGAGTAGCTGGGACTACAGGCGCCCGCCCTCATCCGGCTAATTTTTTGTATTTTTTGTAGAGACGGAGTTTCACCGTATGAGCCAGGATCCTCTCGATCTCCTGACCACATGATCTGCCCACCTCGGCCTCCCCAAGTGCTGGGATTACAGGTGTAAGCCACCTGCACCCAGCCCTCCAGATCCAATATCTTTTTCCTCCATCCTTTGCCAAACCAGGACTTCAGCTTCTGGTTACTGGTGCCCACTTCAAGAGATGCCAGGCAGGGAACTCTCAGGACACATACCAGGCCTGCACTGGCATATGTATTTTTTGGAGACAGGATCTCTGTCACTCAAAATAGAGTGCAGTGGCGTGATCATGGCCCACTGCAGCCTTTAACTCCTAGGCTCAAGTGATCCTCCTGCCTCAACCTTCTGAGTAGCTGGGACCACTGGCATATGCCACCACACCTAGCTAATTTTTCAAAATTTTGTAGAGATGGGGTCTTGCTATGTTGCCCAGGCTGATCTTCAACTCTTGGTCTCAAGCAACCCTCCTGCCTCAACCTCCCATAGTTTTGGGATTACAGGCATGAGCCACTGCACCCAGCCTCGGACTGCTACTTTAGACCCCACTTTCTTGTCCAGGTGTGATCCTGGGTGCGTGTGCCCAGAGACGCCCTGGCTACCTGGGATTCATCCATCAAACACCTGGTCATTCAGCCAATTCTGTGCGAACAGCACCTTCCCGGCTGTCCCACCCTCTGCAAAGATCTGTGATGCTGGAAAGTTGTGTGTGGCTAAGTCGGAAGAAGTGAAGTTCATCTGCATAAGTGCAGTAGTGTATTTATTGATTTTTATTCTTATTTTTTATTTTTATTTATTTATTTGAGACAGGGTCTTGCTCTGTCACCCAGGCTGTGGTGCAGTGGCATGATCTCAGCTCACTGTAACCTCCACCGCCTTCTGGGCTTGAGCAATCCTCCCACCTCAGCCTCCCGAGTAGCTGGGACCAGAGGCACACCCACCATGCCCGGCTATTTTGGTTTTTGTATTTTTTGTAGAGATGAGGTCTTGATATATTGCCCAGGCTGGTCTCGAACTCCTGAGCTCAAGTAATCTTCCCGCCTCGGCCTCCCAAAGTGTTGGGATTACAGGCGTGAGCCACCACGCCCAGTCCAGTAGTGCATTTACTGATAGCACTTACTGCAGCTATTTTCTTTTATTGCATTTACTGCATTCCTGCTATGTCCCAGGCTTTGCACACATTAGTAGGCGTTCGATCCTTTAACAATTCTTTGAGGCAGTAGCAGGTCTTCCTATTTCTATACTTGCTCCCTTAGTAGATCACACTCTCATGGGAAACACAGTGACTTTTTTTTTTCTTTCTTTCTTTTTTTCAGACAGAGTTTCCCTCTTGTTGCCCAGTCTGGAGTGCAATGGTGAGATCTTGGCTCACTGCCTCAGCCTCCCAAGTAGCTGGGATTACCTGCCACCACGCCCAGCCTGATTGTATTTTTTAAAATTAAAATTGAAATACCATCAATAGGTTGACCACTAGGACTAAAATCCAAACTTTTCAGTGTGGCCTATAGGCCGGGCATCATGGGGCCACTTCCTGTCTCTCCATCTTGGAACACCCCTTCCCTTCCTCATTTTGCTCCACCCACATCTGCCTTTTCTCTTTCTTTTAGAGACAGGATCTCACTGTGTTGTCACCTCTCACAGCTTCTGCACTCGTGGATCCTCTATCTGAAGCATTCTTCCCCCTCCGTCTTCCCAGGCCAGCTTCTGCTGGTCATTCAGTGTCAGCTCAAATGCCACTTTCTCATAGAGGTCTTCTGTGACCCCGCTATCTGGAGGAGTCCCCGGGATCAATCACTGTCTACCCCCGTAATGGCATTTTACTCTCTTCCTAGCCCTGTCCACCTAAATGATGTTGTTTGTTTATCTTTTGGCTTGCTGTCTGTCTTCATCAGGAGGATGGATGTTTCATTTCTGCATGCCTAGCTCCTAGAATATTGCCTGGTGTGTGGCGGGCATGTTGAATAAACAAAGAGCCCCCAAATGACATAGGAGGCCATGCCATGTGCCCCAGTCCCTGCAGAGGAGCGACCATCCACCAGCAGACCCTGTGTCTTTGAAAGGAATTCCAGAGAGAGTAAAAATCAGTGCCTATGAAAAGTATCCCAACTGGCTGCACCATTGCCTAGCTTTTGTGCTCAGTGTTTTTGGTTTTGTTTTTTCGACATCATTGGCTTTTAAAGCCAGGTCAACCTTTGGACTTGAACCCTCAGGTTTTGCATCTCCCGCTGCACTGCTGGGCAGTCGACCCTTCCCAAACCACCAGTTCTAGCTGAGACACACACGAGGTTCTGGATTTTTGCTCCACCAGCAGGTGATCCTCTTCATCTTCCATTGCAGGCATCTTTTTCTTTAATTATAAAAATAACACCATACTCCACTCTCAAGGAAGCACTCATAACTCCCTACCCTATAAGTGTGGGCTGTGTATAGTGACTTCCTTCCAAAGAGGAAGTGAAAGGAGAAACTTTACAATGGAGAAACCTGGCAGACACTCCCTCAGCCAGGGGCTCAAGGTCAGCATCAACAGTGCCAACTCATCTTGATGGGATGTACCACGGATGTGAAGTGATGAGAATGGTGGCCGGGCACCATGGCTCACACCTGTATTCCCAGCACTTTGGGAGGCTGAGGCGGGTGGATTACCTGAGGTCAGGGGTTTGAGACCAGCTTCACCAACATGGCGAAACCTTGTCTCTACTAAAAATACAAAAACTAGCCAGGCATGGTGGCACACACCTGTAGTCCCAGCTACTCGGGAGGCTAAGGCAGGAGAATCGCTTGAACCCAGGAGGCGGAGGTTGCAGTGAGCTGAGATCATGCCACTGCACTCCAGCCTGAGTGACAATATGAGATTCCATCTCAAAAAAAAAGAAAAAAAAGAAGAAAGTGATGAGAATGGTGACTTACCTCTGCAGTCTTCTCTCCAAACTCACAACTTGTCTCACCATCAGAAAAACTCAAAATTAAAGGGTATTCCACTACAAAATACCTGTGCAGTACCCCTTAAAACTGTCAAGGGCAGGCTGGGCTCATGCCTGTAATCCCAGCACTTTGGGAGGCTGAGGTGGGCAGATCACCTGAGTTCAGGAGTTCAAGACCAGCCTGACCAACATGGAGAAACCCCGTCTCCACTAAAAATACAAAATTAGCCAGGCGTGGTGGTGCATGCCTGTACTGCCCCCTACTCGGGAGGCTGAGGCAGGAGAATCGCTTGAACCCAGGAGGCGGAGGTTGCAGTGAGCTGAGATCATGCTACTGCACCTGAGAAACTGTCACAGTGTAGAAGAGTCTAAGAAGACACAAGGACTGAATGTCATGCACTGTCCTCGATGGGATCCTGGAATGGAAAAAGAACATTGGCGGAAAAACAAGGAAATCTGAACAGAGTATGCATTTTAATCTTTTTTTAAATCCCCTAAGGATTTCCAGTACTGATGCTTTGCCTTTGTGCTTGAGATCCCTGTTTAGAGCCACATCTCCCTTCTGGTGTGGATTTTCAGTCCGACATGAATGCTTCCAGATTTGCTTCCTTCCTTCTTCTGCCATGATCTGACTCTCCCTCTGACTTCACATTGAACTGGACCCGTTCACGCCTGCACACATCCTGTTTTTCCCCTGGCTGCTCTTCCCTGCGTCCCCCCTCCGCAGACCACCCTCATTCAGATGAGGATATATCCCACCCTATTTCTTGGGCTTACCTTTCTGAATGAAAATAATGTTCCTGGTGCAATTTATCTCTCCTGTCAAATTTCCAGCCTGCAGGGAATTAAATGAGGCACATGATTTTCAGGCTAAGCAGTTTTTAAAAACTGAAATATTACTTTAGACAGGCCCAATTTATTTTCCTCTGGATTCTCATCATTTTAACCCCGCCAAGCACATGGTTTTAAGCAGCTCCATCTGCTCCTCTAACCATCCTTGCGTGACCTGGGCCCTTGACTGACTTCTGAATTGGTTTGTAAATTGGAAGAATTAGGGAGTCGGTTAAGATGCATGAATCATAGCTCAGGATAGATTTATAATTGTCTGTTTTCATGAACTCATTCTGAGATTGCAGGGATGGGGGATATTTCAGAACAAATGGACCTTGAGTAACAGAATGAACCTACAGAAGTGCCGAAAAAGATTTGTTGTTTATGCAATTTTAACCGGGCAATTGTTGTTATTATAGGTTTATCAATTTCCACAATTTTAATTCCACAGCCCTAATGATTTGCTTTGAATTAGGAAGTATATACTTTATTCTCTCATATGGTCCCAAAGGGCCTTAGAAAGCAATCGGAGCCCTTCTGCTTGTCATTGGAAGAAATATGACAGCATGGTTTGGTGATTCATTGAAGGTCACTTTGAAGTGTTGGGGAGAGGACACTGAGTAATGTAAAATGACATTACAATTTGTTAAATAATTTGCCGGAACTCTTGTGTCATCTCTTTCAAAGTCTCACCCTGGAAATAACACACACGTAATTCAAATGCAATCTTTCTGGAAGTCCCACCTGGGAACTGCAGTCCCAATCTGTGGCAAAGTCTTGTGAATATCCTTAATGTGATAAAACTTTGCCTTAGACGGAGTTTGCTTTTTGGAATAACCAAAGTCATTCTGGGCCAAGGTGTTTGAATAAAGTGGTTGATCAAATGAAATTTAATGTAAAGTTATTTTAACTGCTTTTCTTGAGTAACGCATAAACTGATTTGAAAGCAACAAAGAATTTGTTTATTACTACCTCTCCTTATTCCAGAAAGGACTTAATGATCTTATTGGAGCCTTAAAAAAGTTTTAAAAGGCTCAAGAAATGTTGGTAAATTTCCTTTTTTTTATCTTTTTTTTTTTTTTTTTTTTTTTTGAGAAGGAGTCTTGCTCTGTTGCCCAGGCTGGAGTGCAGTGGCTCGATCTCAGCTCACTGCAATCTCTGCCTCCCGGGTTTAAGTGATTCTTGTGCCTCAGCCTCCAGAGTAGCTGGGATTACAGGCATGCGCCACCACCCCTGGCTAATTTTTGTATTTTTAGTAAAGGTGGGGTTTCACCACGTTGGCCAAGCTGGTCTCGAACTCCTGACCTCAAGTGATCCGCCTACCTCGGCCTTCCAAAGTGCTGGGATTACAGGTGTGAGCCATCACGCCCGGCCTAATTTACTTTTATTATTATTATTATTATTGTTGTTGTTTGAGACGGAGTTTCGCTCTGTTGCCTGTTGCCAGGCTGGAGTGCAGTGGCGTGATCTCCACCTCCTGGGTTCAAGCGATTCTCCTGCCTCAGCCTCCCAAGTAGCTGGGACTGTAGGCGTGCACCACCATGCCCAGCTAAGTTTTTTGTTTTTTGTTTTTTGAGACAGAGTCTCGCTCTGTCACCCAGGCTGGAGTGCAGTGGCATGATCTTGGCTCACTACAAGCTCCGCCTCCCGGGTTCACACCATTCTCCTGCCTCAGCCTCCCAAGTAGCTGGGACTACAGGCATCTGCCACCACGCCTGGCTAATTTTTTGTATTTTTTAGTAGAGGTGGGGTTTCACCATGTTAGCCAGGATGGTTTCAATCTCCTGACCTCGTGATCTGCCCACCTCGGCCTCCCGAAGTGCTGGGATTACAGGCGTGAGCCACCGCGCCTGGCCTACTTTTATTATCTTAATATCACTCTTCTCATTTCTCTTCTCTAAGCCTAATATTAGTATTTGTGGACATTGCAGGTGGGACACAAGACCTTTGGTGCTTCTCATCTTCCAAGAGGGCACAGAATGGGATGGTGTATGAGGTGGGATATTCCCAGCCAAGGGAGTTCTGGGAGGGAGGTGAAGTTGGGGCAAAGAATTCCCATGGGCTAATGTCCTCTGTGCTTCCCCAACCCTAGTTCCAGCTGATGTGGAATTCTGAGTTTGGCTGCTTTTTCTTTTGTTGATGGTGGTGATGGTGGTGGTGGCAATGATGATGATAGTGATGTTGATGGTGGTGGTGGTGGTGATAGTGGTGATGGTGATGATGAAAGGGGTGGTAATGATGGTGGTGATGGTGATGATGACAGTGATCGTGATGATGGTGATGGTGATGGTGGGGATAGTAATGATGGTGATAATGGTGATAGTGATAATGGTGACGATGACAGTGATGTGCTAGTGATGGTGATAATGACAGTGATGGTGGTGATAGTGATAGTGGTGATGGTGATGGTAAAGATAATGGTGATAGTGGTGATGATTATGATAGTGATAGTGATTATGGTGAGGATAGAGACAGTGATTGTGATAACTGACATTCACCAAGTCCTCACTGTCCTTATGATGTACCAGGCACCACATTAAGAGCCTTATATACGATCTGTCATTCAATCCTCACTGCATCCAAGGGTACCCTCTATTATTATCCCCAGTTAACAGGTAATGAAGACTGAGGATTGGGAAAGTTACATAACTCACTTACCAGCCACACAACTAGCTATTATGAAATGAACAAATATTACAAGCTAAGGATTAATAGACCCACTTTACAAGGGAAATTTTTTTTTTTTTTTGAGACAGTCTTGCTCTGTCACCCAGCCTGGAGTGCAGTGGTGCGATCTTGGCTCACTACAAGCTCCGCCTCCCGGGTTCACGCCATTCTCCTGCCTCAGCCTCCCGAGTAGCTGGGACTACAGGCGCCCGCCACCACGCCCGGCTAATTTTTTTTATTTTTAGTAGAGACGGGGTTTCACCATGTTAGCCAGGATGGTCTTGATCTCCTGACCTCGTGATCTGCCCGCCTCGGCCTCCCAAAGTGCTGGGATTACAGGCATGAGCCACTGTGCCAGGCCCACAAGGGAAATTTTTTAAAGTGGAAACTCAGAGAATTTAAATAACTTGTCCAGGGGCACAAAGCCAGGCAGGGGCAGAGCCAGGCAGGGGCAGAGCCAGCCTTTCACCATTCACCATTGCTGGCTTTGAACATGAAGCAAGGGGCCATAAGCCAAGGAATGTAGGTGGCCAAGGAATGTAGAAGCTAGAAAAGGCAAGGAAACTCATTCTTCCTTAGAGCCCCAAGAAGGACAGGCAATCCTGCTGACACTGTTACCAAAACACCAGGGGATTCGTCTAGGTCCTGCTGCTCACTGCACAGAAGGCCGACACTGAGACAACAATTATTGCTAAGGAAGGAGGCTTTACTCAGGTGTTGCAGCCAAGGAGCCAGTAACTCAGTCTCACATCCATCTCCCTGACCAACTAAAATCAAGGGTTTATACAGCAGGGAAGAGATGTAACAATGTGTAACAAAACAGGAACTTGGGACGGGCAAGGAAGCAATCCCGATGAATGAGGGGTCTGGCATCTCATTGTCTGGATGCTGTAATCTGGTGAGTTTCAGTTCTTTGATACTTATTTGAGAGGCAAGGAATTCCCTCCTGAGGAAGGAACTCAGATAAAACAAACTTTAAGTTTCAAGAGTTAAGACCAGAAAGGTCAATTTCTATGTTTATCAAGAAAGAAAAAAACTGTCTATGGGACTACTTGTGTTGGTTTCAACACCCTGATTTTCACGTCCGTTGGGCCTCTGTCCTCCAGAACTATAATAAATGTGTGTTGTTTTAAGCCACTAAGTTTGTGTTTATTTGTAACTGAGACACAGATTGGCATTTTTTTCCACTGTCACCCCTCTTGCCTTGTATCATCAGTTGTTAGTATTTGTTTTAGCTGGGGAGGCAGCTGGAGCATGAAGTCAACAGGAACAATGATGATCTGCAGGGAGGAAAGCCCTAGGATGGCGGGATAATCCCCATTGTGCCCCCTCATCATTAGCCACAGTACTTGGCTGGCATTTGAGCAGAGTGGTTATCACAGCAGCGTTCACTCTCCTGCCCCCGGGTTCCTGTTCTTCCCTCTCTTCAAGAGCACTCAATGCATATCTCTCCAAACCAGTGCTTCTCCACCTTTAATGTGAGTGATAATAGCTAACATTCAGCACACTGTGCTCAATGTGTGAATCCCCTCACTTAACCTCCATACCAACCCTTGAGATAGATGTTATCATTATCCTTCCCATTTCAGGAAACTGAGGCATAGAGTGTTTAATGAAGAATCACCTGCTTGAAGGGCAGCTTGCTGGGTCTCCTCCAGGGAGATTTTGATTCAGTAGGTCCAGGAGAAGCCCAGGTAGATGGATTTTTTTTTTTTAATCACACCTAGGTAAGTCTCATACCTGTGCCCTGGGAGCACAATAAAAAAACTCTGGGTTTAGGCTGTGTGCAGTGGCTCATGCTTGTAATCCCATCAGCTTGGGGGTCTGAGATGGGAGGATCGCTTGAGGCCGGTTTAAGATCAGCCTGGGTGACATGGTGAGACTCCGTCTCTACAAAATTAAAAGGACGTGATGGTGCACACCTGTAGTCCCACCTATTCAGGAGGCTGAAGTGGGAGGATTGCTTGAGCCCAGAAGCTTGAGGATGCAGTGAGGTATGATCACACCACTGAACTCCAGACTTGGTAATAGAGTGAGACCTTGTTTCAGATAAAAAGAGGAAAGGAAAGAAAGGAAAAAAGAAAGGAAAGGGGCAAAAGGAAATGGGAAGGGAAGGGAAGGGAGAAAGGAAGGAAGGAAAAAAGAAAGAGAAAGGAAGAAAGAGGAAGGAAGGAAGGGAAGATGGAACTAAGGAAGGAAGAAAGGAGGAAAGAAAGAAAAAGGAAGGAAAAGAGAGAAAGGAAAGAAGGAGAAAGACTCTGAGTCTAAACCCGTGGTTTTCAACAAAGGGTGATTTTGTCCCCCAGGGGATACTTGCCAGTGTCTGAGGACATTTTGGGTTGGGGAGAGGATGCTACTGGCAGCCAGTGGGCAGAGGCCAGGGATGCTGCTGCACAGCCTACAGTGTTTAGCACAGCCCCCAGCACAAAGAAGCGTCCAACTCCAAATGTCAAAGCACTCACAGGCTATGGAGCAGCAGTGAGATGAAGCTCTTGCTCTAGCCTTGGCTCCTGCACTCAGAATGAGTCTTCAGATGTTCTCAGATTACACTTCCAGAGGATTAGGCTGGAATTTGTCTTTCTTGTGAAAGAAACTCTTTGTCTCAAGTGTTGGGTCCTCCCAGGATTCCTCCCCAAATGGGCTATCTTAGTTTCTCCTCTACTCCTCAATCTCACCTCTTCACCTTCATCCTTATTTCCTATTTCACTGCAAAAGTCAAGGGCCCAGCCTGGCCAACATGGTGAAACTCTGTCTCTACCAAAAATACAAAAGTTAGTCAGGCGAAGTGGCAGGCACCTGTAATCCCAGCTACTTGGGAGGCTGAGGCAGGAGAATCACTTGAACCCGGGAGGTGGAGGTTGCAGTGAGCCGAGATCACACCACTGCACTCCAGCCTGGGAGACAGAATGAGACTCCATCTAAAAAAATAAAAATAAAAAACAAAAAAAAAAAGTCAACGGCATCAAATGCTCTCCTCTGCTCCCTTTGTCATTTCTTTGTACTTGGACCTCTTAGATCTTGGACTTCTATGAGGTCACAGAGGAAGAGCATGTTTCCAGAAAGAAATTCCTACAATCAGCCAGTTCTGCATAATCTTGTGGTTCACGAGAGGGGAAGGACCACAGCTTCTCCTTGAGTCCACCTGGGAAGGGCATCTGTGGACACCTTCTCTCTGCCTCCCTTTCCTTCCTCCCAGTTCCTTCCTAGAGGGATGGTGTTTGATTTCTGAGGCCCTGGACATTTCTTCCAGCTCATCATTCAGGTTGTTCAGAGCATTTGGAAGACGAGCTTTTCTCTTGCCAACACTGACCGCCTCTTGCGGGAAGATGTCGCAGCATTATTATTTAATAACCCGTGTCTTTCTTCAGCTCATCAAAGACCTTCCAGCTCCAGATAAGGAGTCGGGGTAGGGAGTAAGGAAACAAAGGGATGAGGGTACAGGAAAATCCCAGCTGCCCCTTATCACACAATCAATATATTCAATCAATATAGTTAATAGCAATGTGCCAATGTCAGTTTCTTGGTAAAGTTAACAAATAGTGGAAATTGAGTGAGGGGGGTAGAGGGGAATTCTGTTGGCTCTTTGCAACTTATCACTGCCCATCTCCAGTTTTCTGGTGCCTTTGCTCAGATGCTGCTGTGGAGTCCCCTCCACAGAGATACCTGTGTCCTTCTCCCCACCTTCCTGGCTCCCAACAGACTACACTGCCTGAGAGAGCTGAAGTCAGGCATTCATTCTGCAGGGGATTCTGGGTCACAGCTGAGCCAGTCCTATTAGGATTTAGGGGGCAGCCGACCTGTGGGGCCTGCACCGCACACACTCCTTCTAAGGGTTTCCTCACAGTCCCTGCTGAAGGGGAGGGTCTCGTGTGACCTGTGGCTCCACCCAGGTTGAACGTGCTGAGGCCCTGACCAAAGGCAGGGCCACCCATAGGCTGCCAGGGGCTGGAGGTGGGACGAGAGGGTCCATCAGAAGTCCTTTCATGAGAGCAGTTAAGAGGGAAGCAGAAGAGTCCTGAAATGGAGAAACACCTCAGGGAGACAGAATCTTTGAGGAAGGGGAAGGTATCAGGGAGAAAAGAAAGAAGGAGATGAATGGAGGGTCCCAGGATGGTGAACAATGACTTGGGACTTGGGAGCACTTGAAATGTGGCCATTCCAAATTGAGATCTGTTCTTCCTTTATTTAGTTTTGAGACGGAGTCTCACTCTGTCACCCAAACTGTAGTGCAGTGGCGCAGTCTCGGCTCACTGCAACCTCCATCCCCCAGGTTCACGTGATCCTTGTGCCTCAGCCTCCCAAGTAGCTGGGATGACAGGCACGTGCCACCAGACGTGGCTATTTTCTGTATTTTTAGTAGAGATGGGGTTTCACCATGTTGTCCAGGCTGGTGTCGATCTCCTGACCTCAAGTGATCCACCTGCCTCGGCCTCCCAAAGTGCTGGGATTACAGGCGTGAGCCACCGTGCCTGGCCTGAATTGAGATCTATTTAAAGGGTAAAATATACATACTGGACTTAAGACTTCCATACTCCCTCCAAAAAGGATATAAAACATCTCATTCGTATCTTTAATATATTGATTACATTTTGAACTGATAATCCTTTAGATCTATTGGATTAAATAAAATATGTTAGTGAAATTAATCTCGCCCATTTCTTTTTATCTTTTTTTTTATTTTTAAGAGACAGGGTCTCGTTGCTATGTTGCCTAGGTTGGACTTAAACTCCTGGGCTCAAGTGATCCCCCTGCCTCAGCCTCCAGAGTAGCTGAGACTACAGGCATGTGCCTCCGCACCCAGCTCTTTTTACTTTTTTTTTTTTTTTTTTTTTTTTGAGATGGAGTCCGTTCTGTCACCCAGGCTGGAGTGCAGTGACTCGATCTTGGCTCACTGCAACCTCCGCCTCCCAGGTTCAAGCGATTCTCCTGCCTCAACCTTCTGAGTAGCTACGATTATAGTCACCTGCCACCATGCCCAGTTAATTTTTTTTGTTTGTTGTTCTTGTTGTTCTTGTTGAGACAGAGTCTCCCTCTGTTGCCCAGGCTGGAGTGCAGTGGCACGATCTCGGCTCACTGCAACCTCCGCCTCCCCAGTTCAAGCAATTCTCCTGCCTCAGCGTCCTGAATAGCTGGGATTACAGGCACACACCACCACACCTGGCTAATTTTTGTATTTTTAGGAAGACGGGCTTTCGCCATGTTGGCCAGGCTGGTCTTGAACTCCTGACCTCAGGTGATCCACCGCCTCGGACTCCCAAAATGCTAGGATTACAGGCGTGAGTGAGCCACCGTGCTCTGCCACGGCTAATTTTTATATTTTTAGTAGAGATGGGGTTTCACCATGTTGGCCAGGCTGGTCTTGAGCTCCTGACCTTAAGTGATATGCCCACCACCCTTGGCCTCTCAAAGTGCTGGGATTACAGGCATGTGCCTCCACACCCAGCCTTTTTTATTTTTTAGAATGTGGTTCCTGGAATGTTCAAAATTACATATGTGGCTAGTGTTCTATTTCAATTGGACCGCACTGATCTATACATTCTCTCTTTTATGACCCCCGATTTACAGATAAGGAAACTGAGTCTCAAAGAGGTTAGGGCATTTGCCGAGGTCGGCCGTTAGAAAGATGCCGGACCATCTACTCATGTCTGCTTGACGCCAATGCCTGCGTCTTCACGTGCTGTTGGTGCGTCCTCCTGAATTACTTTTGTGTCCTTTGACACGTCAGATGTGGCTGGGGAAACAGAAACTCGCAGAAGTTAAAAAAATGTGCTTGAGGTGCCACTGGAGAATAACAATCATAGCCAGGATGTGAAGCCTGTCAGTTTCCTCAGCCGCAAATTCTTCCATGTGGGGCGACCTCACAGAGACGGGATGTATGGGACGGCGGAGTGCAAAGAAAGGTATGATCGCTCTTGGGGGCCCAGTGGCATCCTCTCCACGAGGCAGGCTGGGAGAAATCGAGCAGCCAGGAGCTTCTGGGTTAAAAGCAGTGACTTCATCTCTTTGGGAAACGGTGACTCATTAAAAGCAACGGGCGGCTTCCCATTACATTCACGTTATAGCAAGAAGGCGAGGCACTTGGTGCATCCCGTAATAGGATGCTTGGGGGTTGGAATGAGCTTCTTTCCTACATGAATGATTGATGACAACGAAGTCTAGAGTGCCACCAGGAGCCTTTGAAATGCATTCAGATATTGGCTCCCTGGTCATGGGGCGCAGATCTATTCCCTTGGGATTCAAGACTCTCTTTTGGGTCAATAGCAGCAACTGGCTTCTTGACAAAAGGCTGGAGGGGGCCCCCTCTAGATTCTCTTCTCAGGGCAGGCATGGGTCTGTTGGAGCTGCGGGGCTGTGGTCTCACCTAGAGGGGCCAAGAGATGGTCCCCATGACCATGAGTCTGTGTTCTTCAAATTTGATGGTGGCTCCAATTTTATTTTCTCCCCAGTGTTAGTCTGGCTTCTTTCAGGGAAAGGCACTGTGATGGCAGGAATAATGCTACTGACCACTCTTTGTGATGTCTAGGCACTACACCAAGCACATGTTGTATACAGTTGGTCCTCTGTATCTGTGGGTTCCGCATCCTTAGATTCAACCAATTATGGATGGAAAATATTCAGGAAAAAAATCCACAAATTACCAAGAAGCAAAACTTTGAGTATTATGCTGAATCTGTGTAAATGAAGTGATGTGTAGGCATCCTATTAGGGATTATAAGTAATCTAGAGATGACTTAAAGTCTACAGGAGGATGTGTGGGGCTTCTATGCAAATATTTCACCCTGTTATATCCGGGTCTTGAACATCCAAGGATTTTTTTTTTTTTGAGACGGAGTCTCGCTCTGTTGCCCAGGCTGGAGTGCAGTGGCGCGATCTCGGCTCACTGCAAACTCCGCCTCCCGGGTTCACGCCATTCTTCTGCCTCAGCCTCCTGAGTAGCTGGGACTACAGGCGCCTGCCACCACGCCCGGCTATTTTTTTTTTTTTTTTTTGTATTTGTATTTGTAGTAGAGACGGCGTTTCACCGTGTTATCCAGGATGGTCTCGATCTCCTGACCTCGTGATCCATCCACCTCGGCCTCCCAAAGTGCTGGGATTACAGGCATGAGCCACCGCGCCCGGCCAACATCCAAGGATTTTGGTGTCCAAAGGGAGGCCTGGAACCAATCCCACACGGATACTGAGGGACAAGTATATCATCCCATTTCATCCCTACAGCAGCAACTTCATGAGGCAGGAGTTATTAGTCCCATTTTACAGAAGAGGAAACTGAGACTTAGGGAGATCAAGTAATTTGCCCAGGTCGCACAATTAGTGATAGAGCCAGGGCTTGAAGCGACGTCTGTCTTAAGCCAATGACCCCTGCAGATTATTAGAGCAACTGTTCTCCACAACAGTGTAAGCCTCTTGCTAGAAGCTCAGGTCCACAAGGGCAGAGATTTTTGTCTGTTTTGCTCATTGCTCCTTCCCCATTGCTTAGAGCAGGGTCTGCCACGAAGCAGGTTCTCAATGCATAGTTATTAAATGTATATAAGAGCAAACATATGTTACAGAGAACTTTCTGTATGCTTGTCACTTACATGAATCACCTGTGAGATGGGTATGCTTGTTCCCCAATGTTGCAGATGAAGAAACTGAGGTGCCCAGAGTCACTGATGCATGGCTCAAGCGTGAGAGCTGGACTCTGAAACCCAAAAGCCCATGCCCAGAACCACTCCCCTCTCTTGCCCTCTTCAAGGGCTGGCCTGGCTCCCCATGGTGCCTGCACACGCCAACCCCTTTTCTTTTCTCTCTTCTTAATTTTAAATCTATTTTGCAAATGTAACATCTGACCATTGGTAAATTGCTAAAATTTCAATGAATATAGTTAATAACAATGCACCAATGTCAACTTCTTGGTAATGTTAACAATAGTGGAAATTTAATGAGGAGTAGAGGGGAATTCTTTATGCTCTTTGCAACTCTTCTTAAATTTTTTTTTTTTTTTTATTAAAGATAGTGTCTCACTCTGTCACCTAGGCTGGAGTGCAGTGGCACCATCATAGATCACTGAAGCCCTCAAACTCCTGGACCCAAGCGATCCTCCCACCTCAGCCTCCCAAGTAGCTGGGACCACAGCTGTGTGCCACCACATCTGGCTAATGTTTACATTTTATTTTTGTAGAGATGGGGTCTTGCTCTGTTGCCCAGGCTGGTCTTAAACTCATGGCTTCAAGTGATCCTCTTCCCTCAGCCTTCCAAAGCTCCGGGATTACAGACATGAGCCACCACATCCAGCCACATTTTCTAGAAATATAAAAGTATTAAAAAAAAAAAGTATATTTAAAAACCCAAACAAGAGAAAAGGACATATTAGGTGAAAGTTGATTCTCCCCCAACACTGACTCCCCCTACCTGAGTCCCTCATGTCCTTCCCTAAATGCAGCGGCTGTGACCCAAGTATATTCCAATGACTGAAATGAATAGCACCCCCACCCCCAGCCCTTCATTTAATTGCCTTTGTTATATGAGCTGGGTTGAAATAATCGCTCAAAATGGCTGATTCCTCTTTGAGTAGGACTTAACCCATGGCTGAGAATTGTCCTTCTAGCTTGAGTTCTCACTGAAGTTTGAATGAGAACCGTTTGTTGAGGGACCCTGGGAACCACATCTTGCCAAGTCATTTTACATCCTATCCAACACAGGTATGAGGCTGACCAAAACGTCGTTTAAGACCTTTCCAACGCAAAGGACTGGAATTCTATTCTACAACAGGGGATGGGATAGGTACCCCCAGTGGTACTTTCATGCTTGTACCATCAAACAGCAATGAATTTCCCTTCAGGAAAGCTACGCATTTTCTCCCCAATTATCAACCTTTTTGATTACCTAAAGGAGAAAGCCACAATTTGGTGCTAGCTTTGTCTTTAATGCCCCTAGTACTTGCTGATTCACCTTGTTAAGAAAGAAAATTCAAGCTTCATTCTGAACCTTAAGCAGGCTATAGTATTTAGCAAGAATTTAACAGTATTGCTTTGTTTCCTCAGGTTTATTTTCATGGCTATTTTCTAATTATGCCAAGTAAGAGTCATTTATTGTCTGTGGATGTCATGGGACATTTCCGTTAGGGAGTTTGAGTAAAAAAAGTCAATGTCGGCCAAGCGCAGTGGCTCACGCCTGTAATCCCAGCACTTTGGGAGGCCGAGGTGGGTGGGTCATGAGGTCAGGAGATCGAGACCATCCTGGCTAACATGGTGAAACCCGTCTCTACTAAAAGTACAAAAAATTAGGCTGGTGTGGTGGTGGGCGCCTGTAGTCCCAGCTACTTGGGAGGCTGAGGCAGGAGAATGGCGTGAATTCAGGAGGCAGAGCTTGCAGTGAGCCAAGATCACGCCACTGCACTCCAGCCTGGGTGACAGAGCGAGACGCCGTTTCAAAAAAAAAAAAAAAAAAGTGAATGTCATGACATACTGAGTGGTATATGACAGAGTACAGAATATGTAGCTGGGGTAAATTCTATGCAGTGTTGAGAGTTTTGGAAACACTGTTTTGTAGCTCTTTTGACCTTAGAGCATGGGCATTGGGATCAGATAGATCTGGGTTTGAGTTTCATTTCTACCACTCATTATAGCACTGCCCCAATTGCCCCTTAGAACTGATGTTTACGGTGTTTTGTTTTGTTTGAATAAACACAAAAATTTACCTTCCTAATCTTTTGTTTTTCTTTTTTCTTTTATTTTTGAGACGGAGTCTTGCTCTGTCACCCAGGCTGGAGTGCCGCGGTGCGATCTCTGCTCACTACAAGCTCCGCCTCCCAGGTTCACACCATTCTCCTGCCTCAGCCTCCCAAGTAGCTGGGACTACAGGTGCCCGCCACCACGCCCGGCTAATTTTTTGTATTTTTAGTAGAGACAGGGTTTCACCGTGTTAGCCAAGATGGTCTCTATCTGACCTTGTGATCCACCTGCCTCAGCCTCCCAAAGTGCTGGGATTACAGGCGTGAGCCACTGTGCCCAGCCCCCTCCTAATCTTAAAATTTTAGAAAGTTACATTCATTTTACCTGAGTTCCTTTCTCAAGAAACTGACCTCTCGGCCTTCCAGATAGTATTAAGGAATTGAAATTTACCAGATCACTATATGTGGACAATGAGATGCCAGACTCCTCAACCATCACGATTGCCTAACCAACCACCTGCATCCTGTTGACCAGATTCTCTTCCTTACCCCTTCCTAATAATTTCCCAGAAAAAAAAAAAAAGAATAGGGATGTATCACAATGTAACACATGGTTGCGTTTCTTCCTTGCTACCTCTAATTTTAGTGGGTTGAGGAGATGGATTTGAGTCTCTTTCCATCTCCTCAGCTGCAGCACCCAATTAAAGCCTTCTCTGGCAATACTCATTGCCTCAGTGATTGGCTTTCTGTGCAGCGAGTAGCAGGATCTAGACAGAACCCTTGATGTTGCTGCAACAATTGAGTGAGTGAGTTTGACCAATCACTTATGACCTCTCTAAGCCTCATTTTATTAATCTAGAAAGAGAGGTTGATATGAGCTAGATCATGGCTCCGGTAAACACCCAAAATGAGCAAGCTCTGGGGCCAGTACTAGGCACGTAAAGTTATAAAGCAGAAGTAAAGGCAGAGGTTGTGCAGGGCACCCTGAGCTTAAATTCCTACCATGACCCCTGATTGGAAAAGATGGGCTAGGAAAGGTATCTCTCTGGTCCCCAGCAGTTTAACCCTCCAAGCTTGTATTTAAACTAGAAGTTTTTAGATCACCAGCCCTCATCCTCTATCACCTCCACCACTCCTGTCCCTGGGTAGCCTTACTTTTTGTTTTGTTTTGAGATCAGTGATTAAACCTGCTGGTGCATACCAGGGCTGCCCGGGTGCTCAGCTCTTGTTTGCTGGTGCCACCGCTCAGGAAGCATGCATCTCCCTGGGGTGGCATTTGGGGATGGGAAGATGGATTTAGCTGCCTCTTCCCCCAGAAGTGACTCAGCTCCTGGAAGCTCAATGACAGCAGTGGCAGTTGGAGCCCTGGGGACGTCTGTGCCTTCATGCTTTGCTGTCTCCACACAGCAAGCAAGCTCTTGCTTGGAAGTGTGCGTGAGAGACTTGTTGTCTCTAGCCAGCTTGAAATGCTCCTCCCGTTTCTTCCCGTGATTTGTCCTCCTCGTGGAGACATTCCTTGGCAGCTGTCGGATGCCTGCCTTCTAGTTGGAAAATGTGATCAAGAAAGGAACAGTCTAGCAGGCTAATTTCTATCACACAAGTTCAGACTGGAAAGAAGCTGACTGTGTGTGATATTCATTTATTCAGGTCCTGTATCAGCATTTTTCACTCTGATCTGAAGACCTCCTTCATTAAGGTCCCTGGACACAACACCCCAACCCAGGTTTATCCTAATCCTTGGAGGTGGAGGCAGGGAATTGTTTCTTAAACAACCTCCCTAGATATTCACCTTGCCCACTGATGTCTGGGAATAACTACTCCCTCTGTGTCTAAAGCAATACAGTCTACTCAGTTTTGTTATGATGATGATGGTACTTACGTAGGGAGGTAGTTCTTACATGAATATGGTTGATTACAACAAGAGCTTTGGAGTAAGAGAGATCTTGTTTTAAATCTCACCTCCATCACTTACTCCCTTTCCTGAGCCTCGACTTCCCCATCTATGAAATGGGATAACAGCACTGACCACCCAGGGCTGTTTTGAGAATCAGATAAGGTAATGCACAGGTGCTGGCATGTGATAAATGCTCGATAAATGTTAGTTATTATCGTTACTGGGTAAACCTGGCTTTCCTAACTTTTAAACTGGAGAGATTACAGTATACCACCCAGGGAAGGGGTTGGCCAACTTTTTCTATAAAGAGCCAGGTAGTGAATATTTGAGGCTTCGTGGGCCAGGGAGTCTCTGTGGCAACTACTCAGTTTTTGCAATGCAAAAGCAGCCATAAATGACATGTAAATGAATGAGCGTGATCAGTGTCCAGAACAACTCTACTTACAACATCAAGCATGGGGCTGCGCTTGGTCCCCTGGCCATAGGGTATCAACCCCTGGCCTAAGGTATTGTGCAGACTAAATGAGATGAGATTCATTCCTGTAATCCCAGCGCTTTGGGAGGCTGAGATGGGCAGATCACTTGAGCTCAGGAGTTGGGAGACCAGCCTGGGCAACATGGCAAAACCCCATCTCTACAAATAGTACAAAAAAAGTCACTGGGTGTGGTGGAGTGAACCTGTAATTTCAGCTACTCGGGAGGCTGAAGTGAGAGGATTGCTTGAGCCCGGGAGGTTGAGGCTGCAGTGAGCCAAGATCATGCCACTGCAATCCAGCCTGGAAGACAGAGCGAGACCCTGCCCCACCAAAAAAAAAAAAAAAAAAAAAAGATGAGGTTTACAATGAGCCCAACACAGTGCCTGATGCAGAGACAGCTCATGGCAAGAAAGGATTCTAACGATTTGTATCTGATTCAAGCTTTAGGCTTCGTTCCTTTCTCTTGGGGAAGAAAAACATCCTTGAGCAAGACTTTTCAACATAGGTCTTTGTTCCATTCTTTGCCCCAAATCCAAGCTAAGCACCTGGAGCCTGGCACCACCGCCTCCATCCTCCCCCGGGGATGGAGGTAAAATGCCAGTTCCTGGGATGTGATTAATTCTCTTCGTCCCACGCCTCGCCCCAGGGTGTGTTGCCGTTTTCAGCATCTGTCCCATGGAAATCAGGTTGCCCATCTGAACTGTGATGAGAAAAACAAGGATACTCATATCGTGGGGTGGTTAACTACGCACTTTCGCAGGCACAAATGCATTCAGCCCTCACCAGGAGGCTGGATTACGTGGTTAAGGTCACGTGGTTGTGGAGTGGAAGGGGGGTGGGGGGGGAGAGAGAGAGCACAAGCTGGGTTTGAATACTATCTCTGCAATGATCTGGCTGTGTGATGTTGAACAAGTCACTTTCCTTCTCTAAGCCTCAGAGTCATCTCAGTAAAATAGAGATTAAATGAGATAATACACAGAAAGCCTCCAGCACAGGTAACTATTGAATTCTTGTACAGAGGAGGAAAGTGACGCAAAGACATAAAGGGACTCATTCGAGGTCTTGCGGCTGATGACTAGTGTCAAATGAGGATTTCTGACACTGCCCCCGCCTAGCTGTTTTTTGCCAGACCCCACTTCCCCCATGCACTTCCCTCACCCCCTGGTGACTCCCGCTGGGACCCCTGCTGCTTCCAGCCAAGGCTGTGCTCTGTGTGCAGGATCTCAAGCCCCTGGAGAGAGTGACATTGTTGTCAGGAAGCTTGCAAGGCTGTGGCCATTCATTCTTGTGGGTTTGTGGCCTCCTGAAGTTCATGTGCATCTTAAAACATCAGAATGTGACCTTATTTGGAAATAAGGTCTTTGCAGGGGTAATTCAGATCAGGATCCAGATGAGCTCACATTGGATTAGGGTGGGCCCTAAATCTAATGAGACAGAAAAGAAGACACACAGAGCCACCCGGAGGAAGAACCTGTGAAAACAGAGGCAGAGGTTGAAGTGATGCTATTACATCCAGTGGCAAAAACCGTAATTACTTTTGCACCAACCTAATACTACAAACCAAGGAGCCAGCAGGGGCTGCAAGGGCCAAGAAAAGATCCATCCCTAGAGCCTCTGGAGAGCGCGTGACCCTGCCAACACCTTGGTTTCCGACTTCTGGCTTCCCGAACTCCAAGAGATTAAATTCCTTTTGTTTTAAGCCTCCCCACTGGCCATGAATTGTTATGGCACCACGCTTGACTCTGAGATAGGAATGAATGGGGGGTGTCGGACTTAGAACAGCTGCCTGGACCAGAGGCAGCTGTGAGGGTCAAAAAGCATGAATTTGAAGCCAGACCTGGACTCAGCTCTTTCCCTTGCCAGCGCTGAGCCTTTGTTTCTTTGCGAAAATGAGAACCTACTGAACTTGCTGGCTTATGGCGAGGATTAAAAGAGGTGATGGGCAGAGCAGGTGCGGCGGTCATAACGAGGGCAATTGCAAGCATATATTAAACGTGACGTGCCGGGGTAATTCATCCCTCACATCTGTTTTGGGTGGTGGGCTCCCTTACAGAGGAGAAACAGAGCTGCTGAGAGGTTAACCAACTCCCCAAGGCCACACAGCCAGGGAGGGGCAGAACTGGAACTCAAACCCAGGCCATCTGATCTGGTAAGGCTGGTCTTCTAGCTTGGTAGCATCACAGCACACAGTAGCACTCAGTATTAATTATCTTTTTTTTTTTAGACGTAGTCTCACTCTGTCCCTCAGGCTGTAGTGTAGTGGTATGATCTCGGCTCACTGCAGCCTCTGCCTCCCAGGTTCATGTGGTTCTCGTGCCTCAGTCTCCCAAGCAGCTGGGATTACAGGCACCTGCCAGCATGCCAGGCTAAGTTTTGTATTTTTAGTAGAGACTGGATTTCACCGTGTTGGTCACACTGGTCTCGAACTCCTGACCTCAGGTGATCCGCCCGCTTCGGCCTCTCAAAGTGCTGGGATTACAGGCGTGAGCCACCGTGCCCAGCCAATATTAATATTTCGATCCTATTCCTCCCTCCTTCCCTCCTTTCTCAAGCCTGTCCTCACTGCTTCAATCCCAGGAGCCACCACAGCATGGTGTCAGGGACAGTAGTAGGACCCGAAATTGGATTCCAGGGGCCTTGAAGCATAACCAGATGGCCCCAGGAGATCTTTAGGCAGCACATCACATGAGACATTTCCTACAAATCCTCTGCAAACAGACATCGCTCCCTCTCCCCAAGCCACAGCCTGAGGTGGCTCCTCTGACCTCTCTCCTTCCTGCTTCTCTTTGACACTCCCTCCTCTCCCTCCACTGTGTCTCCCTTTTCACCCTTCCCTGGCAGAGGCTCGGCCAGGTGGCCAGATAATCTTCGGGACCCGCCATCTTTAGAAGGCAAGGAGGAGGTGATTGTGAATCTCTCCAATTTCATGTTTTTCCCATTCACCCACCTCCACTCTCTTCCTCCCACTTATACAGTTGTTCAGTGACCCCCTCTCCAACCCAATAGCAGATTCTGCACTATTTATGTTCTGCACTTATCTATTTCATGAAGTATTGTTGCTCCCTGAAAATATAAAAGAAGCACACATTGCTCTGAGATGCTGAACTCAAAGAGGAGAAAATCTTCAATAGGCTGATGACTGACAGGTCAAATATTTTCCTCTCCCCATATAATTGCTTGGCCTTTTCCATTGCCTTTGTTACTGTTTCTCTTGAAAACTGGGAGTTGTCAGGCCAGGCACGGTGGCTCGCGCCTGTAATCCCAGCACTTTGGGAAGCCAAGGCTGGCAGATTACCTGAGGTCAGGAGTTCAAAACCAGCCTGGCCAAAATGGCGAAACCCTGTCTCTACTAAAAATACAAAAAATTAGCCAGGCGTGGTGACATGCGCCTGTAGATCCACATACTTGGGAGGCTGAGGCAGGAGAATTGCTGGAGCCTGGGAGGCAGAGGTTGCAATGAGCAGAGATTGCATCACCACGCTCCAGCCTGGGCAACAGAGCAAGACTTGCTCTCAAAAAAAAAAAAAAAAAAAAAAAAAAGGGGGAATTGTCTCAGAGAGAATGAAGAGAGGCCATTCATTTCAATGTGAGAATCAACTCCAGAGAATTACCTTCTTTCTGTCTCTTTAGCAAAATAAGGTGTTTTGATTGGTGGAGGGGAAGCAGATAATTTTGGCACATGGAACGGACACATCACGGGGTAGGTAATGGAAAGGAACTCCAATTTACTGAGAATCCAACGTCTGCTGAACAACTCAGGGCCGGGAGAGTCCCACAGGTGGACAAATGCATCAGGTGGACTCCTAGAAGAGGGCGCTGTTCTATCTAGAGATCCAAGCAGGTAGGGACTGACTTCAGGGAAGCCTGCAAATCACAGCGCCCTAAACCCTGTGCACGTGTGCAAGGGCCAGGGCCCCAGGACATAGAAGGCAGTTGGACAGGTAGAAACAGGACAACTTTCTCTGGGCACAGTGACTCACACCTGTAAGTAATCCCAGCATTTTGGGAGGCTGAGGCAGGAGGATTGCTTGAGGCCAGAAGTTCCAGACCAGTCTGGGCCACATAGCGAGACCTCATCTCTACAAAAAGAAAAAAGAAGACCTGGTGTGGTGGCTCACACCTGTAATCCCAGCATTATGGGAGGCCAAGGCAGGCTGATCACTTGAGGTCAGGAGTTCAAGACCAGCCTGGCCAACATGGTGAAACCCCAACTCTACTAAAAATACAAAAATTAGCTGGGCATGGTGGCACGAGCCTGTAACCCAAGCTACTCAGGAGGCTGAGGCAGGAGAACTGCTTGAATCCGGGAGGCGGAGGTTGCAGTGAGCCGATATTGTGCCACTGCACTCCAGCCTGGGCAACAGAGGGATACTCCGTCTCAAAAAAAAAAAAGAGAAAAAGGAAAAAGAGAACAACTTTCCAAATCATGGGTATAAGGTATACCAACTTTCATTATTCCTTGAGTATAAGGAAAAAGACAGACGCCCTTGTAGAACTGAGGTGTGGGGTGGGCTCCATCTTGGGGGCGGGTGTGGAAGGAATTAGCAGATACAGATGATGTGATGGTGTCTCAGGGTACGCCAAAAACATCTCCTGCCCCGAGTCTCCCCCACTACCGATCAAAGGCCTTGAATAGCACATCACTTATATCTCAGCCATTCACCCTAGAAACATAGCCCGAAGGAACCCTGTAGATGTGTGCGAAGTTTTCACTTTGAGAACGTTCTTCACTGGAACATTCTTACGGTGAAAATAATTCTTACATTTTTTTCCTCATGATTACAGTGGGGAAAAAATAGGAAACAACCTACATGTCTGTGGATTGCTTAAGTGCTTCGTGATACAGCCACAAATAGAAAACCGCCCCGCCTTCCATGCTGCTGCCGAGGAAGACCATCCAAGGACAGGCAGGAGCGCTCAAGGCATGTTGCTAGGTGAAAAGAACACATAACGAAATAGTGAGGTCCTAACTTTATATTAGAAAAATAAGACCTACATCACAGTGGATATATGTATATGCATATAATAGTATAAATATACATTCACACGCATATATATTAACATTTTAACTGCTAACATTTTAGTGGACTTTTTCAGTCTTTATAAAGTGTGTCTGCCCAGGCGCGGTGGCTCATGCCTATAATCCTAGCACTTTGGGAGGCTGAGGCGGGTGGGTCATGAGGTCAGGAGTTCAAGATCAGCCTGGCCAACATGGTGAAACCCCATCTCAACGAAAAATACAAAAATTAGCCGGGTGTCGTGGCATAAACTTGTTATCCCAGCTACTTGGGAGACTGACGCAGGAGAATCACTCGAACCCGGGAGGTGAAGGTTGCATTGAGCCAAGATCGTGCCACTGCACTCCAGCCTGGGCAACAGGGCGAGACTCCGTCTCAAAAAAGAAAAAAAAGTGTGTCTGTGTATATTACACATATTATATATATAAAAAACCACATATATTCATATATGTATATACACACACATATTTATATATCCGTATGTATGCTCACGCTTGTAATCCCAGCACTTCAGGAGGCCAAGTTGGGAGGATCGCCTGAGGCCAGGAGTTTGAGACCAACCTTGGCAACATAGTGACACCCCCATCTCTACAAAAAAATAAAAATTAAAAAGTTACCTAGGTGGGCCTGTAGTTCCAGCTACTTGGGAGACTGAGGCGGAAGGGTCCCTTGAGCCCAGGGTTCGAGGCGGCAGTGAGCTATGATTGCACCACTGCACCCCAGCTTGGATGACAGAGTGAGGCCTAGTCTCCAAAACAAATGAAAAAATACTTAACACTACTTGGTAGTAGTATTACTATAAGATAATTATGATAAAACTTTCTTCTGCCTAGAGTCGGCTGGTCTTAGAGGCTTAGACCACAGGGCAAAGTGGTCGTGGTCAGGGGGAGCAGAGGCTTAGAATCTGGGACCAGGCAGGAGCTGACAAGGCCTTAATCAGGCTTTTGTGAGCCCACTTGTGAGCCTCCACTAGCCATCATAACAAAGTTCCCAGCCAGGCGTGGTGGCCTCACGACTGTAATCCCAGCACTTTGGGAGGTTGAGGCGGGCGGATCACTTGACGTCAGCCTGGCCAACATGGTGAAACCCCATCACTACTAAAAATACAAAAATTAGCCGGGCCTGGTGGTGTGCACTTGTAATCCCAGCTACTTATAAGGCTGAGGTGGGAGAATCGCCTGAACCTCAGAGGCAGAGGTTGCAGTGAGCTGAGATTGAGATCACACCACTGCATTGCAGCCTGGGCAACAGAGCAGGACTGTGTCTCAAAAAACAAAAACAAGGCCGGGTGCAGTGGCTCACGCCTGTAATCCCAGCACTTTGGGAGGCCGAGGCGGGTAGATCACAAGGTCAGGAGATCGAGACCATCCTGGCTAACATGGTAAACCCCGTCTCTACTAAAAAATATACAACAAATTAGCCAGGCGAGGTGTCGGGCACCTGTAGTCCCAGCTACTCGGGAGGCTGAGGCAGGAGAATGGCGTGAACCTGGGAGATGGAGCTTGCAGTGAGCCGAGATCGCTTCACCGCACTCCAGCCTGGGCGACAGAGCCAGACTCCGTCTAAAAACAAAACAAAACAAAGCAAACGAAGTAAATTACTTTGGAAAACACATTTTCTGGTTCCCAAAGGGTGTGCTCACGAATACACATTTGTGGCACAGGCTGAAGTCTGTCCTCAAGGTGTATGATGGTCGCAGAGCAAGGCTGTGCCCTGGAACCATGTCAGGGTCTGTCCCATGGTGCAGCCTTGGGGTCCTGATGGTTGTATTTCCTGTCTCCTGCACAGATCAGCTGGACATCATCTCCATGGCGGAGACAACCATGATGCCAGAGGAGATTGAGCTGGAGATGGCAAAAATTCAGCGTCTCCGGGAAGTCTTGGTCCGCCGGGAGTCTGAGCTCAGGTTCATGTGAGTGTTTTGGGGATGTGGCCAAGGAAAGAAGTGTGTGGAGGAGAGAGGAAAACCTAATATTTGTTGATCGTCTACTGTGTGCCAGGCACTGAGATAAAGGCATTATGCACGTTTTTAAAAGCCTCATTTGATTCTCACCACCACCCAGGGAAGTGGATATTGTCATCTCCTGTTTTAAGCAAGACCCTGAAGTTGGAATTGAATTCAGGCCAATCTGACTCCAAAACCTTTGTTCTTTCTGTATCACCCACGGGGAAGAAAGAGGGAAGGGAATGCAGAGGCTGTACCCTGTGCTGGTGTCTTTCACGAGCGCACACTCTGCTCTCAGATAGGCCTGAGTTTTTTTTAAGCCTGTCAGCTTGGGCAGGTTACTTGGACTCTCTGAATTTCAGTTCCCTCATTTCTAAAATGGGGAAAAATAACAAGATGGGGTCTCTAGCAACATCAGAGTCACATGGGTTGAACGTTCATTATCTACAGAGCACAGCATTCCTGAAGAGTTGCAGGTAGTCTTTCAAGACAAACTCTCATTTAAAAAGTTGGGCTCTGAGTGTGTGGTGGTGCACACCTGTGGTCCCAGCTACTCAGGAGGCTGAGGTGGGAGGACTGCTTGAGTCCTGGAGTTCAAGGCTGCAGTGAGCTATGATCGCATCACCACACTCCATCTTGGGTGACAGAGAGAGGCACTGTCTCTAAAAAGCACAAATTAAGGCCAGGTGCAGTGGCTCACACCTGTAATCACAGCACTTTGGGAGGCTGAGGCGGGATGATCGCTTGAGCCCAGGAGTTCAAGACCAGACAGGGCAATGTAGCCAGACCCTGTCTCTACAAAAAATAAAATTAGCTGTGTGTGGCTGTGTGTGCCTTTGTCCCAGCTACTCAGGAGGATGAGGTGGGGGGATCGGTTTAGCCCAGGGGTTCAAGACTGCAGTGAACTATGATCATACCATTGCACTCCAACCTGGGAGACACAGTGAGAGCCTGTCGCTAAAAGAAAAAAATTAAAAATACAAAAAATATAAAAACATCAAATTAAAATGAAAAAGTTTTTTTAAAAATTGGGCTTTTGCCGACAAACAGTGAAAGGTTACAAGCAAAACCAAACCAAACCAGAGGTTAAGAGGCAACCTGGCTGGAAAATTCCCTGCGCTGCCTGTCAGCTCACCCACCCACCCACCCTCCACTGGAAGCAGCAGGAACATCAAATCTTTTAGGCAGGCTAGGCCCCTCCCCTATTCTTTCACTGATTTTTCACAACACCAAGAGGCTGAGTCTGTGATCATCCCATTTTGCAGATGAGGAGACTGAGGCTTGAAGAAATGAAACAGCCTGCCCAAGGCCTCCCAGCTAGTAAATGGGGAGTTAGGGTTCAGACTCAGCTCTTTCTGCTTTTAAAACACCTCTTCTTTATAAATTTTTAGTTACTTATTTAGATAAAGGGTCTTGCTCTGTCGTCCAGGGTGGAATGCAGTGAGGCCGTCATAGCTCACTGCAGCCTCGAACTCCTGAAAGCCCATACTCTCACTGGGACGTTATATGACCTTCCCTCTCGCCACATAAAATGAACTGCAGTATTCACAGCTGTCATTTATCCAGCCCTTTGCATGTGCAAGACCGTGAGCTAAATGCTTCCCATGCATAATTCCTTTTCACAGACATCTCTGAGGAAGGTTCTAGAACATTTCCACTTCATGGCTAAGAAATATCTTCCCTTTTGTCTGGAAATAAGCTAAAATGATACGTGAGCATTCAGAAACAATCCTTTCCTCCCTGTGTTTTAAAAGGAAGACAGAGAGGCCAGGTGTGGTGGCTCACATCTATAATCCTAGCACTTTGAGAGGCGGAGGTAGGTAGATCACTTGAGGCCAGGAGTTTGAGACCAGCCTGGCCAACAGGGCAAAAACCCGTCTCTAGTAAAAATACAAAAAATTTAGCCACGTGTGGTGGCGTGCGCCTATAATCCCAGCTACTTGGGAGGCTGAGGCACAAGAATCATTTGAACCTGGGAGGCGGAGGCTACAGCGAGCTGAGATTATACCATTTCACTCCAGTCTGGGCAACAGAGAGAAACTATCCCAAAATAATAATAAAATAAAAGGAAGACAGAGAACATGAGTCTTGCTTTTAAGTAATCAAGATCAAGATCCCTTTGTTTAAAAAAAAAACTACAAAAATACAAAAAATTTAAAAATACAAATACAAATTAAAAATTTTAAAAATATATATTTATTTTTATTTACCTAATGGTGCTGCTGCAGGAACAATGGTTACCACTGTGCACTTACTGACCTTTACTGTGTGCGCGTGTGTGTGGATATTTGTGTGGATGTGTGTGGATGTGTGTGGATGTGGATGTGTGGATGTGTGTGGGGGTGTTCGTATGTGGGTGTCTGGATGTGTGTGTATATGTGTATTGTGGATGTGTGTGTGTGGATGTGTGTGGGTGTGTGGATGTGTGTGTGTGGATCTGTGTGTGTGTATGTGTGTGTGAGGATGTGTGTGTGCATGTGTGGGTGTGTGTGTGGATGTGGGTGTGTATGTGTGCGTGTGGATGTGTGTGCATGTGTGGATGTGTGTGTGGGTGTGGATGTGTGCGTGTGTGGATGTGGGTATGGATGTATGGATATGTGTGTGTGTATGGATGTGCACATGCCTGTCACTTAGCCCAGGCTTAAGGACAAGAATAACTAGCATTTCTTAAGAGGCAGCTCTGCAGTAAGCTCTTGACTTGTGATCTCATTGAATGTCCTCATCTAGCCCATGAATCTGACCACTTAGGGACAAATGTCAACAGTAGACCCTAGGATAAATCAAATTATCTAAAGGATACAGAAGGACCTGAGTGTTGTTAGGACATAGATCAGGGATTCTGTGACATTTTCCAGGGGAGGGACCCCCTTCCAGGCCCCCAGATGTCTTGCTGGAATGGAGTCCTACAGACAGTATTGGATGGTGATGACGCTCCCCAACCAGGCTCAGCCTTGTATGGTGTGTAGCTTGCCCAGTGGTGCACCTGCCTCATCAATCTCAGAGATAGACGGTGGACACTAAGGCAACCAGGACAAAGGACACAGTATGCTCAGATCTGCACAAAGTCCTCATCCATCATCCTCAGCCCTCCAGGCCAACAGGCTTTGAGCCAAGGCCCTGCTTGAATTCACTTTCTTGGCTGTTCCTCAGAGATGGTTTTTCCCGAAGCTGTGGGGCTTATCCTGTGAGTGTGTCCTGTTCTTATCTCCATTTTGGATGGGAAGTAATGGGAGGTTACAAAATTTGCCTGATGCTGCATTAGCTAATAAGTAGCCAAGCTAGGATGCAGTCTGACTCCAGAATGTTTATTAAGTGAATCAGGGAAGGAGGGAAGGGAGTGGGAGAGAAGGGAGGGGGAGAGGGAGGGGAGAGGCGGACAGGGGAAGGGAGGGAAGGGAGGAAAGAAAAGGAGGAAGGAAGGAAGCTTTGAGTATAAACTACCAAGATAATTCCTTCAAGTTTATAAACTCCATGAGGGCAGAGACCTTATCCAATTTCCTCACAACGTCTTCCCAGCATTTGGAACAATGCCTGGCACTGAGTGTCATGAATATTTGTCAAATGTGCAATAAATTATTCTTTCTCACTCCATCCTTACCCCAACAATCCTCTTACACACACACACACACACACACACACACACACACGTGAGACACTCTTGGCACAGAGTAGGAGAGAAAAAAATTTCAGACCCTACTGATCATTTTCAGGCTCAGGCGAGGAAGCTTTAAGTGACAGGAATGTGACAGCCCTGGGCTGAAAGACTCCCGGTGGCCGTAGTGTAATAGCCGCGGTGAGATTTGTTTTGTCACACCTGCTGCGAAGTAATCACCTTAATGCCCATCAGCTGCTGCAGAGACCATGTGAGTCAGCCCCTATTTCATGGTTGAGAATGTGTCTCACTTCCAATGCTTCTCGCAGCATTAACTCTTTTATTTTTATTTCTTGTGACAGAGTCTCGCTCTGTCGCCCAGGCTGGAGTGCAGTGGTGCGATCTCGGCTCACTGCAACCTCCGTCTCCTGGGTTCAAGCGATTCTTGTGCCTCGGCCTTCCAAGTAGCTGAGACTACAGGTGCCCACCACCATGCCCAGCTAATTTTTGTATTTTTAGTAGAGACAAGGTTTCACCATGTTGGCCAGGCTGGTCTTGAACTCCTGGCCTCAAGTGATCTGCCCTCCTTGGCCTCCTTGGGATTACAGGTGTGAGCCACTGCACCCAGCCTGCATTGACTCTTTTAAGCATGAGTCCGGGGGGGACTGCCTGCCCCAGCCCCAAAGCTCTGGCACCCTCACATTTAGATTATTTCATGGGCTTCCTTTTTCTCAGCTGATTTAACTTGTCCTTTCCCCCAAGATCCACAGCCCCTGCCTGTTCTTCCTCTTTTCCTGCCACGACAGTGAGGAAGAAGAGGAGGGAGATTTCCCTACTCCCAGGGAATGGTGAGAACTCGGGAGATGTGGGATCAGAGGTCATCATCCTGGCTCTCTGACGTCCTTGGTCTGTGACCTTGGACACATGAGGGAGCACACAGAGTTGCTGTTTCCCGCGGGCACTGATATGCCACCCTGAGTGCTACGTCCCCTGCATGCATTCACCCCTTAATTTTAGCTTCTTGAGTCCTCGCAAGAACCCCAATAGAGTAAGTTCTATCTCTTTTATTTTATGAATGAGGAAATTGAGGTCGGAGAGGCAAAGTGACTTGTTCGAGGTCACCAGCTAGGATAAAGTAGTACCAGGATTTGAACCCAAGGTGTCTGTCTCGTGGGGGCAGAGCCCTTAACCTTAAGCTGTTCTGTTATCTTTATTCTCAATGCCAGGACCCCTTTTCTCTTTGCCTTACTCTTTTACAACGCAAGGACAAACCCCCGATTAGATGCCCCCAGTCCCACACTTGGTCTTGTCTTGTTCTGCAATGTTGAATTGTGTGTGGTGGAACTTGGACAGATTTTACTAAGTCAGGCTTTGGACTTTTCTGTACCATTGAAACTGACCCAATAGTCCCATCATAGATGTTCTTTTTTTTTTTTTTTTTTTTTGAGACAAGAGTCTCGATCTGCCACCCAGGCTGGAGTGCAGTGGGGCACGATCTGGACTCACTACAAGCTCCACCTCCCGGGTTCACGCCATTCTCCTGCCTCAGCCTCCCGAGTAGCTGGGACTACAGGCGCCCGCCACCACGCCTGGCTAACTTTTTTTTGTATTTTTTAGTAGAGACGGGGTTTCACCGTGTTAGCCAGGATGGTCTCGATCTCCTGACCTCGTGATCCTCCCGCCTTGGCCTCCCAAAGTGCTGGGATTACAGGCATGAGCCACTGCACCCGGCCCATAGATACTCTTTTGGATAAATACAGAAGTTGACCTTTCTGATCTTAAAGCTTGAAGCCCTCATTTGTCTTATCTGAGTTATTTCCTCAGGAAGGGACCCCCAGGCCTCTCAAAAAATATCAAAGAACTGAAACTCACCAGATTACCACATCCAGAGATGAGATACCAGACCCCTCATTCATCATGATTGCTTCCTTGCTCCTCCCGAGTTCCTGTTTTCTTCATGATTGCTTCCTTGCTCCTCCCGAGTTCCTGTTTTCTTATACATTGTTACATTTCTTCCCTGCTATGTAAACTCCTAGTTTTAGTTGGTCAGGGAGATGGATTTGAGACTGAGCTCCCATCTCCTTGGCTGCAGCACGCAATTAAAATCTTCCTTGGCAATACTCATCTTGTCAGTGATGGGCTTTCTATGCGGCGAGCAGCAGGACCTAGACCAAACCCCTGGTGTTTCAGTATCACCATTTCTCTGCACATAAACTGTTTATTTCAGAGACCAAAATGATGAGCTCCAATGCAGACAGTCAAAGTTTGTGAAGTCAGTCTGCTGGGAATGTGCTGTAGAAAAAGAACCCGGTTCCCGTAATAACTCTTAAGGCCCACAACAGTTGGCATTTACAGACCCCTTATTGTGGACCTAGGCTTGTGCTAAGCCCTTTACACACATGCTCACATAACCCACATCAAATGCTTACTAACAGAAAGATGCATCAGGAACCACCCCAACCCAGGACACCCACTTGCCCTGAATCAGGCCCAGGAGGTCAAGTTCACAGACCAGCCATAAGTGAGCTCCCAGCAGGCAGGTGTGAACTCTGAGTGTGCTCCTCACTCTGAATTTCCAGTGTGTGTTCCCTTGCTGACTTCCCTTTGCTTGACCCCTGGTTTCCAATGTGCAAAATGGCATTTAGAGATCTCTTTCTTGAGGCTTGGCAATTTTATCAACTTTACTGGAACAGGGCAGTAACACAAAACTGCCTCCGGAAAACAGGCAGCAAACATCTGGCAGATAATGCTTGAAACGCCTGTGTTTTCTCACTTCTTGACCCTATGTTCCACCCACCTCCTAGTACCTCCCACTGCTACCCCATCTCCCTACCCATCCTGCCCCCATCTTACTGCAGGCAAGAACTCTCAGAGGCTGTCAACAACCTCAGACTCATTTTCTCGCCTTCCTTCCAGCACTGAATCACATCATTAGTTTTTAATAATTCTTCTTGCAGCCCCTCTGGCTCGCTTCAGCTTTTCCACATCTAGTCTACCAACCCGCTCCTGCTGTTTATCTGGGTTTCAGATAATTAAGTATCTTTGGCCTCCACATGGGGCAGGGGTGTGGTTATCTTCCTTTTACACCCGCTTGCTGGATTTTCATAAAAAGGGATAGCATGCCCTGCCACTCAGCTTGCTCTGGGCAAAAGCAGGTTTTAATCAGCCAGAGACAGAACTGCAGCAGGCAGGGAAGGTAGGCGTGCGAAGGACATATTTCAAGAGCACAGCCTTTGAGTTCCAATATTTCCAGAGCCTGGGCTTGAAATCCAGTAACTTCGTTTTATTAAGAGGTACCAAGTGTGGTAAAGAGGACAGGCCCTGGGAACCTGGCAGAGATTCAAAATGGGGTAATAGTGCATGCATTGTGTTGAAAACCACACACACACACACACACACACGGAAAGTGTGTGCATTGTAGATAGCAGTTCTTTTAAAACATTTTCTATGCTGGCTAGTTTTCTAGTGTTTTATTGTTTTGATTCATATAATCCTCACTATCACCATCCAGGCAGAAAATATCACATAGCCTTTATTTTATAGATGAGGAAACTGAGGCACTGAGAGGTCAAGTCTCTTGCCCATGGTTGTACAGTTTCCATGAAATAGCATTCTAAGTCCAGATGAAATGGGAAAAGTTCCCTTGTCCCCCTCGCAGGGTGTGTGATGTCGGAGTGGCTCGCTTCTTCAGTGCCCCGCTGCTCAAACCTCTAGGGGACCATAGAGATGGGCCAGTTGTCGGGATCTGATCCCACGGCAGTGTCTAGGGGTGGATGTTTACAACTCCTGAAGCTTCAGTGTGTGTGTGTTACATGGTGCTCTTTTAGTTTTGCTATCTATAGGCGGCTTGTGTTAACTAGCTCAATTAGACCCTCTACGTTGTCCCAAGGACAGAGGGCTTTCTGTATCCTGGGTTCTTGCCTTGGTGCACCAGAAGAATCGGATCACACCTGGACTTGGAGAATGAGAGCAAGGTTTTATTGAGTGGAGGTAGCTCTCAGCAGATGGGGGAAGCCAGAAGGGGATGGAGTGGGAAGGTTTCCCCCTGGAGTCAGGCCGCCCAGCAGCCTGGGCACTCCTCCGACTGCCCAGGCCAAACTCCACTTTGTTCCGCCAGTAGATGGCCTGCCAGCATCTGTCATGTGCTCTTCTGCCAGCGTGTTCCTCTTGACGTCTTCTTGACATCCAGACGCTTGTGTCTTCTTTGCCGATCTGCAGCTCTTGACGTCCAGCAGCTTGTGTGTCACCTGCTAGGGTCTTGGGGTTTTTATAGATACAGGATGGGGGCATGGCAGGCCAGGGTGGTCTTGGGAAATGCAACATTTGGGCAGGAAAACAAAAATGCCTGTCCTCACCTAGGACTGTGGGCACAGGCGTGGGGGTGGAGCCCTTACCAGGGACCACACCCTCCTCTACCCAGCACTTCCCTTCCTTCCTTCTGTAGCATTTAAAGCGACCATGCCCTTCCCTTCCTATCACCTCTCTTGCATATCACAGAGTCCATGGTCTCAGTCATCAAGCTGTGGGGTCTCTCAACTAGCTTTGAATTCTACTTCTTACCAACTGTGTGGCCTGGAGCAAATACTTTGTCCTGTTTCAGCCTCGGCTTCCCCATCAGTACAAGGGGGACAGTGATATCTCCCTGCAGCATCATAGCAAGGGATGAAAACAGACACAGGTATGAAATTGGGTGGCCCTTCCTAGGTAGTAAGCAATTCAAAATTCCCTTCTTTCCTTTCATTGTTAACATTGTGCTTCGTGGGAGAGTAGGGCATCAGGGCTGCTTATGGTTGTCTCCAGAGAATTCCCAGAAAATATTCCTCTCCCCAAGAGAAGATGGGATTCACTGTGGTTTCCTTGAGACCCTCTTGGGAGGTGCCAACTCTCTTGAGAGTGGCTCTCAACCATTAAGTGCAACTCTACCCTGGGGCCTTGATTTTATTATGATGATTATTTAAGATTTTTTTATAAACCTGCATTTTTTCCCCTTTAATGAGCTGATAATTCTGAAGTCTGTTAGGAAGAGCTTCAAGCCAAGGGCAAAATGAAGCATGTGCGTTTATGTAACTTGACACATTTCAGCCACATTCAGGAGCTCTGCGTCACTTTAGTTGCACACAGGGTTTTAAATAGCATCTTCCAGGAACAGGTCACCATTGCCGGGGCCACTGTACATATCGGATGGGAAGAGATGCCCTTAATTGCAGAAGATCTAAGAAGCAGTTTGTCTTGGACAAAATATACAAGAAGTTGGGGTGTAGGGGAGGGAAAGGAAGGAAGAAGAAACGGAGAGACTAAAGGGAGGAGAGAGGAGGGAGAATTTCTAAGCTAGACTTCTGAATGGAAGGACCCTCCTCCTGAATTTCTAAATGTACTGGGAGGTGGGGAGGAAGGTGGGAATCTGTGTTGATTGAATGGAGAAATACATGTTAGTCTGGGCGCAGTGGCTCATACCTGTAATCCCAGCACTTTGGGAGGCTGAGGCAGGTGGATCACCTGAAATCAGGAGTTCCAGACCAGCCTGGCCAACATGGCAAAACCCCATCTCTACTAAAAATACAAAAAAATTAGCTAGGCATGGTGGTGTGCACCTGAAATCCCAGCTACTCGAGAGGCTTGAGGCACAAGAGTTGCTTTAACCTGGGAGGCAGAGGTTTCCATGAGCCAAGATTGTGCCACTGCATTCCAGCCTGGGTGACAGAATGAGACTCTGTGTCAAAGAAAATAAATAAATCAAATAAATGTTCTGTACTTGACAAGCTCTTGCTGCTACGAGTTGCCTTTCATGGTCAGAACAAGTTTCGAGAAGGAAAATACTCTCTAGAAGTTCCGTCTTCCTAGAACTGTATTACATTCTGCTCAGAGGACCACCTCTGAACCACCTAGACTCCATTGGGTTGGGAGGGAGATTACCATGTAAGACCCTGGTGATTATCAATTTTATGCATCAACTTGAGTGGGCCACAGGGTTCCCAGATGTTTGGCCAAAGATTCTTCGATGTATGTGTCTGCAAGAGCATTGGTGGATGAAATTAACATTTGAATTGGTAAACTGAGTAAAGCAGACTGCCCTCCCTAATGTAGAGGTGGGTGGGCCCCGTCCAATCAGTTGAAGGCCTGACTACAACAGAAAGGGTGAGTAGGAGGGAACTCCTGCTGCCTGATTGCTTGGGCTGGGACATGGGTCTTTTCCGGCCTTTGAACGCAAACTGAAACATCAGCTCTTCTTGGGTCTTGAGCCTGCCAGCCTTTGGACTGGAACTTAACACCGTCAGCTCTCCTGGGTCTCCAGCTGCCACCTATAGATCTTGGGACTTCTTGGCCTCCAAAATCCCATGAGCCAATTCCTTATCATAAATCTTTTTCCAGGCCAGGTGCAGTGGTTCACGCCTGTAATTCCAGCACTTTGGGAGGCCAAGGTGGGCAGATCATTTGAGGTCAGGAGTTTTGAGACCAGCCTGGCCAATGTGGTGAATCCCTGCCTCTACTAAAAATACAAAAATTAGCCGGCTGTGGTGGCGTGTGCTTTCAGTCCCAGCTACTCGGAAAGTCGAGGCAGGAGAATCGCTTGAACTTGGGAGGTGGAGGTTGCAGTGAGCCAAGATTATGCCAGTGCACTCCAGCCTGGGCAACAGAGTGAGATCCCATCTCAGAAAAAAAAAAAAGAAAAAAGAAAAGAATAAAGAAAAAACAAATAAAATAAATCTCTTCAGTAGTATTGGTTCTGTTTCTCTGGAGAACCCTGACTGATAGAGCCCTTTTTATTCTCAGAAATTTTCATTTGGATAGTTTATCAGGTTAGCAAAGACCTAGCAAGTTGGATAAAATGAAAATATAGGGAAATTGGCCTTATCTCTTTGGAAAACAGTTCATTGTTACCTAGTAAAGATGAACAGGTGATTATAACCTGCAGTTTTGCTCCTGGGTCTACCCCTGGTTAGCCAGTAGCTTCATGTGGCTATTTCAGTTTAAATTAATTAAAATTAAATAGCATGTAAAATTCAGTCTCTCGGTAGCCTGAGCCATATTTCAAGCACTCATTAGTAAATAATGGCTAGTGGCTACCCTATTGGAAAGCATACATTTGTATAGGACATTTCTATTGTTGTAGAACATTCTATTCACCAGCACTGCCCTAGAGAAACTACACATGAGCATCAGGAGGCATGTTCCAGAATGTTCATAACTGCCTCGTTTGTGGTCTAGCTGTACCACAGAATACTATACAGCAGTGAAAAATGAATGAGCAACAGGTATGAACATGAAAGCATCTCAAAAACAAGATGTTGAGCAACAGGTTTATATAAAGTGTATAAAAGTAAAAAATATAGGCCGGGCGTGGTGGCTCACGCCTCTAATCCCAGCACTTTGGGAGGCTGAGGTGGGTGGATCACAAGTTCAGGAGATTGAGACCATCCTGGCTAACACGGCGAAACCCCGTTTCTACTAAAAATACAAAAATTAGCTGGGTGTGGTGGTGTATGCCTGTAGTCCCAGCTAGTCGGGAGGCTGAGGCAGGAGAATCGCTTGAACCCAGGAGGTGGAGGTTGCAGTGAGCTGAGATCCCGCCACTGCACTCCAGCCTGGGCAACAGAGCGAGACTGCATCTCAAAAAAAAAAAAAAAAAAAAACTAAAAAATATAATTGTTCCGGGCTTCATATATGGGTGGTAAATGATAAAAATAAAAAGCATTACCACAAGTTTGTGATAGTGCCTACCTCTGAGGGAATGAGAAAAATATGAGGGAATGGGGCACACGGGGCCGTCTAAAAGTCACACACAGATTTTTACTTAAGTAGGATGTTGGGAAAATAACTGCTTTATTATTCCATAAAAATAATATAATAATAATTCTATGAAGTATGAAATAATAGTAAATAATAATAAAATATAATAAATCATATTTTATTATATTTTATTATTATTATAGTATATTTTATATAAATTTTACTATAAAAATAAAACATTTTATGCACACTTATATGTAGTTTGCACACACACTTCTATTTTTTAAATTGTGGCAAAATATATATAATATTTACTATCTGAAACCATTTCTAAGAGTACAGTTCTATGTCATTAAGAACATTCATACTGTGTGTAACCATCACCATCCCTCCCCAGAATTTTTTTCATCTTCCCAAACTGAAACTCTGTACCATTCAACACTCACTCCCCATTTTCCCTTTCCCCTGGCTCCTGGTAACCAGCATTCTGCTTTCTGTCTCTGATTTTGATGACTCTACATACTTCATAAAACAGGAATCAGGCCAGGCGCTGTGGCTCACGCCTGTAATCCCAGCACTTTGGGAGGCCAAGGTGGGTGGATCGCCTGAGCTCAGGAGTTCGAGACCACCCTGGGCAACATGGTGAAACTCTGTCTCTACTAAAATACCAAAAATTAGCCAGGCGTGGTGGCGCACACCTGTAGTCCCAGCTACTCAGGAGGCTGAGGGATGAAAATCACTTGATACCTGGAGGCAGAGGTTGCAGTGAGCTGAGGTTGTGCCACTGCACTCTAGCTCAGGCTACAGAGTGAGAATCCGTCTCAAAAAATAAAATAAAAAAAAAAGAAGTGGAATCACACGGTATTTTTCTTTTTGGACACACATTTCTAAGGGGAAAATGCTGAGAAAGACAGGCAGGGGAAGGTACAGTATCTGATATCTCCACTTAAATGTCTCAAAGATACCTGTAACTCAATCTGTCCAAGTCAAACTCATGATCCCCCCATCTAGTCCCAATACCCACCAGCCCTAGCTCAGCAAATGGTCAAGCATCACCATCTATCCATGGAAATCTCAAATTCCAAAATTAGACATCATTCTTGACCCCTCCCAACCCTCCACCTCATATATTCAGTTCATCATCAACTGGTGTTTGTTTTACCTCCTAAAATAATGCTCAGCTGTCCATCTTTCTCCATCTCCATGGCCACCACCCAGGTTCACATGCCCATCTCTGTCCTGCAGCCAGAGGGATTTTCTCACCATGTGAATCTGATTATAACTCTCAGATTTAAACACTGTCTTAGTCCGTTCCTGTTGCTGTAACAAAATTCCTTAGACTGGGTAATTTATAAATAGAAATTTAATTCTCACAGTTCTGGAGTCTGGCTGGGAAGTCCAAGATGAAGATGCCAGCAGATTCCATACTTAGAAGGGCTCATTCTCTGCTTCCAAGATGGCGCCTTGCTTCTGTGATCTCCAGAGAGGAAGGGCACCGTCTTCTCACAAGCAGAATGGACAGAAGGGCAAAAAGGACTGAACTTGCTCTCTCGAGCACTTTTGTTAGTGCACTGATCCCACCTCCTAATGGCCCTCACCCCTTAATACTATTGCATTGGAAATTAAGTTTCAACATGAATTTTGAAGAGTCATAAACATTTACACCATAGCAAACACCTTCCAGAATTTGTTAGCATGATAAAGCCCATGAGATCTTGCTGGATCTGCTCACACCTCTTCTCCAACTTCTTTTCTTCATCCATTCCTCACCCCCAGCTCCCTCCCTTACACACACACACCACTCCCTTGGGCCTCCTTTTAGTCTCCACCTCCCCACCCCCCGATACACACACCAGGTCCCCTCCTGCCGTGGGGGCCTTTTTGTTTGTGATGTTCCCTCTGCCTGGATCCCTCTCCTCCCACCCCCCTCTCCTTCCCTGGTGCTATGATCTGAATGTTTGTATCACCCCTAAATACATATGTCGACATCTAATTCCCAATGTAATAATATCAAGAGGTGGGGCTTTCAGGAGGTGATTAGGTCATGAGGGCAGATCCTCATGGATGGGATTCGTGCCCATGTAAAAGAGGCCCAGGGTAGCTTGTTTCTCCCTTTCACTGTGTGAGGACACAGTGAGAACTCACTATCTATGAGGAAGAGGTCCTCACCAGACACTGAATCTGCTGACACCTTGATCTTGGACTTTCCAGCCTCTTTTACCATGAAAAATAAGTGTTTGTTTGTTTGTTTGTTTGTTTGTTTGACGGAGTCTAGCTCTGTCGCCCAGGCTGGAGTGCAGTGGTGCGATCTTGGCTCACTGCAAGCTCTGCCTCCCAGGTTCACGCCATTCTCCTGCCTCAGCCTCCCGAGTAGCTGGGACTACAGGCGCCCACCACCACGCCCGGCTAACTTTTTTGTATTTATTGGTAGAGACAGGGTTTCACCGTGTTAGCCAGGATGGTCTTGATCTCCTGACCTCGTGATCCGCCTGCCTCGGCCTCCCAACGTGCTGGGATTACAGGCGTGAGCCACCGCGCCCGGCGGTGTTTGTTGTTTATAAGCCACCTAGGCTAAGAAAGGGAGAATGGCAGCCCAAATGGACTAAGGCACCTGATAAACTCTGTCCCCTCGAGGACTGAGATCTAGGGCATTTCTGGAGGGACACCTTCCCAGCACTTCCCCAGTCCCTGTCCCATTACCATCCCTGCAATCCTTTCCTTAGAAGCCTTTTGTAAATTTGTGTTCATTGGTGTGAGTGTATGTTCAATATCTGACTCTCCTCCTAGATGCTGACCTCCATGAGGACAGAGGCTGAGCTATTTTCACTCCCAAAAATGTTGACGGTACCCAGCACACAGCCAAACTCAGCGTAGGCACTCTGAGTGAAGATTGATTGAATGAATTAATGAGGGCTCATCTTCCTGCTTCTCCCACGGTCACATAATCTCAAGGGTTCCCTTCCATGTGGCAGGTCTGGGTGGTGAGAACTGCCTGGCTCTCTGATGGTTAGGGTGAACAGTGGGTCCATTCATAGGAAGGAACAGAGTGATAATGCAGCTAAGTGCGTTATTTTCCTGTGGCTACTGTAACAAACAGCTGCAAATGTGTTAAAACAACACACATTTCTTTTATCTTACAGTTCTGGAGGCTGGAAGTCTGAAATCGATTTCACTGAGCTGAAATCAGGTGTTGGCAGAGCCGTGCTTTCTGGAGGCTCTAGAGGAGAAGCCTCTTCCTCATTCATTCCAGCTTCTAGAACCGTACTCTTTGCATTTCTTGGCTTGTGTTTCCCTCCTCCATCTCCGAAGCCAGCAGCATGGCATAGTCCAGTCCCTCTCGATTGAGGTCATCCTGTCGCCTTTGCTCTTCTGTGTCAAATCCCTCTGTTTTTCTCTTAAATGTATGCCTAGCATTCCATTATTGGAACACTAAGCATGTGGGAGTTATTTATATGCTACTTCTCAAGGCTATCACCAGGTCTGATTTCTCAAATTCAAAAAATTGCAACCTCAGGCATAAATGGGTAGGGGCACTTGTGATGACATTGAGGGCCCACCTGGATAACCCAGGATGATCTCCCCATCTCAGGACCCCTTAATTTAATCACATCTGCAAATTTCCTTTTTAAAAATATATATTTTTCAGAGACGAAGTCTTGCTCTGTTGTCCAGGCTGGAGTGCAGTGACACGGTCATAGCTCATTGCTTCCTTTAATTCCTGGGCTCAAACAATCTTACTGCCTCAGCCTCCCAAGAAGCTGGGACCACAGGCACGTGCCACCACACATAGCTAATTTTTGAATTTTGTAGAGATGGTGACATAGTTCGGCTGTGTCCCCACCCAAATCTTATCCTGAATTGTAATCCCATAATCCCCATATGTCATGAGAGGGACCCGGTGGAAGGTAATTCAATCATGTGGGTGGTTGCGCCATGCTGTTATCATGATAGTGAGTTCTCATGAGATCTGATGGTTTTATAAGCATCTGGCATTTCCCCTGCTGGCATTCATTCTCTCTCCTGCCGCCTGGTGAAGAGGAACCTTCTGCCATGATTGTAAGTTTCCTGAGGCCTTCCAAGCTATGTGGAACTGTGAGTCAATTAAACCTCTTTTCTTCTTTCTTTTTTTTTTTTTTTTTTTTTGAGACGGAGTCTCGCACTGTCACTGGGCTGGATTGCAGTGGCTCAATCTTGGCTCACTACAACCACCACCTCCCGGGTTCAAGCAATTATTCGCCTCAGCCTCCCAAGTAACTGGGATTACAGGCACCCGCTGCCATGCCCAGCTAATTTTTTTTTGTATTTTTAGTAGAGACGGGGTTTCACTGTGTTGGCCAGGCTGGTCTCAAACTCCTGACCTCGTGATCCGCCCACCTCAGCCTCCCAAAGTGTTGGGATTACAGGTGTGAGCCATCACGCCCAGCCTTAAACCTCTTTTCTTTACAAGTTACTCCTTCTCGGGTATTTCTTCATAGCAGCATGAGAATGGACTAATACAGTTGGGATCTCATCACCTTGCCCAGGCTGGTCTTGAACTCCTAGGTTCAAGTGATCCTCCCGCCTAGGCCTCCTAAAGTCCTAGGATTAGAAGCATGAGCCACCATGCCTGGCCCAAAATCCCTTTTGCCGTGTAAGGTAACAGATTCATAGGTTCATTAGGACATGGATATCTTCAGGGACCATTCTTCAGTCTACCATATTGAGTGACCACAGCAATTCATATAAGGGCCAAGCCCAGAGCAGGAGCCACAGTGTGGCAGCAACAATGACAGAGACGGCCCTGGTGAGGCTGGGGAAAGGGGAAGATGACACACTACATGGGGCACCCTCATAGCTTCATCCTGTGCCGGGTTCTCATCATTTTTTTGAAATCTCCCAAAAAAGAAGCTTCTTAGAAAGACAGGGCAATAGATACCAGTAAATTGCATGTACCGTGGCCTGGCGATTAAGGGTTTTTCCATTCCCTTTGCTTATTTCTGGAAAGCTGCTGATGTGAGTGGCAGCAGAGATTGAGAAGGGCTTGTCCCTATCACGTGATGGTCTGAATTGAATAGGATAATGCTTGGCTGAGCCTCCTTCCCACATTTTCCTTCAAATAAAATACCAACCCTTTCTTGACAGTTCTAGGACAGGATGCCCAAAGAGAAATGGGAGGGAATAAAACTGCAAGTGACTTAGCAGAGCTGCCTTGGTGTTTTGGGTCTACACAACCAGATTCCCGAGCACCCCCTTAAGGCAATATCCTGACTTACATATTTCATGTTATGTAATTGGCTGCTATTCATTGAGCCATCAGTTACTTAGATCTTGTTGTCTCCTGGAATTCCAGTCTACTGTGTCTGTCCTCAGTCCCCTAAACTCCTCGGGGATCTCAAGTTATATTAGATCAATCCAAGACATTCCTGGTTGGGTTCTGCCAAACGTGGTAGGATCCCTGTTTTGTTTTTTTGTTTTTTTTGTTTTTTTTTGAGACAAAGTCTCACTCTGTCACCTGGGCTGGAATGCAGTGGCTTGATCTTGGCTCACTGCAACCTCTGCCTCCTGGGTTCAAGCGATTCTCCTGCCTCAGCCTCCCTAGTAGCTGGGATTACAGGCACCCGCCACTGCTCCCAGCTAATTTGTATTTTTAGTAGAGACCGGGTTTCACCATATTGGCCGGGCTGGTCTTGAACTCCTGACCTCGTGATTCGCCTGCCTCGGCCTCCCAAAGTGCTGGGATTACAGGCTTGAGCCACTATGCCCGGCCTTTTTTTTTTCTTTTTCTTTTTTTTTTTTTTTTTTTGAGACGGAGTCTCGCTCTGTCGCCCAGGCTGGAGTGCAGTGGCACGATCTCGGCTCACTGCAAGCTCTGCCTCCCAGGTTCACGCCATTCGCCTGCCTCAGCCTCCCAAGTAGCTGGGACTATAGGCACCTGCCACCATGCCCGGCTAATTTTTTGTATTTTCAGTAGAGACAGGGTTTCACTGTGTTAGCCAGGATGGTCTCAATCTCCTGACCTCGTGATCTGCCCGCCTCGGCCTCCCAAAGTGTTGGGATTACAGGCGTGAGCCACCGCGCCTGGCCAGATCCCTGTTTTTTCATTACTAGATATCCTGGTCTTGGATGGGGTTGCTTTCTGATAAATAGACCTCGTGCCTGGTAAGTGTGTTTACTTGCTCCGGATTAAATTACACCTAGATTTACATTCTACCTCTGCCATTTATAGGCTGTGCAATCTTGCACAAATATCTTACCTTCTCTGAGCCTCGGTGGCCTCATCTGTTAAATAGCCATGCATCCAGTATCTCGCAGGGTGGTCATGAGGAGTAAAAGAGATCAAGCATATTAAGTGCTCAGTCCAGTGCCTGCTACCACGTAAGTGCTCATTAAATGTTACTTTCCTTTACCACCAGGAAGAAATTGAGTTTGGAAATGGATAGATACAGGCATAAGTGTAGACACTGGTTTCTTTGTTTGGAAGAGGAGACACAAGAGAAGGGGGAGATTAGAGGGTGGAATGATGATCTTTTCCATGTCAAGGTTGTTGAAACGACGAGAGAAGTCTCAAGGGGCACCTAAGATTTGTCTCAAAATATCTGAAGGATATTACGTGGAAGAGGAAGTTCGTTTCTTTCTTTTTTTTTTTTTTTCCTGAGATAGAGTCTATTGTGTTGCCCAGGCTGGAGTGCAGTGGTTCAATCTTGGTTCACTGCAACCTCTGCCTCCCAGGTTCAAACAATCCTCCTGCGTCAGCCTTCTGAGTAGCTGGGACCAAGTAGCAGCCTCAGGTGTAGGGGGGCTTGAGCCTCTCCTCACTCCTCTCTGATTGGTCCAAATTTGCTCAGTCTGGGCCAATCAGAGTCTTTCTCCTGGGATGCAGAGAGATTAGCCCAGGTGGATGATGAGGGAGTGGCAAACCGAAGTCTATGCATAAGCAGAGAAAGCCAGTCTTTGAAGGGAAAGAGGACAGAGCGTCTGCCTCAAGAATAACAAGAGAGACAGTGTCCTTTGAAAGCAGAGAAGGAACTCAGCCATGACATTCCCATTGCAGTCCAGATGAACTGGGTAGTCCATAAGATGTTGCACCTTGTTCAACCCTGCGCATCCTTTCTCCAGACCCTTGGAGAAATACCTCCCACCCCGTGTTGCCACCGCCTAGGGAAATCCAAAATCCAGCTGTACAATGTCTGTACATTTCCAGGGGCTTCCATCCTCAAGTCTTCTCTGCTCCTAGGCTTGGTTCCTTGAGTCCTGTACCTCCATCCAACTGAATATGAAACTCAGATGCTTCACTGGTTTCCATAACAACAGAATAAAACAATGCCCTATCCTACTCCCACAGGTCATTTGAGGAGCAATACAATGAGGATCACAAAAAGGGTGTCATTGATCTCTTCACAGCAGACAGCTTAAAAACCATGACCAGTGACAATCGTCTCCTGGCTCACCATGTAACTGTCCCTCCAGCCCCAGAGGACTAGCCCCAGCCACAGCCCTGCAAAGACCTTGATTTTTTTTTTAATTGCAAAAAAAAAAAAAAAAAAAAAAAAAAAAAGAAAAGGCCAGGCGCGGTGGCTCACGTCTGTAATCCTAGCACTTTGGGAGGCCAAGGCGAAACCCTGTCTCTACTAAGAAATACAGAAATTAGCTGGGTGTGGAGGTACATGCCTGTAATCCCAGCTATTAGGGAGGCTGAGGCTGGAGAATCCCTTGAACCCGGGAGGAAGACGTTGCAGTGAGCCGAGATTGTGCCACTACACTCCAGCCTGGGCAAGAGAGTGAGACTCTGTCTTAAAAAAAAAGTCAATGTTCCAGTAAAGGGCATCGTGGTATCCATATGGCCATAACTAGGAGAACTAGAAATCCACATTTGACATTCCTGGTTAACAAGATCTTTTTCACCACCCTGTGCCATAAGGCAGTGGGGTGGTTTCCTTTTTCTTGGCCTTTTCCACACACGGGGTCCAGTTTCATCACCTCTTTTTCTCTTCTCCTTTATCTCAGCTCCCTCCATTCCAAGGAAGACACTTACTTCTCCTGTCTTATCCACAGCAGCTTTGCCCTCTTCTAAGAAGCCACGGCACCAATTTATGCTGAGCTCTTGCAAGTACCACCCCAGGTGTTTGTCAAGCCATAATTCCAAGCAAAAACCATTATCTCCCCAAGATACATATGGGTACCATCTGTCAAGATGCTAGCATTTCCCTTCATTTTCTTACACCTTTACTAAACTATATTTTTCTCAAGTGAGCTTGAGTGGATTTCTGTTCCTTCTAGTCTGTGCTGCAATATTCTATTAAAAATTTAGGCTGAATGCAGTGGCTCACACCTGTAATCCCTGCACTTTGAGAGGCTTAGGTGGGAGGATCGCTTGAGCCTAGAAGTTCAAGACCAGCTTGGGCAACATAGCAAGACCCCATCTCTACAAAAAAACTAAATAATTAGCTGGGCATAGTGGTGCATGCCTGTAGCTTCAGCTATTCTAGAGGCTGAGGTGGGAGGATTGCTTGAGCCCAGGAGTCTAAGGCTGGAGTGAGCTATGCTTGTGCCACTGCACTCCAGTCTGGGCAACAGAGTGAGACTCTGTCTCAAAAAGAAGAAAGAGGGCCAGGTGCGGTGGCTCACGCCTGTAATCCCAGCACTTTGAGAGGCCAAGGTGGGTGGATCATGAGGTCAAGAGATGGAGACCATCCTGGCCAACATGGTGAAACCCCATCTCTACTAAAAATACAAAAAAAAATTAGGTGACTACAGTGGTGTGTCCCTGTAGACCCAGCTGCTCAGGAGGCTGAGGCAGGAGAATCACTTGAACCCAGAAGGCGGAGGTTGCAGTGAGCTGAGATCGTGCCACAGTACTCCAGCCTGGCGACAGAGCAAGACTCCATCTCAAAAAAAAAAAAAAAGGAAAGAAAAGAAAAAAGAAAGCTTAGCTATACCGAGAACTTTATTTCCCATATCCCATTTTGTATTAGTCCATTTTCACACTGGAAAAAAAAAATACCAAAGATTGAGTAATTTATAAAATAGAGAGGTTTAATTGACTCACAGTTTCGCATGGCTGGGGAGGCCTCAGGAAACTTACAATCATGGCAGAAGGGGAAGCAGGCACCTTCTTCACAAGGCAGCAGGAGGGAATAAGAGCCAGCAGGGGAAATGCCAGACACTTATAAAGCCCTCAGATCTCATGAGAACTCACCCTTTATCACGAGAACAGCATGGAGGAAACTGCCGCCATGATCCAATCACTTCCCTCCCTCGACACGTGGGGATTACAATTTGCAGTGAGATTTTGGTGGGGACACAGAGCCAAACCATATCCTTTTCCCTGTAGGGTTGTGGGTTAAAAGTAGGCAGAAGAGGATGGTGCGGGAGATTTGGGAAGTGGAAGGAAGGTGACATCAGTGTTTACTCTTTGAAGGCTGTCCAGATGAGACAAGGAGGTGATCTGACAGAGGGGCCACAGAGGTTCCAGCTTGTCCTCACCCTCCCCTGTGTCCCTTGCAGCTTGTCTTCCTGACCGCTGGGCCTGCTGACCAACAGCAGCCCCCCCGCCTCTGGATGCTTGGCAGACGAGGCAGCAGCCCCCTAGGGACCCCTCTACCTGTTTCCCCTCTGCCACTCCATCTTAACAGCTGGACGCATCTGACTCTCATATCAGCTGTCGGTGACTTCTCTCATCCTCTCCACCCTTCCCAGACCGCCATCTCCCCAGCTCCCTGGACAATTGTAGAAGGTCTAATTCCTATAACGCATCCCTTGCCCCAGAGCACGTAGTGACCCTGCTTCCCCGATTGAGCACTGACTAATATCCCTCAACAGCCTTTACAGAAGTAGCCAGAAGTTGGAGGCAATGTGTCCATCTTGCACCAGGCCAACATCCCCCCATGCTTCCGCGTCTCAGCCTTGACTGCCTATTGCAATCACATGGAGAACTTTAAAGAAAATGCTGGGGCCTGGTCTTACAGCCAGAGTCTTGTCTAGTTGTTCCAAGGCATAGCCTGGTCATTGAGAGTCTTAGAAGCAGGTAGGCTGATGCCCCCTCACCTCCCACGGCACAGACATCCCCTCACCTCTTCGCTGGCTGAAATAGAAGAACCCTAGTGTCCATCAGCTGCTTATAGATGACTCATCTTCTTAATCCTTTCTTGACGAAAACTTGCTTCAGATGTTAATAAAAAGTACAAAATCTGCCCTATGTTAGTTTGACTCCTTGGCACAGCAGTGGGAGCCTCTCTCTCTCCCCTGTAGCCTAGGATCGTGATCAGAATCATAATGAAATGTGTGTTTGTGGTCTCCCGTGGCGTCAGATAATTCCGATGCCATCTGTTGTCTTCATCATCACATCCGTTATTGAAGTCCGTTGATTATGCCTTTGATTGAACCTGGGGCTATATTTATCAAGAAAATTATAAGCACAGGCTTTCTGACAGTGTCCAACCAAACAGAATTTGTCATCATTCAATGACTATTGCTTTCCATTTGTTCCTGTTTTGGACTTCTAAAAACCAACACAGGGTCTCCTTTTATTTTTATTTTTTTAAAGAAATCAAGTGAGCTGGCCAAGAGCAGAGCAGAAGATAGATTTTTCTTATTCTTAATTTTTTTTTTTTTTGAGACAGCATCTCGCTCTGTTGCCCAGGCTGGAGTGCAGTGGCACAATCTTGGCTCACTGCAACCTTGTCTCCCAAGTTCAAGCGATTCTCCTGCCTCAGCCTCCCCAGTAGCGGGGATTACAGGTGCCCGCCACCATGCCTGGCTAATTTTTGTATTTTTAGTAGAGGCGGGGTTTCACCATGTTGGCCAGGCTGGTCTCGAACTCCTGTCCTCAAATGATCCACCCACCTCGGCCTCCCAAAGTGCTGGGATTACAGGCATGAGCCACCATGCCCGGCCGAGAAATATATATGTATTTTTAAGAGACGGGCTTTCACTCTGTTGCCCAGGCTGGAGTGCAGTGATGAATCATGGCTTACTGCAGCCTTGAACTCCTGGGCTCCAGTGATCTTCCTGCCTCAGCCCCTTGAGTAGTGGGGACTATAGGCACATGCCACCATGCCTGGCCAATTTTTTAATTTTTTTGTAGAGATGGGGTCTTGCTGTGTTGCCCAGGCTGTTATCAAACTCCTGGCCTCAAGTGATTCTCCTGCCTCAGTCTCCCAAAATGATGGGATTACAGGCATGAGCCACCGTGCGTGGCTGAAAATTCTTAAATGTCTGCCACCTATGAAAGCATTTTGGAGCTATAGTTTGACCCAAGACGAAAACTGCTCATTTAGATAATGAAGTTTAATTTACCTTTGAAAGCAACACTTTGGGAAATGCCTGAATAAACTGACATCTTGAGTCGATAGGAGGCTTCCCCACGTGGAGTTTGGTGAGCTATACCAGGTCATTAAAAAGCCCTTAGATGGGCCGGATGCGTTGGCTCATGCCTGGAATCCCAGCCCTTTGGGAGCCCAAGGTGGGTGGATCACTTAGGTCAGGAGTTCCAAACCAGCCTGGCCAACATGGTGAAACACCATCTCTTACTAAAAATACAAAAATTAACTGGGCATGGTGGTGTGCACCTGTAATCCCAGCTACTTGGGAGGCTGAGGCACCAGGATCACTTGAACCTGAGAGGCGGAGATTGCAGTGAGCCGAGATGTGCCAGTGCACTCCAGCCTGGGTGACAGAGCAAGACTCTGTCTCAAAGAAAAAAAAAAAAGGCTCTTAGATTGGAAGTCAGTGCTCTCATTCCCCCTTGAAGATGGTGACTGTTTGCTACTGTTCCATGTCTTCAATGCTCATGCTGCTGCTTAGACCTGTTAGAACTGACCTTGAGTTATTCCAGAGGAAAATTCCAGCGGATCCTAGAACAATCAGAGTATTCTGGACTGAAGCATAGTCCAGAATCGCTCTGGTGATTAAATTCGGAAAGCTTGCCCAGGGCATCATTAACCGCCTGGAGGAGTGAGCCCTCTCACCATCTGTTGTCTGCCATCACTATTTGGTTTTTCTCTTTGGTCTCATTTAGAGCCAAGTTGAGAAATTTCCAGTTCCTCTCCACTTGCTGCCCGACACAGTTAACCAGAAACACAATGTGGTGAAGGGGCCCATGTTGTAGCTAAAACAGCCCTAGACTTGGAGGCAGGAGCCTGGGTTGATATCTTGGCTGTTTGACTTTATAGCAGCGATCCCCAACCTCTTTGGCACCAAGGACTGGTTTCATGGAAGACAATTTTTCCATGGACCAGGGATGGGGTGGGGGCATGGTTTTGAGATGATTCAAGTGCATTACATTTACTGTGCACTTTATTTCTATCATTATTACTTTGTAATCTATAATGAAATAATTATACAACTCACCATAATGTGGAATCAGTGGGAGCCCTGAGCTTGTTTTCCTGCAACAAGATGGTCCCATCTGTGGGCGATGGGAGAGAGTGGCAGATCATCAGGCATTAGATTCCTATAAGGAGCGTGCAACCTAGATCCCTCACATGCACAGTTCACAATAGGGTTTGCACTCCTATGAGAATCTAATGCAGCCGCTGATCTGACAGGAGGGGGAGCTCAGCCGGTACTGTGAGCATGGGGAGTGGCCGTAAATGCAGATGAAGCTTCACTCACTCACCCGCCACTCACCTCCTGCTGTGCGGCCTGGCTCCTAACAGGCCAAGGACCTGTACTGGTGGTGGCTCAGGGGTTGGGAACCCCTGCTTTATCAGACTTAGTTGGTCCAGTTTTTCCCAAAGTTGGGTACGCTCTGGGATGATTTTAGGCAGCATTTAGGAAAACATTAATTAAGAATTTTTTTTCGGCCAGGCATGGTAGCTCATGCCTATAATCTCAGCACTTTGGGAGGCCTAGGTGGGAGGATCATGAGGTCAAGAGATCAAGACCAGCCTAGCCAACATGGTGGAAACCCAGCCTTTACTAAAAATACAAAAATTAGCTGGGCGTGGTGGTGCACACCTGTAGTCCCAGCTACTTGGAAGGCTGAGGCAGGAGAATCTCTTGAACCCGGGAGGTGGAGGTTGCAGTGAGCCGAGATCGTACCACTGCACTCCAGCCTGGTGACAGAGCAAGATTCCGTCTCAAAAAAAAAAAAAGAAAAAGAAAAAGAATTTATTTTCAGGCAAGGCCTAGTGGCTCATGCTTGTAATCCTAGCATTTTGGAAGGCCAAAGTGGAGGATCACTTGAGCCTAGGAGTTTGAGTCCAGCCTGGGCAACATGACGAAACTCCGTCTTTACAAAAAATTAGCCCAGTGTGCTGGAGTGCACCTGTAGTACCCCCAGCTACCCAGGAGGCTGAGGCGGGAGGATTGCTGGAACCCAGGCTGCAGTGAGCTGATATCACGCCACTGCACTCCAACTTGGACGACAGAGTGAGACCCTGCTGAAAAAAATATATATAATTTTCATGTCTTTTAGGAACAATATTAGGTTTGCATTTATGGTGATGTAAAAAAGAGAATCAACATAAAGAAAAGTATTAAATAGACAATAAAAGAGAACACGCCTGTAATCCCAGCACTTTGGGAGGCTGAGGTGGGGAGATCACTTGAGGCCAGGAGTTCAAGACCAGCCTGTCTAACATGGCAAAACCCCGTCTCTACTAAAAATACAAAAATTAGCGGCTCTCGGTGGCATGCACCTATAATCCAAGCTACTCAGGAGGCTGAAGCATGAGAATCACTTGAACCTGAGAGGTGGAGGTTGCAGTGAGCTGAGATTGTGCCACTGCACTCCAGCCTGGGTGACAGAGTGAGACCCTGTCTCAAATAATAATAATAATAGAGAGGGCTTGAGGCATAGCAACTGTTGCCATGGTAACGTGCAAGTGACTGATGTTCAGGAAACACTGGCTTTGCTACCCTGAGCCACACTTTTCCTTCTTGCCTGCAAGGCGATAAGGATGTTGCACCTGGTGGCTGGTGTGAGGAGGTCAGGCGCAGCAAGAGGCAGCACACGTAGCAGTTACAGTCACAGACTTTGCCTGCGCCAGGGTCTGTGTCCCAGCGGAGATGCTTACCGGCTGTGTGGTCTTGAGCAAATTGCTCGACTTCTCTGTTACTCTGTGTGGTGTTTTCTGACGCCACTTCTGACACCAAATGTGTTTTTTCTGATACCAAATACGTGCCATTTTTCTACACTAAGTCTCTGATTCTTGGATGCCAACTGGGTGCCCAAGCAATTCAATTCAGCTATCACACTATGTCCTGGAGTTAGCATCAGGTCCTGCAAGTTAAAAGACCCCATCCCACCAGACTGCCCCTATCTCAGATGCCAGTCGCAAGTCCGGAGCCACCCACCCTTCTGCCTGGCCAATTACAAACTTGGGGGTTCCCACGACCACCTCCTCGGGTTTGATAGTTTGCTGGAATGACTCACAGAGCTCAGGAAAGCCCTTCACTTATGTTTACTGGTTTATTACAAAGGACAGAACTCAGGAATAGCCAAATGGAAGAGAGATGCATTGGGCAAGGTGTGGAGAGGGAGCCGTGCAGAGCTTCCATGATGCCCTCTCTGGGTGCACTGCCCTCCCAGCACACCAGTGTGTCCACCAACCTAGAGGCTCCCTGGATCTCACTGTTCAAGAGCTTTTATAATTCAGTCGCCAGCCTCCTCCTCTTCCTGGCAGGTCAGCGAGTGGGACTGGAAGTTGCCCGCCGAATTGTTTTTTTTTTTTTTTTTTTTTTGAGACAGGGTCTCACTCTGTCACCCAGGCTGGAGTGCAGTGGTGAGATCATAGCTCACTACAGCCTTGACCTCCTAGGAGTGAGCCTCCTGCTTCAGCCTCACAAGTAGCTGAGACTACACAGGTGGGTGCCAACATGCCTGGCTAATTTTTAATTTTTTTTTTTTTTTTTTTTGAGACAGAGTCTTGCTCTGTCACCCAGGCTGGAGTGCAGTGGCGCGATCTTGGCTCACTGCAAGCTCCGCCTCCCAGGTTCATGCCATTCTCCTGCCTCAGCCTCCCGAGTAGCTGGGCCTACAGGCGCCTGCCACCATGCCTGGCTAATTTTTTTGTATTTTTGGTAGAGGTGGGGTTTCACCATGTTAGCCAGGATGGTCTCGATCTCCTGACCTCATGATCCGCCCGCCTCGGCCTCCCAAAGTGCTGGGATTACAGGCTTGAGCCACCATACCCGGCCTAAATTTTTTTTTTTTTTTTTTTTGGTAGAGATGGAGTCTTGCTATGTTGTGCAGGCTGGTCTCAAACTCCTGAGCTCAAGTGATCCTCCTGGCTCAGCCACCTGAGTAGCTGGGATTACAGGCATGAGCCTCTGCATCCGGCAGTGCCCCCGACCACCTGTCTTTTTTTTTTTTTTTTTGAGACGGAGTCTCACTCTATAGCCTAGGCTGGAGTGCAGTGGCATGATTGCGGCTCACTGCAACCTCCGCCTCCCAGGTTCAAGCAATTATCCTGCCTCAGCCTCCCAAGTAGCTTGGACTACAGGCACGTGCCATCACACCCAGCTAATTTTTGTATTTTTAGTAGAGACGGGGGTTTCACCATATTGGCCAGGCTGGTCTCGAACTCCTGACCTCGTGATCTGCCGGCCTGGACCTCCCAAAGTGCTGTGATTACAGGCGTGAGCCACCGTGCCCTGCCCACCCCTCTCCCCTGTCTTTATCACACATTTGCTCTTCTGGTGACGAGGCCCCAACCTGAAGCCATCTCTCTAGGGAACTCAGCCTGAGTGCCCTCATTAGCATACACTCAGATGTAGTACAATGGGGATTGCTATGGATAACAAAAGACAGTCCTATCGCTCAGGAAACTCCAGGGGCTTTAGGAGCTCTGTGCTGGGAACCAGGGATGAAGACCAAATAGATATTTTATTAACCACACTAGTGGCTTAATGAATTACCTCCTAGGGATTTTTTTTTTTTTTTTTTTTTTTTGGTCAGGAGCAGATGAGATAAGATACATAAAAAAGATATTACAATACCTAACCACATAATAACTGTTCAGTAAATGTTAGCAGTGAAATGGGGGAGCTCCCCTGTCCCCTTTGCAGGACTTGTGACAGGGGTGTGGCTCGCTTACTTGGCTGCCACTGCATCAAACCCCTTGCAGGAGGGGGAGCATGCAGGTGAGCAGATTGGGGCTGGGGTGAGTGCTTTTGGGCTCTGGTCCCATGGCAGCGTCTAGGGATGTGTTACAATTAATACTCTTTTAGCAGTTGCTGTACGCAGATGACTAAGTGTTAACCAGTTCAGTGGAGATTCAGGGTGATAGCCTTTTACACCCTGCCCTCTTGGTACCTGGGTTCTTGTCTGGTGTCCAGGAAGAATCAGGTCACATGGACTTGAAGGATGGTGAATACAAATTTTTTATTAAGTAGTGGAAGTGGCTCTCAGTGGAAGGGGAGCTGGAAAGGGGATGGAGTGGGAAGGTAATCTTCCCCTGGAGTTCAGCCATCCTCAGATGATCTCCTCTCTGACTGTCCCCAGCCAAACTCCTCTCGATGTTCAGACACTTCTTCTCTTCTCTCCTTCTCTGCCACGCCACTCTGGTGCTATTCTGATTGTGGAGCCTGGGGTTTGGGGTTCTTAAGGGCATAGGATGGGGGCAGGGTGGTCCAGAGCGGTTTTGGAAAAGGCAACATTTGGGTGTGAAAACAGGAATGCCTGTTCTCATTTAGGGCTGCAGGTCCAGGCTTGAGGGTGGAGCCCTCACCTGGGACCCTGTCCTTCTGCCGCCTGTCCGTATCAGCAGGATGCTACTGCTGCTGCTGATACCTGGGGAATTGCCAGGTGTGAGGTGGGCATTAGAAAAATTTCAGGCTGGGCACAGTGGCTCAATCCTATAATCCCAGCACTTTGGGAGGTCGAAGCAGGAGGACTCCTTGAGCCTAGGGGTTTGAGACCAGCCTGGGCAACATCACAAGAACTCCTCTCTACAAAAAATTTTGAAATGAGCTGGGCATGGTAGTGTGTACCCATAATCCCAGCTACTCAGGAGGCTGAGGTGGGAAGATTGCTTAAACCTGAGAGGTCAAGGCTGCAGTGAGCTATGATTATACCACTGCATGCCAGCCTGGACCACAGAGCAAGACCCTGTCTCTAAAACACAATTAAAACAAAAATTTCAGTTGAATATGTTCCTAAGAAGCCACAAAAGAGTCTTTTGTTATGATTCTTAAATGAAAATTAACTAAAAATTGGAAATAAGGAAGAATGTCTTTTCCATGTCATACTGAGGCACTGCTTAATGACCTGCCCACGGATGATTAATTATCTTGGAGAGAGTACATGTATCTGACTTTGTTATTTATTATTTGATTAGAGCACTGACATAGTGAAATTACACGTTAACTTGTAGATTTCTGTCCAGTAGAAAAAAGACGACATTAAAGGTTATGGTTTTATTGCCCTTATAGCATGTTAACCAGATTTCTCTCGAATTTAGCAATCTTATGCTAAGGTTTTCATTAAAGATGCTGATGAGTCCACTTTTTAAATGCCCTTGGAGCGAGCTTTACCATTTTACTGGTTCCCTCATTAATGGGTTAAATAAATTTTTTGACAAGTGTTCATTCCACATTTGTATGAGTCACATTTTAAATTTTGAAAATATACTTCAGCATGATCTTAATAATGCCAAGTCCCAGAGAGTTCTCTGTGCCCATAATTTAGTTCACTGGGCACATTCCCAGAGCACGTTCAGTATGCAAAGCATCATGGTGGGCCCCGCAGGGAAGACTAAAATGGGTAGGACTGGTCCCTATAGTTGCAGATTTAGTAATTACTTATGGGCAGAAAAGAAGTATATAAATTACTTCCTACACTGTGAGAAAGAGAAAAGCTGCCCCTGGCAGCCGGGAGCTGGCTTGACACTCACAGCTTGGCCAAAGTGTTCTCCTGTTGAATGTAAACAATTTTGCAGATTGCCGGCATCAGACAAGGCCATCCTGAGACCGTGATAGATCAAGACAAAATAACACTACTCCTGAAGGCAGATAAAGACATGAACATTGTCCCAGCCACAAAAATCACCCAATAGCCCCATTTCCTAGCTCATATGAGTGACTGCTAGTTCTCCATCAATCACAGTTTCAGTCTTACTCTGTTCTTCTCCCTTTAAAGGAAAGAATTAGGAAGACACTCTATCAGAGAATTACCTCCACTTCCTGACAACATCCAATCCAGAGTAAATGCTCACTTCCTTTAAACTGTCCCCCAAAGCACCTAACACAAGCCCAAATTTTCTTTTCTTTTCTTTTTCTTTTTTTTTGAGACGGAGTCTCGCTCTATCACCCAGGCTGGAGTGCAGTGGTGCAATCTCGGCTCACTGCAACCTCTGCCCCCCGGGTTCAAGCAATTCTCCCGCCTCAGCCTCCCGAGTAGCTGGGATTATAGGCACCCGCCACCACGCCTGACTAACTTTTGTATTTTTAGTAGAGACGGGGTTTCACCATGTTGGCCAGGCTGGTCTCGAACTCCTGACCTCAAGTGATCCACCTGCCTCGGCCTCCCAAAGTGCTAGGATTACAGGTGTGAGCCACCACACCTGGCCCCAAATTTTCTAATAAGTGCTTTCTAACACCCTCTTACTGATATCTGCCCACAGCTGATTAGGTGCAAGCTAGCCCAGTACCAATCGATAGAAGACAGTACAGACTCACTAAAGTGATATATGATGGAGAAAATTGTCCCCATCCAGACTTCCCTTAGAGAGAAGACCCGGTGTGGTTGGTGGGAACACTCTGACGCTTCTTTTGGTTAGGGTTGTTGGCCACAAGCAACAGAAATCAACTCTGCCTGACTCAACCAAAAAATGGGATTGTAGAAGGCTATGAGTGGGGATGGGGGCTCAGGAGTCGGAAGGACAGGCTTGGAAATGAGTATGGATCAAGAAAGCCCCAGAGACTGGCCACAGGACCAATCTGGCCAGGAAGCCGCCATTGCTGGACAGCACAAGTCTAATCCCTCCATCCTTTTATCTCTGTCATTTGCTCTGTGGTCAAAGTCTTGGACATGAGCTTCTGATTGGCTGAGTCTGAGGAAGTGGGGGTGCTCCCTTGTTGAACTTCTCTAATAATGACTGACACAGTGAATGCTTTCCCTAAAACTAGGGTTTGGAGGTTGAGCAGCCAAAAATTCCAACTTTTTTCCATTACAGGAGGGAGACACAACCCCACCCAAGACCATGTGTAAGTAACAATAGGTAGTCTGTAAACAGCCTTCCATGGCCAGGAATGGTGGCCAAAGAAGGTCTTCTTTGACAGAGGTCAAAGAAGAGGGTGGGGGCCAGGCACAGGGGCTCACGCCTGTAATCCCAACAATTTGGGAAGCCGAGATGGGAGGATTGCTTTGAGGCCAGAAGTTTGAGACCAGACTGGGCAACATGGTGGAACCCCCTCTCTATAAAAAATATAAAAATTAGCCAAGCATGCTAGGGCACGCCTGTATTTCCAGCCACTCAGGAGGCTGAGGCAGGAGGATGTCTTGAGCCTGGGAGATTGAGGCTGTGGTGAGCCATGATCAAGCAACTGCACTCCAGCCTACATGACAGAGCAAGACCCTGTTTCCCTGTCACAAACAAACAAACAACAAACAAAAACACATACACATAAACCCCGTCGTTCTAAGCAAAGTGAGTCCTGCTATCTGCAGGATTTTGATTTTTTTCCAAGAGCATTATGCTGAACTGGTATCAGAATTAAATTGCTTGGAACAATTGTTCCTGGATCAAACTGAGGGTTGGGCTGCTTATTCTAGTGACCCAATAACGAGATGCAAATAAACTGGGAAAGGAGGGAGTTTCTATTTCTGTTACCAGTTACAGGGAAAAAGCCTGGAAAATACCACCAGACCAACTCAAAATTACAAAGTTTCCCAGAGCTTACATACCTTCTAAACTATATGTCCACGTGTAAGTGTGCGTTCACCTAAAGACCTAAATAATCAGCTTCTTCTAGTCTAACTAAGGTCTGAGTCCTGAAGACCTTCCTCTGAAGCCTCAGTAAATTTACTTAATCTAAATGGGTCCAGTTGCTGGGGTGATTACCCTTATCTTGTCTCCTGCTAAATCATGGAGGTTTGGGGACTTCCTTCACACTCCCAATAAACTTGTTTGTGGAGGCCTGGGGAGTTTCTTCACACCCCCAATAAAACTTGTTTAATCCTAAACGTGTCCTGTTAAGAATTGCCTCGTTATCTCGTCATGTTTCAAGGCCCAGGAAAGGCCTGAGCAAAACTGTTGGAGGATTTCTGTTACATTCCAGCCTTTGTATAAGGGCACTGGCTCTTTTAGCTTTTTTTTTTTTTTTTTGAGACAGAGTCTCGCTCTGTCGCCCAGGCTGGAGTGCAGTGGTGCGATCTCTGCTCACTACAACCTCTGCCTCCTAGGTTCAAGCGATTCTCCTGCCTCAGCTTCCGAGTAGCTGGGATTACAGGCATGCGCCACCATGCCCAGCTAATTTTTGTATTTTTTGTAGAGACATGATTTCACTATGTTGGCCAGGCTGGTCTTAAACTCCTGACATCAGGTGATTCACCCGCCTCTGCCTTCTAAAGTGCTGGGATTGTACAGGCATGAGCCACCATGCCCAGTAGGCTCCTTCAGCTTTGTTTTTTTCTTCTTCTTTTTTTTTTTTTTAGTGACAGAGTTTTGCTCTTGTCGCCCAGGCTGGAGTGCAATGGCAGGATCTCGGCTCACTGCAACCTCCGCCTCCCAGGTTCAAGCGATTCTCCTGCTGCAGCCTCCCAAAGTAGCTAGGATTACAGGTGCCTGCCACCACGCCCAGCTAATTTTTTTTGTATTTTTAGGTGAGACGGGGTTTCACCATGTTGGCCAGGCTGGTCTTGAACTCCTGAACAAGGTGATGCATCCGCCTTGGGCTCCCAAAGTGCTGGGATTACAGGCATGAGTCACTGCCTGCCCAGCCACTTTCAGCTTTTAATGTTTAACTTAACCACACAGTCCCTGCTGAAATAGCTGTCATGGAGGCCTGCGTTAGTGAGACCTGACCTGCCACACAATGAAGGAGATGTTCTTCATTGAGATAATGTGGGTGTCCGAATCAGGATCCACAGGTCAGTGTCCCAGCTCCACCATTGACTAGCTGTGTGATTCCGATGGAGCCACTTAACCTCTCTGAGCTGTGGGATCTTCCTGTATAAAAGAGACAACCACGTAGTGCCCACCTCAAACAGTGGTTATCAGGATTGAGATGATCTGTGTAAAGCATTTAGTGCCTATGAAGCACTTCTTAGTGTATAAAGCACTTAGGGTGTAAAAGGTGCATGGTAAATTCTGTTTGTCGCCCGGGCTGGAGCGCAGTGGCATGATCTTGGTTCACTGCAACTTCTGCCTCCCAAGTTCAAGTGATTCTCCTGCCTCAGCCTCCCGAGTAGCTGGGATTACAGCTGTGCACCACCATGCCTGGCTAATTTTTGTATTTTTAGTAGAGACGGGATTTCACCAGGTTGGCCAGGCTGGTCTTGAACCCCTGATCTCAAGTGATCTGCTGGTCTTGGCCTTTCAAAGTGCTGGGATTACAGGTGTAAGCCACTGCACCCGCCCTGTGCGTGGTGAATTCCGAGTAAATGGTAGCCAAAATCATTGTCATCATCATCGCCACAGGTAACCTTTTCCCCAAATAATACTCAGCTTCTCTTCTAAGTAAACGTTGAATGAATACTTTAGAGTGTTGAAGAAGCACCCCTAAATCTGCCCACTTGTTGATTCTAGCCAGTGATGTTAAATTTTTAGGAATCTGGAGAACCAGTTGTTCAACTGTGGGTAGCTCAAAATCTGCAGCAGTGGGAGTATTTACACCGTGGAAATTGGCAAATGATTCACAGCAAGGCTTCTACCTCCCTCCCCTGCTTCCAGCCAGTTAAACATTCCCCAGCACATCACTCATTCTAGTCCTAGCCTGCCCTACTTTGGGGCATCCAACAGAGATTACTTGCGTTTTCTTTGTGGTTTATCAAGCCCCAGGGTCTCGCTTGCCTACAAAGGAGACCACTAATCACTAGCATGCTGAATAAACATGAAGTTGACTTAAACATTAATTTACTTATTATCAAAAGCTTATCTGCTTCTGCTGGTGCAATGACTCTGATGGGAATTGCCAGTGGTGATGGTAGATAGGTGATGGCTTCAGAGAAGTGTGCTCTGTGCTTTGGCAGGAGCAGGGCTAAGCTGAGACAGTGGTCCTAGTGGCCCAGTCCATGGGCTAAGCAGGAATGGGTGGGAAGAGGGCAGGGGAGGCTTCCCCGGGGCCTGCAGATTGTGTTCTTAAGAGTTTTTTCCTTCAGTCCTTAGAAGCTCAGCTGAAAGGAATGACTGCGGCCGGATGTGGTGGTTCATGCCTGTAATCCCAGCACTTAGGGAGGCCGAGGTGGGCAGATCACCTGAGGTCAGGAGTTTGAGACCAGCCTGGCCAAACTGGTAAAACCCCAACTCTACTAAAAATACAAAAATTAGCTGAGCATGGTGGCTGGTGCCTGTAATCCCAGCTACTTGGGAGGCTGAGCCAGAGGAATTGCTTGAACCCAGGAGGTGGAGGTTGCAGTAAGCCCAGATCAAGATCACACCACTGCATTCCAGCCTGGGCAACAGAGCAAGCAAGATTCTATCTCAAAAAAAAAAAAAAAAAAAATGGAGTGATTGCTTTAAAATTCTTAAACAGGGCCGGGTGCGGTGGCTCACGCCTGTAATCCCAGCACTTTGGGAGGCAGAGGCAGGCGGATCACTAGGTCAAGAGATGGAGTCCATCCTGGCCAACGTGGTGAAACCCTGTCTCTACTAAAAATACAAATATTAGCTGGGCGTGGTGGCGGGCGCCTGTAGTCCCAGCTACTCAGGAGGCTGAGGCAGGAGAATTCCTTGAACCCAGGAGGCGGAGGTTGCAGTGAGCTGAGATCACGCCACTGCACTCCATCCTGGCGACAGAGTGAGACATTGTCTAAAAAAAAAAAAAAAAATTCCTAAACAGGAGGGGCTTAGGGCCAGCCAGTTGGTCACATGAAACAATCAGGGGACTTACCTTAGAGCTGCCTTCGCAGTAGGGAGTCCATGGTTTTTAGTGAGATTTGTGTCGTACAAATTAATTAAAATTGCATAGTTTCTATCAAGTTTTTTTCTTACACTTTCCACAAAATTGGGAAAAATGTCTATTTCCCATTTCTTTATTTCATTTTCTCTTATTGCTTCTATCCTACCTGATATTTCCCATTTCAAAAGCACGTTTTTTTTTTTGAGATGCAGTCTTGCTCTGTCGCCCAGGCTGGAGTGCAGTGGTGCCATCTCGGCTCACTGCAAGCTCCACCTCCCGGGTTCACGCCATGCTCCTGCCTCAGCTTCCCGAGTAGCTGGGACTACAAGCACCTACCACCATTTTTTGTGTTTTTTAGTAGAGACAGGGTTTCACTGTGTTAGCCAGGATGGTCTCTATCTCCTGACCTCGTGATCCACCCCGCCTCGGCCTCCCGAAGTGCTGGGATTACAGGTGTGAGCCACCGCGCCCGGCCCAAAAGCACTTTTTAAATGTTGAGGTGGTTTGAAGGCTAATGGAAATTACGAGGTGGGACTGAAACCATTCCCTGCCATCCCTAAGAAAGCCCACTCCTTGGAACTGCCACTGGTGAAAGTCTCACTCTGTCACCCAGGCCAGAGTGCAGTGGCACAATCTCAGCTCACTGCAACCTCTGCCTCCCAGGTTCAAGCGATCCTCCCACCTCAGCCCCGCAAGTTGCTGGGACTACAGGTGCCCACCACCATGCCTGGCTAATTTTTTTTTTTTTTTTTAAGTAGAGACGGGGTTTCACCGTATTGCCCAGGCTGATCTCAAACTCCTGAGCTCAAGTGATCTGCCTGCCTCAGCCTCCCAAAGTGCTGGGATTACAGGCATGAGCCACCGCGCCCGGCCTGAAAGCATTTTAGAAGGCTCCTGACTGAAAGAACGGGATAAAGTAAGGGGGTATGGGAACAGAAGATGACAGCCTGGTATATCTGGGTGACATGCGTAGGCAGTCTGTTGTAGTGGCAATTGTCAGGGCTCTGGAGTTAGACTGTCTTCTTTCAAATCTTGCAAGCTGTCTGATCTCGGGCGATTTACTTAACCTCTCTGAGAGTTCTGTAAAGTGGAGAATAAGAATACCACCCTACAGATGATGAGGATTCAATGAGATTGGGCTGGATACAAATCAGCTTTTGTTGGCATCAGCTTGAGAGGAGGGATGGACTTGGGAGTGGAGAGGGTGGATTTGGGGGAGAGGACGCCACACAGTGGCAGGAACTCGCAGCAGGTGACTGAGAGTGGAAGGCACAAGAGAGCCCAGATGCTGAGCCAGCTCAGAATAGAAACGGTATTGATAGCAGAATGCAAAGCAGTATCACTCGAATGACGGATGTTTAATTGGATTTCTCCAGGGCTGACTCACCGCCTTTGATAGATGCGATTGCCCTCGTGGTGTCTATCATGAGACTTGAAATTTTTCCACCTGCACCTGCAGTCTTTAGGCCTTGTTTCAACAAAATGCAGTACTGTGTGTACCCTCCATGCCTGCCAGCCTTCCTTCCTTCCTTGTGTATTTACTGCAATGTATCAGGGACGGGGTGGTGTGCTAGAACCATGAAGGAAAAAGGCAAAGTCCCTTAAAGGAGGTGCAGTCTGTTGAGGCAGAAACACAAATGCCTAGATGGTTCTGGAATGCCTAGATGTCAATGGGATAACAAGGGGGCTATGGCTGCAGGAAGGAAGAGGACCTGATGTAGCTGAGGGCATCAGGAAGATTCCAGAAGGAGAAGGGATTAGTGAAGCTGCAGAGCACTTAGTTTGAGACAAAGATTTCTGAGCTGAGGGAGGAGTTGGGCAAAGGCTTGAGTGCAGGAGTTCAAGAGAACTCCTTGGGGCCAGGCTTTACACAGGGATGCACATGGGCTGTGTACCAGTCTGTTCTGACACTGCTGTAAAGATACTACCCGAGACTGGGTCATTTATAAAGGAAAGAAGTTTAATTGACTCACAGTTCTGCATGGCTGGGGAGGCCTCAGGAAACTTGCAGTCATGGCAGACGGCGAAGGGAAAGCAAGCACGTCTTACGTGGCGGCAGGAGAGAGACAGCACAAGAGAAAATGAGTGTAGGAAGTGCCACATTTAAAACCAGCAGCTCTCTTGAACTCCTGCACTCAAGCGATCCTCCTGCCTCGGCCTCCCTTAGTTCTGGGATAACAGGCAGGAGCTGCTGTGCCCACCTGGAGCTTAATCTCTGTTCACATCTTTAATTATTCTGGGCCAGCTTAGCCAAAGGCCTTAGGGGTAGGGTTAGGGACACCAAGGGCCAGTCTTCTATCCACTTCACAGCTCGCTGGGCCCTCCAAGGGAAGGACTATGTGTCTCATTCTAGGCACTGGTAAGAGTCTGGGGGAAAAAAAATCAAAAATAACAAGTGGACGCGGTGGCTCACACCTGTAATCCCAGCACTTTGGGAGGCCGAGGTGGGTGGATCACTTGAGGTCAGGAGTTCAAGACCAGCCTCGTCAACATGGTGAAACCCCGTCTCTACTGAAAATACAAAAATTAGCAGGGTATGGTGGTGTGCCCCTGTAATCCCAGCTACTCAGGAGGCTGAGGCACGAGGATTGCTTGAACCTGGGAGGCAGAGGTTGCAGTGAGCTGAGATTGCACCACTGCACTCCGGCCTGGGCGACAGAACGAGACTCCATCTCAAAAAAAAAAAGAAGAAGAAGAAGAAGAAATGAACTCACAACACTTACTGTCTCCTTCAAAGGAGTGAAGGATGTGCAGAGGGCTAAGTGCGGTCCCAGAAACTGCCAGGTAGCATCAGTGAGCAGGTGCAGGAAATCTGTTGGCCAACCTTGCATGCACTGGGCACGGCCCAGTTCCCTGCCAGAGCCCAGAGAAGAAAACAAGCTCTGGTCTCAGTCGAAGCAGTGGGGTGGGAAGAGCCCTGCTGTCTCGCCACATGGCCTTGGTAGCTGGCCTATGTCTCAATGTCTCTTGAAAGTGAAAATAGATCAGGAGGGCTGACACGTAGTAGGCGCTCAAGAACTGTTTTCTGGATGAGTCAGTGAATTGGTGAACAGCATTCACCTCTCTGGGCATTGATTTCTTCATTCATGTAAGGTGAGAGCTCTTCTAGCTGCAGAAATTTCTTTAGAGCCAGGCACAGTGGCTCACCCCTGTTATCTCAGTACTTTGGGAGGCCAAGGCAGGAGAATGGCTTCAGCCCAGGAGTTTGAGACCAGCCTGAGCAACATAGTGAGACCCCCATCTCTACCAGACATTTTTTTTGAGATGGAGTCTCACTCTGTTGCCCAGGCTGGAGTTCAGTGGTACGATCTCAGCTCACTGAAACCTCCATCTCCCAGGTTCAAGCAATTCTCCTGCCTCGGCTTCCCGAGTAACTGGGATCACAGGCATGCACCACCATGCCCGGCTAGTTTTTGTATTTTTAGTAGAGATGGAGTTTCGCCATGTTGGCTAGGCTGGTCTTGAACTCGTGACCTGAATTGATCCACCTGCCTCGGCCTCCCGAAGTGCTGTGACTACAGGCATGAGCCACCGTGCCTGGCCCAAAACGTTTTTTTAAAATTACCAAGGCGTGGTGGCATGCGCCTGTAGTCCCAACTACTTGGAAGGCTGAGGCAGGAGGATTGCTCTAGCCAGGAGGTCAAGGCTGCAGTGAGCTATGATTACACTCCTGTAAGTTCAGCAAAATATTTCTGTAAAGGGCCAAGTACTAAACACCTTAGGCTCTACAGAGTGTACAGTCTCTGTCGTGATTACTCACCTCTGCCACTGTCGGGAAAAACAGCCACAGACAATGCTGAAATGAATGGACATGACTTCGTTCCAATAGCATGTTATTCACAGATGCTGAACTTTGAATTTCATATAATTTTCATTTATCAGAAAATGTTATGATTTTGATTTTCCCCAAGTATTTAAAAATGAAAATTAAACTATTCTTAGTTCGTGAGTTGTACCAAAACAGGCAGTGGGCCAGATTTTGACTGTGGGCTATAGTTTGCCAACCCCAGCTAAAGATTGAGGAGCAAACGCATCTTCCAGGAATTCCTTGGATCGTCTTAGACAGAAGGTCAAAGGGAGAGTGCACTCTCTCCTTGGTGTGGAAATACTGATCACCATGTCTTCCAAACTGGGTTTCATAGACACATCTCCATGCCATGCTCTCACTCTAGAACCTAAGATGGCTCCCATGTTAAGGTTCTTTACAACGCAGACACATATGTCCCTGATATGTCCTAATTGGGCAGACTCTTCATTGTCACCTACCCTGGCATACCACACCCATTCCTAATATTTGTCTCAGCTCCCCCTTCTCTCTGAGTGCCTGGAATCTTTTCCTGACCCCTCCAAGTTGTGCCCTCCCCTGTAAGTTGCATCTCGATTTGAGCAGCCTTCTCCCAGACTATCCTGATCTCTGTCTTCCTTGAACTCCAGTCACTGGCTGGAGCTTTCACAGTCCCAGTCGAGAGCATGGGCTCAGATCAGACTGCCCGAGTTCAAGTTCCTACCACTTACTCTGTGACGTTGAACAAGTTCTTTATCCTGTCTAAGAGATAATAATAATAGTCCTTACCTCATAGAGTTGCTGCAAGAGTTCACTGAGATGATTTGTGTAAAATGCTTAATCCAGAGCCTGACACCAATCATATGAAAGCATTCAATAAGTACTAGCAATTATACTTCTGTATTGTTTGATGTTTTTATAGTGAGACCATATTTATGTAATATTTGTATAATTTTTTAAATAGACCAAGCTGGGTGTGGTGGTATATGCCTGTGTTCCCAGCTACTTGGGAGGCTGAAGCAGGAGGATCCCTTAAGCCCAGGAGTTCAAGTCCAGCCTGGGCAATATAGTAAGACCCTGCCTCTAAAAAAGAAAAAAAAAAGGACCAAGTATTCTTTTTTTTTTCTTTTTTTTTTTAGATGGTGTCTCGCTCTGTCGCCCATGCTGCAGTGCAGTGGCATGATCTCAGCGCACTGCAAGCTCCACCTCCCAGGTTCACGCCATTCTCCTGCCTCAGCCTCCCAAGTAGCTGGGACTACAGGTGCCCGCCACCACGCCCGGCTGATTTTTTGTATTTTCAGTAGAGACAGGGTTTCACCGTGTTAGCCAGGATGGTCTCGATCTCCTGACCTTGTGATCCGCCCGCCTCGGCCTCCCAAAGTGCTGGGATTACAGACTTGAGCCACCGTGCCCGGCCAGGAGCAAGTATTCTTTTAGGTCTAAAACAAAGGTAACTAAGCAATACTGGTGTTTGTTTGTTTTGAGACAGGGTCTCACTCTGTCAAGGCAGACAGCTGGAAACCCACGTCAAGAAAATTGACTATTTTCAAAAGTCAATCCTTGCCTCCCAGGTTGGAGTACAGTGGTGTGATCATGGCTCACCCAGGAGCTCAACCTCCTGGGCTGAAGTGATCCTCCTACCTCAGCCTCTCTGGTAGCTGGAACCACAGGTACACACCACCAGGCATAGCTAATTTTTTTATTGTGTAGAGACAGAGTCTCGCTATGTTGCCTAGGCTAATCTCGAACTCCTGGACTCTATCGATCCTCCCATCTCAGCCTCAAAGTACTGGGATTACAGGCATGAGCCACTGTGCCTGGCCATAATTTTTTTATATCATACATACAGAAAAGAGCAGTATTAGTAGTTGTTATTGTAAGAAAAATGAAAACTAAGGCAGTCTAGAAAGCCCTTGGAAGAGAGAAGAATAAACTGCGCTTGAGGAAGTTGACATTTGGGAACAGAGTGGGAACAAGGGTCTTGAAGAAGGTGACATTTGTTTGGGAACGAGTGTCTGACTGCAATCAAAGGAAAGGCCAGTGTGACAGGTGGATGTAAATCCACAGTCCATTAAAATGGCCACAGAGAGAAAACAGACATATTGGCCTTCCAGGGTGCAACATGAGGGCATTCCCTTCCTATGTACACTGGCAGGCACCTCTCCGGTCCCTTGGTCCCCAGCAAGATGCTGAGAAATTGCTGAGGCCAGGGGCTCCCTGGACACTTATCAACACTTATCCTTACCCAGGGATAGCGTTTAAGCTCATGAATCCTACGAAAGCTGAACCAATGCACATGTTTATCATCTTGGAACCATTTGATTTGAGGAAATTGTAATAGCACATGCTGGCCAGGCGCGGTGGCTCATGCCTGTAATCCCAGCACTTTGGGAAGCTGAGGCGGGTGGATCACCTGAGGTCAGGAGTTCGAGACCAGCCTGGCCAACATAGTGAAATCCCCTCTCTACCAAAATACAAAAATTTGCTGGGCATGGTGGCAAGTGCCTGTTATCTCAGCTACTTGGGAGGCTGAGGCAGGAGAATCGCCTGAACCTGGGAGGTGAGGTTGCAGTGAGCCAAGATCCCGCCATTGCACTACAGCCTGGACGACAAGAGCGAAACTCCATCTCAAAAAAAAAAAAAATAGCATGTGATAGTGAGATACACATTTTGCACAGAAATGTTGGCTGAGATAGTCCAGGAGAGTCTCTGTGAGCTGACTTTTTACCTAGGGTGGAGGAGTGGATGGAAGTGGCTGTTCCTACACACCCACACTGCCTGTGCAAAACCGTGGGCTGCCTGCACCACACACACAAGCCTGTTTGATTCTCATACAACCCCAAGACAAAGGTGTAATCCCTTTTCAACAGTGACAGCACTGAGGCTGAGAGCAGCAAAGTAGGTCATAGCCAGTCAATGGGGGTACTGAGATCTGCATTGAGATCTGGCTGTGTCTAAAGCGGGTTGTATCCTCTCTGTGCTTGCAGAATGGGGCTCGAGGGCTCATCTAAACCCCTCATCTTATTTATTTATTTTTATTTATTTATTTATTTATTGAGACGGAGTCTCGCTCTGTTGCCAGGCTGGAGTGCAGTGGTGCAATCTCGGCTCACTGCAACCTCCACCTCCCAGGTTCAAGTGATTCTCCTGCCTCAGCCTCCTGAGTAGCTAGGACTACAAGCACGTGCCACCACGCCCAGCTAATTTTTGTATTTTTAGTAGAGACAGGGTTTCACCATGTTGGCCAGGCTGGTCTCGATTTCTTGACCTCGTGATCCGCCCTCCTCGGCCTCCCAAAGTGCTGGGATTACAGGCGTGAGCCACCGCGCCCGGCCCAGACATGACATCTTTTTCTCACCTGTCTTAAGATACCTGCAGCCTCTGTAACTTATTTTTAAAAGGAGACAATAAAGACTATTTTTAAAAGTCAATCCTTGCCTCTGAAAACCTACCTCTGCCTTTGTCGTGGTCTCTGCTGGGTTTCCATTAGGCTGCAACTCAAGCTGCTGATGCCTCCATTTCATGTCGTTTTCACAAACATTTTGTAAAGCAGCAGCTCTATTATTCCAGCAGGGCCTGATCACCTCTCCGCACCCAACGCTGATAAAAATGACCCGCTTTCCCCTATCGTCCCAGCGTGAAAGACCAAGATGCTGAATGACACGGGTTGGCTTTCTTTTCCTTCCGAACATTAATCAGGTTCTTGAAGATAACATCTCTCTCTGGAACGAGCCGGCAGCAGCAGAGTTTGATTTCCAGGTTCAGCCCTAATGGTACAGAGACCTGGACTAATGTGGCTTATTCAAAGTTCCAGCCATGCTTCTAAAGCATGGCTTATTCGAACTTCCAGCTATGCTTTTAAAGCACTTTGCATGAACTATTCACATGTCTTTTGAACAATATGATTTAATGGCATTGGAAAATCATCATGATGTCATGCTTGCAATGAGCAGGACAGCTGTATGTCTTGATCCAATACACATTAAAAATGCACCTATCCACACATATGTATCTGTGAAAATGTCTTCAGCTGCAAGTAACACAGCGTCCGACGACTAGTGTCTTAAATCTTGGGTGACCAGCTGTCTCTGTTTGCCTGGGACTGAGAGGTTTCCAAGGATCTGGAAACTGCAGTGCAGAAACTGGGACAGCCCCAGGCAAACCAAGTCAGTTGTTCACACTACTTAAGTCATAAGGACATTTAATATTTACTTGAGGCTGGACACAGTGGCTCACACCTGTAATCCCAACACTTTCGGAGGCTGAGGCAGGTGGATCACGAGGTAAGGAGTTCAAGACCAGCCTGGCCAAGATGGTGAAACTCCATCTCTCCTAAAAATACAAAAATTAGCCAGGCTTGGTGGTGGATGCCTGTAATCCCAGCTACTCGGGAAGCTGAGGCAGAGAATGGCTTCAACCTGTGAGGCGGAGGTTGCAGTGAGCCGAGATCATGCCACTGCACTCCAGCCTGGGCAACAGAGCTAGACTCCGTCTCAAAAAAAAAAATTTTTTTTGACTTGATAAGCAGTCCAGATGCAGGTGGCCCGAGGGTCAGTGGGGTGGCCCCAGGATGCTATCAAGGGTCTGGCTGTTTCCTTTCCTCCCCTCTGCCCTAGATAGCGAACCTGTCCCCTTCTGCCCATGGGTAGTAAGCCAATCGCTGTTATGATGGATTTGGCAAAAGAAAAGAATTTATTCACACCAACGCAGCCAAGCAAGGAGGCAGGAGAAAAGGTCTCATACTTGCCTCCCTGAAGATGGAATTTAGGGATCTTTATGGAATAAAGGAGCAGGGTGGTCTAAAGTGTGGGAAGAGGTGATTGGAGGCAAGGAAAAGTGAGGTCATTGGCAATCTGCACATACATAGCCAAGCTTCCTGGATCTTCATAGGGTGCATGTTTAGAAAATGGCAGCATTAGCATGATCTCGGGGAGTTTTGGGCCCTCTGACGTCAAAAGGTCACTTCTCCGGCATTTGCACAGGTTCAGTTGAAGGGTCATTGATCTCAACGGGTTCGAACTGGACAGGAGCTGCCCCCATAGTCCTGAAAAACAACTTTAAGCAACCATTACCGTAGTCACATATGTGTCGTAGCGACATATATGTGACATATGACATATATGTACCATAATGACATATAGTGACATATGTAAGGAAGCCGGTGGGGGGGTTAGGTATATATCATTTGGCTGCTTGACTTTTAGCTATATAAGTTTTAAGACCAGCTAGAAGTAAGTGGTTAAAAGCAAGCAAGGCAAGTTAAGTTTGGTGGGCTTCATCAGGTTAGCGTTCGGTTTCGCCATTCTCACGTGAGTGGCTGTAGGAGCTTAGGACCAGGACAGGGGAGAACCGAAGGCCCTAATTATCCTTCCCAGAAGCCTGCCCAAGCGGAGTTTCTCTTAAGGGCTTTCTCTAAGCCCACCAAACTTAACTTGCCTTGCTTGCTTTTAACCACTTACTTCTAGCTGATCTTAAAACTTATATAGCTAAAAGTCAAGCAGCCAAATGATATTTAACTAAACCCTCCACTGGCTTCCTTATATATGTCACTATATGTCATTATGTTACATATATGTCATATGTCACCTATATGGCACTATGACACATACGTGACTATGGTAATGGTTGCTTAAAGTTGTTCTCTTACATTTCATTGGCCCAGAGTAGATGTCATAGCTACCTCCACTTGCAAGAGAGCCTGGAAAAGTATGTGTCTAGCCAAAGCAAATGGGATTCTGTGACTGGCTTCCATCAAGGCAGGGCAGGTTGCCTCCTGGACAAATCAGAGCTCTGGGAGAAAGCGGGAGGGGAAGGTCTACAACCAGTCATGCCCGCTGCAACTCATGGAGCCACATGGAGAGGAGACAACACGGTGAAATTGTCAAGAGCAGGAGCTAGGGCTGAATCTGGAAGGCCACTTACCAGTGCAGAGCTTTGGGTGTGTTGCTTAACCTCCATGTACTCATCTGTAAAATAGAGCTAAAAACAATGTTTCTCTTCCTGGACTGCTGTGACGGTCTAGAAGAGTTTATGCACAGAAAGTGCATTTACATGTAAATGCTCCGTAAATGCTGACTTCTTGTTTGCCTTAATGGCAGAACCCATCCTTCCATATTCCAGAAAAAGACTTGATTTTTAGTTACGTGAATGGACACCTAACCCTGATGGACAGCTTGGGGTCGGGGGACAAGCTTCTTTCTTGGAAGGATGTTCAAAGGACCATGAAGCTTTTGGTTTTGCCAACTGGGGTTTGTAAGTTGAAGAACAGAGCTGAGTAATTCAGGACAGGGGTGTCCAATCTTTTGTCTTCCCTGGGCCACATTGGAAGAATTGTCTTGGACCACACATAAAATACACTTATAGTAACAATAGCTGATGAGCTTAAAAAAAAAATCACACACAAAAAAAATCTCATGTTTTAAAAAGGTTTACAAATTTGTGTTGGGCTGCCTTCAAAAGCCATCCTGGGCCTAATTTGGACAAGCTTGATTTAGGACCTGATGGTCCTCCTTTAGCGGAAGGTGTGTGGAGGAGGTAGAGAGAGAGAGAGAAGAGATGAGACATGAGGAAAACAGAGCCATCTCATAGGGACGTTGATGGAGTCCTGCAGCGTGAATCCCGTCAGCAGTTCTGTAGAGCTCCACCTCGCTTGTCAATGGGTTGTGGGCTTGGATCTTTTGGGAGGATTCAATGACATGCTAAGGGCAGCCTTGGAGGTGGACAAAGGGCCAGGGCAAAGGCCCCCAGGGCATGCCCGCCACCCTTAGGTTACATGGAGGAAAAAGATTGCTGTGAAATACACCAGAACCCTCGGAGTAGAAGTGGCCTCTGCTACACGTAGGTCAAGGTTCTGCATACTTTCATCTTCCTTCTTTGTACTTGTTTGTATTTTCCAAAATTTCTACAATGATTAGGGATCCATTCTATAATCAGATAAAATTGCCATTTACAAACTTTTATTGGCCAGGCATAGTGGCTCATGCCTGTAATCCCAGCACTTTGGGAGGCTGAGGTGGGTGGATTGCTTGAGTCCAGGAGTTTGAGACCAGCCTGGGCAACATGGCAAAACCCCTTCTCTACCAAAAATACAAAAAATTCTCCAGGTGTGGTGGCGCCTCCCTGTAGTCCCAGCTACTCTGGAGGCTGAGGAGGGAGGATGGCTTGAGCCCAGGAGGCAGAGATTGCAGTGAGCTGAGATTGTGCCACTGCATTCCAGCCTGGGTGACAGAGCCAGACTCCATCTCAAAATAAAATAAAATAAAATAAATAAATAAAAATAAAAACTTTTACAAAGAAGAGTATAAGCACTGAAAGTTATTTTTAAAAAGGTTTTACTTGTTAGCTCCATTCCTCAGAAATAGTGCTTCTTCCACATCATTTTCTCTTTCCTTTTTTCTCTGCTGCTTTTTTTTTTTTTTTTTTTTTTGAGACGGAGTCTCGCTCTGTTGCCAGGCTGGAGTGCAGTGGCACGATCTCAGCTCACCGCAATCTCTGCCTCCTGGGTTCAAGTATTCTCCTGCCTCAGCTTCCTGAGTAGCTGGGATTACAGGCGCCCACTACCAACCATGCCCGGCTAATTTTTGTATTTTTAGTAGAGACAGGATTTCACCAAGTTGGCCAGGATGGTCTTGATCTCTTGACCTTGTGACCTGCCCACCTCAGCCTTCCAAACTGCTAGGATTACAGGTGTGAGCCACCACGCCGGCCATTTTTTTTTTTTTTTTTTTTTTTTTTTTGGGAGAAGGAGTCTCACTCTGTTGGCCAGGCTGGAGTGCAGTGGCATGATCTTGACTCACTGCAACCTCTGCCTCCTGGGTTCAAGCGATTCTCCTGCTTCAGCCTCCTGAGAACTGGGGATTACAGGCATGTGCCACCACACCTGGCTAATTTTTATATTTTTAGTAGAGAAAGGGTCTCACCACGTTGGCCAGGCTGGTCTTGAACTCCTGACTTCAAGTGATCCTTCCACCTCGGCCTCCCAAAGTGCTGGGATTACAGGTGTGAGCCACCCCACCCAGCCATTCTCTGCTTCTTTCTCACAGCTAATGATAATAATAGTAAAGGCCAAGGGTGGTGGCTCATGCCTGTAATCCCAGTGCTTTGGGAGGCTGACATGGGAGGATCGCTTGAGGCTAGGAGTTCTAGACCATCTTGGCCAACATGGCAAGATTCTGTCTCTACAAAAAATTTAAAAATTAGCTGAGTGTAGGGGCATATGCCTAAAGTCCTAGCTACTTGGAAGGCTGAGGCAGGCAAATCCTTTTACCCCTGGCGTTCGAAGCTGCAGTGAGCTATGATTGCACTGCTGAACTCCAGCCTGGGTGATAGAGCTAGACCCTGTCTCTAAAAAACATAATAATAGTAGATAGCATTTACTGGGCATTTGACTGTGTAGGTCCCAGGCACTGTGCTTAATGCTTGATGTGCATAATAATCCCAGCAAATAGTACTGCCATTATTCCTATTTAAAACATGACGGCTAGGTGCGGTGGCTCACGCCTATCATCCCAGCACTTTGGGAAGCTGAGGCAGGTGGATCACCTGAGATCAGGTGTTCGAGACCAGCCTGATCAACATGGTGAAATCTCGTCCAAAAAAAAAAAAATTAGCTGGGCCTGGTGGTGCATGCCTGTAATCTCAGCTACTTGGAAGGCTTAGGTAGGAGAATCACTTGAACCCGGGAGGCAAAGGTTGCAATGAGCCAAGATCGCGCCATTGCACTCCAGCCTAGGCAACGAGAGCAAAACTCTTTTTCAAAAAAAAAAAAAAAAACATAAATAAATAATTAAAAATGAGTTAGGTGAGACAGAAAAGGAAGTCACTGTACCATGGCCCTTTGAGCCAGAGTTGTTTGGTGCCAAAACTCTGCCTCCTAATCACTACCTGTCTCTCCTTTTGTCCTTTCTCCATCTTCTCCTCTCTTACCTCTCAAAAATTATCAATAATTTGATAATTCTGTGGTTAGAATCCAAGATTCCTCAACTTCAGTGTGATTGACATGGTGGCTGGCTCACTTTCTGTTGTGGGAGCTGTTCTGTGCACAGTAGGATGTTTAGCAGTGTCCCTGGTCTCTACCCACTAGATGCCAGTAGCAACCACACCCCTCCCCAACACACACTCAATTATAATAACCAAATATGTCTCCAGGCATTGCCAAATGTTCCTGGGGACCAAGATTGCCCTGATGTAGCCTGATCTCTGCAAAAGCGTCTGGAGTCTCTCCAGTTGAACGATCGCTGATAGAAACTCACGGGAACAGTCTGTGCCCTCCCGGCAAGTCCACGCTCATTCGAGGCAGCTGTCACCTGCTAGGACATTCCAGGGCACGACTTGAAAAATGCTTGGCGTGCCTCTGACAACAAGAGATGCAGGCTGAAGCAAGGCATTCCTGCCTCTTGTCCTGAAACTGGGATGCTGGCATTAGAATGGACAGCATGAGTTGTTCTTGAGTGGCAAAAGGCAAGGGGTCCTGCTGTGGTTTGTATGTCTGTCTCCTCCAAATCTCATGTTGAAATTAGTCTGTTCTCGCATTTCTATAAAGAACTACCTGAGGCCGGGCGCAGTGGCTCACGCCTGTAATCCCAGCACTTTGGGAGGCTGAAGTGGGTGGATTGCTTGAGCCAAGGAGTTGGCAACCAGCTTGGGCAACATGGTGTAACTCTATCTCTATTATAAAGAAACAAAAAAATTTTTTTTTGGGACGGAGACTCGCTCTGTTGCCCAGTGCAGTGGCGCAATCTTGGCCCGCTGCAACCTCCGCCTCCTGGGTTCACACATTCTCCTGCCTCAGCCTCCCGAGTAGCTGGGACTACAGGTGCCTACCACCACGCCCGGCTAATTTTTCGTATTTTTAGTAGAGACGGGGTTTCACCATGTTAGACAGGATGGTCTCGATCTCCTGACCTCGTGATCTGCCCACCTCGGCCTCCCAAAGTGCTGGGATTACAGGTATGAGCCACCGTGCCCAGCCAGAAAAAAAAATTTTTAAACAGGCTACCTCAGATTGGGTAATTTATACAGAAAAGAAGTTTAATTGACTTGCAGTTCCACTGGCTGTACAGGAAGCATGGCTGGGGAGGCCTCAGGAAACTTACAATCATGATGGAAGGCGAAGGGGAAGTCTTACGTGGCTGGAGAAGGAACAAGAGAGCAAAGAGGGAGGTGCTACACACACTTAAACAACCAGATCTCGTGAGAACTCACTATCATGAGAACAGCAAGGGAGACGTCCACCCCCATGATCCAATCACCTCCCCCCAGGCCCCTCCTCCAACACTGGGGATTATGATTTGACATGAGATGTGGGCAGGGACACAGATCCAAACTACATCATAGGCCCCAGTGGGAGGTGTTTGGGTCACGGGGGTGGATCCCCCATGAATAGATTAAGCTCTTCCTGGGAGGTGGGGGTGAGTGAGTTCTCACTCTTTTAGTTCCTGGACAGCTGGTTGTTAAAAAAAGCCTGGCACCTCCCCCTCTCTCTTGCTTCCACTCTTGCCCTGTGACTTCTGCACACATGAGCTCCCTTTCACCTTCTATGAATGTAGCCAGCCTGAGGCCCATGCCAAATGTCCCATCTTCCAGCCAGCAGAATCATGAGCCAAATAAACCTCTTGTCTTTATAAAGATATTATTTCCTCTTCATTAAAGAACAGCTTTTCTAAATGTTGGGGGAAATGTCCATAGTCATTACTCAATCAAAACTTGTGTTCCCATAAGCCTAAGGACCATTCTAGATTTTTTACATGTTTTTTTGTGTGTGTGTATCTATAAAATGCATACATAAATTTTTTTTTGTTTTTAAGCATTCACCCAAACAAAAAATCACAGGTAAACCCATATTTCTGAGATGCCATTATTCCGAGCTAAATAAGAGATAATCACTTCAAGGTAAATTGAAAATTTTCCTGAAGCCATACATTTCAAGTGAAATAAGTAATTCTAAATAGGACAATTTAAATTGGATAATTTTAAAGCGTCTATAATTGGTTTATTTGCAAAATTCCTGAAAGGAAAAATTTTATCACTGCCATCACAGCAGGTTTCCACATCCAGATGAGAAAACAAGACAAATGCTAGTGTGTTTTAACTAGCTAAACAAAACTAAGTTAAATGAATATTTAAAAATTTCCCTAGTGGGCCATTCCTTAACAAAATGTTGAAATCCCTGTTGCTACATTGACTAAAAGATCATGTTGAATGGAATATGTAAGACTTGGCTCATAGAAACCTAATCAGATGGTTAGAGATGCTGGCAGTTTAGGACCTGCTGCCATAAATGTGTGAACAACCTTTTGTAATCTAACCTACTGACCTGCATGTTTTTTCTTTACCCCAGCTCATTCCTTACATGTAGCCTCAATCTTCAGTTTGCTTTACTGGTTCAGCAAAAGCCAGGAAGAACAACTTTGTAGTAATCAGAATGTTATCCAACTGTATATTGTTTACTTTATCGTAAATACTGGTGAACAGTGGTTAATAAATAGTTTTATATTCCTTTATGCAAAAAAAAAAAAAAGCACTCAGCCACAGGCATTCCTTGATAGCAACACTCAGGGGACTAAGATAGGGCCCCATGCTGGTATACAGATGGCACTGCTGAAAGGAGTCAGCAGCCCCGGCCCTTGATGGAGACGCTGAGGAACGAGGCAGAAAGATCAGTGGACTCAGACTCCGAAGGGTCGATTTCTAGTTCTGGTCCTGCCCCCATGAGCTGTGTGTACTCAGTTGAGCCTCTTTACCTGTTTCCGCATGAGTAAAATGAAAATATGATTTCTGTCCTCTGGTTTTTCCTAGGATAGTTGTCAGGAGCAAAGTAAGATACTGGCTCCAAGCTGACCCACTACATCCCTTACCTGCTTCAGTCTTCTTTGTAACATCTGAAATATTGTATTTGGGTTTACCTTCTGTCTCTGCTAGCAAAATGTCATCTTCCTGAGGGCTTGGTCTTCTTTGCTGTTGCAAGCCTCAGAGATGACAACAATGCCCAACATAGTAGATGTTCAATAAAGACGTGCAGGCCAGGTACAGTGGCTCACGCCTGTAATCCCAGCACTTTGGAAGGCCAAGGCGGGAGGATCACTTGAGGCCAGGAGTTCAAGACCAACCTGGTAAACAGCAAGACCCCATCTCTATGAAAATTTTAAAAATTAAAAAAAGTATGAGCTGGGCATGATGGCTGCACAGCTGTAGTGCCAGCTACTTCAGAGGCTGAGGTGGGAAGATCACTTGAGCCCAGGAGTTCAGGGCTGCAATGAGCTATGACTGTGCCTTGGGTGATACAGCAGGACCCTGTCTCAAAAAACAAAACAAGAACAACAAAGACAAAGACACGCAGAGTGAATGTGAACCTGTGTATCACGGGGAAGTTATTTGAAGATACATCTCAACAGCTATGGAAATATCAAGCCCTTTGTACACAGTGATTCCACTTCTGAGAATCTAAACCCCAAATAATCCAACATGGAGAAGAAGCCTTAGAGGAACTGATGTTCATCCTGCAGTGGCCAAAATTGCTCAAACCTGAAAAGCCAGCCTTAGTAATCAAGATGAGGGTGTAATTAGCACAATCCCGATGAATCTCATTTGTGAAATTGCAGACAGCCATTACAAATATTGTTTACAGCAAGATGAGTTAATTTTTGTAGCACACACACAAAACCATAATGTGTAATGCAAAATTATAATGTGTAATGCAAAACTAGGTTGCAAAAGCAACCCAATTACTGAGATGACAGGAGCCAGCACCCACTGTCCCCCATGGCCACACTGTTGGTAATGTCACACATGATCTCTCCGGAGGGCAATTTGGAAATTCCTACTACAATGTAAGTGTTCATGCCACTAGACCCAGCAATTGCATTTCTATGAATCTATCCTAGAAATGTATTAGGAAACAACCCAGATGTCTATGAATAGGGGAATAGTTAAATAAATTATAGTTAAATAGATCACTGTATAATCAGCTGAGTGCAGTGGCTCACGCCTGTAATCCCAGCTACTAGCTACTCTGGAGGCTGAAGCCAGAGAATCACTTGAACCTGGGAGGCAGAGGTTGCGGTGAGCCAAGATCACACCACTGCACTCCAGCCTGGGTGATACAGTGAGACTGTCTAAAAAAAATAAAAATAAAAATAAATTTAAAAAATAAAAATAGATGACTGTATATCAATATAATGGTATACTATGCAGCCACTAAATATGTGGAGATTTGCATATACTGATATGGAAAGATGATCAAGACTATTAAAGATTATTAAATTGAAAAAAGCAAATTGCAAAAAATTTTTGTGCAATAACAATGGTGTCATATATGATATTATAAGCATACGCTTTTTTTTTAAATCTGGAGGAGGCTGGGTGCAGTGGCTCATACCTATATCCCAGCACTTTGAGAGGCTGAGGTGGGAGGATTGCTTGAAGCCAGGAATCCAAGACCAGCCGGGCAACATAACGAGGTCCCTCTCTCTACAAAAAACTGTTTAAAAATTAGCCTGTAGTCCCAGCTACTCCGTAGGGGGCTGGGGTTGGGAGGGGTTGTGCAGAGGTGGGAGGATCCCTTGAGCCCAGGAGTTCAAGTCTGCAGTAAGCTATGATCACGCCACTGCACTCCATCCTGGGCAACAGAGCGACACTCTATCTCCAAAAATAAAAAATAAAAAATTAAACATTTTCAAAATAAAAATGTTTTTAAAAAATCCAGAGGAATACATACTAAACCGTTGACAATGATTCTCTCCGAAGGACAGAGGGAGACTTTCCTCTATGTTGTGAATTTCTGCAGTGTTTAAAAAACGTAAACTTTAGCTGAAAAACGAAACTGAATATGCCATATGAACCCACTTATATAAGCAAACCTAAGTCAGGCACATGAAGACTGGAAGGAGCTCTATCGAGGTGTTATTAACAGTGACTGATGGCCAGGCACCGCGGCTTATGCCTGTAATCCCAGCACTTTGGGAGGCTGAGGTGTGCAGATCACTTGAGGCCAGGAGTTTAAGACCAGCCTGGCCACCATGGTGAAACCCTGTCTCTACTAAAAATACTACTAAAAATACAAAAAAAGTTAGCTGGGCATGGTGGCAGGCACCTATAATCCCAGTTACTTGGGAGGCTGAGGCAGGAGAATCGCTTGAACCCGGAAGGTGGAGGTTGCGGTGAGCCGAGATCATGCCACTGCACTCCAGCCTGGGCAACAGAGTGAGACTCTGTCACAAACAAACAAACAAACAAAAAACAGTGATCATTTCTAGGTGGTGGGATAATTGAGCAGTGTTTGGCTTTTTCCTTTTGAGGGAAAACCTCTACAATGAGCATGTATGGCCTCTTCAAAAGATAACCCACCTTTAATAGCTTCTTTGTGTTAACCGGGTGATGCTCAGGGCGTAATGCTCTGCTGATGTAACCTGCTGTTGATGGTGTCCTGTTTCCCCAGGATGGATGACATCCAGCTCTGCAAGGACATCATGGACTTGAAGCAGGAGCTGCAGAACTTGGTCGCCATCCCAGGTAACCATTTGCAACTTCACCTTGTGCTAAACAGGTGCTTGGGGGCCCCCAGCCTGGCCCATCTGTACGCCTGGGTCTGGAAGACAGAGCCTCATTCTTGCAATGCAGTGCTCCCTGACTGCATGTGTCAAACACAACTTCGAGTCAGGAAGACCTGGGTTCAAGTCCTAGTGAATTCTGGTCACCTTCTTGTCCTTGGACAAGTCACTGTACTTCTCTGAGACTCAATTTCTCCTCCTCTGAAAATTGGCTAGTAATAGTAAGAGGGTCTAATTCATTGAGTATAAATATCCTAAAGAGGCTGGGCACGGTGGCTAATGCCTGTAATCCCAGCACTTTAGGAGGCTGAGATGGGTGGCTTACTTGAGGTCAGGAGTTTGAGGCCAGCCTGGCCAACATGGCAAAACCCCATCTCTACTAAAAATACAAAAATTAGCCAGGTGTGGTGGCACACACCTGTAATCCCAGGTAACCGGCAGGCTGAGGCAGGAGAATCACTTGAGCTTGGGAGGTGGAGGTTGCAGTGAGCTGAGATTGTGCCATTGCACTCCAGCCTGGGCAACACAGCGAGACACTGTCTCAAAAAAATATATAATTAAATTAAATTAAATATCATAAAAATCGATGAGATGATGCAAACTAAGTGCTTAGCTTGATATTTGGCCTCAAGAGTCCAGTAAATATTAGCAATTATGACCATTATTATCCTACTTGGGAACAGATGAAGTGTGTACAAACTCTAACTTTGAAGTCACCCCAGATTTGGTAGTTAATAATGCCTGACTTATTTGGCATCTTCTCCAAAAAATTTTCCCCTGCCCATCAGGCTGTGTTAGTTGCCCTCTGTGGGGCTTACCCTTATCAAAATGCTAGTCCCAGGCCAGGCATGGTGGCTCACGCCTGTAATCCCAGCAGTTTAGGAGGCTGAGAGGGCAGATCACTTGAGTTCAGGAGTTTGAGAACAGCCTGGCAAACATGGTGAAACCCCATCTCTAGTAAAAATATGAAAATTAGCCAGGGGTGGTGGCGGGTGCCTGTAATTCCAGCTACTCAGGAGGCTGAGGTGGGAGAATTGCTTGAACCCAGGAGGTGGAGGTTGCAGTGAGGTGAGATCTCACCACTGCACTTCAGCCTGGGTGACAGAGCGAGACTCCGACTCAAAAAAAAGAAAGAGAGAACTGAGTAATTTATAAAGAAAATAAGTTTAATTGGCTCACAGTCCTGCAGGCTGTACCAGAAGCATGATGCTGGTGTCTGCTCAGCTGCTGGAAGGCCTCAGGAAACTTATAATCATGGCGGAAGACAAGGGAGCAGACATGTCACGTGCCCAGAGCAGGAGCAAGAGAGTGAGGCGGGAGGTGCCACACACTTTTAAAAGACCAAATCTCATGAGAACTCACTATCACAAGGACAGTACCAAGGAGGATGGGGCTAAACCATCATGAGAAACCTCCATCATGATCCAATCACCTCTCATCAGGCCACGCCTCCAACACTGGGTATTACATTTCAATATGAGATTTGGGCGGGGACACACATCCAAACTATATCAGAATGGATGCTGCTGATTGGTTGGGGATGCAATCATAGGTGTGTGAAAAATGATTCTCAGGGGTGCTAAGTCCACTTCTGGGTGGCAGGTCCACGTGGATCATCATTCATCAGAAATGCAAAACCTAAAGAGATATCTCAAAAGGCTGATCTTAGATTCTGCAATAGTGATGTTATCTGCAGGAGTAATTGGGGAAGTTGCAAATCTTGTGACCTCTGGAATAATGGCAGTAGTCATTTATGTCTACACCTTAGCAGAATTCAGCCTCCTCCCATCCTTCTAACATGGGGGCCTTTTATTAGCTTTACAAAGGCAGTTTAGTTGGTGGAAAAGGTTATAATCATTTAAACTATAAACTAAATGTCTCCCAAAGCTAGCATGGCCTAAACCTGGGAATGATTAAGGGCAGCTTGGAGGTTAAAGGCAAGATGGGGGTTGGTTAGATCAGATCCCTTTCACTGTCCTAATTTTCTCACTGTTATCATTTTTGCAAAGGTGTTTTCAAATAGGCCAGATAAGCACCCACCATTACCCTTGACTTGAATGTTTTTGCCATGCTGTCAGTTCAATAACTATGTCCCAAGAGGCTGTTCTGCAGCAAGCTCTGAACCTAGGAGCCGGGCTTGCAGTGATGAACAGAGAACGGTTCTCCACTCTCAAGGAGCCCCCAGGTTAGCAGAAAGAGACTGGGCCCAGCACACAGTGGGTGCCCATAAGTGGCAGTTCTTACTGAGCTACAAGTGCAGCATGATGAGCCTTAGAGCAGCGTTTCCCAACCTTCAACTATTGACATTTGGGGTTGACAAATGTCAGTATCTTCCTTTGGGGTTGATCATTTTTTGTTGGGGGTACGGGGCTCTGTGTTGTGTCTTGTGGGATGTTGAGTTTCATCCCTGGCCTCTACCCACTACAGGCCATTAGCACAACGTACCTCTCCGCTACCCCTCAATGGTGATGTTACCTGAAAGGGATCCTGATCCAGACCCCAAAGTTCTTGGACCAAGAGCAAGAAAGAATTTAGGGCGAGTCCGTAAAGTGAAAGCAAGTTTATTAAGAAAGCAAAGGAATAAAAGAATGGCTACTCTGTAGGCAGGGTAGCAGCTTGGGCTCCTCGATTGATTGTACTTATAGCTATTTCTTGATTATATGCTAAACAAGGGGTAGATTATTCATGAGTTTTCTGGGAAAGGGGTGGGCAATTCCCACAACTGAGGGTTCCTCCCCTTTTTAGACCATGTAGGGTAACTTCCTGATGTTGCCATGACATTTGTAAACTGTCATGGCACTGATGGGAGTACCTCTTAGCATGCTAATACCTTATAATTAGCATATAATGAGTAGTGAGGACGACCAGAGGTCACTTTCATCGCCATCTTGGCTTTGGTGGGTTTTGGCAGCCTTCTTTACTAATGCTGTTTTATCAGGAAGGTCTTTGTGACCTGTATCTTGTGCCGACCTCCTATCTCATCTTGTGACTTAGAATGCCTAACCTCCTGGGCATTCAGCCCAGTAGGTCTCAGCCTTATTTTACCCAGCCCCTATTCAAGATGGAGTCACTGTAGTTCAAACCCTTCTGACAGTGACAACCAAAAATGTCTATAGATGTACAGATGTTGCTGAATGTACCCCAAGCGAGGTCAGGGGGGTGTGCAACATTGCCCTATGAAAGGAAAATAAAGTCCCAGGACCCCAATTCACTATACCAAAAGGAAAAGTTAAGCTTGGGAACTATGAGTCATACAAAAACCTACTTTTTTTTTTTTTTTTGAGACGGAGTCTCGCTCTGTCCCCCAGGCTGGAGTGCAGTGGCGCGATCTCTGCTCACAGCAAGTTCCGCCTCCCGGGTTCATGCCTCAGCCTCAGTCTCCCGAGTAGCTGGGAGCCTGTAGGCACCTGCCACCACGCCCGGCTAATTTTTTGTATTTTTAGTAGAGGTGGGGTTTCACCGTGTTAGCCAGGATGGTCTCGATCTCCTGACCTCATGATCCACCCACCTCAAGCCTCCCAAAGTGCTAGGATTACAGGTGTGAGCCACCACACCCAGCCAAAACTGCCTTTCTTTTTTTCCTAAACAGATAGCTGCAAGATAGAAAGGCCACCTATCTTCCCAGGGGCCTCCCTCACCCTGTCAATGTAAATTAACAGCTTATCCTAACAGGTAGGGGACTAAGACAAGACTATAAATCATCGTCCCTCCGCCCACCCGGAGACAAATGCACATTTGACTTCCTCCTCTACTCCGCGTTTCCTTTATCCTATGTAAAATGCAAATTCACTGAGGGCCAGAGAATGCAATCCTCCCCTTCCTGCCCTCTCTTTCCCCTTTAAATATTGAAGTCCTTAAGATCCTCTGCAGAAAAAAGCACAGGCCGGGGATCCTATTGCTGCCTGTGTCTCTTTTTCCCAGGTGCCTCCTCGACTTTGGCAAAATAAACCTCCAGATTGATTGAGACCTTCTCAGACACTTTGCAGCTTACAGCTCCCACATAAGAACTACTACTTTAGTAATTAGAGTGCAGCAATCTGGGTTTGAATTCAGCCTTAGCAGGCAGGTGAACTTCGTGAAAGTTCGCGACTTAATTTCTCTGAGCCTTGAATTCCTTGTTGGGAAAATGAGGCCAATAATACTACCCCCCGCATGGTTGTTGTGAATATCCCATAAATAACAAAGGCAAGGTGTAGGAGTCTTCCACACAGTCTTGTTGTAAGGGTAGTGTGCGCAATGACAGTAGAACTGAATCCTCTAGCTTTCGTGAGCATTTACTAGGTGCCCAGCACTGTGTAGGCCCTAAGGATAAACGAGTGAATAGACTTTCCTAGTTGAAAGAGAGCGACAGCTAGTGGGTATGGGGTTTCTTCTGGGGGTGATTAAAATGTTCTAAAATGGATTGTGGTGATGGTTGCACAACTCTGCAAATACACTTGGAACAGATGAACTGCATGGTATGTGAATCATATTGCAATAAAGCTGTTACCAAAAAAAGTTAAATGTCAAACATAAAACAACGAAGGAATGAGGGAAAAGTACCAAAGTCTATTCTCCACCCACTAGAAACCCCAATGCAATTGATCTGGCATTGTTGGCTTTGGACTCTGGCATTGTAATAGAACTCAACTTGTGATATGGTTTGGCTGTGTTCCCACCCAAATCTCATCTTGAATTGTAGCTCCTATAATCCCCGTGTGTTGTGGGAGGGACCCAGTAGGAGATGATTGAATCATGGGGGACAGTTTCCCCCATACTATTCTCATGGTAGTGAAGAAGTCTCATGAGAGCTGATGGTTTTATAAGGGGTTTCCCCTTTCGCTTGATTCTCATTTTCTGTGCTGCCTGCTGCCAAGTAAGACGTGCCTTTTGCCTTCTGCCGTGATTGTGAGGCCTCCCCAGCCACGTGGAACTGTGAGTCCATTAAACCTCTTTTTCTTTATAAATTACCCAGTTGCGGGTATGTTTTTATCAGCAGCGTGAAAATGGACTAATACAACTAGGGTCTGCTTTCCTGGCACAGTAAGACCAGCTGTCTCCCCAGAGTTTTTGCAGTGGTAAAAAGGAAACAGTTTATTTGCAAGGCTCCAAGCCAGGAGGACTGGGCAGCTAATGCTTCAAGCCTGACCTCCTCAATGGCTTATAGGTAATGTTCTGTCCAACAGGTTCACCTTGCCCTCTGCCTAGACAAACCTGACTTATCAAGACTGGGGAATTACAATAGAGAAAGAGTAATTCATGCATAGCCGGCTGAGGGAGACTGGAGTTTTATTATTCCTCAAATCAGTGCCCCTGAGCATTCCAGGATCAGAGTTTTTAAAGACGATTTGGTGGATGGGGGTGGGGGTGCAGTGAGAATGGAGTGCTGATTGGTTGGGTCGGAGATGAAATCACAGGGAGCCGAAGCTGTCCTCTTGCACTGAGTCAGTTCCTGGGTTGGGGCCACAAGGTCAGATGAGCCACTTTATCTGGGTGGTACCCACTGACCCATCAAGTGCACGGTCTGCAAAATACCTCAAGCATTGATCTTGGTTTTTACAATAGTGGTGTTATCTTCAGGAGTAATCTGGGGAGGGTCAGCATCTTGTAGCCTCCAGCTGCATGATTCCTAAACCATAATTCCTAATCTTGTGCTTAATTTGTTAAGTCCATTTTCACACTGCTGTCAAGAACTGCCCAAGACTGGGTATAACGGAAAGAGGTTTCATTGACTCACAGTTCGGCATAGCTGGGGAAGCCTCAGGAAACTTACAATCATGGTGGAAGGTCAAGGAGAAGCAAGGCACTCTCTTCACAAGGTGACAGGAAGGAGAATGAACGCAGGAGGAACTGCCCAACCCTTATAAAACCATCAGATCTCATGGAACTCACTCACTATCATAATTCCTAATCTTCTGGTTAATTTGTTAAGTCCATTTTCACACTGCTGTCAAGAACTGCCCAAGACTGGGTATAAAGGAAAGAGGTTTCATTGACTCACAGTTCGGCATAGCTGGGGAAGCCTCAGGAAACTTACAATCATGGTGGAAGGTGAAGGAGAAGCAAGGCACTCTCTTCACAAGGTGACAGGAAGGAGAATGAACGCAGGAGGAACTGCCCAACCCTTATAAAACCATCAGATCTCATGGGAACTCGCTCACTATCACGAGAACAGCATGGGGAAACTGCCTGCGTGATTCAGTCACCTCCACCTGGTCTCTCCTTTGACACGTGGGGATGATGGGGATTATAATTCAAGATGAGTTTTGGGTGGCGACACAAAGCCTAACCGTATCACCTACAAATGCAGTCTAGTTCCCAGGCAAGAAGGGAGTTTGTTTTGGGAAAAGGCTGTTATCGTCTTTGTTTTAAATGATAAAGTAAGTTCCTCCCATAGTTAGTTCAGCCTATGCCCAGTAATGAACAAGGACAGCTTGGAGGTTAGAAGCAAGATGGAGTTGATTAGGTCAGATCTCTTTCACTGTCTCTTATAATTTTGCAATGGCGATTTCAGTGCAGGTTTTTAAAGGCAGGGGTAAATTTCAGTCAAGCAGAAGTTACAGGCAAAATTGTAAATCAATACATTGAGATTACATATCAATTTTGGCCTAAAAGGGCTGCATACGTTGAAGCTGGGGCTCACAGGTCATAGGTAGATTGAAAGATTTTCTAATTTGCAATTGGTTAAGGAAGAGAAGCTTTGTTTAAAAATCGGGGGTCAAGGCCAGGTGCAGTGGCTCACGCGTATAATCCCAGCACCCTGGGAGGCCGAAGTGGGCAGATTGCTTGAGGCCAAGAGTTGGAGACCAGCCTGGCCAACATGGCGAGACCCCCGTCTCTACTAAAATTACAAAAATTAGCCGCGTGTGGTGGCGCCTGCCTGTACTTCCAGCTACTCGGGAGACTGAGGCAGGAGAATTGCTTGAACTCGGGAGAGGGGGGTTGCAGTGAGCCAAGATTGTGCCACTGCACTCCAGCCTGGGCGACAAAGCAAGACTCTGCCTCAAATAAATAAATAAATAAAAATAATAAAAATCGGGGGTCAGCAGAAAAGAATGGCATCCCTGGCCCATGGGTGTGACTCCCTCCAGGCCTCTCTGGAAGACACTTAGAACAAGGAAAGATGGTCAGAATTCAGTCCTTAGTCTTCCTTTATCTGACGTCTATATGCCAGTGGATCCATTTGGTAGGGTCCTGGGTTTCTGAAAAACAACTCAGACATATATGCTAAGATGTTTATCTTCAGTTTCTATAGAAAACAAAACATCTCCAGATTCTAACTTCCTTGGCTATTGTTTTAGGCTACTATTACCTTCTTACTGATAAGTTGCTTATTGACTTTTCAAGGCTAGCTAGGTGCCTAGAATTTCCTTTGAGGGAACTCAAGATTTTCCTTTATTTCCATGCTTGGGGTGGGGGTCTCCCACAGACCCCAAAAGGGAGTCCCTGTGTTACTGGTGGAAGGTGTCCAGGTTCTTGGTGTTTTGAACAAAGAATTGGACAAAATGCACACACAAACAAAATAAGCGAGGAAAGAATGAAGCAACAAAAGCAGAAATTTATTGAAAATGAAAGTACACTCCATAGGGTGGGAGTGTGCCTGAGCATAGGGGCTCAGGAGCCCCAATACAGAATTTTCTGAGGTTTAAATACCCTCTAGAGGTTTCCCGTTGGCTACTTGGTGTACACCCTATGTAAATGAAGTAGTGGCCCACAATTAGTCTGATTGGTCGCAGAAAGCTTTTGCAGTTGCTTTCTGCGACCAATCAGATATACTTTCAATTTCTCATGTGACACACAGAAAAGGAGGAGGGTTTGCAAAGGGAGTAGCCTCCAGTCCTTTTGTTACTTATGTGTGGAAAGTTGGGGTTTTTCTTTTGATTTAGTTCTAGGAAGTTGGCCCTAGGTTCCCTGCCTCCAGACCATATTCTCCTGCCTCACCTGATCCATCTCAGCATTAGTAATTTTTTTTTTTTTTTTTTTGAGACAGAGTCTTGCTCTGTCACCCAGGCTGGAGTGCAGTGGCGAGATCTGGGTTCACTGCAGTCTCCGCCTCCGGGGTTCAAGTGAAGTGATTCTCCTGCCTCAGCCTCCTGAGTAGCTGGGACTACAGGCGCCCGCCACCATGCCCGGCAAATTTTGTTTTTGTATTTTTAGTAGAGACTGGGTTTCACTGTGTTAGCCAGGATGGTCTCAACCTCCTGATCTCGTGATCTGCCCGCCTCGGCCTACCAAAGTGCTGGAATTACAGGTGTGAGCCACCGCGCCTAGCCGAGCATTGGCAATTTTTAAAGCTTTGCACCTGATTGTGATAAGCAGGGACGGTTAGGAACCGCCAGGCCTGTTCCCCTCTCTCATTTCACAATTCTCCAAGGATTAGTCTGGCTGAAAGGTACAGAAACCCATCCAAGCTTATGTAAGCACAAAACAAACAATTACTGGAAGGACAGTGGAGTCTCCTGAAGCCCTAGGGCATTACATTCATTTCCCAGAGCTGCCTAACAAATTGGTGCAAACTGGATGGCTTAAGCAACAGAAATGTATTCTCTCTCGGTTCTGGATGTATTCTCTTTCGGTTCTGGAGGCCAGACATCCAAAATCGAGGTGTCAACAGGGCCTTGTTCCCTGCTAAGGCTCTAGAGGAGACTCCTTTGCCTCTTAGCTTCTGGTAGTGTTAGTGAAGTAGTGTTGTTGACTGGGGTAAATACCCAAGGTTCGTTGTCTCTCTCCAAGCAGATTAAGGACACAGACACTGACATACAGAGGAGTGAGTTTAGGAGTGGAGGTTTAATAGGCAAAAGAAAGAGAAAAGGGAACAGCTCTCTCGGTCTCTCTCGAGAAGTCCCTGAATGGGAATTCCGGCCTGTGGCAGACTGCACCAAATTTTATAGACAAGCTTGAGGAGGTGGTGTCTGATTTACATAGGGCCCACAGATTGGTTGGAGCAGGTGTGACGTTTGCATAGTGCATGGGAAGGCTGGCCACCCCACCCTAATCTTATCATGCAAATGAACTTTCCACTTGGGCGGCGCCATGTTGTCTTCTCCTTACTGTACACATGGCTGGCAAAGAGAAGGGAGCGTGGAGCCGCCATTTTGAACATACCTAGACCAGGTGGCCTTTTCCTATGGGCACAGCTGCCAGCATTCACCCGTGTAAGCTTCCAGCTCCCTTGACTATGTCTACAGCTCGATTTTACTGGCTGCTCCTTGTTAGAAAAGAAAATGATTTGGGGGTTGCTTTTCATTAAAAGGAAAACCTTACCGAGGACTTCCTTACCCTATCTGCCTAAATAATTTCTTCTTCACTCCTGTATCATTAGCAGTAGCAAATCCATACGAGTCTGAAGCAACTTGATACTTGCCTCCTCAGAGGAAATAATTCCACCAGCGGGCATAAGGCAGAGTGAGAGACCGAGGCAAGTTTTAGAGAAGGAGCAAAAGTTTATTAACAAGTTTTAGAGCAGGAATGAAAGGCAGTAAAGGACACTTGGAAGACGGCCAAGTGGGTGATTTGAGAGATCCAAGTGCACCGCTTGACCTTTGATTTGGGGTTTTATATGTTGGCATGTTCCGGGGTTTTATATGTTGGCATATTCCAGGGTTTTATGTCTCTCCTCCCTTCATTTTCCCTCAGGGCAGGTTGTGCGCATGCGCAGTGGCCTGCCAGCGCTTGGGAGAGGCTGCAAACACAGTGTATTTACAGAAGTCATGGGCCTGATTATTTGAGATGTTTTTCCCTCACCAGTTGAGTGTTCCTAGAGGAAGGTCATATACCAGTTAGACTCCGCCATTTTGCCTCTTAATGTGCATGCTTGAGCCCAGTTGCCCAACTCCTGAGATCTCATCGGGAAACCGCTGATAACTTCAGGTGTTTTCTGTCTGTTGGGAGATGGCCTTTCCCTGGCACCAGCTGTGACCAATTATTATTTTAGAGAGACAATTTTAACAACTGCCTGACATCACCTGATGGTTGCCTGGCATTCCTTGGGGGGGAAATCCCCTCTCCTTTCTTGCTCATGGCTGCCTGGCTACCTACTCTAACAGTAACACACACAATTCTTGGCATTGCTTGCCTTCTGGTTGCACCACTTCAATCTCTGCCTCCATCTTCACGTGACCCTGTGTGTGTCTGTGTGTCTTCTCTTCTCCTCTTTTTTTTTTTTTTTTTCTAAAAGACAGGGTCTGGCTGTGTTGCCCAGGCTGGTCTAGAACTCCCAGGCTTAAGTGATCCTCCTGCTTCAGCCTCCCAAGTAGCTGGGATTACAGGTTCAGGCCACCATGCTTGGGTCTCTTTCCTCTTCTCATAAGGACACAAGTCATTGGGTTTAGGGTCCATGCTAATAAGTATGACCTCATTTTAGCTTAACTATTATAATTACATGTGCAAAGCAACTTACAAATTACTTTGGAAATAGAGTATTTCCAAATAGAAGAGATATAAACTGGGGAAAACTATTTCCAAATAGGGCACACATGAACTTTGGGGGTGCCTTAGTCTCTGTGGCTTGCTCTAGACCGGGGGCTTGTAAACAACATTTATTACAGTTCTGGAGGCTGGGAGGTGCAAGATCAAGGTGTTGGCAGATACAGTGCCTGGTGACGGCCTGTTCCTTATAGATGGTACCTTCTCACTGTGCCTTTGTGTGGTGGAAGGGGCAAACAAGCTCCCTTGGGTCTCTTTTATAAGGGCACTAATTCCATTCATGAGGGTTCTACCTTCATAATCTACTCACTTCCCAAAGGCCTCATTTCTTAATACTATGACCATGGAGGTTAGGATTTCAGTGGGTGGCACCTGTAGGCAAGTGGAAGATGATGGGAAAGGTATGTGGCACACACGCACGTGAGCAGCATTGGCCAATGACTTGGAGACTTGGGCTAGTCATAGGTCTGTGAGCTGACGCAGGCCACTTGTGTGAGTAGGTGGTTTCTCCTGGGAGTTGCTGCAGCTGAGGCTGGGGAATGCCTCTATTGGTGAGTGACAGAACACATGGATGAATGGCTTGGAGACAGAGGTTTGCAGATGTTGGGGGCCCAGCCAGTTGTTGGGTGATTCTGGCTAAGATCTAGAGAGCAGTGGAGGGCACTTGGGAATGTCAGAGTGCTGTCAATGGTTATTTGGAGAGTAAAGTCACACCACGAGCTCCTGAGTGAGCAGGGGTCCTGGTGAGTCGATGGGTGTTGGTGCGTGCTTGGAGAGGGCAGGGAGCGGCTCTGCGGTGCTGACGAGTGATTTGGGGAATCAGACCCAACCCACAAGATTTACCACGGCAGGAGCAGTGACACCATCATCCAATGCACCAATGGCTGGGAATGGGGAGCGGCTGGCAAGCCTATTGCCCTTCTTCGTGCAGTGGTGGACTCCTGGTTAATGAGAGAAACCAACTTTCTGTCCTATCCAAATATTATGTTCTCCTTACCCCTGGTTCTGCTTCCAGATCCAGAAAAAATGATCAACGTCAGTCGTGGGCAGGCAGACAAGCTGTCCCACATTTTTTATTCTGAAGGGATTTGAGCAGAAAGAGCCCAAGTGGGTTTAAGTTTTTGCCTCTTAATTTTCTCAAACCTCATCTTCAGCCCTCTCTCTTTTTTTTATTTTTTCTCTTTGGCATCCTAGCACTTGGTGTTTGGGACAGGGTTAGTGTCATTGGCATGGATGATTTTCTTCTGATAAATTGGTTTACCTTCACCAAAGGGAAAAAAACAACTAGTTCCCTCCCAGCACCCCTATCTGAGCCTCTCCTCACCCCCTGCCTTTGCAGAAGACCCTGGCTTTGTCATGACCATTTACTGAAGGCTCTCAGCCAAGGCCAAGCACTCCACTAAGCCATTTACTAACACTACTGCATTTCAAAATTGTATGCAATTTAGTATGCAGGATGTGCAGGTTTATTACATAGGTAAACGTGGGCCATGGTGGCTTGCTGCACCTGTCAGCCCGACACATAGGTATTAAGCCCAGCATGCATTAGCTATTTTTCCTGATGCTCTCCCTCCCCACACTCACCCTGCCCTCTCAATTTTTTTTTTTTTTTTTAAGAGACAGGGTCTTTCTCTGTTACCCAGGCTGGAGTGCAATGGTGCAATCATAACTCACTGCAGCCTAGAACTCCTGGGCTCAAGAGATCCACCCACCTCAGCCTCCCAAGTAGCTGAGACTACAGGAACACTCCATCACATGTGGCTAATTTACAGAGAAAATTTTTGTAGACATAGGAGGGTCTCACTATGTTGCCCAGGCTGGTCTTGAACTCCTGGCCTCAAGTGATCCTCCTGCCTTGGTCTCCCAAAGTGCTGGGATTACAGGTGGCAGGCACTATGCCCAGCCCATTACTCCCATTTTAAGCCTCACTGTGTATTTTACAGATGAGAAAACTGAAGCTTGAAGAGGTCAAGTTGCTTCTCCAAGTTCATCCAGAGGGTGGAAGGGCAGAGTCAGGTCTCCAATCAATCCTGGCCGCTCAGCTCAAGTGCTTTTTTTTTTTTTTTTGAGACAGAGTCTCGCTCTATCACCCAGGCTAGAGTGCAGTGGTGCGATCTCAGCTCACTGCAAGCTCCACCTCCCGGGTTCATGTCATTCTCCTGCCTCAGCCTCCCGAGTAGCTGGGACTACAGGCACCCGCCACCACACCCGGCGAATTTTTTGTATTTAGTAGAGACGGGGTTCCACCCTGTTAGCCAGGATGGTCTCGATCTCCTGACCTCGTGATCCGCCCACCTTGGCCTCCCAAAGTGCTGGGATTACAGGTGTGAGCCACCGCACCCGGCCAGCTCAAGTGCTTTTAGTGGTCACCCTCTCATCTGTCTCTCTGTAATTTTTTGTTTTTTTTTTCTTTCTTGAAATGAAGTCTCATTCTGTTGCCCAGGCTGGAGTGCAGTGGCGCAGTCTCAGCTCACTGCAACCTCCGCCTCCCAGGTTCAAGCAATTCTCCCGCCTCCCGAGGTGGTGGCTGACAGCCTCCCGAGTAGCTGGAATTCCAGGTGTGTGCCACCACGCCTGGCTAATTTTTGTATTTTTGGTAGAGATGGGGTTGTTTCACCATGTTGACCAGGCTGGTCTGAAACTCCTGACCTCAAGTGATCCGCCCACCTCAGCCTCCCAAAATGCTCATCTGTCTCCTTGTTGATGTCTTCTTTCCAGAAAAAGAAAAAACCAAACTGCAGAAGCAGAGAGAGGATGAGCTAATCCAGAAGATCCACAAACTGGTGCAGAAGAGAGACTTCCTGGTGGACGATGCGGAGGTCGAGCGGTTAAGGTGAGTGCACTGCGGGTACCCGATCACTGGGCTGCAGGACAGCAACCTTCTGCTTCCTTCCAGAACCCATCTTCTGCTCCTGGGACTCACAGCCTTGCCTAACAGGCATGGCCTTGATCCACAGTCTCTGGACACTGAATCCCAAGGAACCCCAGCCTTCTGGCTTGAGAATTCATTTTGTATATAAGAGAATTTCAAATCTGTGCCTCTTGAGGGAATGTTGTTCCAGGAAGTGACCAGGGAGGAGTCACATCCCATAATACATGGCAGAGCTTCCTTCACATCCTGTCACTCCTGAAGGCAATGTCTTGAAACTTCTGCTATCAGTTTCTACCGAAACTCTGCCACCTGAACTGACTTGCTCCCAACCTCTGTCCTCCCAACCTCCCAGCTTTGTTCTCCCCTTTCCCTTCCCCTTAGTGGCGCCAATGCCCTTTTCTAAGTATCAGGGTCTTCTCTTTGCATCTGCTGCCTTGACCTCGACAACCACAGCCCTGGAGCTGCAGTGTAAAAACATGTTGTAAATGTTGAAAATGTGGAAAGCTGTACATGTTGGTTCTTGATTTTTGTTTCCTTACACCAGAGCAAAGCTTTTAGGGCCTTTCACAAGGAAAAAGGCCCTTCCAACCCAGAGGGCAACTTGCTCTTTATTGTCTGTGTTCTCAGAGACCTTTCTTCAAGGGTCCTGGGACTAGCAGTTCCACTGCCCTTCTTCATGCTGCAATGGACTTCTGGTTAATGAGAGAAACCAACTTTTCCCTCCTATCCAAATATTATATTCTATGGTCGGGTACAGTGGCTGACGCCTGTAATCCCAGCGCTTCTGGGAGGCCAAGGTGGGTGGATCACCTGAGGTCAGGAGTTCAAGACCAGCCTGGGCAACATGGTGAAACCCCGTCTCTACTAAAACTACAGAAATTAGCCGGGCGTGGTGGTGCATGCCTGTAATCCCAGCTACTTGGGAGGCTGAGGCAGGAAACAATCATTTGAACCCAGGAGGCAGAGGTTGCAGTGAGCCAAGATTGCACCAATGCACTCTAGCCTGGGTGACAGAGTGAGATTCCATCTCAAAAACAAAACAAAACAAAAAATACAGAAAACTACAACAAATATTATATTCTCCTTACCTCCGGTTCTGCTTCCAGATCTAGAAGAAATTATCAATGCCAGTCTTGGGCAGGCAGACAAGCTGCCCCAACATAGTGAGACCCCCCTATCTCTACAATTTTTTTTTTTAATTAACTAGGAGTGGTGGAGTGCTCCTGTAGTCTCAGCTACTTGGGAGGCTGAGGTGGGAGGATCTCTTGAGCCCAGGAGTTCAAGGCTTCTTGAGTTACGATTGCACCATTGCACTCCAGCCTGGGTGGCAAAGAAAGACCGTGTCTCTTCAAGGCAGTTCAGCAAGTCTGCACCCACCTACTTTATCTTGGTGATCCTTGGAAGAGCTGGGGTGACTCGCTCTCTGAGACCTGCCTCATACTTTGTGGGAGCACAGGTGAATAGGGTGGCTTCAAAATACAAGGTCAGGAGAGGTGCTGCCTCACTCACTGACCCCCCAGCAGGGTCCTGTAATGTCCCTGCCTCTGCCCTGGGGTCACATACCTACCTCTGGGTAAGCATTTACCCCATCATTGATATGTGTCTCTGGTTCAGAGCAGGTTCACCAGATACAACATATACATACTGTACACGCATAACACGTGACAACATACATGCCCCATCCACAAAGCCTGTTGCTTAACCTATTGGTTTATTTCATTGGTTCCTTGATGCTTTCCTTGCTTGCTGTGTATCTTCTTTTCTTTTACCCATCTACTTTCACAGGGAGCAAGAAGAAGACAAGGAAATGGCTGATTTCCTGAGAATCAAGTTAAAACCTCTAGACAAAGTAACCAAATCTCCAGCCAGTGAGTATATACATTATTCATTCCCCTCCCCCACAAAAGAGAAAAGTATATTTCAGGCCAGGCCCACAGTGGATCACGCCTGTAATCCCAGCACTATGAGAGGCCAAGGTGGGTGGATCACCTGAGGTCAGGAGTTCGAGACCAGCCTGGTCAACATGGTGAAACCCCGTATCTACCAAAAATATAAAAATTAGCTGGGCACGGTGGCACACACCTGAAATCCCAGCTACTCGAGAGGCTGAGGCAGGAGAATTGCTTGAACCCGGGAGGTGGGGGTTGCAGTGAGCTGAGATTGGGCCACTGCACTCCAGCCTGGGTGACAGGGTAAGACTTTGTCTCAAAAAAAAAAAAAAAAAAAAAGGCCATTTCAGAGAAGTCTGGGAGCCATAAGGGGCGCAACAAAATGCTTTCTAGAGATCAGATCTAGAGATCAGATTTCAGCATGGGATGACAGCAGGCAGGACCAGCCTCACGGGCCTGCAGGCAGTTGCCTGGGGCCTCATGCCTGACCAGCCTCATGGGCCTGTAGGCAGTTGCCTGGGGCCTCATGCCTAGAAGGGTGCCATGCTTGGTTTAATGTTCTCCTGTTGCTGTCTAGAAATTGTTAATACGTTTGGAACATGGGGCCCTACATTTTCATATTGGATTGAACTCTGCAAACTACGTACCTGGTCCTGGTAGTTGTTCCTCCCTAATTGCAAAGTTTGGTGCATTTCATAGAAAGAATTGGGTAGCTACTGAGGCTCAGGGAGCTCTGGCCTCTCTTAGGTCTGGAATCTCTGGAGAAGCCAGAAGCATATGTCTCAGAATATTAACCTCATCAGATCCTCAGAGCAAAGAGGGTTTTATATGAAATAAGTTTGAGAAATGCTGTTTACTTGACCCTGTATTTGGAGAGTCCCAGTGTCCATTAGGATATTAAAGTGATGATGGATCCTGCTGTCAAGAAACTGTCTTTTCTTTGTTGACCCAGCGTTTCTCAAATGTGTTTAACTGCTGTATTAGTGAGGCCTCTTTCAGTTAGAAGAAATGGATGCCTGGCTGGGCGCGGTGGCTCACGCCTGTAATGCCAGCACTTTGGGAGGCCGAGGCGGGCGGATCACAGGTCAGGAGATCGACACCATCCTGGCTAACACGGTGAAGCCCCGTCTCTACTAAAAATACAAAAAATTAGCCGGGCTTGGTGGTGGGCGCCTGTATTCCCAGCTACTCGGGAAGCTGAGGCAGGAGAATGGCGTGAACTGGGGAGGCGGAGCTTGCAGTGAGCCGAGATCACACCACTACACTCCAGCCTGGGTGACACAGCAAGACTCCATCTCAAAAAAAAAAAAAAGAAAGAAAGAAAAGAAATGGATGCCCAATTCAAACTGGTCTAAGCAAAAAAAGGAATTTGTTGGAGAAAGAGCAACAAGAACTAGAGCCTCAAGGACTGAACACTATTACCTCCCCTCCTTTTCTTCTTTTTCTCATCTCTGCCTCTCTTTGCATGTAAGCATCATTTTTTCCTACAACACAGGCCTTCTCCATGGGACCAGAACCCTAGAACCATAGCTTAGCAACTCTGAAGCAATACCACAGGTTCTTTTCCCTGGTATCGAAATACATAAGTCTCAGGGAAATATTCTCACCCGCCCTTCTGGGATTATGTTCCCACCTCTTAGATCCATTACCATCACCAAGAGGCTGGGGGTACTGGGATTGGCCAGGAATGTATAACATGCCCACTCCTGCAGCCACAGGGACATGAGCTGTTAGAGGAAGAGGGACTTGAAATCTTGCTGGGAAGACAAAAACCAAAAGCTGCCACTGTCTATAAAACTACAAACCCAGTTTTCATTAACATCCTGTGAAAGATGGTTGGAGGGAGTAAGGAAAGAGAAGGGCAATGATCTCTTCTGCTGGCTCCTATAACCACAAGGCACGTGATCACTGCCGAAGGCCAGCATCCTCAGTGGACCCTTTCATGAAAGGCAAGGTAGAAAAACTCCACTTAGCAGCATGGAGGAGGAGCAAGGAAACTTGCCTTCTCTATTGGATTATGGGTGGAAAAAAGAAATGATTCTGGCGAGAAATCAAAACACCAAGCATGCACCACATGCAAGGGGCCAACTTTACACTACTCATCTGGTACTGGAATTCCAAGTTGAAAAATAAAAACTATTGTAAAACCAGTGAAATCTCTGGGATCCTAGCAGATTTAGCAAATGCAAAACTGCTCAGTAGGGATTCTTCTGGATCCCATGGTATACAGTATTCTCACAGAAAAAAGCAACCCCCTTGAAGATGAGCCCTCAATAAAAATGAAAAACCCGGCCGGGCACAGTGGCTTATGTCTGTAATCCCAGCACTTTGGGAGGCCAAGGTGGGCAGATCATGAGGTCAGGAGCTCGAGACCAGCCTGACCAATATGGTGAAACCTTGTCTCTGCTAAAAGTACAAAAATTAGCCAGGCATGGTGGCGCACACCTGTAATCCCAGCTACTCAGGAGGCTGAGCAGGAGAATCGCTTGAACCCAGGATGCGGAGGTTGCAGTGAGCCAAGATCACACCACTGCACTCCAGCCTGGGTGACAGAGCGAGACTCCATCTCAAGAAAAGAAAAGAAAAGAAAAACCCATGAAGAACTGAATCACCATGAGGAGAATCAGTAGATGCACCAAAGAGAATGTCCTCCCAAGAACCAAAAATATAGAACTATTTAAAAAGGAAAATAAACTAAGTACTTTTAAATGATCAAAGAGCTAAGAGAAGGAATAAAACCCAAAATGAAATAGTAAGATGCTATGAAAAAAGAATAAGTAGACATGCAAAAAACTGGCCTTCTGAAATTTTTTTTTATCAATAAAGTAAAAACTCAATGGATTAAATACAGAGACACAGCTGAAGGGAGAATTTATACATTGGAAGACAGCCCTGAGAAAGTTACACAGAATGCAGCACAAAGAGAAAAAGAGATGAGAAATATGAAAGAGAAGTTATAAAACCGAGAGGATAGAGTGAGAAGGTCCAACTTACATGTGATAGGCATTCTAGGAGATAAAACAGAGAATGGGAGGTGGAGGTATCTGAAAAGACAATGTATGAGCATTTTCAAAAATTGAAAAATATGAGCCCTCAGATTGAAGTGACTTGAACAAAATTTCCCATTTATCTATTTACCAAATACTTCTTGGATGTCAGGCCCTGTGCTAGGCTTGGCAGGTACAATGATGATAACAGCTGACTAGGAGAAGGGCTGAAAGTTAGGGTTGGAAGCTGAGCATTGAGGACCATATAAAATGAGGACTATAAAATGAGGACCAGCTGAGGATCATATGAAATGTGCATCAGCTCTCCATACCACCTGAACAAGGCCTGGAACAAGACCTGGCCAGGGGTTGCAGTGGGGCTGGGCTGCAGATGGTCAGGGCTCTGCTCACCTCACCTCTCTCTCTCTGTTCCTTTCTCCCCCTCTCCCTGTGCCCACATCTTGCTGCAGGCTCCCGGGCAGAGAAGAAAGCAGAGCCCCCACCTAGCAAGCCCACGGTGGCCAAGACGGGGCTGGCACTGATCAAGGATTGTTGCGGGGCCACCCAGTGCAACATCATGTAGCCCCCACGTGGGGTGCCCTGGGCCATGGGGACCCCCCCCCACCCTCTTGTCTTTATAGCCCCCATTTCACCGGGGCCCAAGAGCTCTCCAAGGCAGAAGGGGTTGAAGGCAAGCCCGTGACTGTCACCAGAGGCCATGGGCACGGCAGGCGGGCCTGGCCACCCTGTACAGAGTGTAGCAGTAGGGAGTCTCTCACCGTCGCATGGTCCTCCCCAGAGCATGCCGAACCCAGGAGTCTGTCTCACTGTTTATCCAAACACCAGGAAAGGTCCTCCCTCAAAAAAGCATATCTCCACTTCTCTCTAGCTGTATCTAACCCACCGTGTGAATGAACTGGGAGAGGGGCATGCTCCCCAGCTGTGTGTAGTCGTGACTTCTCAACAATCTAGCACCATGTCGGACACGTTCCCCATCCACCCTCCTAGCTCTGCTCTCAGAGCTAGGCACATGGGCACAGGTCCCCTCCCGTCTGTCCTCTCCCAGCAACTGTGCCCTGGAGGGCTCCACATGGCCCCCGTGTCTCTCGGGCACCACCCATATAGCAGTCCCAGAGGGCCCATCTGTAAAGATCGAGCTTGTGTGTGGTGTCGTGGTCACATCTCCCGCTTCCCCCCATCCTGTGTCTGGGCACAGTTCACATCAGGACAGCGTCCATTGTGCTCTCAGTCTGCCTCAGGTGTGTGCCTGGAGGGGGCCTGGACTGGCATGGATCCAGTGTGCAGAAGAGCCAGCAGGGAACCGGAAGCTCTGATGTCAAGGCCAGAGCAGTTGAGAATGGGACCCAGAGTAGATGCTGACCTGGGCACTCCACCATTCCGGGGCCACCACAGAGATGCCAGCAGGATGCCACTTTGCCAGCCCGACACACGGACCTTTGTAAAGAACAGCAACAGGCAGGAGAGGCAGCGTGTGACCAGATTGTGTCCCGTCATTGGGTGGCATATGTTAACTAGCTGCCAAACAACTTCAACCCGTGTAATTCATGTACATTTGCAACAGCCAGCCCGGTACAGCCTGTGTGACTTCTCTGTATGTGTGTGTGTGTCGTGACCAGCCTAAGTAGTTAGCATAACTCAAGATGCTGATGTGCAGTCACCCATCAGAGAAAATAAAAATGGAAACCACGTTCACAGCATTTTAAAAGTTTTTACTTTTTTTCTTGATTATGGAAGTAATCCATGTACATAGTAAATCATTTTAAAAGTACAAAAAGTATGAAGAAGTTTGTCTTAAAAAAAAAAAAAATTATTCCTCCAACTAGAGACCACTCTGATGTTTCGACGTTTTAAAAAAGTCTTTTTTTGTGCATTTTTTCATCGTTGACATCATATTGTGGTATCATTTATAACCAGTTTTTTCCTACTTATTATACCACCATCTTCCACATCATTAAAAGCTCTTTGTAAACATTAAACACTCTTCATAAATCATGCCAATGTCTGTTTAGTAATCCATCTTGTGGATGTACTGTAATTCATCTAATCATTTCCTCACTATTGGATGTGTAGACTGGTTCTAGGTTTTCTTATAAATAGTGTCTTGGATTAGCCAGGCATGGTAATGGGTGCCTGTAATCCCAGCTACTTGGGAGGCTAAGGCAGGAGAATCACTTGAACCCAGGAGGCAGACGTTGCGGTGAGCCGAGATCGTGCCATTGCACTCCAGCCTGGGTGACAGAGCAAGACTCCATCTCAAAAAAAAACAAAAAAAGTGTCTTGGGCCAGGCGCTGAGGCGGGAGGATTGCTTGAGTCCAGGAGTTCGAGACCAGCCTGGGCAACATGGCAAAACCCTGTCTCTACTAAAAATACAAATAGCTGGGCATATGCGGTGGCGCGGGCCTGTGATCCCAGCTACTTGGGAGGTGGGAGGATTGCTGGAGCCTGGGAGGTTCCAGCTGCAGTGAGCCATGATCACACCACTGTATTCCAGCCTGGGCAACAGAGCAAGATCGCACCCCCTGGAAAAAAAAAATAGTGTCTTGATAAACATCTAGGGGGATAAGGTTTCATCTGAATTTTTTATTTTTTCCTTAAGATAAACTCCTAGAAGTAAAATTATTGGGCCATTCATAAGTAGCATTTTCAAAATATTTGTAAATTGGCTGGGTGCGGTGGCTCGCATCTGTAATCCCAGCACGTCGGGAGGCAGAGGCAGGCTGATCACTTGAGGCCAGGAGTTCGCGACCAGCCTGGCCAATACAGAGAAACCCCATCTCTACCAAAAAATACAAAAATTAGCTGGGTGTGGTGACTTGTGCCTGTAATCCCAGCTACTCAAGAAGCTGAGGCAGGAGAATCTCTTGAACATGGGAAGCAGAGGTTACACTGAGCTGAGATTGCGCCACTGCACTCCAGCCTGGGTGACACAGCGAGACTTCGTCTCGAAAAAAAAAAAAAAATTTGTAGATCAAAAGGTCTTTGGTTGGACAGGCCCTCCCAGCAGGCTGCTAGACCCCAGTCCTCCCACTCTGCGTGTTCGCGGCTTTGGTCTGCACACCACTTCCCACCATTCTGATGCTGAAAAGGGTCCCTTGGGCTACTCAGTGCCACCACAATGGCCTCAGAGGACCCCGTGTCCTCCTTCACCAACCTAGACCAATCATGAAGCCAGACTCTTCGTGTACTGGGGATGCCATAATGAATGACCTTCTACTGGGTGACTTAAAACAGTGGAACCGTCTCCTTTCACAGTCCTAAAGGCCAGAAGCCTGAAATCAACCTGTCTGCGGTGCTCTGCTCCCTCTGTGGGGAAGAATCTTCTTTTGCCTCTTGCAGCTCCTGGTGGCTCCTGGCACCTTGGCAGTTCCCTGGCTGCACCACTCCAGTCTTCACCTCTGTCTCCACGTGGCCGCCTCCGCTGTATATGTGCCTCTGTGCACCCTCTCATCTTAAAAAGACACCAGTCATTGGAGTGAGGGCCACCCGAATGCAGTATGATCTCATTTGGACCCTTTCCTTAATTACTTCTGCAAAAACCCTCTTTCCAACCAAGGTCACATTCTGAGGCTCCACGTAGACATGCATTTGGGGAGGACCCAATTCCACCCACCACAGACCCCTCCCGCTCCAACGTGCAGTGAAAACTCAGGCTGCAAAGGGCCCACCGCCCTCTTTTCCCCATAAAAAATGTGGGTCAAGGCTGGGCACTGTGGATCATGCCTGTAATCCCAGCACTTTGGGAGGCCGAGGTGGGAGGCTCACTTGAGGTCAGGAGCTCATGACCAACTTGGCTAACATGGTGAAACCCCATGTCTACTAAAAATACAAAAATTAGCAAGTGTGGTGGCACATGCTTGTAATCCCAGCTACTCGGGAGGCTAAGGCAGGAGAATCGGTTGAAACCAGGAGGCGGAGGTTGCAAAGAGCCGAGATCGCACCATTGCACTCCAGCCTGGGCAACAGAGTGAGACTCCATCTCGGAAAAAAAAAAGGGGGGGCTTGGGGGGTCCGGGCGTGGTGGCTCAAGCCTGTAATCCCAGCACTTTGGGAGGCCGAGGCGGGCGGATCACGAGTTCAGGAGATCGAGACCATCCTGGCTAACACGGTGAAACCCCATCTCTACTACAAATACAAAAAATTAGCCGGGCGTGGTGGTGGACGCCTGTAGTCCCAGCTACTCAGGAGGCTGAGGCAGGAAAATGGCGTGAACCCGGGAGGCGGAGCTTGCAGTGAGCAGAGCTTGCGGTGAGCAGAGATTGTGCCACTGCACTCCAGCCTGGGCGACAGAGCGAGACTCCATCTCAAAAAAAAAGGGGAGAGGGGAGTGGGGGGGTCAGCGAGGTCTGACCTCAGGCCAGTTATACAGCAGTCACTCACAGATCCAACGAACCAGAGGAGATCAAACCCTCATCAAAATCCTGCCTCTGGTACTTCCGCTAAGCTCTGGGTACACCTACTGTATGTTCCTGTAATTCCTACTGATTTTTTTAAAAAAAGAAAACATTAAAAAATCCAATTTATTTAAGCTGTCACAGACGCTTCCAGATTACCAGGGCCACCTTCCAAGCTGGGAAACCTTGCAGACTGTGGGGTCCTGCACACCTAGACTTGCTCCTTTTAGAAGCCATGGAGGAGGTTGATAATGGGAATAACATTTATTGTAGCTTATCTCTATGCCTTGAGCAATGTGCTCACACTGGCTGGTTCCCTCCTCACATCAGCCTGATGAGTCAGATCCTGTTATTACTTCTCACTTTACAGATGAGGAAGTAGCAGTAAATCCATTACCCTTTTCAAGCGGAGGTTGCAAGAGGTTGCAAGCGGAGGCAGAATAAACACTTGAAACAGTGAGTCAGATCCTGTTATCACTTCTCACTTTACAGATGAGGAAGTGGCAGTAAATCCACTGCCCACGGTCCCAGGGGTTGTTAGTGACAGAGTCATCATTCATCTCCCTCCCTCCCCACCACTGTAGCCCCAATTGTTCTTTCTCTTCCCATCGGAGGGATTTAAACAGGTCTCTCCCATTTAAAAGCAAACAGGGCTGGACACGGTGGCTCACGCCTGTAATCCCAGCACTTTGGGAGGCCGAGGCGGGCAAATCACGAGATCAGGAGATTGAGACCATCCTGGCTAACATGGTGAAAACCCATCTGTACTAAAAATACAAAAAAATTACCTGGGCATGGTGGTGGGCGCCTGTGGTCCCAGCTACTTGGGAGGCTGAGGCAGGAGAATCGCTTGAACCTGGGAGGCAGAGGTTGCAGTGAGCCGAGATTGCGCCACTGCACTCCAGTCTGGAGACACAGCAAGACTTTGTCTCAAAACACACACACACACACACACACACACACACACACAACACAACACAACAACAACAACAACAAAAAAAGTGTCCTCTTCCTTTTAGAGAATTTAAAAAACAGGGTGAAACCCCATGTCTACTAAAAATACAAAAATTAGCAAGTGTGGTGGCACATGCTTGTAATCCCAGCTACCCGGAAGGCTAAGGCAGGAGAATCGGTTGAAACCAGGAGGCGGAGGTTGCAAAGAGCCGAGATCGCACCATTGCACTCCAGCCTGGGCAACAGAGTGAGACTCCATCTCGGAAAAAAAAAGTGGGGGCTTGGGGGTTCCGGGCATGGTTGACTGTGTGACTATATTATATCTATACATAATATATAGATATATATCTATATATAATATATAGATATCTATATATTATATATAGATATATATCTCTATTATATATAATAGATATATCTATTTATATATAGATATTATAGAGACATCTATATCTATATCTATATATAATATCTATATTATATTACGCCTGTAATCCCCGCACTTTGGGAGGCCGAGGCAAGTGAACCACTTGAGGCCAGGAGTTTGAGACGAGCCAGAGCAACATGGCAAAACCCCGTCTCAAAAAAAATTAGCCAGGTGTGGTGGCAGCATCTGTAATCCCAGCTGTTCGGAGGCTGAGGCATGAGAATCGCTTGAACCCGGTAGGAGGTTGCAGTGAGCCGAGATCGTGCCACTGCACCCCAGTCTGGGCGATAGAGTGAGACTCTGTCTCAAAAAAAAAAAAAATGTATTTCCTGATTCTTGCCACACCTGCCCTTGATGCATCAGACTCTGGCTGCTGAAATACCAAGGGCGGCGACCCTGCAGCCCCAGTGTGGATTTGTCTGCACTTGCTGATACCAGAAACTGCAGTGGGGGCAGGTGGGTGGTAGGAGCGGGGGTTCCCTCATGCCCAGGCCCTGCACCTGGGAAGCCTTTGGAGGCCATCACATGAGCTGCCTGAGGCGGATGGAAGAGACGGTGCCAAGCAGGCCCAATATGTTCCCTGCTGGCCCTGGTACTGCTCCCCTGCGGATGCTCCTGGTTGGTTCACCACCTCGTGCGGAGTGAGGAGCTGAGCAGCCCAGCCACTGAGCAGGATTTCCCTCTAAGAACGGCCCCTTCCACCCTGCAATGCCTTCTTCCTCTGCACCTCAGCTCCCCCACTTCCAAGGCGTTCCTTCCCGGAACGTGTGTATTCTTCTCTTCATCTTGCTAAGGAAAGTTCTGGCTCTTGGTGCTCTGGCTTGGCACCTTCTAAGCTCTCTAGCCCTTTTCCCCCCGCCCCCCCCCCCCCCAAAAAAAAGCGTTCTCAGCCAGGCGTGGTGGCTCATGCCTGTAATTCCAGCACTTTGGGAGGCTGAGCCCAGAGGATCACTTGAGCTCAGGAGTTCAAAACTAGCCTGGCCAACATGGTGAAACCTCATCTCTACTAAAAATACAAAAATTTGCCAGTGTGATGGTGCACATATGTAATCCCAGCTACTCGGGAGGCTGAGACAGGACAATCGCTTGAACCTGGGAGGTGGAGGTTGCAGTGAGCTGAGATTATGCCACTGCACTCCAGCCTGGGTGACAGAGTGAGACTGTCTCAAAAAACCAAAAAACAAAACAAAAAACCACTCAGGCTTAGCCATTTCTCTGGGGTCTTCATTTCCTTATGAAGACTCTCGCAAAACTGGTATGAAGTAAAATTTGTTTGCTTTTTTCCTATTAATGTCTTTGTCAGTTTAAGGCCCAGCCAGGGACACTAGGAGAATTGAGGAAGTTTTGCCGCCCACCGCCCCCCCCCCCAGCAATGGGGACAGCAGGTGGGTGGAGGCCGCTGAGGGCTTCTGCGCCATGACTCACCCTCTGCCCATGGAAGCAGCTAGAAAGTGAAGGTGAATCCCAAAGCGCAACGCTCCTTCTGGCAAAGGGAACAGAGAGGGAACAGATCTTCTTCAATCAGCGCAGCCCCCTCTGCTACGGACAGGTCTGCTCTCCCCCAGACAGCTGTCTTCTAGGCCCCCACCTCTGAATCACCTTCCTAGGTGGGAAACAAACAAAGATAAATGCAAAGCCACCGTTCCAGCCCCAGTCCACACCTAACAAGACCTCCTGACGCCGCTCAAAAGGGGCACGATGGCTACTCAACTTTTTCTGCACAAATTTGCCATCGTGAAATGTTTGGAAAGGTCTTTAGCAGCTTTTAACATTGCTGAACTTGAAAAAAATGTCATCAAGAAGCAATTTACTCAAGTCTCTTCTGGGTCCTTTTAAATTCTTGCCAGAGGGTGCTGGTGGCAGGGGTGACGGGGTAATGGCGGTCTCAGGGGATGGGAGGGCTTCACAACTGTATCTGTGGAATAACTCTTTTCCAAATTGGCTTATTCAAAAAGCATGCTTAGCAGTGACCAAAAACGAGACAGCGGGCACGCTGGATTTCTTTCACAAGAAGAGAGAGCCTAGGAATTAATAGAGTTTTCTAACTGGAAGGTTTTTGTGGTTACTGTATTTTCCCACATGTAATTATAAGCTGGAACAAAGGCTGGAAAACTTGGAGGATCCTGACGACGAAGGGCCCACCATCCAGCCACCTGCTTCGGCGTGTGCTGAGTTTAAAAGGCCTCTAAGATGTAGACGGATTTACTCTCCACCTCACAATTCTATTTCCAGAAGGGGAGAGAAGTTGAGGAGACCCAAAATGAAAGATGGCAGAACTGTATTGGTTTGTAATTCCTCCCCACAGACAGACAGACAGACAAAACCACTCACTTGGGAAACTCAAAATAGATGCTCGCTTGTAAAGTTTATTGACAACTGTTTGGTCCCAACACACAAAACAGCACTTGAACCACAACAAAAGTGTTCAAACAAAGTAGACAACTAAGAAAAACATCTCTTTCCCCCAAACCCAATCCAAAACAAACAGTGCAAGATGGGAAAGGGGGTTTTGGTGATAACTTTTGTCATTTTTTTAAACAGATAAATTTAATCCGGTATATCTTTCCACCCAGAAATAAAGAATTACATTGTCTTAATGCTCAAACATCATTTTACCACATCATTTAATTAAGCCTCTGGATAAAAAAATAGATAGCAATTGGACTGGCCATTGTGGAGTACATTATGAACACAATGTGCTTCCGAAGTCTTCTCTCTCATTTTCAGACAGCAATTGTTAAGAGTCACACACACGTCCCAGACCTAAGCAGCAACTCCAGTGAATGGTACTCAGACACACTCACGGGACAGCACAGAACTTGATTCTTCTTTGTCTGTTGCCCAAAGAACCTGTTCTTTGAGTCTGTTCCAGGTGACTTGTAATGATACCTCTTACGGTTTTAAAGTCCACCACTCTTTACATGCTAGCAGAACTGAAGTCCAAGCGTGCAAACTCAGCCTTATGAAATCTTAGAATAAGGCAACTGATGTTCTCAACACCAATTATTATTACTTTGTTTAAAAGCTCCTTTAAAAAAAATTGCACATTTGCATTTCACTTCCTGTAACACTATGTCTGTAGAGGAAATGCCTTCAGGAGGATTCGGAGAGTGCCATAATACTTACAGGGTTTTTTCCATGGTGTTCTGTCTTGACTGGGGCCATGTGTTGAGAACTGGGAGTCACTGGCTTCATTTAAAAGATTTGGGGAACAAAAAATCTGACTTGTAAAAATCTCTCTATAGCCCTTATTTTGTGGCATTTTATCAAAATGCTATGAAATCAGAGTCCATTTTCTGGCTTTCTAGAAGTTACCAAATATAAACATTTCCCCAAAAGAAACCATCTAACTAGTGGAAGACCTTACGCCAACAGGTTCTTTCTGCTCTATGAATGAATCCGCCTTTTTTGCCGGACAAATACAATCCATTGTAAATGTCAGGTTTCTCTAGAGGGGGGTGAGAGGCCACCCGTCAGCGGACACCTCAGGCACCTAGAGAGGAAGGCCATTCCACACCAGACGCCACAAGAAACCCAGAGATGCTTCCAACAGCGAGAAGTAACGAGAGTAAAATCAGACACGATTAAAAGATGCTGAGCTGACATACACACACATAAAGCTTCCCAGCTACCGATACCAGCTTTAAAATTACAATAACAAGGTTAAGTGGATCAACCTTGGCCTTCCTATGTGTAGGTAGAATTCCTGTCTCTTCCCAGTGGAAATCGTATTGATCCCGCTGCTGCTGAAGCACCTCCCCACTCAGCTCTGATTTGTAATTTATGCACTTGATGCATATTTTAGAAAATCAGGCTCTTTCCAATGCTGCCTCTCGACACACAATAATGTGTGTTGTAATCCAAATGCTGACTTTAAATCCATGACATCGAGACCATCTCCTTTTCCTTAACCTAACCCATATCAAACTGGAACACAGAAGGGAAGCTTCAAACATCCTCAACTTTCTAGAAAGCTCCTAAATGGAACCCCAAAGTAGAAACGTTTAAAAAAATTTGTGATGAAGCCACTTTTGTCAACTACAGACATAGTTTAAATAAAAAACAAGGCACACTTACAAGTCACATGGAAGCCAGGAACCTTCACATTCCAACCTGAAAATACACTCCGAACCCCTCGCCTACCCTTCTCCTTTGGTGTGTGAACACACAGGCTAGCGGGACAGGCTTTGCTTCAAAGACATGCCACGCACTGGGTTAATACTGTCGGAAACACCAGTAAGCAAAGGCTGAGAGACTCTATTATGCTACATGTAGGATGACACCACCGACGTGGCTCAATGGAAGCAAAACCGCTTCCTGCTAGTTGAGTTTTTAGTGCTTTCTTCTTTTGGAACACCATTGTATTTCATAATAGTTACTAAAAATTTGGTAAAATATATTAAGGATTCTTTAACAAATGCCACAAGTTCTTCAAATAATTGAAAAAAGAAAGAAAAAGGAAGAAGAAAAGAAAGACTTCAGCTCAAAGCTGTGTTCAATGGAAAAGAAAAACATGATAGAACACAGGTAAGATGAAGTCAATGGCTTCGGGGGGTTTTCATGACACAGAAAAGGATGTATTTTTGAAACCCACTTTTGTGTGCAGAATCAGACAGTGTTTTCCCATCCTAATTCTATATTCCAAATGGGAGTTAAAGCTTGGTTATAGGTGCTAAGGAAAAGTTGGCTGCCAATTTGACTCTATTTTTGGGTTGCTTTTTGGCCGGGCTTTCCACGGGGTCCTTGCTGAGCAGTGACTCGGAGGTTTCCGAGGAGGGGCAGGGAGGCACGGGGACAGCTGCTGAGATGCAGGACGAGCTGGAGTCAGAGGTCAGAGTTTTGCTCTTTCCTGGTATTGGAATCTCCATTTTTTCTTCTTGGTTTAAAATCATAATTTCTGTAAACACAGAAAAGCAAACAGATTCAGATCCAGGAACTGTAAGAAGTGTGGGTTTTCTCTTCCTTGCTCATATTTTCTCAAAAGATAATAATAGTAATAAAAAGCTTCTAAATGCTACATCTATGCCACAGTTTACATATGAGTTGTGTGGCCAGTGAACTTGGCACAGAAATCAAGTATCTATAAACTGCATCCCACCTCTCCCACTGGATTACAAAGTTGGAAAGATCTCTATTTTGAGCTATAAATGAATGAGCAAAGGTTAAAACTTTTTGTTTTTCCATTTTGGATTCTCTGCCCATTCATTCTGCCTGCCAGATATTAAGGACCCATAAAGCTATCCACGACTTAGAGACTTCCTGAGGCGGGAGGCCGTGGGTGGTAGGGGGTGGGGTCGGAGCATCTGGGTGTCAGGGAGCTCCTGGCCTGCTCCATTTAGAGAGGACCTATGCTCCCCATGGGTCTATTACCGGGGATAAGGAAGGACTACGCAGAGTGAGAATTACCCTCAGAACCCAGGAAGTTGAGCACAGCCAGCTTTCCCACAGTGCTTCTGGACTGCCATTTCTGTGGCTGAGCCACATGTAATTCACCTGCTCTACACACAGGGCCACGCTGCTTGAAAGAGATGCATCATTATGCCTTAGACTCCCACTGCATAGGGCACAGGGCTCCTGCTCCCAAAGGCCCATGGAAGGTGAGAGTGGCAGAGGGGACAGCAGAGCCAGCTCCCTGCCTAGGCTGACCCTCAAGAGAAGAGCGGCTGACAGAACTGCCCACAGTGTTTTAATTATTTTCCTCTCTTGTCCGGTGCATGCAGTTGAACTTGCCCAGACTGAAGGCACAAAGGCCACAACCCCACAAACGAGCTAACATCAATGTGCCACCAACCCTAGGGGGGCACTGCACAGGAGCAGGGCATGGTCTAGGTCTGACTGCACAGGCTGGTTCTATCCGCAGGCAGTTACTTCCCCATCTCCTATTTTCCAAGTCAACAGCCTCAGTTCTTTTCCTGGGCAACAGTGCTGAACGCTGCCAAGAACAACCAAGATGGTAAAAGCCAAGCCAGGAGTCCACGGGTTGTTCCTGGTGACCTGGAAAGCAGCACCAGCAGTGGGGAGGAGTTGGGTTCCAACAGATGAAGAGCAGGGAGGGATCTGTACAGGGCAGATGGGCCATCCTCTCCAGAGGCCAGGAGACACCGCAGGACAAGAGGGCTTGGGTTCCAATGCCGGCTCTGCCCTTGCTAGCCCAGCAGCCCGGGGCCACTGCCTCTCTAGTGACGGCACCAGCTGTGCCTTAGTCACGCAGCCTGTGGAATAAAGCAGCTGCCTTTATTCCACGGCTCTCACCTGGAGCCGTGGTAAGAGTTAAATGTGATGGTGTCTGTCAGCCCTGAGCACAGGGTCAGTGCCAATGCCTGCACTAGGCTGGGACTCAGTGTGCTCAGCTTCCTGTCTGTTATATCACTGGGCAGAGTCCGGGGCTCCAGCCACAGACACCTCCCTCCATTCACCCCTTTATAAAGCCCTTGGGCCCTCTGGACCCCCACCATGGGTGACGTGTACATCTGGTGACAGGTGTGCCTGAGAGCAGCTGAACCTTCACAAAGTCTGGGAGAGCAGAAGCCCAGGAGGCCCCACCCACCCCTGTGGACTCGCCCACAGCCCCGAGCCACCAGCCCTCCAGAGCTGCCAAATCGCCCTTGCCTGATGCTCGCCAGGCAACCTCAGGCTGTGCATCCCATTCTGCAGGAACCCAGGTGGGGAAAGAAGGTCGAATAATCAGCACAGTGTTTTCCACCTGAAAAGGGGTAGTCCCTTCCCACCTCCGTCATTTACTATATCAGTATCTCATCGTGGTTTTGTTTTAAACCCCGAAGAAAATCCCCATGACAACATGGAGTCACCCACCAGAAGGCTCTTGAGGGCGCTCCTCAAACTGAATGAGATCAGCAGATTGGAGGATAACGGGGTCTGGTCTCAGCTGAGGGGACGGCAGGCACGAGGGGACAGGCGCACACAGGAGGTCGACGGGGGAGTCGTCGGTCAGGCGGAGAAGCTCCTGCTCTGTGTGACTGGGCCCTGGGCAAACAAGGAGGGCCGTGACACCACAGGACCTCCACGCCCACCCCCAGCACACACCCTGGGCTCACACCTGAAGTTTTCCTTCTAAGCCTTAAAGATAAGAGAGTCAAGAAGTATTTAAGGTATTAAAAAAAAAAAAAAAAAAAAACAAAAACCCAAAACCCACTAACAGGAAGATCCTGGTAATGGAACGCCTTAATAAGCTAGTTCTTCTGAAGATCCGTGTTCTTAGGAACACTGGCCCCTCAAAAGACCCAACCAGAGAAAAGGGTCCTGCAGTCAGCTTCCAAAGAGAAGGGACAGCCTGAGACGGGGTGTACGTAGTTAACAGCAAGTGGAAGCTCAGAATCCGAAGCCCTGGGCCTGGTTCCGTGGCTTCCTAGCTGCTGACTCTGGGTGAGCTGTAATACGTGACTGCCTGAGATTTCCGAGCCTCCGCTGCACAACGGAGGTCAGCACTGCTGAAGGCTGTGGGGCAGCTTCGGCAGATGATTCCCAGGAGGGCGCTTCATAAAACGTCAAATGCTGTGTAACTCAGTTATCCTAAGGGCACAGGGGACGGTAACGTGCTATCTCGCCGCATGTTATGAAGACAAAATTCTCACCTATAACGATGAATTCAAAAGTCCTTCAGAAAAGTTAGAACTGCTATAACATTCCAAGAATTGGCCTCTATCTACTACAGAGGTGGATCTATCTGAAATCTATGTGACTCAGTGTAATTTTGGGTAATATTAATGCATTAGTATATCAAATCCTGCCTAGGGCTGTCCTGTGACAAAGACGCCTTGACCAGCCATGAGTCAGGCACCCTGAGCCCTCTTCCGGATCAGGCCTGACCTTGGCCTTCCATGTCTGTTGCTGAACTTGCCGGCTCGCTCTAGAGTCTTAGCTTGAGTCAGTTTAGTGAGAATCCCCTCACCCTTCACAGCTGATCGAATTCCTTATTCCCAACCACTGATGTCTAGATCCTTGGCTGGCCTGCATGCCTATAGCAAGAATCCTCTTAGTAATTTTCCACCCACTGAGCCCTCACTCTGCTCCTAGGCTATGTATTGGGAGTTGGCTCTCTCTCCCCTGTTGCAAGTGTCATGAATATCCATTATAATAAGTGTCGGAATAATTTTTTTCTTCAACATCTGAACTGGGGTAAGATGATCATTATGGGGGTGCCAACATCCTTCAGGGACTTTAACCAGTCAACCATGCAATGCTAACAGATAAAGGTCAATTTTATCCTGTTACTAACTAAATACCAAAACTGCTTTGAAAAATGTGTGGCTATGTAACTTCAGCAGATTGGATGACTTGCTGGAGTCCTTTCCCTCGCTCTCCCCGACCCCAAAGCCGTTTCTCCTAGAATTTCACAAGCTCCTATGTCTCTGCTTTTCCTCTCTTACCACTGCCGTCAGCTCCAAGCTTGAGTTCCGAGGCTGTGTGCGATTCGGGCACCTCCAGGATGCGCTCGCCCTCCGAGGGCTGGTTTTCATGATTGGCAGGGGAGAGACTGAGTGAACTCAAACGACCTACAGGACAAAGAGCACCCGTCAGAGAGAAATGTCAGTGAGAGAACCGTGATTTTTTAAGGGGGGAGGGGATGGGTGCTTACTTACTTTTCATGTCATTTTTTAACACTACAATTCTCTTATGACCATGTCCTTTTATCCAGACCACCTGCACACAAGACATACTACTGGTTAAGCAGCGGAAAAGGAGGGGACAGAAGCCCTAACATTCAGGAAGAGTGTGACCTACGGAGCCTGCCTTAGGCTAGAATTTAGGAGCTGAGTTACTGCCAAGAAGCATGTTTCTCTACTCTCTCCTTAGCTTTTAAAGCAACAGAAGCTGACAGAAACATACCCCTATAAAAAGCAGAGTAGTTCAAAAATCATGAGACACAGTTTCAGAAATATCCTTTATAATTCTTAAAAAGACTGTCTTCCAAACACCAGCTTTGGCATATAAATTAAGGTAGTTCTCACATGAGAGCTCTTTGCCATTTTTTTGCAGAAACTGAACAACCACCTAAAAGAATTAAGAGCAATCTCTCAGACCCTTTAAACTAAGTTCATTATCAGCATCTTAAAGTCCTCTCCCTGATGGTGCCGCTCTCCATCTCAGCCAAGCAGAGTGGTAGTAGTGGAGCTAGGCTCCCAGGCCCCCTACATGTGCACACCGTCGCCAGGTCACTGATCTCAGCTCCCAGGCAAGCTTTGCCTGGGTCCTTCCTACTTCCTCTATTCTACTATTTTTACTCTGGCTCAATCCCTCCATCTAACACTGACCCAGACCTCTGCAGTGGCCAGGATCCTAGCCCAGTTCCCTTCTCCATGCCTGCTTCTCTCGGCTCTACCATGGACAGCACCACTGGGGTGCTTTTCAAATGCAAACCTGGGCTCCAGCTCTCTCCAACACAGTCCTCCCTCCTTACCTGGAGGAGCCACGCCCTCCCTAACCGAGCTCTCAGCTCCCTCTTAGCCTCTCGACACTCCATGCCACTTGTCACAACCCTGCATCTGCTCATGTCATCATCCCCTTTGCCCAGAATGCTCTCTCCCCTCCTTGTCACGTGCTTCCCTCAGGCACATCCTTGAAGGTTTTGCAACAGGCTCCCCAGGCTTGGGAAGTGGGCCCTGACACGGCCCTCCTCAGCGCGCCCACTGCCCTGACCGCCCTGACTAGTTGCCTGCTTGGGGGTCTTGACTCTCCCATTAACCAACACCTTTCTAGAGTTACAGCCTGAAACTTACTCACCTGGCATATAGGGATTTAATAAAGGTTTACAGAAAGAATCAAGGAGAAATGCTAAAATCATTTACTTTAGACCAACAGTATGTTTTGAAAGGATCAATTCAAAATGCCTGCCGTTCCATTATTCTGGCAGCATTTTATTTTTCTGTTCAGGACAGTTAGCCTGTGGCTGTTCAGAAGATGCTCTCCCGGAAGCTGAGAAAAATGCCCACCTGTGGAATTGCTCCCAAGAGCTCCTCCACGCTGCTGTGGCCGTAGGTCTTGGGCTGCAGAGTTTCTCCGACATACTTGGTATAGGCCATGGAAAACTCATGAAGGAAAATCTGCTGGTAGTGGTAAGTATGAAGTAAAGACCGCACATTCTTTGCAAACAAATACAGACTTGTGAGCTTCACACATTCTTCCATCTTATCATTAGTGAAAACCTGGTTAAAAAGAAAACGCAGCATTAGAAATATTAGTGACTGGCCCTGCCCCGTGGAAAGTGAAGGCCTCCCACTGAGGGAAAAGGCCCAGAGTTGAAGACGAAGACAAAGAAGAAAAAGAAGGCAACGAAGATGAGAAGATGAAGATGAAGAAGGAGACAAAGATGACGAAGAAGAAGGAGACGACAAAGATAAAGAAGACAACAACAAAGAAGATGAAGACAAAGACGACGAGACAAAAACGAAGATAAAGACGACAAAGATGAAGACAAAGAACAAGAAGACGAAGACAAGACGAAGACGACGATGAAGAAGACGAAGACGACGATAAAGAAGACGAAGACGACGAATTGGACAAAGACAAAGATGAAGAAGATGAAGATGACAAAAAAGACAAAGAAGAAGAAAGGAGGAGGAGGAAGGAAAGAAGGAAGAGGAGAAAGAAAAGGAGGAGGGATATATTCAAGGATTTCCTCCAAGAGAAGGCTATAGCCTCCAGCAAACTTCAGTTCTATTTGCAAGTCGAAGGCTGCAGCGGTCTGAAGAGACAGTGTGTGAGTAGGGAAGAAATCGGGGGAGGCAAACTGTGTTGGCAAATCACGGTACACACAGTGAACACTGGGGCCATTAAACTGCACCTCCAAACCAGTTTTCCAAGAAACACTGTGATAAGAGGATGACACTAGCATTCTTTAAAAACACATCAAAAGCAACAAGAAACAAACACAAAACCCTTGTGTATGCAGGGTAAGGAAGCAGATTTCTTTACCACAAACCTTTTCAAAGTGTTTAACATGCTATGGAATCGCCAAGAGAAAGGATATTCCCAATCTTAGCTGGACAGGGAAAGTCCTTTGTCCTGAAATATGCATTAACACCTGTCCAGAACTGGTGTTCTTAGGATAGATATTAACAGAGTTTAGAAAATGCTGGATGTATATCCTTTCATTATTTAATGATGTGTCCCACAGTTAGATGATAATGGCATATCATTCTTTTAAATTGCTGGAGCTCATTTGTTAATATCTTATTTAGGATCATTTTAAGGGACTATCTTATGTTTTTGGTATTAAATTTATTTTGGCTTCGTAAAAATAAATGGTAAGCTTTCCTTTTTTCTTTTTCAGCAGCCTAGAACAGTATTTTTTTTCTTGGGGATGGGTTCTTGCTATGTTGCCCAGGCTGGCCTCAAACTCCTGGGCTCAAGTGATTCTCTAGCCTCAGCCTTCTTAGTAGCTGGGATTATAGACGTGTACCACCTTGCCGGGCCCCAGAATGGTTTTTTAAAAGGTAGATTTATCTGTTCTTTTAGGGTTGGTTGAAATTCAATTGTTATCTCACTTGGTCCTGATGCCTTTTTCACTGGTATATTTCAGTGATCTTTTATAGTCTCTTTTATGGTAATTGGTCTAATTTTTAACTTCTTGAGTGAATTTTGGTAACTTATTTTTTCCAGGATTTCATTTATTTACTCTAGGTTTTTATATCTGTCGCCCGAGAATTGCATGCAGTATTCTCTTAAGATTCTCTCAATCTTGGAGCGCCATTCTTGAAAGGCTGCCTGGGGGACTGGCTGGCCAACCTTCCTTTCTGCCCTCACCTTACTCATCTCTCTCTTCAAGCCACCACATAAACCATCTCATTCAGAAAGATAAAACAGTAGCGAAATCCATCCTGGAATGGGACAAACACACCCCAGAGCCAGGATCAGGAGACCAGGCTTTCATCCTAGAACGGGACAAACACACCCCAGTGCCAGGATGAGGAGACCAGGCTTTCACTGGCTTCTGCCACCCATTTAGGCAGGGCTGCTTCACTGCCTGAGGTCTCGGCGTGTTCATCCATGAAATGGTCTCTCGGGTCCCTTCCAGCTCTACACACTCTAATCTAGACCATCAGGTAATCCGGAAATGCCCAATCGATAGTTTTCAATGATAGTTCTAAAGAGCCATTAACGTGCCTACCTCAACCAAGTATGGCAGGCTCTTCAGCAGTTCGGTCAAGGTCATGAATCCATATTCACAGGGGTTAAGGGGAGTGTTGTGGGTACTTTCGTAATGTCTCTTGAGCTCCTCAACAGAAAGATGGGTGGTTCCTTCCCAAGACATCAACAATACCAGCAACTGGGCAGTGAGAGATCGCAGAGACTTTCGGTTGATCAGCTGAATCTGTCTGCCAGATTCTATATCGGCAACCTGGGGAAAACGAGAATTCACACTTTTCAGAGCTCAAGAGAGACACCCTAGGTTATACCCAACTCAGCTCACTTCATTTTGGTTAATGAGACCAACAGATGAAAAATCTCTAATTTTTTTCTCTTACACTGAAATAAAGCAAGTGGGTTTGTTTTTAGCGTCTTTGGGACACCAGACCAACATGGAAGCAGAAACTGTCCTCCCCCTGCCGGTCCATAACTGAAAACTCTCAACAAGATAATAATGGGGGAGGAAATTGCATCATTCTCTTTATTTTTCATTCATTCTTTCCAAACCCCACTATAAGAAGGACACAGACTGGCCAGCTGATGGCCAGTGGTCCAAGCTTGTGAAGTGTGGGTTGCTGTGCTCGAAGGGGGGTAGGGATGGGGAGGCTAGACTCTAAGCAACACTCACATGGCTTCTGTGCAGACCCGACTTGCCCATATGCGTCCCCAGGGCGGGCTGGGGAGGTGAGAGAGGGCCTACTCTGATTACAAGGCAAGCTGCATTTTTCTAGTCTGCTATTACTCACCACAAAGCTGGTATTTTCATCTGACTAGTAACTGTCCACTCCTCAATTATTTCAGATTCTCAAGGAGATAAAGGGTTTAAGCGGTTAAATGCGCTGAGAGGGAAACCTTACAAAAAAGACAGAGATTGTCACTTGGGGACCAAACACCATGTGAAGAAACACGCATCTGGTGACTGAGCCAGCAGGCTGTGGGTGGCGAGGGTGAGGCTGTGGCGTGAGCCTTTCCTGGCACAAAAACAGGCAGAGCTTTGGCACACACACGGCTCCGGCACTGCTCTCACAAACCAATGCTCATCCTGACAGCTTGTTTGCCCCCTTTATCTGGTTTTCCTGCCAGGGCCAAAGGTCTTGGCAGGGCTAAGTCACCACAAGTTGGCACTCTTTGGACCGTGGATTCTGAGAGGCAGAGAGAGGTGGGTGGCACTTGAGGAGCCATCCCAAGACCAGGGCATCTTTATCTGGTTCTGACATGTGCCCAGAGCCAAGGCAGGAGGGAGGCTGGCAGGGTCCCACCCTACTTATCATGATTATGGGACTGTATAGATTTCCTCCTCAGAAGCGGGTTTAATCAACCAACCGATACAAGTCCAGGGGATCCCAGTCATCTTAGCCACCCAGACCCCCACCATCACTACAGCTGCTTAGGAAAGAAACCAAACCAGAGCCTGCTCCTCTGGTGCGACTTGGATCCATCCCTTGATTCTCAATCCCGGCTATGCATTAGAATTGCCTGGGGAGCTTTTAAAAACACCAATGCTCAGAGTGTGCTGGGACTAATTCTATAAGAATCTGAAAGGTAAGGTTGGAGAAGCTCCCAGGAGACCCAGTGGGCAGCCAGGGAGGCACCACGGAGCCTCTCTCAGCTCTCCCCATTCTTGCTGCTCACACCCCAGCTGCCCACCCATCACACTCACCCAGCAAAGCCCTAGGTCATGGCGTGGGGTCTTCCTATCCACCTGAGTCCACCCCTTTCATCATCCTGGGCAACTGAACACCCAGGGACCTGTCCCACACCACAGCCGTATAGCCTTTCAATGCCTTGCCTCTGTCATCTCCGACGACATCCTCCTGTGTTCAATTTCACTGCAGACACCCATCTCCAGGGTCACAGTGCAAACCTGTCATTACCCCATCCAACATAAATCATTCAAACCTCCTGAGCATCCCACTTGCAAAAGCAAGTCTGGAGCTGCTGTTGGGGTGGGAGTGCAGAAAGAGACTCTACCCGCTCAACTCCGCCCCTTCTCAAACCTCAGCAGCATCACTGCCTCCTATCTGCTCCCAATTTGCCAGCCCACTCCCTTGCTTCACTCTCCTCTTTTGTCATGCTGGCACTGACATTCTTGTCAATATTTAAATTCGCTCATCCCATGCCTTTTCCTGACGCCCATCGGTAAACTCCCACCTTGAATCCAACCACCTGCTTTCCCTGAACCGACACCTGCATAGCCACACCCCAACTGCTGCTCTCCCAGAGTCTACGGTGCCAACTTGCAGTGAGCTCTCGATACCCCTGCACTCCACGTGACATCCTGATCAAGCCACTCTCCACTCACCATGACAACTGTGGACCTTCTCCCCACTCCTAAGTCCTGAGCCCTGCCTCTCCTCTCTCTCTCTAAGCAGAGATCAGTCCCTCTCTCTAGTGGAAAACCACTCTTGGAAGAGGACTCCCTTCTATTCCTGATGATAAACATCAGACCTGCCCATGCCTGCCCCCAGCCTATTGCCCTGTATACTTCCTCCTTCCTCTGTGTGCTGTTTCCTAGTCTCCCACACCTCAAGGCCCTCCTGTCTTACCCCTTCTCGCCCTTGTATGTTCATCTTCTCTCTCTAGACAGATCCACATCAATGGCTTTCAGACATGCTCAAGTTTTTCCAGGTAGGAAAACCAACAGCCCAAATCCTCCCTTGCTCCCTCAGCCCCACAGCCTCTAGCTGCTGCCACAGCCCTCCATCTTCACAAGCAGACAAACCAGGATGCTGTCCAGATGACCTGGGCCATTTTCTCACCTCTCCTCACTCCTCACCACACTCCAAGGTGGCTTCTGTCTACACAACCAACACTGCCACTGACCTGGCCAGCAGCACCGACTCTTCCCACTGAGCTAAACCTGGAAGTCAGGCAGTCCCTCTCTGACCAGCCCTCCTGCGATGCTGCTGGCCATTCCTCTGCCTTGGCTCAGGGATGTTCGGCTCTCCTGGTTGTGCTTCCTGCTCTCTCACCTCCTCCTCCAACCAATCAGTACCTAAGGAGAGCTCTGAGCGTTCCTACCTCTGCCAAGGTAAGAACGTCTTCTTAGCTGCAGTCCAATACATTAAAAAACAGTGGGGGCTGGGTGCAGTGGCTCATGCCTGTAATCCCAGCACTCTGGGAGGCTGAGGTGGGCGGATTACCTGAGGCCAGGAGTTCGAGATCAGCCTGGCCAACACGGTGAAGCCCTGTCTCTACTAAAAATACAAAAACTAGCTGGGCGTAGTGGCGGGCGCCTGTAATCCCAGCTACCCAGGAGGCTGAGGAAGAAGAATCTCTTGAACCTGGGAGGCGGAGGTTGCAGTGAGCCAAGATCGCACCACTGCACTCTAGCCTGGGCCACAGAGCAAGACTCCAACTCCAAAAAAACCCCACAGTGGGAAGGAAAGGGAGAGTGAACCCGTTCTGGCTGTTTACGGAATTAAATGACACAGAAATGTGTGCAGCTAGTAATGGGCCTGTAACTGAGGGTGCCGTCCTTCATGCTTCCCTTTCCATTCCTTCCTCCTGGCAGTGACTTCTTCTGGTCCTGTGGGGGAGGAGGCCGAAAACTGGCAGCTGCTCTGCCTAGGACAGGAAGGGTCAAGTGCAGTCCAGGACAGCAAACAGCACGAGCTGCCCTCTCTACTACAGCTCTGCCAGTGACAAAGGCCACTCTGCACCCTCGCTTGCTCCTAAGCCTACTCCTAAGTGGGTGAGAATGTGGAGGGAGAGGACACTGTGTGATTACGGGCTCCCAAGAACGTCACAGGCAAAACTCACACTGGAAGGAGTCAAGCTCAGGCCAGCAGTGCTGAGGCAGCTGCACCTCATGACCGAACCCTGGGGTGAAGAGTGACCTCATCAGTTCACAAAGGCATTGCTTTGGCAAGGCCATTCAGAAACACACAAGAGGAAGACCAAAACTCTCAACTTCCAAACCAAGGCTTCTATTACCTAATAAGCACTAATGACACAAAACGAGTCATAATGCTGTGACAGTTAAGTAGTTCAAGGTGTAAATAAAGAAACGCTACAGCACACGCAAACGTCCTAATGAGAATTAGGTCACTGTGAGTTTTATCCCATGAGGGAAAAAAAAAAAAAAAAAAAAAAACATTTACCTTCACGACATGGCAGAGTTTCTGAGTTAAAGCCGAAATGGAACTGACATCATAGTCTTGGAGACGAAATGTATAACCAAAAGTTTTAGCATATTCTGTAAGGAGATCTGTCATCATAAGGCAGTTATCTTTTTGGGACCGAAGGAGTTTAACAAACTGGGCAGCTAGAGCTTTGAACCGCTCCACCTCTGTCAGAGTAAGGATCTTTTCTTCTCCACATTCCAATACCTTTGAAAACACACGGGGGGAGGAAAGGGAAAATAAACAAATCACGGGTGTTTACAGAATAGCAAAAAAAGTATGCAGCTAGTAATGAAAAAACAAGTCAGCGTTACTGAATGGGTATAAAGTTTCAGTTGTGTAAGATGAAAAAGTTCAGAAGATCGGTTGCATAACAATGTGAATGTGCTGACCACTACTGGACAGGAGATATAAAGATAGTTACGAAGGTAAGTTCTATGTTATGTGTATTGTGCCACAATAAAACAATTTTTAAAAAGCACTTCAGTAGTAAAAAAAGAAAATAAAATCAACAACAGAAATTTGGTTTAACTTAGCAACAGCGAACAGCTTAGCACTGATGTTACCTCATGTACTCAGACCTACCTTCAACACGAAGGATTTTAAAAGTATAAAAGTAATGAACAAATATTCAGTGTAAGAAATCAGCAGGTGTGGTGGCTCACGCCTGTAATCCCAGCACTCTGGGAGGCTGAGACAGGCGGATCAACTGAGGTCAGGAGCTCAAGACCAGCCTGGCCAACGTGGTGAAACACCATCTCTACTAAAAATAGAAAAATTAGCTGGGCATGGTGGCGGGCACCTGTAATCCCCAGCTACTCGGGAGGTTGAGGCAAGTGAACTGCTTGAACCCGCAGGCGGAGGTTGCAGTGAGCCAAGATTGCGCCATTGCACTCCAGCCTGGGCGACAAGAAAGAAACTCCGTCTCAAAAAACAAAAACAAACAAACAAAAAAAAGAAAACCTACTGAATCTTTTTTTCAATAATTACCCCCAAAACAAGTTTGAATAATCCTTTATTGAAGGAAAAAGCCATATTTATCTAAAAATACTAATGAGTCAGGAATATGGCTTCTCTGACTGGAATAGCTTAGATTTTCATCCTCTTTCGTAACTCCCTACTTCCCAGAAAAACAGGTCTGGAACGTGAAAAAGTATTTCCTATACGTTGTTCAGAAAAATACTTTATAAAATTAGAATTTCTTCACTCACTTGTAAAGTATCAGGTATGGCTTCAAAAAGTTCAAGTAGTTTGGTAAACCCATAGTACGCAAGTTTGCACTGCCGGCCAAAGTGGTGATGGTAAGAAGGGATAAATTTATTAAAGGGCATCCGGAAATGGGGTTGGTGACGCAGCAAATCAACGACATCCTTGGAGAACTGTTTTGTCCTTTCTATTTCATCCTGAGTGCGTTCTTTTAAAAAAACCAAAAAACATAAAATCACAGTTTTTTTCTACCCATTTGTGTTCAACATCCACACTAGAGTAAATCCTTTTGGGAATTTATAAACGATATCATCCTTGCCTTCCAAACACACACAACCTAAAACAAACACATATACTCTTCCCTCTTTGCAAGTGGTTCTCAAACATGTTCCAGGGCAGAACACCAGGAAGTTATGATATTATTATATTATGAAATTCATATATATTCATCTTATAAGCTAGAAACAATGTCATCTTATAAGCTAGAAACAATTTTCTAGCCCCTGCCCCATATCTATTAACATGACACACACCCAGGTCCCTGTACTTAAGCAAGTACTCTAGAAATTATTCCCATGAAATCACGCTTCTGAATATCCCCACTTTTTTTGTTTATTCATCTGATCTTCAGTTAAAACTTGCTAGCAGAAGAGAGAATCAGGCTTCAAAAGTTGAACAAAAATAAACAGGAGGGAAAGCTTAAGCTGAGATTGTTTCTATTAATTTTTAAGTGAGAATGGGCCCTGGAATTCTATGATTTCATGGACATCAATGTTCTGCAGGAGCACCGTTTAAGAACCAGATAATAGAAGGAGGATACGACCATACAGTCACCCCTTGGTGTTCTCAAGGGATCGGGTCCAGGACCCTGCCTGGATACCAAAATCCGCACCTACTCAAGTCTTGCGGTCTGCCCCGCGGAAACTGCAGACACGAAAAATTGGCCCCCAGTATCCATGAGTTTCGCATCCCTCAAATACTGTACTTTCTACCCGTAACTGGACCTGTGCAGTTCTGACTTCAACTATTAAAATTTGAAAGGCAAAAGAAAAAAAAACATTCGAGTTGTCTTCCCTTCTCAAGTGTGCACAGTAAATAAAGTAGCTCAGAGTTCAACAGAAGAGCAAAGCCAACAGGCACGGTGACAGATTCTCAACTGGATGACTAAGGCTCATGTAGCCACAGCCAGGCTGCAGAAGGCATTTGAGCAAAGTGCTGATGATGCCCCTTTTTCCCCTTAGAGTCAATTCTAAAAAGCCAGCCTGCTTTTGTTCTTGAGAACAGCTTCACCTACTTTGAAGAACACAGAATCCAAAGAGCAGCAGTTTTCACACTGTGCTTTCTGTGGAATCTTCAGGAAGCACGGACAGGGAGGGAAAACCACATCTTCCATGCCACACTATGTTAAAATAACAGGAGATAGACAATATCCTTCCAGCAAATGTTAAGTCACATACCTCTTTTGGGGATACAAATCACCATTTCATTATCTTGTTGGGACAAGCAGATGGTTGTGTCTGGAATCTCTGATACGATGTCAATCAACTCACAAACACCATATTCAGTGACATCCCAGTCCTTTGAGAAACACCTAGGTTTTAACAACGGAAGTGGATACGGAATGAGTAGTATCATCGGTAGAAGAACTACAAGTTTTCCGGCCGGGCGCTGGGGCTCACGCCTGTAATCCCAGCACTTTGGGAGGCCGAGGTGGACGGATCACGAGGTCAAGAGATCGCGACCATCCTGGCTAACATGGTGAAACCCCGTCTCTACTAAAAAATAGAAAAAATAAGCCGGGTGTGGTGGCGGGCGCCTGTAGTCCCAGCTACTCTGGAGGCTGAGGCAGGACAACGGCATAAACCCGGGAGGCGGAGCTTGCAGTGAGCCAAGATCGTGCCACTGGGCGACAGAGCGAGACTCCGTCTCAAAAAAAAAAAAAAAAAAACAAAAAACTACTACAAGTTTTCCAAAAGAATGCTTAATAGAAATACTAGATAACTATTTAGAGTTTGGCAGAAGATAAAATGTCCTAAAATATTTACTTTCATTTCTGTTCTTTTCATCAACTCACCAGTGATAAGCCTGTGAGAATTCTCTCACAATGACCTGTTTGCTGGCCTGGGATTTGAGAAGTTTTAGTAAATCCTGAGTAAAGCGCTTCACCTGGGCCCTGTGGGTAAGGGTCAGCAGACGTTTGGAGCCCATTCCAAGAATCTGCAAAGCAAATAGTTTATTTATACACATAAGACCTCAGCAGACAGCGACTTCCTTGCTGCTGGCTCACCCTCTCGTTACTAGCCTCAGAGCATGACTCCCTTTATGTAGAATGTGTGCAATTTGAAACACATGTCGATCAACAAAATGTAGTTGGTCAAAAGGAACAAATGTCCAAGGCCTTCTGAAACTCTTATCGTTTTTGGCCTGGCACACCTTCTCCCAAACAGTCGTTGAGTATAAAAATGAAAAGTGTAATCTTTTGAAAAGAAAAGTCGTGAGTACAGAAATGAAAACTGTATTGGTTGTCCAGACAAATTGGTCTACAAGTTTTTCAAGCCGTTTTTAGTGAGTGGGAAGCTGTTATAACACTGTGAGTTAACTGGTAAAAGTCTTCATAGGATCCAGTGCTACACTCTAGCCCAGTAACTTGTCTCCAACTAGTTAAATTTAGAAGAAAGGTTAAGCCCTTGACTCTCACATAGGCACCAACATACAAGTATGTGGCTATTCATGGGAGCTTCCTTGTAATCATGAACAGTTCTGGAGAAAGCTGTGCTGGGATGAAGAAGGTCTATAGAGCTTAGAGGGAAAATACTCCTCAGTCCTCCAAGGAGTTCCTCTAAAACTGGAAACTAGCAGCGTTCTGAAAAATTGAGAAGCCGCCTGTGTGTGTTATTCCTGCCCTCTGAAGAAAGTTTTTAGTGGATGTTCTGCCCAGAACTGACTTCTTAGGAATTAAACTGTTTCTTTGATGGAGGCAGCCAAAGCCATGGAGGAACATTCCTGCCTGTAAACAAGTAATCCCGTGACACGCCTTACCTGCAATACATGAGGCACTGCTTCTAATAACTCAATCAGCTTGGAGTATCCGTAGTCTGACACTCGGCACTGCTTTGCAAAATGATGGTGATAGGATGGGATGAAATGACTGATGGGTATGACACAAGATGGCTGGCTTTTCAGCAAGTCAATCACTTCTCTACTGAACTGGATCAGCTGGGGGTTACCTACAGGACTCTTCGAACGCAGAAGCCAAGGGTCTAGAAGAAAAAGAACGTGTATAAGACAGAAAGCACAGATTTCACCAGCTGAAAGAAGGGAAAATGGCCCTGCAGTCCCTGGCTTGAGTTCGATCATGGGGAAGCAAACAAAACCAAATACAGTAGCTGCTTTACGTCTCAGTTTCTATATTCAGGTCTCATAGTCCAATAACTAGCTAACTAACTTATTCACGGGCTGTCAAATGCTGTCCCACTAATCCTCAAAGTTAAGCGGCCAAGGTAAAGCAGAGTCTACTATAGTGTTATTTATAGCAGAAGTCAAAGTACACAAGAAGCTCCCAGTTTAGAAACTAGTTATATTTCCAAGATCCTTCTGAAACTTGGTCATGTGGAACGTACCTTTCCACAAAGTTATAAATGGTCATCAGGTAGGTGGCCCAGAAGAGCAAAATTAATCCATAGTGGAGCTGAAAACGTTACCCAGAAAACCACAGAAAGTGATAATGTTGTAAGATTAGCATGACATAAAAGGGTGTAAGGAACAGGTTTTTGCACCATCTTGACTGCTTATACCTATTAAAAAGGTATAAGTAATCAAACGGAAATCTTTATAGAAAGGTGGAGAGGCTTGCTGGTCGCGGCGGCTCATGCCTGTAATCCCAGCACTTTGGGAGGCTGAGGCGGGCGGATCACGAGGTCAGGAGATCGAGACCATCCTGGCTAACAAGGTGAAACCCCGTCTCTACTAAAAATACAAAAATAAATACAAAAAAATTAGCCGGGCGTGGTGGCAGGCACCTGTAGTCCCAGCTACTCAGGAGGCTGAGGAAGGAGAATGGCATGAACCCAGGAGGTGGAGCTTGCAGTGAGCCTAGATTGCACCACTGCACTCCAGCCTGGGACACAGAGCGAGATTCCGTCTCAATAAATAAATAAATAAATAAATAAATAAAATAAAATAAAATAAAATAAAAAGTGGAGGCTTGTGGGCTCATGGCTTAGGAGAAAGGAGGAGTGGCATAATCTATGGCCCCTGAGAAGTCTAAGACAGAGGGAAAAGAAAGGAGGTGTCCCGTAAGAAACCTGAGTACACACATTCCTAAGAGCAGGCTGACTCAGAAAGAATTCCTTGGTTATCCTCACCTTTTTTCCTGTAGGGTAAGGGAGGTGGGAGAAGCAAAAGTGTTGGGGACAAAGAGGAGGAAGTATGTGTGTATACACAGGAAGGCAACAAGTAAAGTGTCGTTCACGGGCAGCAGCCTTGGATATCTGCAACTCAGGACATGCCCGTAACTCAGACACTCACCCAAGTCTAGGTCCAAATACCTTGGTCTTTTAAATTTATTTTCACATTTATCAAAGTCCAAAACGTGGACCAAAATGACTTTCGAAGGTAAATCTGCATTAAGTGGTATTTCCTTCAAATACCTGAAAGTACTTTTTTTTTTAAAGACAGAGTTTCGGCCAGGTGCGGTGGCTCACGTCTGTAATCCCAGCATTTTGGGAGGCTGAGGCGGGCGGATCACGAGGTCAGGAGATCGAGACCATCCTTGCTAACACGGTGAAACCCTGTCTCTACTAAAAATACAAAAAAAATAGCCGGGCGTGGTGGCAGGCGTCTGTAGTCCCAGCTACTCGGGAGGCTGAGGCAGGAGAATGGTATGAACCGAGGAGGCGGAGCTTGCAGTGAGCTGAGATCCGGCCACTGCACTCCAGCCTGGTGACAGAGGGTGACTCCGTCTCAAAAAAAAAAAAAAAAAAAAAATCCTGGGCGCGGTGGCTCACACCTGTAATCCCAGCACTTTGGGAGGCTGAGGCGGGCGGATCATGAGGTCAGGAGATCAAGACCATCCTGGCTAACAAGGTGAAACCCGTCTCTACTAAAAATACAGAAAAAAAAAAAAATTAGCCGGGCGTGGTGGCGGGCGCCTGTAGTCCCAGCTCCTCAGGAGACTGAGGCAGGGGAATGGCGTGAACTCAGGAGGCGGAGCTTGCAGTGAGCCAAGATTGTGCCACTACACTCCAGCCTGGGCAACAGAGCAAGACTCCGTCTCAAAAAAAAAAAGACAGAGCTTCACTCTTGTCACCCAGGCTGGAGTGCAATGGCTTGATCTTAGCTCACCACAACCTCTACCTCCTGGGTTCAAGTGATTCTCTTGCCTCAGCCTCCCGAGTAGCTGGGATTACAGGTGCCCACCATCATGCCTGATTTTTCTATTTTTAGTAGAGATGGGGTTTCACCATGTTGGCCAGGCTGGTCTTGAACTCCTGACCTCAGGTGATTTACCCACCTCAGCTTCCCAGAGTGCTGGGATTACAGGTGTGAGCCAACAGGCCCAGCCCCTGAAACTATTTTTAAAAGGTCAGTCAACTGGCAAGCCAAAAGCTTCACAAAATTAGGTTGCTAAAAGGATCTGTAAATGTGAAATTTGAGTTTCAAATTTTTTACATAGCTTATGTTGGTACTTTCAAACTGGCCAGGTGTGGTGGCTCATGCCTGTAATCCCAGCATTTTGGGAGGCCATAGTGGGACGACATCTTCAGCTCAGGAGTTCAAGAGCAGCCTGGACAACACAGCAAGGCCCTATCTAAAAAACAAAGTCTAGGCCGGTTGCTGTGGCTCAGGCCTGTAATCCCAGCACTTTGGGAGGCGGAGGCAAGTGGATAATGAGGTCAAGAGATCAAGACCATCCTGGCCAATATGGTGAAACCCTGTCTCTACTAAAAATACAAAAAATTAGCTGGGCGTGGTGGCTGGTGCCTGTAGTCCCAGCTACTCGGGAGGCTGAGGCAGGAGAATCACTTGAACCCGGGAGGCAGAGGTTGCAGTGAGCCGAGATCGCACCACTGCACTCCAGCTAGGCGACAGAGCAAGACTCCGTCTCAAAAAAAATAAATAAATAAAAAATAAAACAAAGTCCAGTAACGCCAACCCCTCAAGCATTTTAGGAATTTTCAAAAGATCAAAGGACACATCCATGGTGTTTTCACACTTGGCAAATTGTGCTGCTGTTTAAAATAAAAGCCAATAGCCTCCTCTGGTCTCATAGTGGACAGGTGGTAGCTCCAGGACAAAATACCTGACACCTACCAGTGTTGGGAGGCGGGGGCTTGTTGTGAATCCATTTAACCACTTTGATGCCATTCTGAGCAGTGGCAATGTTTACACCTGGAACACAGGTAATGAAGTGTTCTAAGGGAACACCTCCTTGGTTTTCTTGCACTACTTCTAGATCGCCAAACTCTGCAATGTAACAATCTGGAAAGCTGAAATAGGAAAAAACAACAAAAAAAGGAAAGGTTAAATCAAAATAACAGAAAAGGAGGCGCTTGCTAAACAGAAGGCTTTGGTTTAATGTATGTGTTAATCATTTGTCTGAATGCCCACCACCAGGTTTGAAGGTTAAAATTAAGGACCCAGGGAGGCAAGCACTGAGGCACTGGCCTCTCTGATGCATTCTGATGGCATTTTCTGGGTAGTTTTCCAGGAGGGGGATTAAAAATAGGGCAACTGGGCTCCAAGTCAGTTACGCGTCTGCTTCCACATCAGCAGGGACGTGCAGGCCACTGAGTCCTGTGTTGGCCTTTGTGTTAAGTCTACTGTTGTGGCTCATGGAGTGATTAAATGAACTTCTGAAGAATACTTTTCTCTCACAAGTCTTGAAATGTATGCATATTTGAAGCTGTGTACTCTCAACACTTGTGGAGATTTCGACTGCAGCACTTATGATACATCTCCCCTCTGTGGAAGAATCTGCCCTCCTCACGTTTACGTTTCTAAAATGTAGCGCAAACACACATTTTCTTGTTGAAGTACTGAGTGAATGGATCCCATTTCAGATAAACAGTCACGTGCTGCTTCATGATGGGGATATGTACTCAATAATGTGTTGCTGGGTGATTCTGTCACCTGAGAACATCATCAGGTGCACTTATGCAAACCTAGATGCTGCGGCCCACTGCACACCTAGGCTGGTGCAGCCCATGGTTCCCGAGCTACACATCTGGACAGCCTGTTACTGTACTACACACTGTGAGCAACTATAACACAATGGTATTTGTGTATCTAATCATCGAAAGGTCTAGTGAAAATATGTGATTATAATCTTATGGGACCACTGTCCTATATACAGTCCATGGTTGGCCAAAATTTTGTTATGTGGTGCATGACTGTACTTTGACTGAAGGCTAAACACATGAGGATGAAGCATTGTAGAGTACTTATTTGTAAAGAGATGTGGGCAGAAAGGGCAGGCTTCCTATAAAAAGCAGAACTAGGGCATTATATCGACAAAGGCTTTGAGATGGTTCACCTCAATAAAGGCACGGTGCCCTCGTGGGTCTGGAGAAGACTGTGAACCTGGGGCGCAAATGTCTTCAAAGAAAGAATCACAAAAGGAATCTTGTAAGAGTCTGGATCAAATTCATGTTCGCTGAAGAAAAGAGAACACAATTGGAAGCTGACATTCCGCAGGGGTCTAAGATGTTCACAAGGTCATCCTAACATGTTCCACAATCTTATAGAAAAGAATTACTTCTAAAGGAAAACGAACGGCACACCTGAAATCCTTATTGGAACAATGCTGTCTGCAGACAGGCTCGTGATATTCTAACTCTTCAAATATAATTGGGCTGCAATTCGTGGAGGAGCCGTCGTGTGACTGGGAAGACCCCAAGGGGCTCTGGCGGGCCTGACTGCTGGGTAGGAGACACACCAGCCGTCCGTTTCCTTGTTCACGGATTGCGACCGTGTCTGTTAATTTATATAGATCTGACACATTCAACTTGTGTCCAAACCTAAAAGCAAGAGAAGAGAGACGCTGACTTAGAAGGTTTTTCTTTGATTATACAGAAACACGCATCCTGTTTAAATAAAGAACAATAACCAAGAATGGTTCCTCCATCTCTTCAAAGGTAAAACTGGAATAATTCTACTACAAATTCATTCACTAGCAAACCAGTGATGCTTGGTACTCCTGAGTCGTCTCTGGCTCCGACCATGACAATGCTCACTTCATTTGAAAGCCACCCCCAGCCCCTGCCCAGTTTCTTTAAGTGACCTCACCAAATTCTCTTGAGTTGGAAACCTCTCTCGATGCAGCTCCCCTCACTTCCAATTCTCTGTGTTACTTCTCACCATCCCCATTCTCCCCTCTCAGAAGTATATGTGCTTTCCGTGACCCTCTCAACTCTCCTATGCCTCAACTGCATGATCCACACACCCTCTGACACTGGACTCCCCAGTTCTCCTCCTGACCTGTATCTTTCTTACTTGGAACTTAAAGGCACTGGCCCTGGAGGCTGGCAGATTTGAGTTCACATCCTGACTCCACTTCAACCTGTGTGACCTTAGTCAAGTTCCACGACCAATCGGGGCCTCACTTTTTCCATCTGTAAAATGGGGTGATGATAGCGCCTATCTCACAGGGTCAATGTGAGGATTAAGTGTGGTTAGGCCTGGACAGAACTTGGCTCATAGTAAGTGCTCAGTAAGTGTTCCCTGGTCTTCTCACTGTCTGACCAGTGTTTTCTTCCCAGTGTCCTACATATGCTCAGATTCCCATCTACCAAACCAGCCCCTGGTCCTCTTCCACCTCCCGGAGAGACACACTCTCCCTTGTACTCTCATTCTCAGTCTCGTACTCTACCCTGTCCCTGTAATGGAAACATCCAGCTGCTCAGGAGCTGCTTCTGCTGTGTTACCCCCGAGTCTCTCAGCCCCTTCCCTACTGGATTTTAGCCACAGGACTCTGTAGTGATGACTCAAAAGTTATCAGCGGCCTCTGCCTCATCCCCACACCTCATGCATTTCCTCATGGCCTTGGATCCCCCCATTCCTGATGTGCTCTCTTGGCACACATCCTGGGTGCTCGCCCACATCCCTGGCCCTGGTGGCATTCCATCCATTCCTGCCCTCTATTTCTCCTTCCCCCTCCCAACCTTATCTGCTCTCTAGTCTGTCCCAATCGTCTTAAAGGCAAATGACTGCCCTATCTCCAGAGCCTACTTCTCTCCCAAAGAAGTCCCTCAATGTGCAGAAGACTATGTGACCTCTCCACCCAGCTACTCCAATGGCCCCTAAAACCTGAATGTCCAAAACCAAGACCAAAAACTTGCTGTACCTCCTTGCCATGCTTTATTTCCCTATTTCCAGTTTAACTGTGCAACCATCATCCCAGTCATGCAAGGCAAAACACTCAGAATCAAAATGACCTCTCCCTTTTACCTTGCTTGCTACATAAAACTAGTTACTCTGGCTGGACGTGGTGGCCCGTGCCTGTAATTCCAGCACTTTGGGAGGCCTAGGAGGGAGAATCACTTGAAGCCAGGAGTTCAAGACCACCCTGGGCAACATAGCAAAACCCCCTCATTACAAAAATTAAAAAATATTAACTGGGCAGGATGGCGGATGCCTGTGGTCCCAGCTACTCAAAAGGCTGAGATGGGAGGATCATCTGAGTCCAGGAGTCTGAGGCTGCAATGACCTAGGGTCGTGCCCCTGCACTACACCCTGGGTGACAGAGTGAGACCCTGGCTCAATAAAAATTGTTTTTAATAAAAAAAATTAGTTACCCACTCTAGTTTCAATGACATTTGACATTTTGACATTTCTGTAACATCGAGTTCTGTCCCAACAGTATCTGCTCTGAATTTGGACTGATGTAGCTACTTTCCCTCTCTGCCTCCTTCTCTCCCCTGTTCCTGCCCTCTCAGACACCACTGCTACGAGAAGAGTCTTCCTGCAGCATGATTCCCATCACCACACCTTTCCCCTCCCCTCCTTCCTCCAGCACTTCAGTGGCTCCCTATTACCTGTGGGATAATGGCCAAGTTCCTTGTTCTTCCCTTCCTCTGTGTTCTCAAAGCTTTTTCTCCTCCTTTCCAATCAGTTTTCTTCACTGTCCATAAGGATTCACGAGCATTTTCTCTTCCCGCTAGACATAAGCTCCTCAAGGACAAGACCTAAGTCTTGCCCAGTTCTGCCTTCTCTGCAGTGCCTTGGTCTTGTACTCACTAGTCCCTGCTAAGCATCTACTATGGGCTGGGTGCTTAGGATACAGTATTATGGCAGAGCTAGTCCCTGCTGTCCTGGAGCTTATAGTCTAGTGCTTAAAAATGTTCATCCAATAAATACTAAAACTTGGCCAGGCGCAGTGGCTCACACCTGTAATCCTAGCACTTTGGGAGGCTAAAGTGGGCAGATCACTTGAGGTCAGGAGTTTAAGACCAGCCTGGCTAATATGGCGAAACCCTGTCTCTACTAAAAATACGAAAACTTAGCAAGGCTTGGTGGCACATGCCTGTAGTCCCAGCTACTCGGGAGGCTGAGGCATGAGAATCACCTGAACTTGTGAGGCAGAGGTTGCAGTGAGTTGAGATTGTGCCACTGCACTCTAGCCTCGGCAACAGAGCGAGACTCTGTCTCCAAAAAAATTAAAAAACAAACAAACAAACAAAAAAAACAAACTAAAGCTAGTCAATTAGGGGAAAAATAAGCACAACACTGAGGACCAAAGGTCTAACTTTGTTAAAAATAAAAGACGTTTTAAAACTGTCTGCTAAACATTCATTGACATGTAAATCTGAATGCCAGTGTCTCTGTCTCCTCTCCTCTACCAGGCTGAAGTTCCTCAAGAGTCATTACCATGGTTTTGTGCATGTAAGCCACCAATCAGTACTGACTGGATAAAGAAAAAATATACCTAACTTACTTTTTTTCATAGATATCTGTAAATTTAAACAGAGGCAGGCAACAGGCAGGGGCATCCTGAAGAACAGACATTGTTTCTGCACTGTAAAACAGAAGTTTGATTAGGGAACAGACCATTTCCTCCATATTACAAGTTATATAAACAGAGTTCATAAAATTAACCCAGTGCATATGCAAAATAAATTTACGGATTTCTGGTATGTCAGAATGTATTTTCCAGAAAAATTTAAAGAAAGGATTTTAGGGACAAGGCAATGAAAGAAGATTACGTTACACAGTAGAATTAGTATCAATCATAGGGTTTTCCACACCAGTGGAGCAGAAAAGCATGATGAATTCAGAGCAAAAGGGAGAAGAGCTTAAATATCTCCTGCCACACTGCAGTTTGTTAGATATATGTGATTGGCGTTCCCATAGATAAGGATACACAACTGAATACAACATAATCTCAACTACAGTTTTAAAAAACCAGAGGCACCAAAAAACGCTCAAAGGGAAAAAATCCAAACAAAACTAAAAGAAGATGCCAAACTGTTAAGTGCAATTGGCTTTGGGCCATAGGCCTGTGGATGGTTTTTTTTCCCCTGCTTCTTTTATGTTTCTAAACTTTCCAAATTTTCTTCAATAAGCATCATTTTTATTCTGAGAACAACAACAAAAAAAAAACCCGTAACTCGTAATTTAAGTAATAGTGAAGTACAAGTTAGAAAAAAGATCTCTGATCATCCAAGGAAACACTCAGGAGTGGGTCCTGTTTTGCCAGTCTCCCCGAAACAGGGAGACCCAAAGAAGTATCACATTTTACTATGAATAAAACCATCACCAGACGCTTGAGACTGAGATAGTCTTAAGGTAGACTTATGGGGCTGAGTATCTATTTGACACTAAGGATATATCTGCAAATGGAGAGCTTGAAGATTTGTAGATCTAGTCTTTACACACAAATCTACCTTCTACCTAAGATCTCAAGGTAATATTTTAGACTTTTCAGGCTTATAAACTTTTATTGTAGGGGTCTACTATTTTTAGAACCTATTTGAACATGTTGCGTATTATTTTACTCCCAAGTGCCTGTCAAGTTTAAGCTGTATTCCAGCTTTGATTAATGACTTAGACAAGAGTCAAATGGCTTGTTTCTAACTGTATCAATCTAGAATAAGCATTATTCCACATGCAATCATCACAAGGGGGTGGGAATGTGATTGAATCTATTTTTATTATTTCTAAAATTGTTTCTGGGTCAAATGTTATTTCCTGAAATAAACAGCTTGCTTGTTTCTTACCTCAGTAAAGAGAGTGATTTGCTGGCAGCCCCGGTGGCAAGTGAGACCAGGATCTTTTTGCTGCCAATTTTGTATCTGTGGAGGCTATTCACTGCACCGATCGCATCTTGTAAGTTTTCCATTTGCACAACAGCCTTGAGTTGATAATCTGTATGGGGGCTGAGCTCAACACTCTTCACCTACAACAGGAAAAGCGAAAACTAAACGCTATGTCCGCCCAGAACCCTGTCGTCTTAAAACTGAAGGTGAACCATGAAGGAACACATTTGTCGACTGCAGCGCTTCCATGAAGGAGTATGTCTGAACTCTGCTCTTCTGCTGACCAGGACGTAAGAAAGTGAGGATAGGGTGACCTTTAGAGATGTGACACTGGCCCGGCCTGCCTGTGTGCTCTGGCACACACAGGTTTCCAAGGCAGGCTCAGAGGCCAACACATGGGAAGAGTGTTTGGGGTCTTTTCTAGACTCTACAAAACCCAGGACATGGCCATTTTTAAGAATCTACTAAAAAGGTGCATTTTTAGCAAAATTGCACCTAAAAAATGAGTCAAATATAATAAGGCATAAACAAGACCAGCCAACATTATTTTAGAATCCTACCTGTATTTCAGCAGGAAGAGCTAACTGAAATCCATCAATGTTTTACTTATCAAATTGCCTTTTTTTTTTTTTCTTTCTGAGATGGAGTCTCACTCTGTCTCCCAGGCCAGAGAGCAGTGGCGTCATCTCAGCTTACTGCAACCTCTGCCTCCCGTGTTTAAGCAATTCTCCTGCCTTAGCCTCCTAAGGAGCTGGGACTACAGGCGTGCACCACCACGCCCGGCTAATTTTTTTTTAGTAGAGACGGGGTTTCACTCGCCAGGCTGGTCTCAAACTCCTGACCTCAGGTGATCTGGCCGCCTTGGCCTCCCAAAGTGCTGGAATTACAGGCATGAGCCGCCATGCCTGGCCACAAATTGCCATTTCAATTTCTGCCTAAGACAAGAGCTTTTCACTGCTAGGCGTCTTGCTCTCTGGGGCTAACATTGTAAAAACTGGATTTATAGCACCACCCTGAGCAGACCAAAGGGAAAAGGAAGGAGTTCAAACTTGTTCAGTCACACTTCTATCCCGGCTGTGGTTATGTATATCAAATTAGGTCCTCTTGACTAGAGACTCCATCAGAGAGTATAACAAAGCAAGCACAAGAGGGAAAAAGTTACCTTGCCATGCCTGGCAAATGCTTCCTGCAGGAGCTGCTGCAGCTCCTTCCGGGATAATCTGTAGTCTATGTTGCTGACTTGGACATCAGCACCATTTGCAAATGGGTCTGGGCAGTCGGCTTCGCTGCTCGAATTTGCAATGTTGAAAGCAAGCGGGGATGCTCTGTTTAAAAGGTTTGGAGACATACTCCTGCTTAAAACACACATATTGACATTATTTTAAAAAACTGTTCTGTATATTTAGATTTTATCATTTAGGCTTTGTTTGAAACTATATACAGAAGCAGATTTTCCACAACACAACCAAACCAAACATTTGGTTTTCAAATGTGTTTTTAATCTTTTTTTTTTTTTTTTTTTTTTTGAGACAGAGTCTCGCTCTGTCACCCAGGCTGGAGTGCAATGGCACGATCTCGGCTTACTGCAACCTCCACCTCCTGGATTCAAGCAATTCTCCTGTCTCAGCCTCCCCAGTAGCTGGGACTACAGGCATGCACCACTACACCCAGCTAATTTTTTTTATTTTTGGTAGAGATGGGGTTTTACCATGTTGGCCAGGCTGGTCTTAAACTCCTGACCTCAAGTGATCCACCTGCCTCAGCCTCCCAAAGGGCTGGGATTACAGGCGTGAGCCACTGTGCCCAGCTGTGTTTTTAATCTTAAATACACATTGATTTCAGACATTGTCAAAAGTACTATCTACTGACCCCTAATTACCGCCAACCAATTAATATATATTCTTCCTTTGGGTTAAAGCTAAAGGCAGGAATTAGAGGCAGTCCTGATGAATTAACCTTCTGCTTTGTGCATTATCCTTAGGAAATCAGCCTGTGATACCAATTTAAGGCGTCTAACCTCCTCTGTGTCTCTGAAAGAGTTAAACGTTCTTGCCTACATGTTACAGTTCTTTCTGCACATAAGGAAAACTTTTATGTGGCTTTTTAGATGTAATTTTATAGATCCATAGTCACTTTCTCTTTTTTTTTTTTTTTTTTTGAGACGGAGTCTCGCTCTGTCACCCAGGCTGGAGTGCAGTCATGCGATCTGAGCTCACTGCAACCTCCACCTCCCAGGTTCATGCCATTCTCCTGCCTCAGCCTCCCAAGTAACTGGGACTGCAGGCACTCACTACCACGCCCGGCTAATTTTTTGTATTTTTAGTAGAGATGGGGTTTCACCGTGTTAGCCGGTTAGCCAGGATGGTCTTGATCTCCTAACCTCATGATCCTCCCGCCTCGGCCTCCCAAAGTGCTGGGATTACAGGCGTGAGCCACCACGCCCGGCTGATCCATAGTCACTTTCTACAGTGATCTGCCACCAACTCAGCAGAACAAACACAATGCTAAAAGGAGCTCATGGGAATGCAACACGGCCTTACGGCTTCTCTGTCTCCCAAGCATCAAGAATTCCTTGGTGTGAGAGACAGTGATAAATAATTACCATGGTTTACAGAAAACTTTACTTCCAAATAGCTTCCTATACAGAACCATATGAATCAGAACCACCAATGCACGGCTCGTTTGGGCTTTTTCCTCAACACAGCGAACATAGGGACATCTTTACATGCCCCCCTGCACTGGCCAGGGACTCTCCAACAGGCTTCTCTTTCTGACCTCTGCTTACCACAATTTCCAGATGGAGGAAGAAGAAATGGTGAAAGCATTGCCCCTAAATGTTAACGATGATTACCTGAGGAGAGGGGGACTGGCAGAAGAGTGATGGGAGACTTACTTTGTGCATTTCAGTACTATCTGAATTCTTTTCAACAAACATACTATTTCATAATCCTTCCTATTACATGTAACCACCCCCATGGGTCAAGAAGCTGGACTCACCTAGAAGACCAAGACTGAGATGCGAGCAGAGGACTGACTTGCCTGGATGCAACTAACTTGCTAAAAGCAGACGGGTAACTCACTTGGAATACAGTCTCCTCTTTATCTTTTTTCTCTACAGGAGAACTGGTAACACTTCGGGCACTGAGGTTCTCCTTTCTAACAGAAGGGGAAAATTGAAGGCAAAAGGTCATATGTCTTCCTTCACATTCAAGAAGCAGCTATGAGAAAGAGTAGTTTCACATACTTCTGACTGGTTTTGTAAACGGGTTCTGCCACCCCCGAGTTTTTCGGCGTCGACACTGCAGCACTTGAGTTACCGTGAGTGGGTACGACCAGCCTCAGGTGACCTTGCTGGTGCTCACTGTTTCTATGACCAGTTTTTGACTCCATGCGGCACAGCTCCTTCAAAGACACAAGCACAGTGGGGTTTAAATTTTAAGTACCCAAGATGTGTTAGATCCTTTACAGAAAACGATTGACTTTGAGTATCATCAAACACTGAAATCAAAAAGGGACACGCCAAAAGCAAGCGGGCACGTAAAACACAGAAACAAACCAAACCTACCATAAACTTCAGAAAGCAAGAGGTATCAAAATTACCTGTAAACTTTTAACATTTGTATTTTTTGTAGCAGATCCAGAATTTGCCTGTGACCCTTTTCCAGGCGTGGCTTTGGCACTGGAAGATTGTTCACTTGCATCTTTGATGAGGCACAATTTTGGATTCTTAAGTTTTTTGGGAGACTTCACTTTATCAGCAATTGCATTTGAACTCTTTGTTTCACAGAGTTCTCTATTTTTTGGAGTAAATGACACAATGATCCTATTACCAAAGACATCTTCGTTTTCCATTCGCTTCTGAGCGCGCTCTGCACTATCTTGGTTTATGAAGCGGAGAATTGCACTGCAGCCTGTGATACTCAGCACTTTCCCACCACAATTATCGGACAGGCGTCTGAGCCTGTTGCTGACGCTCTTGCCATCCTTATTTGCTGGTAGGTTATAAACATAGAGCAGAGTGTGGCACTGCTAATACAGAGGAAAGAAGTGTTACGTCAGGTTAATTCAAGGGCACACATTCAATTTCAAAATAAGAACAATGGGTGACCTCCAAACTTCAGTTAACAACTTTGAAGAGAAGATGACAGTGATTTAGATGGGAGAGGGTAAATTATTTAGTGTTGACAAAGTAACTGAATATTGTTTTAAAGAATATGCTTTAGCTGGGCATGGTGGTGCATGCCTACAGTCCCAGCTACTCAGGTGGGAGGATTACCTGAGCCCAGGAAGATTGAGGCTGGAGTGACTGTGCCACTGCACTCCACTCTGAGTGACAGAGTGAGACACTGTCTCAAAAAATAAAAATAAAAAAGAATATGCTAGGCACAGAGGTCTGTATACTATATGATTCCATTTCTATAAAGCATCCAGAAAATACAAATCTACAGAGACAGAAAGATTAGTAGTGCCTGGGAGTGGGGAAGGGGATTAATTATAAATTAGCATAATAGATTTACTGAGGTGACAAAAATATTCTAAAATTGTACAACTCAATTTACTAAAAATTATTGTACACTTAAAAGAGCTGAATTTTGTAATATGTAAATCATATCTCAACGAAGTTGTTTTTTAAAAGTCTATTTATTCTGCAGGTCTGCTGAATAATAACTTATAGAGCCAGAAGGTGAGCAGGGTCAGTCCTGGTTGGTTTTTGCATAGGAGAATGCCTGGGAATACTAGGAGCTATAGGCTTAAGTAAACAAAAATTTTTTTAAAACCCAACAATTTAGAGCCTGTTCAGCTTCAACAGCAGATTGCCAGTAGTTAGGCTGGAAGTTTTATTTGGCAGTGGGTAGTCATAATTCTTCCAGATAAGTTGAAATTTATGTATTAAGAAGTAGAACTTGGCCTGGCACAGTGGCTCACGCCTGTCATCGCAACACTCTGGGAGGCCAAGGCAGGTGGATCACCTGAGGTCAAGAGTTGGCGACCAGCCTGACCAACATGGTGAAACCCCATCTCTACTAAAAATACAAAAAAAGTTAGCTGAGCAAAGTGGCAGACGCCTGTAATCCCAGCTACTCCAGAGGCTGAGGCAGAATAATTTGCCTGAACCCAGGAGGCGGAGGTTGCAGTGAGCTGAGATGGCACCACTGTACTCCAGCCTGGGCGACAGAGCGAGATTCTGTGAAAAAAAAAAAAAAAAGAAAGAAAGAAAGAAGGAAGTAGAACTGGAGAAAAAGAAAGAAAAGAGAGAGAGAGAGAGAAAGAACGAACAAACGAACGAACGAACGAACTGGCCAGGCATGGTGGCTCATGCCTGTAATCCCAGCACTTTGGGAGGCCGAGGCGGGGGGATCACTTGAGCCCAGGAGTTCAAAACCAGCCTGAGCAACACAGTGAGACCCCATCTCTATTAAAAATTTTTAAAAATTGCCAGGCATTGTGGCTCACTCCTCTAATCCCAGTACTTAGGGATGCTGGGGCAGGTGGATCACTTGAGGTCAGGAGTTCAAGACCAGCCTGGCCAACATGGTGAAACCTCGTCTACAAAAAACTAGCCAGAGGCTGGGCACGGTGGCTCACGCCTGTAATCCCAGCACTTTGCGAGGCCAAAGCGGGTGATCACCTGAGGTCAGAAGTTCGAGGCAAGCCTGGCCAACACAGTGAAACCCCCTCTCTACTAAAAATACAAAATTAGCCAGGCGTGGTGGCGGGCGCCTGTAATCCCAGCTACTCGGGAGGCTGAGGAAGGAGAATCAATTGAACCCGGCAGGTGGAGTCTGCAGTAAGCGGAGATCACGCCACTGCACTCTAGCCTGGGTGACAGAGTCTCAAAAAAATTTTTTTTAAATAAGAATAATATTTTAAAAAGCAGAACCATTAAAGCACCAGGAGAAAACTTAAGATAATTATATAAAGGGTTAAATCCAGAAACCATAAGAGAAATCACTAACAACAGGCAAAGGATGTGAACAATTTACAGAAGAAATAAAAAGCAAACAACGATAATCATAAAAGGATATTTTGCACTGTGTTAAAGATTAAAAGTCAATTATAAGATGATGCTGTTTTTCACTTACTGGCCTGGCAAACATTTAAAACAGACACTCTTATGAGTGTAAATTAGTACCACCTTCCTGGAGGAAGACATGGATCTTGCTAGTAAAGTTCTAACCCAGAACTCTTATGCCTTGGAAATTACCCTATGGTATGTCAGCCCAGGAGCCTAAAGATATAAATTACCTTGCTGGAAATGGTAAAAAACAAAACAAAACACAAAACTGGGTATAAACAAAATGTCCACTAACAGGTAGACTGGTTAAATAAAGACCAGCCATACAAGTACTTTTCAAACCAAAGTTCTGGTTTTTAAAATGTGGCAGATTTATATTAATATATATTAACATGAAAAGACATCCAAGCTCTGACATAGTTTTTTTCCAAAAGCCACAGAACACTGTATATGTGACACATTTTTTTTTAAACGTACATTTTTTAAATCTGGAGGGCAATACCAAAATATTAACAGTGGTTACTTCTGGAGGGTAGAATTGTGGGGTTTTCACTTTCCACATTTCTAAATATTGTGTTTTGTTTGTTTTTACAATGATCATACCATACTATTCTTTTCTTTCTTTTTTTTTTAGATTTTTTGAGACACAGTCTACTCTGTCACCCAGGCTGGAGTGCAGTGGTGTGATCTCGGCTTACTGCAACCTCCACTTTCAGGTTCAAGTGATTCTCCTGTCTCAGCCTCCCAAGCAGCTAGGACTACCAGTGCCCGCCACCACACCTGGCTAATTTTTGTATTTTTAGTAGAGATGGGGTTTCGCCACATCGGCCAGGCTGGTCTCGAACTCCTGACCTTAGGTGATTGGTGATCTGCCCACCTCAGCTTCCCAAAGTACTGGGATTGCAGGCGTGAGCCACATCACTCGGCCCACACCATACTTTTCTAATCAGAGGCTTTTCTTTTTATTTGAGGGGTACTGACCAATTATCAACAAAATCTACACTTTTCCTATTACACCTGGGACTCAAAACCCAGGCAGTACCAATGTATGTTTAATTTATTAAAATTAAAGGAACAGACTAAAGAACATAAAAAGAAATGTATCTTAAATTATCACTCTAGTGGATGGGAAAAAACATCCAGCAAAACTAAATGGTTTGAATTATCAAAACATTGTTTTGGTTTTTTTAACCATAAGGAATAAGAATCTCCAAAGTGGGCAAGTTCTTACCTAAAACACTACATTTACTTTTTTTTTTTTTTTTGAAACAGAGTCTCGCTCTGTCGACCAGGCTGGAGTGCAGTGGCGCGATCTCAGCTCACTGCAACCTTCACCTCCCAGGAAAAAACACCGTATTTACATAAGGCCTTCAAAGTTAGAAAAGTGACCGTCAAACAGAAGCAGAAGGGAAGAAATGTAACTACAGCCAAGTGACTAAAAACAAATAATGACAAAGGTGAGTTAGGAAAGAGCCTCAAAAGATTAAGGTAAGGCCTGTATATGCTTACTCCCTGGGTAAGCCTCTGGTATCCACAACTCTCAACTGTCCATAGCATGAGTTTCAACTTAAGCCAGACCGCAGGGGGCTTGTTGGGTATCGGGGACACAGGTGACTAGCAGGCAAGTGCCGGAATCAGGATACCCGGGGCCCACTCTCTTAACTGCTGCAATCACCAATGACACGTTTACTTTTTCTAAGAGCTGATTTCTTTCTCCCTTAAATGAAGACTTTGCATGAGATCATGTCTAACGTACTTCTGTAACTCTCAGTTATTAAATTATATGTGAAGACTTTCATTTAACGTATGGGATTGCCCACTCTCCTGGATCACCCACACCATGGCTCCTTCTCCATTATCATTAATTCTTTCAGAGTTACACACATATTCGCCAGCGGCTTAAACACAGCCCAGCACTGCAATAAACATTCTTATCCCAAGTCAAGTCTATCAGAAATGCTAGTCCTGGAAATGTGCTCACACCCTCCTCCCAGTATATGGCATAAACAGGCTACACACAGGTGGAGCAATAACCACTCCTGCTAATTGTGTCCATGCACCACAGGGAATGCACAATAGAAAGCACAGACTCAGAGGCCCGCTGAAGCTTAAGGATTAAATACCGAAAAAAATGCACAATTGACTCCACTTATTTGGTGCCAACCACACAAGTATGTGAGAACCCTCGCCATATTCTCTACCCATAATACTTGGAAGCAAAAAGAATCATGACTTTTAATCCGTTATTTCTATCCACCTGACACAAAACACTGCTAGCTTTGAAGACACTGGCAAGTTGGGAAGGTAAATCTACAAGTCAATTTCATATGATATTTTGAAATAAATAAAAGCAAACTTCATACATACCAATTATCTGTATATTTGTGAGAAGAACCGAAGGTTTCTAAGCCTTACTTCAAAATCTAACCCACCTCTTACAAAGAACAGCCCCATCTGGGCCTGGCAACCCCCTTATTATGGGCTGTCTTTCAGCCTCCACAATGTAATATTGGAAAATGGCAAAAATAACGCAAACCCACTTACTGGCATTTTTAGTGGTAACCTGGGGGGCAAGTCGGAAATGAACTCTTCAAATCTGATCAGCTCGTTAGCATGATGCAGCAGTGCTTCTGAGGCCTGGTTTTTATGGACCAAAATAATGTGGAAACCATGCCTGTGTCTCAGGTCACTAAGTTCCAATGCAAAATTGACATCAGCTGAAAGAAAAGGTACAGACCAACCCCATCCCCAAACATTAGAAACACTTGACAAAGACAGACAACTCTATTGACACCCACTGAGAAGAAAGGAAAGGCTGGACTATATTCAAAATTGCTTCCCCCGTTTCTTAGGAAAGAAACACGTTTCACATCAGAAGAATGTAAGACAATCTTACCAAAAGAATTCCAAGACACATATGTTACTTTCAGTATTAAAAAGGAGCAAATATGTTGGGGAGACTCAAATTTGAAAATTAACTTAAACTTTAAAAATTATTAATACTGAGCACAAGGTAAAAAAAAAAAAAAAAATCACATTTTTCTTTAATAAACCTGGTCCCGGCCGGGCGTGGTGGTTCACGCCTGTAATCCCAGCACTTTGGGAGGCCGAGGAGGGTGGATCACCTGAGGTCAGGAGTTTGAGACCAGCCTGACCAACTGGAGAAACCCCCATCTCTACTAAAAATACAAAATTAGCTGGGCGTGGTGGAACATGCCTGTAATCCTAGCTACTTGGGAGGCTGAGGCAGAAGAATCACTTCAACCTGGGAGGCGGAGGTTGCAGTGAGCCGAGATTGCGCCATCGCACTCCAGCCTGGGCAACAAAAGCGAAACTCCATCTCAAAATAAATAAACAAAAAAATAAAATAAAAAATAAACCTGGTCCCACAATAACTCAAGTTCCAAGGAGGAAATACAGAAATCCACCTAGACCCAATTTTTTTTCTAAACAGTTCTCAACAATAACCATAAACATGTCTCATGTACTTCAGCCTCTTTGGGGATACATTTTACTTTCACATGTTGCTGGCTTCTATGATAATTTCCCACACAGTGAGTTTAGCTGAAATTAGCAGATGTTTCTGTACTTACTTGACACAAGAACCACTGTGGCTGGAGCAGTGTGTGTATTTGCAAATCTGCGGAGACTCTGCCGCAGTTTATCATCAGCGGCATTCTTTGCAGTAGCATTGATGTGGGCAACGGTTACCTGCATTAATTTATAATAAGGGTGAATAAGCAGGAGCTGAGGCTAGAAAATTGCTACACATTCTGCCCATATTTTTTATTTTTTAAATTTTATTATACTTTAAGTTCTGGGGTACATGTGCAGAACGTGCAGGTTTGTTACATAGGTATACATGTGCCGTGGTGGTTTGCTGCACCTATCAACCCATCATCTAGGTTTTATGCCCCCACATGTATTAGGTATTTGTTCTAATGCTCTTCCTCCCCTTCCCCCAACCCCGACAGACAGACCCCAGTGTGTGTTTTTCCCCTCCCTGTGTCCATGTGTTCTCACTGTTCAACTCCCACTTATAAGGCAAGAACATGCACTGTTTGGTTTTCTGTTCCTACATTAGTTTGCTGAGAATAATGACTTCCAGCTTCATCCATGTCCCTGCAAAGGACATTATCTCATTCTTTTTTATGGCTGCATAGTATTCCATCGTGTATTATGTGCCACATTTTCTTTATCCAGTCTATCACTGATGTCTGCCCATATTTTAATAAGTAATTCTTGAGAAAAAAATTCTTATTACTATTGGGAATGGTAAAAAATTACAACAGATCTCAGTAATCTCAACATTGGTTCTTGATATGAACTGGGTTTGTGACTAACCCTGCTCTCATCTCCAATCTTCTGTTTTTGCATTTCTTTCATCCTCCTTTCAGAAAATAAGTAGAATATAGGAAGTGAAATTTGAACTCAGTTAAATTTGCTCTAATAGCTTCTGCCAACAATTTGGAGGTGGTAAAGATCAGACAAATGACTAAAATAAGATTTAAGGCTGTGTTTTATGTCAACTGTCCATGCTACCCATGCAAGCTTGTGCAATCTGCCTTTTGTTGTTGTTTTCTGTTTTGTTTTGTTTTGGGCTTTTAGCAGCTGGAAGCCATAGTTTTTAGTTTCCGTCCCTACTAATAAGCAGAAAAGAGAGATAAGGAAGGTGCTTTACTAGCCCAACCAGAAACAGAAACTGAGAATCCATGATTGTATTCTCTCCCTTGGACACCCCTGGATGGCTTTCAGGATCTGGGGTGAGGTGGTAGAGAGAGGAGGGAGGATATCCCCTAAGGGAGCTAAAATGCATTTATTTCTGTTAAAACTATCAGGCTCGCATATAAGTCCCCAAAGGAAGGAAAGGTTTATTTTGAGAAAGTTGCCTCAGGCACCTGCAATACACAATAATAACTTGCTGGTTTTTGTAAAGAACATGGGTATATCATTTTAGACAAGCAATATGGACTATCAATATAATTAATTATCTAAGAGTCAAAAGACCCAAATTCTAGTTTCAGCTTAAAAGCAGACTCTGGGGGTCAGACAAATCTAGATTTGGATCTTTGCTCTTCCTGGCCAAGTGATCTTAAACAAGTTTCTTCACCTCTCAGGGCCTTAGTTTAATTTGTAAATTGTGAATTATATATTCTACGTGCCTGGTTCAAAGAGCAGTAATGAAAATCAAAGGAAATAATACATATATAACCATTATACCAGTATAGAACTAAAATATAAATTAGGGAGCATAACTGAAAGAATGATTAAATTATTTCTAGTACTTTGGAAGTGATCTTTTGCTAATTTATTTTATTTGAAAACTTGGCACAAATGCAATATCATTAAACAAATTTTCAATCAGAATTCTAAAAAAAAAAAAAACACCACACACACACACACACACACACACACACACGTACAGCACTTTTAGAGGCCAAGGCAAGAGGACTGCTTGATCCCAGGAGTTTGAGACAAGCCTCCACCACCTAACCCTGGATCCTGAAAGCCATCCAGGGGTGTCCAAGGGACAGAATACAGTCATGGGTTCTTAGTTTCTGTTTCTGGTTGGAACATAGGGAGACCTCGTCTCTACAAAAAATAAAAAATGAGCCGAGCATGATGGCGTGCATCTGTGATCCTGGCTAGTTGGGAGGCTGAGGTGGGAGGATCACTGGGGTCCCAGGGTTCGAGGCTGCAGGGAGCCATGAATGCGTCACTGCACTCCAGCCTGGGTGACACTTAGACTCTGTCTCAAAACAAACAAACAAACAAATATCTGCTTATTCCTCTACTGTAGATTAAAATTATTAAATTTTTTTTTTTTACCTGGCAATTATTCAGCTCTTGAATAACTTCCTTGTTTTCTTTACTGATGTCACATACACAGATGAATTCTGCTTCTCTGTGGCCTTTAAAAAACTTCTCACGGATTCTTTGCACAACAGCAGTTGCTGACCGGCCAGAGGGAACGGAGCAGTTTTCAATATCCCAAAAAACTCCAATGGGGGGTAAGTTTTCTAGCACCTGTCCAGCTACTGCAACTTCTGGTGACCCTTAAGAAATGTTAACATTTTCAATTACTTGTAGTGGAAAATAAATGGCAAGTTACAATAAGATAATAAACTACCTATCATTCTCAGTGGTAGAAAAACTAAATTATTAATGAATGCCAAGTTTTAAGGCTACCAACCTCACTGGTTGACCTAATAAGCAATCAAGCTGTCAAAAAGTATCACTCTAAGAGATTATTTCTGTTTTTCAGGAGAAGACAAATCTAAAAGTCAAGTAACTTTAAGCCCACAATAAATCCACCTCCAAGCATGAGCCACTCTGACATTAAGCAGTGATGCTTCTCTGAACACAAGCACACTAACTGACCGGATACTGCAGCTCCAGGACCCGACTTTCAAGCTTAGCCCACACTTATCTACCTACTTGGTAGTAACCAACACTGAGGAGCTGACAAAGGGTGAAGCTGTTACTGTCGTTGATTTTGAGTTAACGCTGCATTAACATCTGATTTAATATTTTAAAAATGTTTTCAAAACGTCGCATTAACTACTTTTTAGGGAAATTATTTTAACTGAGAACTCTTTGGTTTTCAAATACTGTTTTTAATCAGCCATTAGTAAATTGTTCTAAGCACTTCTAGGGAGTATACCATCAACAAGTGTGATTTCCAACCTAAGGTGACACCAAGTCTTTTCCAGCACTTTTATTTCTCCTGATATACTACCAATTTTTCTATACACAGCTTCTGTGTATAGCCTCGGCCCAACATAAAGGGCAAATGACTTCCTGGTCCATAATAATAAAAAGATTTCTACCAAGATATGGAATTGGAGACTCACATACACAGTAGCTTTAGAACCATAAGGAATCCTTCAAAGGTGATTAAATGCAATGTTAGTATGAGATATTGAAAGCTATTTAAATATGCACATTTTATGCCATACTGTCATTTACCAAATTTTGAAGCAGCTTTGCCTAGACTGGTCGCCAATAACAACGTGGTCTCCTTCCCTGTTCCTTTGGTTCCACAGCCATTACACAGAGGGACAGCAAGAGGTGCAGGTTGAGTATTTGGAGGTGGTATATTTGGCCAGACTTTAGCCGCATCGATTATGCTATTTCTTGCTGGCTGTTTTAAATTTTTTTTAAAAAGGAGGAGGTGTCAGATACATCATTTCAGAAGCTGGAGTTATATACAACAACTGAAAATACACTCTAAGTGTTTTACCTTTCCACTTGCTAGCCTCTAATAAAAAGGACTTTCAAATAATCTTTCCAAGAACCATTAGCTATCAGTTCATAAATTCATTTCCAGAAGTGACTTGACATGATCAAGAAAGATATTCACGTGGTCAGATCTTTACATTCTGGGGCATGAGTCTGCTGCAACGAAGACCTCACACATATTTTACATAAAGGGTAGCAAAGTCTCACTTGAACACCAATGTGACTGAGGCCAAGCTTCAGGTTTCCCACATTATTGCAAAAAGACAACATGCAGTTATCTACCTTACATGAATGGGCCCATGTGTAAGCTGAATGTAAGTTATAAAAAATCCATCGTGCTTTAGCCTTTAAACATAGAACACGAAGGCTTTGCCAACCTCTTGTTTGCAACAAGAGGCTCTAAAAGTATAAACTACAAAAATAATGACTCTCTACTTTTTTGAATGATCTCCCATCTTACCCTTTGTTTCTTTCAGAACCAGCAAAAATTATGCTGATGGGGAGATTCCCCTATACCATGGGAGAATCTTCAACCCCATGTATAATACTTTTCAAGATAAATCCACTTCAAAAGTCATTCCTCAATCCTCAGCTGCACCCAACTTAAGAAATAAAAAGATACGAACCTTGTTTAGACAGTCTTCGCAGTAAAGTGAGCCCTTTAAACAAACCGGAGGTACCACATTAAGGTGCAAAGAGTTGGTGCACAAGTGAGGCGTTAGCTCCGACTGTGAAATGTGCTCTTCCAAATGCCCTGGAGCCCCGCTTGTGAAATCAGAACAGGGGAAATAGCCAGCGGAGGTGCAGCCCTGCAGACTCGGAAACTGATGCAGCTTGTGCACATTACCATGACATGACTGGAAGTGGAGTTTTCCACAACAGGGCAGGTGTTTGCAGGAAGACAGGTTACTCTCTAGACACATGCTGGGAAAGTCACTTGCAATGCCTGCCAAATTGTTCCTAGCTGAGGCATTCTGGAGTGAAGATGCAGACTGGAAAGCAAACCCTGACCCTACCTGACACGTGATTGTCCTGGTGCTTTGCGAGTCTAACAGTGCGCCCGGGTGAATCAAGCTACTGGTACCTCCGCTACCGCCACCACCACCACCAAAACGCATTGGCGAAGTGGAGGGTTCATTAGGGCAATGAGCACAGCAGCTTACTTTGGGGACAGAAGAAAGCTGTATTTTAGGCTGCTGAAGAGAACGAATATCAGGAAGTGGGACTGCTGGAAAAAGCTTAGAGCCAGCATGAAGGGGTGATGGTACATCCTTTAGTTCCACAGCAACTTTCTTGTTCTCCATGTACTCTTTCTGAGAAAAGAAAATCAGAACATAAATTAATTTTATGAGGTCCGTGGTTTTTTGGTTACTCATATCTTACTGCATGCACAAACAGAAATAGTGTTCAATTCTGTTACATCACTAAATCATAACTGAACAAAATGGAATCACAGCTAGTTAAAACCAGGAACATTCTTCAGAGAGGTCTGCAGGACATGAACACTGGAACACACAACTAAAATTAAGACTACATTCTTCCTGAATTGAAACAGACTGGGGTGGGAGGGCCTGTTTACATCTTTAGCAGCCACCATGCCTCAGTAACTTCCTTTTGGTAATTTCCCCTTGCCTCACAGAATCTTCTGAAGACAAAATAGGTGGTATGAAAACAACCCCTCACAAACAGCATTCAATAAAGATGGCTAACACACACAGTGGTTTGAGGACAATACTTAATAGTTCTGTGGTCAGGCCATAAGGGGTTTTAGTAAGATCCCCCAAAGGAAAAGAGTAAAGTTTCAAACACAGATGAGATCAGCCATCTACCCAGATGGCCCATCCGTGTTGCTGATGACATTTCATAAACCCTAAGATATCATGACCTAAAGCCATAATGACAATTATATTGCAGCCAGTGAAAAGATTTAGAGAATTAGAAAACTATCCAAGAAAAAGATCCAAGACAAATAGTTTGCCACATGACTCCAACACAGACACAGGAAGCCAGTATATTACAAAGGTTCTGAGCAGAGCATCAGTGGCAGAGACCTGGGTTAGAATCTGATACTCAATAGTTGTATGACCTTGGGTAAGTTACTTAACCTACACTTTGGTTTCCTCATCCATAAACTGGGAATACAATATACCTCCTAGAGTTGCTAGGAGGATAAAATAAGATAGAGCACATAGACCACCTGGCACAGTACCTAGCCACTGAAAGGGGACTGAATTCATCAGCCTTCACAGGCTGACTGCAAGAGACATTAAGATGAAGAGGGGGCCCTGCTACAGTGACTGAGACGTGCTCACCGTTCACAGCATATGAGGGTCCATCTGACGCCTAAAATTCCACTCCCTTTGCTGTGATTCTACACTCACCTGGGAGCATAGGCTCATCTGGAAGAAATGTGAATTTTCAGCTAAACTTTCCCTAAAAGGGAGATAACAGCAACGGGCTGACCAGCCAATGAACTGCCCTCTTGGTAATTATAGTTCAGACTGAAATTAACACACTGGTATTCTGATTTATACAGATCAGGCTCATACAGGCAGGCTTACTATGAGTTGATCCCCTGAACCTACTCCATTCTGCATGCCACTGACAAAATTGAGTTTCAAGATCTGTAAAGTTGACCGTGTAATTCTGAATTGTGTGACTCCATGAGGACCAGATCTACCACCCCATCCCAGGAAGCCTTGCTTTTGATGCCAACCCTCACTGTCAACTGTCTCTAAAATAAAACACTCCTAAAATGACCCAAATTACTTGATGTCTTGCAACAAAGACAACTATATAGTGAAAACCTAGAGAAAATAGAGAATTAAACTGGTTTTTAAAAAGTTATTAATACCCGGCCAGGCGCGGTGGCTCACGCCTGTAATCCTAGCACTTGGGAGGCCGAGGCGGGTGGATCACCTAAGGTCAGAAGTTCAAGACCAGCCTGGCCAACACGGTGAAACCCCATCTCTACTAAAATACAAAAATTAGCCAGGCATAATGGCGAGTGCCTGTAAACCCAGCTACTAGGGAGGCTGAGACGGGAGAATCCCTTGAACTAGGGACAGTGGTTGCAGTGAACCCGGATCGTGCCACTGCACTCCAGCCTAGGGGGCTGAGCCGAGACTCTGTCTCAAAAAATAAAATCAAATAAAAGTTGTTAATACCCTTATATAAAATTATATTACAGTCTCACTTGAATCCCACATACAATAGAAAATAAGAAATAGAAAGGTGGTAACATGAGTGCATGAAGTCAGGAAATGTCAAAATTGGCTGGACGCGGTGGCTCACGCCTGTAATCCCAGCACTTTGGGAGGCTGAGGCGGGAGGATCACTTGAGGTCAGGAGGTCAAGACCAGCCTGGCCAACATGGCGAAACCTCGTCTCCACTAAAAATACAAAAATTAGCCAGGCATGGCAGCACAGGCCTGTAATCCCAGCTACTGAGGAGGCTGAGGCAGGAGAACTGCTTAAACCTGGGAGGCAGAGGTTGCAATGAGCCGAGATCGCACCACTGCACTCCAGCCTGGGCCACAGAGCAAGACTGCACCTCAAAAAAAAAAAAGAAAATGTCAAAATCACAATGAGTAAGCAAGAAGTTAGAGACATAAATGTATACTGAGAAGTAAATATTCAAGAGAAATCTCGAAATAAAAAACAGGCAGTGGATAAGCTCTTCCCAACCCTTCCTAGATTATAGACTCAAAACTCAAGAGGGCTACAGTAAAATACAACATATTTTGTATTTTCCTCTGATTTTACTCCACAATGTGGATTTTTAATCTTTGTTACCTGTGACTTTAATGAGGAAGAAATCTTTCCCAAATTTTAACATTAAATATTCAAGGCATCTACTGTTACTCAAAGTGAAATAGAAGAGTTAAAAAATTGTGCTGTGCTCTCACATTATAATGTGGTATAAGAGGCAATACAGGCAAGATCTACAGAAAAATGTGGCACAGACTCTAGGATGAGAGACTGTATCCCAGACCAAATGGACCTCTCTCATCTATTTGGATGAGGAATCTGCTACATCCTTAGTCTTGCATATAGTTACCGTTTGGGGACTATGTGGCAGCGTCTGCTCAGGACGAGAAAAGCAATTAGAGAATTTCCAAAGCCATGGCTTAGCATCATTATCTTGTTGAAGCCATCCACGTGTTCTACTGCAGGAGTTCTCAGTTCCGTTTCCTTCCATCATACAGCCATGCAAAGTGATTCAACATCCTTTCATCTTTCTTTTCTTTCATTCTTCCACCCTGTTAAGAATGAGTAAGATTTCAGTGTTATTTCCTTGCATAAGTACAAATTTTACAACATACTAAAATGTGAAACCACAGCTATATTTACAGTCCTATGGCTCTCAACAATTCAAATCTTTGTTTCAAGAGGAAGTCTCGCTCTGTCGCCCAGGCTGGCATGCAGTGGTACGATCTCAGCTCACTGCAACCTCCGTCTCCCGGGTTCAAGCGATTTTTCTGCCTCAGCCTCCAGAGTAGCTGGGACTACAGGAGCCTGTCACTATGCCTGGCTAATTTTTATATTTTTAGTAGAGATGGGGTTTCACCAAGTTGGCCAGGCTGGTCTTGAACTCCTGACCTCAAGTGATCCACCCTCCTCGGCCTCCCAAAGTGCTGGGATTACAGGCATTAGCCACTGCGCCCGGCCAACAATTCAAATCTTAACAAACAAAATAATAATAATAAAATAAAGAAAGAAAAAAACACAAAATATCAGAGCATATTACGGGTTAATAAAATTTGGTAAACTTGGTTGACTGTTTATGCTTAAAATCTAACTGCAACAACCTGATTTCTTAAAAAATCTATAATCTGCCATTCTTCATGTTTCATAGCTCTTCAAATAAAAAATGAACTCTCCATGAGTCTTGTTTCCTTTCCACATGTAACCATGTTTGAGAGAGGTAGCCATATCTTGGAAACTTGCATATTCCAGAGTGAGACTTCACCTCCTCACTTGGCTGGAATCAATTTTTTCTACAGTTTTTCTGAATTCTTTTCGGCTCTCTCTCCCTAAAGATGCTGCTCAGGAAAGTCAAAAGTTAACAGAAGAGAGCATCTAATCTGAGTAAAAGAGCCACCACCACATCCTCATTGACAACTATATGTAAGATTTTAAAATTGACTTAAGAGCAACTTCTTGCACTGGTTTCTTGATCTGAGCATGAAAAGTCCAAACTAAGTGGCCTCTGTGGACTTTGAATTTGATTTGCTACAGAACAAATTGAACCAATTTCTTAGTTTACTAATGATGAAAGTGCAATCTGATATACCACCAAAAATCTAACTGATAGAAAAATCTCAAGTCGCAGATGTGTTATATCTACGCCAGAGCAACAACACTCTTACAGGTCTTAACAATAAATGCAAGCGAGGCACCGTGGCTCAGGCCTGCAATCCCAGCACTTTGGGAGGCCAAGGTGGGTGGATTGCTTGAGCCCAGGAGTTCCCAACCAGCCTGGGCAACATGGCAAAACCCCATGGCTACAAAAAATTAGCTGAGCGTGGTGGTGCATGCCTGTAGCCCCATCTACTCAGGAGGCTATGGTGGAAGAATCACCTAAGACTGCGTAGTCAAGGCTGCAGTGAGCTGTGATTGCACCACTGCACTGCAGCCTGGGCGACGGAGTGAGACCCTGTCTCAAAAACCAACAAACAAAATTACATGAAATTAAAATGTCAGTGTCCATAAATAAAGTTTAATTGGGACACAGACACACTCATTCACTTAAATACTGCCTATGACTGCTTTTGCATTCCAATTGCAGAGTTGCAAAGAGAGTCTCTGCAAAGAGACTGTATGGCCCACAAAGCCTATATTTACTACGTGGCTCTTTTGTCAGCCTGGGCAATATAGCAAGATCACAGCTCTAAAATAAAATAAAGTTCAAAAAATTAGCATAGTGTGGCAGCATGCGCCTAGTCCCAGCTACTAGAGAGACTGAGGTAGGAGGATCTCTTGAGCCCAAGAATTTGAGGCTACAGTGAACTATATTGTGCCACTGGCCCTTCAGCGTGGGCAACAGAGTGAGATTCCATCTCTAAAAAAATTTTTGTTTTCAAGTTTCTGTTTCCTCCTATGCAAAATGTGGCTAATTTCTCCCCGCCACTGCATTACAGAGAAAAAAAAAATTAGATAAATGAACCCCACTGTCTATTTTCACCACTGTATCTCTTGTGCCAACCAAAATGCTCCCTACTCTGTAAATACAAAGTAAACATTACCTACTACACACTATTGGGAGTGGTTAATTTGGAGATGGATTTAACTGCTACCACTGATAGTAAATTACGATTCTTGTCTTTCCTATTAGATACAGGTTTTATGTCCCCCAAAAAACTCCTCTCAAAATCGTAAGAATCTGTGATATTCACAGTGTTCATAACTTAAACATTCTCTCAAACTTCTTCAAAGCCAAATCCTGAAAGTGAGCTAACATTCACAGTATAATCTAGTTTATAAAGTATTTTCACTTAACATTACTTATGTCTTCATTCAGCAAATATTTACTTAGTATCTACTATGCAGCAGGCCTGTGCTTGGCACAAGGAATATAATGATGAAAAAAACCCAGACGGTGGGATCCTCTTATATAATTTTTGCAATAATCCTGTGAAATAGACAGGGGAGAAATTAGCTACATTTTTGCAGAGAGAGAAAAAGAAACTTAATGAAGTTTTGTAGCGAGCCTGACACAAGATTAGGCTTGTTCACCCCTTTCCACTACATCAAGGTGCCTTCAATACTGCTCAATACAAGCGATTAAAAGTAAAAACTTTCAGGTGCCTGCACCCTGAAAACTTCCCAAATACCATCCACGAAGCAACTTAGGTAGCCAAAAGCAGGTTCTGTTTGACTTGAGCGACAGTCTCCTTTCTGTCACTCTCTTCAAGTCTTTTGACCAATTCAATGAGGAGAGCATAGGCTCTGTCGACTGTCTGCATTTTGGTCTCCAATTTGACTGCGGTGCAGCTTTGGACAACTCACAACCTCTCTGAACCTCAGATCCCATCTCTAAAATGGGTGTGATAATAATAGAAACCACCTTACAAGGCCGTTGTTTGGATTACATGAGGTAATCCACGGGGAACATTTAGCAAATGTTGTTTCCTTAGCACCCAATCTAGTCTTTGACCCCACACCACCCCATCCCATTACCGTTTTCTCCCCCATAGCTCTTCTGTCCAAAACGGCCTTTTTAGCTTATTTTATTATCTTTCTCCCCCATTAGGCTATAAACTCCATGACAGCAGAGACTATGTTTTCTTATCCACTATTCCAACTCCTGTCCTTAGTACAATGCCTGGCATATTTTAATAAATAACTGTTGAACGAATAAAGCTTAATAAATAGGAAAACAGTTTAGGTTTCAATACACCGATATGCAAAAGAGAAGAATATTTACCGCTCAGAGAAGTCCAAAAGACACAAATGCAATTGGACAGCTCTTGGTAATACCGGAAAGGTGCTTGAGAAACTCTAAAAGGTGTATCACGAGGTCGCGTTACAACTACTAGTGAGAGTGGCTGAAGCCCTAGACATTGTCAACCCTGAGACTACACCCTATGTGTTGCTAAAAGGCCGAGGAGAATGCAAAACGGCCGGGGAGGGGGGAGTGTGTTGCAAAAACACCCGCCCCTTTCCTTCTCTCTTAACCTTCCAGCTGTGCACTTCACTCCTGGAGGGCCCCACCAGGGGTCAGACAGGGGCGGGCGGGGAGCCAAATGCCCTCGAAGGGGAACAGCGGCGCCAACAGTGACAGTAGTGAATGGACCCGAAAGGGAGACAAGCCAACTCTTTCGTGGGGGGCCCAACTGGCGCGTCCCAGTTAGCTAACCTCCCCTCTCCACCACCATCCCACCAGCAATAGGCGGGGAAAGAGGGGACACTGTCCTCCGTCCCGCCCCGCTGGCCTCGGAGCAGAGCCTGCCGGGGTCTGGTCGCAGGACTGTCTGCAAACTCACCTCTGCCGCCGGCTCCACCTCCGCTCACATTCCGGCCCCGCCGCCTTCCCCCCGCCCCCCCCAGGCCCTTTGTTTTGATTCCCGACTCCGCAGCTCCCGCCGCCGCCGCCAAGCGCACCCTTCACTTCCGCTTCCGCACCGCACCGCCCCTGTCGCAAAACCGACGCCCTTCTCTCCTCTTCGCCCCGCCCCTTCCTCGCCCCGCCTCCGCCGCCGCGTCCTGTCCGCGCGGGGCATGCTGGGAACCCCGGGGGGGGCGGGGCCTCGCGGCCCTGCAGCCTCGTCAGGCTCAGTCCCCTCCCGATAAACCCCTAAATAGGGACTTTCCCGGGGGGTGACCCTGGCTTTTTTGGCGAAAACCCCCAGTTTAAGGAGGCCTTCCCCCTGGCTTCACGTTGTGGAGTCGAAAGGAACCTTGAAGCGGAGAATGAGCTCGTGACGTGGACCCGAGGAAAAAACCTGCCAACCAGGATTTAATAGAATTCAGCTCTTTCAGGCTTTGGAGGGAAGGCGATTTGAACGGGATTTCAATGAAAAACCCTGTCCCTTCGGCTTTTTTTTTTTCCTCTCTCGGGTCTCGTCACGTGATGGTCCTACTTTATTTTTAAAAATTAAATGGCGCATATTCCCCAGCATCCTAAATCTAGTGCAACCTAGTGGCAAGTGGAGAAAAAAATAACTGCCAACCTGGCTTCCTACGAGGTCCCCCGGAGTTCTCGCAAAGTTGCGACCCAGTTGGCAAAAATACAGTGTGTGCAAAGACTCAACTGGACATTGCCACCAAGAATCAAGAGATTTTTGGGGACTTTAGCAAGAAAACGTTATTTTTAAAAGCCCTGCTCCAAAGCTGGTTACAAATGAATACTGCGTTTCCAGTGACAGGTTGGGCGAGCAGAAAGGAAATCTTACGGTTAGTTTCAAACACTTTGTGTTTTAGGTGGCCAGATATGCTGTGTGGTTTGCTTTAAAAAAAAAAATAGCGCCCCACAATCTTCACGTTTCCCTGGAATAAAAAAAAATTTAAGACTCAGCAAAAGGGTGATTTCTGAAACTACCAGCTGATTACTATTTTCTGTTGCAAATTAGGAAAAAAGCAAAGCACATATTGTGTAAGTTAAATCTAGACACGATTTAGGATGTGCTAGCTGCTAGCTAAATGCTACCTTAGGAGTTTATTTTTAAAGTTTGCCCAGAAACAAGTTGACTTTGCAAAAGAATCAGTAAGTCGAAATTGCCAAACGAGAATATTTTGCCCAAAAAAATCCTTACTGGGAGGTTATTTCAATAGGCAATCCCCATTACGTGGGGATTAACACATCCCTGTAAACATCCCTGTAGACGGGTATTGTGGAGGGCAGGATCAGACATGTAGCTGAAGAATCCTTTGTGCCTGTATTTAATTTTCCAGAAGGCAGATGACAAGCACACATCCTCTCCCTGCGTAGGTATTTATTACTGCTGACTAAATCTTGACTGTGGGCTGGGCGCAGTGGCTCAGGCCTGTATTCCCAATACTTTGAGAGGCTACGGAGGGAGGATCTCTTGAGCCTACAAATTTGAGACTAGACTGGGAAACGGTGAAACCCTATCACTATTTAGAAAAGAAAGAAAAAGAAAAAAATCTTCATTATGTCTGTGTATAGGTAGTATTTTCCAAGTGGAGATTAGAATAGATGAAAAACCCGTTTCTAGCGTTTTGGCTTTTTTCAAAGTACCAAACAAATACGCTACTCTTCAGAGGTGTTTTTTCCCCATTTTATTTCAGTTGAGTATGTTTCAACACAAGCCATATTAACTAAAAATCTTAAGAAACAAGGTAATTGTAGGTTTCTAATTGCTTTTTTTAAAAAATAGTTTTTAGCCAGAAAACATCAAAGAATGCAGACACATTTCCTTTTTACTTTTTTTTTTTTTTTTTTTGAGACAAAGTCTTGCTTCATTGCCCAGGCTGGAGTGCAGTGGCAGGATCTTGGCTCACTGCAGCCTCCACCTCCCGGGTTCAACCGATTCTCATGCCTCAGCCTCCTGAGTAGCTAGGATTACAGGCGCCCACCACCATGCCTGGCTAATTTTTGTGTTTTTAGTAGAGACGGGATATTGCCATGTTGGCCAGGCTGGTCTCGAACTCCTAGCCTCAAGTGATCCTCCCGCCTCGGCCTCTTTAGGATTACAGGGCTGAGCCAACGAGCTTGACCACATTTTCTTTATATGTATATTTTTCTTTTAGATTCCTTTTTACCAAGCAGACACATTTTGTTTGACTTAGCTTGGCATTCTTTCAAGTCCAAAGCTGTAACTAGTCACAACAAGTAAATGTAGTGATTGAAAATGGGCGGGGCATGGTGACTCATGTCGTAATCCCAGCACTTTGGGAGGCTGAGACAGGAGGACCCCTTGAGGCTTGGTGTTTAAAACCAGCCTGAGCAACATGGTGTGACACTTGTCTCTATTAAAAAAATTTTTAAAAACAAAACAGTCGTATTAAGTGGAAGGCTAATAAAAGTCTGAATTACAAATACTTTTAAAAGAAATGTAATTTTATTGCTGCTTTCTAAAGACTAGGAGCCTAAGCAAAGTATACCAGGCCTTAGGAGACAATTATGAATCAAAATACATAAATTTTCTCTTAAGATATATTTTAAGTATGTATCCTCTATTAATTGTATTCCTGTTTCTTTGCTGGGAAAACTTTAGAGAGTACAAGTAACTTTCAGTTTTTCCCTTGTCCAAATTATAGTCTTCACATGTATGAAAACCGAAAGACTTTTTTGTGTGCTATTTAAGTAGCTACTTTACATGCAATTCAGCTTTTCAACTAACCAAGCTGTTATTAAAGGAGTTTCTCCCCAGAAACCAATCTTCTACCTGTATTAGGTTCAGTGGTTTGAATTAATAAATGATCATGGAAGGACCTAAGGAAGTTAAATTGAGTTATCTGCTCAGCCATAGTCCAAAGCTACAAGGAAAACAAATTGAATTTAAAAAGAACAAGAAAAACATTTTAAATGTTTTTAAGGTTTTACCCAATGACAAACCTATTTCCCTAAATGTTGTTCCCAAATAGGACTTTAAGGATTATTATTTCAATGCCCTCTCTTTTTTCTTTATGGAAAATTTGGGAAATTGAGAACCAACTAGTTTAAATACCTTGATCAAAGCCATTTAGGCAACACCAGTACCTCATCAGTTTGTGCTTCGGTTTCTCTGTAAGCTGAGGTGATTAGTTCCTGTCCAGAAACGTCACAGAGTGGTTAGGGCCAAATAAAATTCCGAGGGGGGCCAGGCGCAGTGGCTCACGCCTGTAATCCCAGCACTTTGGGAGGCCGAGGCAGGTGGATCACTTGAGGTCAGGAGTTCGAGACCAGCCTGGCCAAACCAACATGGTGAAACCCTGTGTCTACTAAAACTACAAAATTAGCTGGACGTGGTGGTGCACACCTGAAATCCCAGCTACTCAGGAATCTGAGGCAGGAGAATCGCTTGAACCCAGGAGGAAGAGGTTGCGGTGAGCCGAGATCGTGCCACTGCACTCCAGCCTGGGCAACAGAACGAGACTCCGTCAAAAAAAAGAAAAAAAAAATCCAAGGGGGGTTAATACCAGCTACTTGGTAGGCTGAGGCAGGAGAATCGCTTGAACTGGAAGGTGGAGGTTACAATGAGCCGAGATCGCACCACTGCACTCTAGCCTGGGCGACAGAGTGAGATTCCATCTTAATGAATAAGTAAATAAGTAATAAAATTCCTAAGGGGAGGCTTGGTGTGGTGGCTCATGCCTGTAATCCCAGCACTTTTGGAGGCTGAGGCGGGTGGAGCACTTGAGGTCAGGAGTTCAAAACCAGCCTGGCCAACATGGTGAAACCCTGCCTCTACTAAAATAGAAAAATTAGGTGGGCATGGTGGTGAACACCTGTAATCCCAGCTAGTCGAAAGGCTGAGGCAGGAGAATCGCTTGAACCCGGGAGGTGGAGGTTGCAGTGAGCCGAGATTGCAGCACTGCACTCTAGCCTGGGCAACAGAGTGAAACTCTGTCTCGAAATAAAATAAAATTCCAAGGGGGAAGGCATCAGACGTAGTAAAGTGTGAAGCAGCATGTAAATGATTCATTAATGTTTGGGAAGTTTCCTGAAAGACATTTGGTACTTTCCTTAAACCTGTTGATAGGTGGTGGGGTTCCCCTTTGTGCCTCTAAGCAGTTTTTAGGAATTAGCAAGGAGTTCAAAGTAGAATTTGAGAAAGGCTGTTGTAGGATAGCAGGAAGGCAAGATGGGGTGGGAGATCCTGTAATAGCTAAGATCTCTTTGCCTCTAGCATAGTGCTGAAGAAGGAGGGTTTAGGAGTCAGAGCCAGCTCTGAAGCCTGATTTGTTAATTACTAGTTGTAAGACCTCGGACAACTCAATTAACTTCCTGCACCTTTATTTTCTTATCTTTAACATGGATACAATTTAATGCTTTCCTGTGGTTCATCACCTGTGGTTCAGTTGCATGGTCTCCTCTCTACAGTGGCCTTCCCTGACTATAGCATCTGAAGTGACCCCTCCCAGCCCGTTGTATCAAATGGGCTTGCCTTAGTCATAGCACTTATCAGTATCTGAAATGACGTTACTTTTTCTGCTTATAGATTTAGTATGTTTCTCTCTTAACAATATAAGCCCTTTGAGGACAGGTACTTTGTCTGACTGTATTCACTGTGCTGTAAGGGTGCATTGTACAGAAGAATGCTCATAATGCCGGGTGCTGTGGTTCATGCCTATAATCCCAGCACTTTGGGAGGGAGGCTGAGGCAGGAGGATCACTTGAGCCCAGGAGTTCAAGACCAGCCTGGGCAACATAGTGAGATCCACGTCTCTACAAAAAAATGTAAAAATTAGCTGGGCGTGTTGGTGCACACCTGTGGTCCTAGCTACTCCGGAGGATGAGGTGGGAGGATCACTTGAGCCTGGGAGGTCCAGGATGCAGTGAGCTTTGATTATGCCACTGCACTCCAGCCTATGTCACAGGGTGAGACTCTGTCTCACAAAAAAAAAAAAAAGCTGGATAATAATATATATATTTTTAGTTTTTATGGGTACACTGTAGGTGTTTATATTTATGGGGTACATGAGATATTTTGATAACAGGCATGCAATGCATCATAATCACATCAGGGTAAATGGGTGTCCATGACCTCAAGCATTTATCCTTTCTTTGTGTTACAAGCACTCCAATTATACTCCTTTAGTTATTTTAAAATGTACAATACATTGTTGTGGACTGTAGTCACCCTGCTGTGCTCCCAAATACTAGATCTTATTCATTCTAACTCTATTTTTGTACCCACTAACCAGAATGTTCGGTATTTGTTAATGAACATGTTATGACAGGATGTTTTAGAAGAAAATAAAGAAAAAAAGAAATTCCAGCCAAGCATGGTGGCTTGATTTTATTTATTTATTTATTTTGAGATGAAGTCTCCCTCTGTCTCCCAGGCTGGAATGCAGTGGCGTGATCTCCACTCACCGCAACCTCTGCCTTCTGAGTTACATGGCTCACGCCTGTAATCCCAGCACTTTGGGAGACTGAGGTGTATTGCTTGAGGTCAGGAGTTCGAGACCAGCCTGGCCAACACAGTGAAACCGTGTCTCTACTAAAAATACAAAAAATTAGCTGGGCGTAATGGTGGGCGCCTGTAATCCCAGCTACTAGGGAGACTAAGACAAGAAAATCGCTTGAATCTGGGAGGCAGAGGTTGCAGTGAGCCGAGATCGCACCATTGCACGCCAGCCTGGGCAACAAGAGGGAAACTCTGTCTCGAAAAGAAAAAAATTATTTTTTAATTTTAATTTGTTAGTGAACAATTAGGGTTGCTGTGAGAATTGTGCCTGGCACACACAGCCATTTAAAAATCACGATCTTCAGGCAGTGTGTGGTGGCTCACGCCTGTAATCCCAGGACTTTGGGAGGCCGAGGTGGGTGGATCACCTGAGGACAGGGATTCGAGAGCAGCCTGGCCAACATGGTGAAACCCCGTCTCTACTAAAAATATAAAAATTAGCCGGGTGTGGTGATGCGGGCCTGTGATCCCAGCTACTCGGGAGGCTGAAGCAGGAGAATTGCTTGAACTCAGAAGGCAGAGGTTGCAGTGAGTGGAGATCACGCCACTGCATTCCAGCCTGGGAGACAGAGGGAGATTTCATCTCAAAATAAATAAATAAACAAAATCAAGATCATTTAACAAATACATATATTGTACTTACTAAGTTCAAATTTCTGTTCTAAACGTTTTTACAAATGCTGTTAAGTCATTTAGTCCTCTGCATAATGTCGTTTGTTTGTTTGTCTGTTCTTTAAGACGGAGTCTTGCCCTGTCGCCTAGGCTAGAGTGCAGTGGTGTGATCTCGGCTCACTGCAACCGCCACCTCCCGGTTTCCCGTGATTCTCCTGCCTCAGCCTCCTGAGTAGCTGGGATTACAGGTGCGTGCCACCACATCCGGCTAATTTTTTGTATCTTTAGTAGAGACGGGGTTTCACCATGTGCCAGGCTGGTCTTGAACTCCTGACCTCGTGATCCACCCGCCTTGGCCTCCCAAAGTGCTGGGATTACAGGCGTGACCACCGCGCCAGACCCATAATGGCGTTTTATAGATGGGGAAACGGAGTCATAGAGGCTAAACAACTTTCCCAAGACCACACAGTTAGTAAGGGGCAGGACTAGGACTCAAAGCCAAGTTTATGACCAAATTCTGGTGCACTACGTTCTCCTGCTTCTGGAGAAGATAATGATGCTGAAGATTCTACTTTTGGTGTAAAGGAGTAGGAAGGGCACGGGGCACTGCTAGCTTCAGTGGGCCTGAATCTTTGTCTTTCCTTCTGATTTGGAGAAAGTGCAAGAATGGGAAAATGCAATCGAAGTGAAGGAGAGGCCGGCGTATTTTCCTGAAATGCGCGGCCCGCAAGCCCAAACCCGTTTCCCGGGTGTCCAGGCAGCGTTCTGCAGCATCTCCAATGCCCGCCAGCCCGCCGCAGCCCAGCGCCCGGCAGCCGGCGCCTCTCAAACCCCCTCCGGCCAGGAGCCTTCGCCGCTTGGCCGCGCCGCGCCCGGCCTGGGAAAAAAGTTTCCAAACGACGCTGCTCTGCGCTGATTGGCCGAGGCGGACGCGGTACCGTAGAGCAGCAGCCAATGGGAGGCGCCGACCGCAGGCTCCGGGGCGGGGGCGGGGTCCGGAGGGCCGGGGCCGCACCGCCCTTCGCAGCCGCCTCTGCCGCCGCCGCCGCGTTGGCCTCGCCGCCCCTGCTCGGGTAAGTGAGGCGCTGCGCGGGGCTGGGGTCGGGGTGGCTGTCCGGGGACCTCCACCGCGGCTGAAAAGCTCCTCTGCCCCGCCCCAGGATCCCGGGACCCCGGGCCACCGCCTGGCAGGGACCCCTACGCCCCTCGCTTGCGCGTCGCTTCCCGGCCGCCTGGACTCCCCCGGTCCCTGGGCTCCAAAATCCCGCCTCCCTGGAGCCTCCCGTCCTAAAAAGTTAGGCACTGAGTGCCTTGCCACCGGTGCGTTCCTCGCGCTGGCCCCTCGCCCTTGGCAACTTTGTTTCTCTTTCTGCGTTGGTCTCTCTCCCACCCCGTTGCCCTCTTCTCCTTCCGGGACTTCCTGGGTGGTTAAGCCTTGCCGGTCCCCAAACCCCGCTGCCAGGCTCCATCCTCTTTCTCCTCTTCCTTCCTCCCCATACTCCTCTCCTAGATGACCCTCGTTTCTTTTCTCTCTCTCTCCTATTCCTCCATCCTGCCACCCGCTTCTCTGCGACCCCAGACCCCTCGATTGCAGCGTTGCCCCTGCCCTCACACCCACTGTCCCGCCCCTGCAGGCCTCTTTCCAAAAACCCACCCTGCTCCCTCCCTCCGGGAACACGTTTGGGGCAGTCTGCTCTCCGCTTTGCTCCCGTCTCTGCCGCAGGACGGTTCAGGTTTCTTCTGACAGCACTTTGGGGAGGGATTGGGTAAAGGACGAAAATGCTTATTCCGCAGCTTGAGTGATGGCTGGGCTCACTGAGGACCTGAGTCTCTGAGGTCCTGGGAAACCCCGCTGTCACCTTGACACCGCTTTTGGGGAGGCGACTTTATCTTCTCCGAGCCATCTCAGGCTTTCTGCCTCCTGAGGGCCTGAGCTTCCTTGATTGCTTTGTCCGTGGTTACTACCAGGTTGTGCCTCTTAATTTCTACTTTGAGCCTCAGGCCCCTTTTAACTTTCTAAAGAAAAGGCCTTTGCAGCACGACCTAGGCAGGTTCATCATTTTTAGTTTTGTTATAGTGTATTCTAGCATAGGATGGCATTTTAGGACATGGGTCGGGTGTTTTGAAGATTAATTAGATCCCAGCTACTCCTAAAGCCTCTTGTTACCCGACCACCCCAGCCTCCATCACCTCGTTGGTATACAACCCGTTTTTTTTTTTTTTTTTTTGTTTTTGTTTTTGAGACAGAGTCTCACTCTCGCCCAGGTTGGAGTGCAGTGGTGCGATTTTGGCTCACTGCAACCTCCGCTTCCCGGGTTCAAGCGATTCTCCTGCCTCAGCCTCCGGAGTAGCTGGGACTACAGGTGCGTGCCACCACGCCTGGCTAATTTTTTGTATTTTTAGTAGAGATGGGGTTTCACCGTGTTAGCCAGGATGGTCTCGATTTCCTGACCTCGTGATCTGCCCCCTCGGCCTCCCAAAGTGCTGGGATTACAGGCGTGAGCCACCGTGCCGGCCTACAACCCATTTTGAGCCTTTCCTCTTAGTGTGTGTTTTGTGTAGGATTAAATGCAGATGATCTGTGCCGCTGAAGTCTCAGGGGCCTGTGATTCATATATTTTATCCCATGTTGGATAACAGTTTATTAACTTGACTTATTTTTGTTTCCAAAGTGTGTTATTTATTATTTATTTATTTATTTATTTTGAGACGGAGTCTTGTTCTTGTCCAGGCTGGAGTGCAGTGGCATGATCTCGACTCACTGCAACCTCAGTCCTCCGGGTTCAAGTGATTCTTCTGCCTCACCCTCCTGAGTAGCTGGGATTACAGGTGCGTGCCACCATGCCCGGCTAATTCTTAGTAGAGATGGGGTTTCACCATATTGGCCAGGCTGGTCTCAAACTTCTGACCTCGTGATCTGCCCACCTCAGCCTCCCAAAGTGTTGGGATTACAGGCATGAGCCACTGCACCCGACTCTATCATTATTATTATTTTTTATGTAGAGGCAGAATCTTGCTTTGTTGCCCAGGCTGGTCTCAAATTCCTGGGCTCAAGCAGTCCTCCTGCCTTGGCCTCCCACAGTGCTGAGATTACTTGCAGGCATGAGCCACTGCATGCAGCCCAAAGTGTGTTCTTTTGCCTTAGAATGTGAGCCGAGAATTGACACTCCTTTTCCTCACAAGGTAATTTCCTAACATGAGCATTCCTGTGTACAGAAAGTTTGTGCCTGCAGTTAGTACTACACGTGCACCTCGTGCAATGGATGTGGGTGCTTTTTGTCTGCCTCCTTCAGCAGTGCCCAGCACTTAGTAGGTATTCAAGAAATGTTTGAAAAGGGTTGGAGGAGGCAAAACCACAGTAGGAAAAATTCTTTCCCTGTCACTTGGTTCAGTAGAATAAAATTATCCTGGAACAATAGCTATTTTACTTTTTGTCCAAGTTTTTGTTTGTTTGTTTTTTGAGACGGGATCTCACTCTGTCGCCCAAGCTGGAACACAGTGATGCAATCACAGCTCACTGCAGTCTCGACCTCTCAGGCTCAAGCAATCCTCTTGCCTGAGCCTCCCAAGTAGCTGGGACTAAAAGCACATGCCACCATGCTTGGCTAATTTTTAAAATTTTTTGTAGAGATTGGGGTCTCACTATGTTGCCCAGGCTGGTCTCGAACTCCTGGGTTCAAGCGATCCTTCCGCCTCAGCCTCCCAACGTGCCGGGGTGGGAGAGAGCCACCGCGCCTGGCCTAAGCTTTTTAAAATCTCTAAAGCGATCTATGCTTACTGTATATATGTGTATGTAGTTTACCTTAAAGCAAGGTGTCAGGTACAAATCCACAGGGCTTGCTTTACCCCCATTCTGGTGCATCCTCCAGACCCTTTTCTATTCTGTGTACAGAGAGAGGGAAATAAACAAAAATGGGCACCCATTTTTAACATATCCTGAGCTTTCTTCCATATTAGTACTTACAGTTCTTAACAACTGCATCGTTTTCCATTCAGTCCTCTGTTGACATTGAGGTTTCCAGTTTTCCACATTCGTGAATGATGGTGTGCATCTTTGAACATGGGTCCTTGCCTGCCTAAGTATTTTTGTAGGTTGATCATTGTAAACTTGGAAAGCACAAAGACAGAAGCCAGGCTTGCTGACTCTTGACTGATGTTGCCCCAGTGATGTCACTCCTGCAAAATGCAAAGCCTGCGTCCTGGCTGTCGGAGCATGTGTGGACATTTGGCAGCTTCTTTCTCTTCCCTCCTGCTCTTCTGTTTGTTTTGATTGGGAAGGATATGGAGTGGGGATGGAGAAGGGTGTTGAGTAATTATCGATGGTTTCTGTATGTTTATTGCTCCTGACTAGCAGTGCTGGGTTTCTTCTCTCAGAGGAAAGCTGAAAGAGATTGCTTTGCTTTTTTCCAGAGTTTTAAAATCAGAGGTGTGTGTCTCGAGTGTATTTTCAGACTTTTTTGTTAGCTTTAATCATGTAAAACATGCAAAAAAAAAAAAAGCATGTGGAAACAATTTTTTTTTTTTGAGACGGGTTCTCGCTCTGTCACACAGGCTGGAGTGCTGTGGGGCGATCTCGGCTCACTGCAACCACCGCCTCCCATGCTCAAGTGATCCTCCCACCTCAGCCTCCTGAGTAGCTGGGACCACAGGTGTGCATCACCACACCTGGCTAATTTTTTTGTGTTTTTGGTAGAGATGGGGTTTCACCATGTTGCCCAGGCTGGTCTCTTATCTGCTGACCTCAGGTGATCTGCCTGCCTCACCCTCCCAAAGTGCTGGGATTACAGGCATGAGCCACCACACCCGGCCGGAAACAAATTTTTGAAGGAGGCATAGATCTCTGTTGTGCAAAATAGATACTTTTTGTACCACTGGGTCCTAGTTTGTCATTGTTCCTTGCATGATCCCATCAGATTTGTCTACAGAGCTGCTGGGGCATGATGGTGTGGTGGCGTATTAAGAACGCAGGTTAGTGGCACACAGATGAAATAAATGCATGTGGGGTGCATTTTTAAGATAGCAGGTGCAAAGTTGTATATACTGAGACCAGGCATTAACACTTGCCTATTACAGTGCCTTTTAAAACACTATGTGAGGGCCGGGTGCAATGGCTCACACCTGTAATCCCAGCACTTTGGGAGGCCTAGGTGGGCAGATCACCTGAGGTCAGGAGATCGAGACCAGCCTGGCCAACGTGGCGAAACCCCGTCTCTCCTAAAAATACAAAAAATTAGCCAGTCGTGGTGGCATGCACCTGTAATCCGAGGTACTAGGGACGCTGAGGTAGGAGAATCGCTTGAAGCTGCGAGGCAGAGGTTGCAGTGAGCTGAGATCACACCACTGCACTCCAGCCTGGGCAACAGAGAAAGAGATTCCGACTCAAAAAAAAAAAAAACAAAAAAAAAAAAAACAAAACTGGACCAAATGAAACAAGTGAATCTGATCTGCAGTCAGTCAGTTTGCAACCCCTGGGAAGCCTTGGACTTGAATGCAAAGATCCCTTGAACTTGGATCTAGTTTGCCTCTGCTGCTCACATGCACATTTAGAGATGGCCAAGGCATACGGTGTTTCTGCTTCCAAGAAACAGAGTGGTTGTCCTGTTTAGCCATCTCTTACAGTCACACAGCTTAAAGAAGATAATGTTTGCAAACAATTTTTGAAATGTCTAGCACACAGCAAACAGAAGGTCAAATTCAGTACTTAATGCTGATAAAATAAGAGAACCCTTGCAAGTCATGTTGCCTGCTTTCTGCCACAGAGAGTACTGCAATAGAACTTTCTGACGTTTTCATGTTGTTTATTTATTTATTTTTTGAGACAGAGTCTTGCTCTTGTGCCCAGGCTGGAGTGCAGTGGTACAATTTCTGCTCACTGCAACCTCTGCCTCTGGGTTCAAGCAATTCTTGGGCCTCAGCCACCCAAGTAGCTGGAATTATAGGTGCGCTCTACCACACCTGGCTAATTTTTGTGTTTCTAGTAGAGACAGGGTTTCACCATGTTGCCCAGGCTGGTCTTGAACCCCTGGGCTCAAGCAATCCACCCACCTCAGCCTCCCAAAGTGCTGGGACTACAGGCGTGCATCGTGACGCCCTGCTGATTTGTGTATTTTTAGTAGAGACGGGGTTCACCTTGTGCTGGTCTCAAACTCCTGGGCTCAAGCAATCTGCCCACCTCAGTCTGCCAAAGTGCTGGGATTACAGGCGTGAGCCATCGTGCCCGGCCTCTCTCTGACATTTTTGAATGGCAAAGGCAAAAATCTTATACTTTTAAGGATGTGGAGAAATAGGAACACTTTTACACTGTTGGTGGGACTGTAAACTAGTTCAACCATTGTAGAAGTCAGTGTGGTGATTCCTCAGGGATCTAGAACTGGAAATACCATTTGACCCAGCCATCGCATTACTGGGTATATACCCAAAGGACTATAAATCATGCTTCTATAAAGACACATGCACACGTATGTTTATTGCGGCATTATTCACAATAGCAAAGACTTGGAACCAACCCAAATGTCCAGCAATGATAGACTGGATTAAGAAAACGTGGCACATATACACCATGGAATACTATGCAGCCATAAAAAATGATGAGTTCATGTCCTTTGTAGGGACATGGATGAAATTGGAAATCATCATTCTCAGTAAACTATTGCAAGAACAAAAAACCAAACACCGCATATTCTCACTCATAGGTGGGAATTGAACAACGAGAACACATGGACACAGGAAGGGGAACATCACACTCTGGGGACTGTTGTGGGGTGGGGGGAGGGGGGAGGGATAGCATTGGGAGATATACCTAATGCTAGATGACGAGTTAGTGGGTGCAGCACACCAGCATGGCACATGTATACATATGTAACTAACCTGCACATTGTGCACATGTACCCTAAAACTTAAAGTATAATAATAATAAAGAAAAAGAAAAAAAAAGATTGCTGTTTTATGATAAAGTGAAGTGCAGCTGTTACTTCTTCCTTCTTTGCTTCCAGCATCTCTCTTCCCTAAGGATTGCTTTTAAAATGTAAGAGTTTTTGGTTGAAATGCTGTTCCTGTGGTTTTTGTCTCTTGGTTGGAGTGAAAGATTTTGCAGGCTGTGATACAAATCCAGTTCTCTGCTTATTTTCTCCTCAGTCCTTGAAATCCAAAACCAGATCCCTCCCATTGGCCCGTTGTAATTAGAACCTGCCCCACAATAGACGCACCTCCTAAAGCATCTCAGATTCATTTCTTTCCTGAGGATTAAGTTTTTAAACCTTCCTGGCCAAGATAACAGTGTTTTAAGAGGCTCTTTTCTTTTATTATTATTATTATTATTATTACTCTTTTCTTTTTTTGAGATGGAGTCTTGCTCTGTCACCCAGGCTGGAGTGCAGTGGCAGGATCTCTGCTCACTGGAACCTCCACCTCCCGGGTTCAAGAGTTTCTTCTGTTTCAGCCTCCTGAGTAGATGGGATTACAGGCATGTGCCACCATGCCCAGCTAATTTTTGTATTTTTAGCAGAGATGGGGTTTTACCATGTTGGCCAGGCTGGTCTCGAACTCCTGGCTTCAAGTGATCTACCCGCTGTGGCCTCCCAAAGTATCAGGATTACAGGCATGAGCCACAGCACCCTGCCAGGCTTGGGTGTTCAAGGAAGAGAAAGAAGGCAGTGTGGCTGGGACATAAGTGAATGAGAGGTGGTAGGGTAAGAAATGTGTAGAAAACTATGCAGGGGCCTGATCACATTGGATCTTGCACATCTTTTTCCAAACCTCAGGAGGAGTCATTCTGCTTTTGTTGTTACTGGTTCCTCACTTCCGCACTTTATTGTATGCTGACAACCTTCCATACCATGGGACTGAGACTGCCCTCAATAGTATCACCAATGTCTTTTTTTGTTTTTTTTTTTTGAGGCAGAGTTTCACTCTTGTCGTCCAGGTTGGAGTGCAATGGCGTGATCTTGGCTCACTGCAACCTCCGCCTCCTGGGTTCAAGCGATTTTCCTGCCTCAGTCTTCCGAGTAGCTGGGGTTACAGGAGCCTGCCACCACACCTGGCTAATTTCTTGTATTTTTAGTGGAAATGGAGTTTCACCATGTTGGCCAGGCTGGTCTTGAACTCCTGACCTCAGGTGAACCACCCGCCTTGGCTTCCCAAAGTGTTGGGATTACAGGCATGAGCCAACGCACCCAGCCACCAATATCTTAATGGCCACACAGTGCTCATTGATAGATGCCTTGGCCCTGGGCTATTGTTGCTATAGAATTGGTTTGATGAGTACATATTACATGAGATCTGGGCTCATTAGAGCTTATGGCTTGAGCAGGGACTCCTTGGCCTAGGTTTATGCTGCTCCTGGCCTTGTTAATGACTGCTATTAACACTCTACCCCCTTTTTATTTTTTTGAGATGGGGTCTTGTTCTGTCGCCCAGGCTGGGAGGCTGGAATGCAGTGATCTTGGCTCACTGCAGCCTCCGCTTCTCAGGCTTAAGTGATTTTTCCTGCTTCATCCTTCTGAGTAGCTGGGACTACAGGCACGCACCGCCGTGCCCGTTTGATTTTTGTTTTTGTTTTTTTAGTAGACACGGGGTTTCACCATGTTGCCCAGGCTGGTCTCAAACTCCTGACCTCAAGTGATCTGTCTGCCTCGGCCTCACAAAGGGCTGGGATTACAGGCATGAGCCATTGCGCCAGGCACCACTCTACCCTTTTGACTTTGAGCAAGTAAGGTCGTTGATTCCATACATTCATTAAGATTCCTGCGTGGCAGAAATCTAACCCCAACTGGTATAACCAAGACAAGGAATTGATTATCTCATAACCTTAAATCAGGTGTGGCTGCATCTAGGTGTTCAAATGATATTGTCAGGACCCAGGCTCTCCATCCCTTGGCCCAGCTTTCCTCTGTTTTGGCTTCACTCTGAGGCAGGCTCTCCCTTGTGATAGCAAGATGACCACCGGCAGTTTCAGGCTTACCTCCGGCTTCAGGCTTACCTCCAGCTTCAGGCTTACCTTACCAACCCTAGTGGAAAGAGAGTTTCATTTTTGACAGCTATGCAAAAGGTCTGGACCTGGGCCCTCACTGGCTTAGTATGGGTTAGGCCCATCCTTAAGCCAATCATTGGCTCAGCATGGGTTAGATCCGTGACTGTCACTGGCTGAGCATGGGGGTTAGGCTCACCCTATCATTGGCTCTGCGTGAATTAGGCCCACCTCTGTCACTGGCTCATCGTGGGTTAGGCCCACCCATGAGCTGATCACTAAGGTCGTGAATAGGCATATGCCTCTTCCCAGGTGTGGAGGATGATGTCAGATCCCTCTGAACTCATGAAATGAGTAGGGTATTCTCCCAAGGGAATATTGTGCTGTCACAGAAGATGGAAAAATGAATGCATGTCTGGAAAAAACAAGCAAAACTACAAATCATTAGCTTTATATGACATTTATTTATTTTTTGTTTATATGTTTTTGAAATGGAGTCTTGCTCTGTTGCCCAGGCTGGAGTGCAGTGGTGTGATCGTGGTTCACTGCAACCTCTGGCTCCCGGGTTCAAGCGATTCTCATGCCTTAGCCTCCCGAGTAGTTGGGATCATAGGTGCCTGCCACCACACCCAGCTAATTTTTGTGCTTTTAGTGTAGACAGGATTTTACCATGTTGGCCAAGCTTGTCTTGAACTCTTGACCTCAAGTCATCTGCCTGCCTCAGCTTCCCAAAGTGTTGAGATTACAGGCATGAGCCACCACGTCTGGCCAGCTTTGTATGACATTTCGCCTTTCTGCCTTGATCAAACTTTCAGAGAATCTGCTTTCCAGAGGGATGAGTGGGTCGGGAAATAGCATGTTTTCTCTGAATGAGGGAAAGGATTGAAAAAGTAGGAGGGAGAAAGGATGTGAATATGAGTCCCAACAAATGCAGAGTTATCGGTAAGTTTTGTGCTTGAATCTAGGTACAATTGTGCATTTCCTGGTTCTGCATGAATTAGGCCCACCTCTGTCATTGGCTCAACATGGGTGAGGCTCACTAACTTCCACCAGAAGTTAGTGGTGGTGTCTGTGTTGACACTTACATGTTTAGCCTAATGATTTCATGTTTTAACCAAAACTATATAGCTTGTTGGTTATATCTTAGAAAGTGATGGTTTTTGCTCATTCTTTTGTCCCCAGGGATACACACCAGCCTCTAAGTTCTCTTGAGGGAAGGAAGGGACCTTGCACACAATCTTTTTTTTTTTTTTTTTTTTTTTTTTTTTGAGAGGAAGTCTCACTCTGTCACCCAGGCTGGAGTGCAGTGGTGCGATCTCGGCTCACTACAACCTCTGCCTTCTGGGTTCAAGTGATTCTCCCGCCTCAGCCTCCCGAGTAGTGGGGATTACAGGCGCACACCACCATGCCCGGCTAATTTTTATATTTTTAGTAGAGATGGGGTTTCAGTGTGTTGGCCAGGCTGGTTTCAGACTCCTGAGCTCAGGTGATTCACCTGCCCTGGCCTCCCAAAGTACTGGGATTACAGGTGTGAGCCACTGCGCCCGGCCTTGGACACAATCTTTTTTTTTTTTTTTTTTGAGACGGAGTCTCGCTCTGTCACTCAGGCTGGAGTGCAGTGGCACGATCTCAGCTCATTGCAACCTCCACCTCCTGGGTTCAAGCAATTCTCCTGCCTTAGCCGCCTGAGTAGCTGGGACTACAGGTACCTGCCACTGCGCCCGCCTAATTTTTGTATTTTTAGTAGAGATGGGGTTTCACCATATTGGCCAGGCTGGTCTCAAACTCCTGACCTTGTGATCTGCCCGCCTCGGCCTCCCAAAGTGCTGGGATTACAGATGCGAGCCACTGAGTCTGGCCTGGACACAATCTTACTTGGATTCCTCATGCCCTTTTGACAAGCTCAGAGCCTCAAATAAATTCAGAAAATAGGTGATTACATCAAACAGCCTCTATCAACAGGGAGTATACAAACCGTTAGCCCAACTGTTAATAGAAGTCTGCTTTCTTGCTGGGTGTGGTGGCTCACACCTAGAATCCTAGTGCTTTGGGAGTACAAGGCAGGAGGATCGCTTGAGCCCAGGAATTTGAGACCAGCCTAGGCAACATAGTAAGACCCCATCTCTTAAAAAAAAAATTAGCTTGGCGTAGTGGCCTATACCTGTAGTCCCAGCTAGTCAGGAGGCTGAGGCAGGAGGATCAGTGCCGCCTAGGAGTTCAAAGATGCAGTGAGCTATGATTGTGTCACTGCACTCCAGCTGGGTTGACAGATTGAGACCCTATCTCTTAAAAAAAAAATTGCTTCCCTCACCTCTGCTGTGAAACAGCTCAAAGTCCTGAGAGCCAAGGCCCCTACCGCCCACATCCTCTAGCTGTTGGCTAATTTATTTCATCGTCTTTTAGGTAATTCTCCAGAATTCCATCGCTTTCCTCTTTTTCACCTCCCAGTTACTCCTGCACTCAGTTCTTCGTCTTTCCTCCTCCACTGTGTAGAAACTGTTCTTGCTCACACCGCCAGTGACCGACTTTCGCTCAGCCTTGTGGATATTTTCCAGCCCTTATCTTCCCTGCTTCTCTGTTGCATCCTTGTGACACTGGAATGTTTCCCTTTTTTCCCTTGAAACCGCCCACTCCCAGGACAGCACAGTCTTCCTGATTCTCATCTCTCTCACTCTGTTTCTTCTCTGCCTCCTTCGGTTACCATTTCTTAAACTGCCCACCTTTCCAATATTGGCATTCTTCACTGTTCCATACACAGTCCCTAGGCGATTCTTCCATGGTCACGAGGAAAAGAGAAAAACCAGCTATAGACGCATGACTTTCAAATGGATATTGTTGACCCAATTTCAACCCTGAGTTTCAGCTGCGATATTGCATCTTGGTGTGTCATGGACATGTCAAGCTGTGAATGTCTGAGACTGGGTTTGTTATCTCTCCTTAACCCACCCACCTACCCAAGAGTTTTACTTGTTTTTTTTTTTTTTTTGAGTCTCGCTCTGTCACCCAGGCTGGAGTGCAGTGGCGCCATCTCGGCTCACTGCAAGCTCCGCCTCCCGGGTTCAAGCCATTCTCCTGCCTCAGCCTCCTGACTAGCTGGGACTACAGGCACCCGCTGCCAGGCCTGGATAATTTTTTGTATTTTTAATAGAGACAGTGTTTCACCATGTTAGCCAGAATGGTCTTGATCTCCTAACCTCGTGATCCACCTGCCTCGGCCTCCCAAAGTGCTGGGATTACAGGTGTGAGCCACCGCGCCCGGCCGAGTTTTCCTTTTGATTGTCCTTTTTTTTTGAGACGGGATCTTGCTGTGTTGCCCAGGCTGGAGTACAGTGGCATGGTCATGGGTCACTGCAGCCTCGACCTCTCCTTGCCCCTCATCCTCTCGAGTAGCTGGAACTACAGACACACCACCATGACCAGCTAGTTTTTGTATTTTTTGTAGAGATAGGGTCTCACCAGGTTGCCCAGGCTGGTCTGGAACTCCTGGGCTCAAGCATTCCACCTGCTTTGGCCTACCAATGTGCTGGGATTACAGGTGCGAGGCACTGCACCCAGCCACCTTCTGGAAGTCTTTATCTCTGGTGATGGGGATGGTGGCGGCACCCAATTGCCTAAGGTAGAGCCCCAGAAGATGTCCTCACCTCCTTTTTCTCTCTCCCCTGCCCCGAAAAGTCATAATTCATCAAGTTCTGGTAAGTTTGCCTTCTAAATATTTTTGGAGTCCATTTCTGTTCCCTCCATCTTCATTCCTACTTTCTTTTTTTTTAGACAAGGTCTCACTCTCTTGCCCAGGCTGGAGTGCAGTACCGTGATCATAGCTTACTGCAGCCTCAAATTCCTGGACTCATGTGATCCTCCTTCCTCAGCCTCCAGAGTAGCTAGGACTACAGATGTGTTGCACCACACCAGTCTAATTTTTTAAAAAGTTTTTTTGTCAAGGTAGGGTCTTGCTGTGTTTCCCAGGCTGGTCTTGAACTCCTGGTCCCAAGTGGTCCTCTTGCCTTGGCCTCCCATAGTGCTGGGATTATACGTGTGAGCCACTGTACCTGGCCTATTCTCACTTTCTAATTCAGGCCACGTTCCTTTCTCTTTTCTTTTTTTTTTTTTTTTTTTTGAGATGGAGTCTTGATCTGTCGCCCAGGCTTGAGTGCAGTGGCGTGATCTCGGCTCACTGCAAGCTCTGCTTCCCAGGTTCACGCTATTCTCCTGCCTCAGCCTCCCGAGTAGCTGGGACTACAGGCACCTGCCACCACGCCCAGCTAATTTTTTTGTATTTTTAGTAGGGACAGGGTTTCACCGTGTTAGACAGGATGGTCTCAATCTCCTGACCTCATGATCCGCCTGCCTCGGCCTCCCAAAGTGCTGGGATTACAGGCATGAGCCACCGTGCCTGGTCTCTTTTCTTTTTTAAATAGGATCTCACTTCATCACCCAGGCTTTAGTGCAGTGGCACTATCTTGGCTCACCGCAACCTCTGCCTCCTGTGCTCAGGTGATCCTCCCATCTCAGCCTCCTGAGTAGCTGGGAACACAGGCATGTGCCACCACAGCTGGCTGATATTTTTCTATTTTTAGTAGAGACGGAGTTTCTCCATGTTACCCAGGCTGGTCTCAAACTCCCAGGCTCAAGCGATCTGCCTACCTTGGCCTGTCAAAGTGCTGGGATTATAGGCGTGAGCCACTGCACCTGGCCTCCACCTTCCTTTCTTTCTTGCATTGCTGCAGGAGCTCCCCATCTTAGGCCTTGTCCTTCCTCTGCCTGTCCATGGCCACCAGGACCAGCTTTTTAAGCAGGAGAGCCCATCATATCACATCACTCTCTTCCCTAACTTTCTCCAATGGTTTCCCATTGCCACTAAGTTTCTTAACATCTTGCAAAAGCCGTCTGTGACTTAGCCCCTTTATTTCAGTCTGTCCAGGTAGGTTCCCTTCCACTCGTCACCTTTCAACCCAGGCTTACCAGACTCCCTCTAGCTCCCCTACAAGTGCCTGGCTGTTTCTCCTCATTCCTTCTTCCCCTGCTCAATTACCATTGCCTTCCAGTTCTTTCATATTCTTTTTTTTTTTTTTTTGAGACGGAGTCTCATTCTGTCGCCCAGTCTGGAGTGCAGCGGCACGATCTCAGCTCACTGCAACTTCCACCTCCCAGGTTCAAGTGATTCTACCGCCTCAGTCTCCTGAGTAGCTGGGAGTATGGGTGCCCGCCACCACGCCCAGCTAATTTTTGTATTTTTTTTTAGTAGAGACGGAGTTTCACCATATTGGCCAGGCTGGTCTCGAACTCCTGCCCTCGTGATCTGCCTGCCTCAGCCTCCCAGTGTGCTGGGATTACAGGCGTGAGCCACTGCACCTGGCTTTTTCATATTCTTTCACATGCTCCTCATGTGTCGCCTCTTCTAGGAAGCCTTCCTTGACTTTCGGGTTGAGTTTTGAACTTCTTAAATATCCTGGGCACTGATAGAAATGTATTTTCAGGTGCATACATATTTCAGAACACACCAATGTGTATACTCAAATATATGCAATTTATTGCATGTCAAAATCCTGTGCACATTTCTGTGGCTATACTAGGCACATAGTTTTATCATAATTTACATGGGGTTGGGTGCGGTGGTTCACGCCTGTAATACCAGCACTTTGGGAGGCTGAGGTGGGTGGTTCACTTGAGGTCAGGAGTTTGAGACCAGCCTGGCCAACATGGTGAAACCCTGTCTCTACTAAAAATAGAAAAATTAGCCAGGCGTGGTGGCGCATGCCTGTAAAATCGCAGTTGCTCGGGAGGCTGAGGCACAAGAATCATTTGAACCCAGGAGGCAGAGGTTGCAGTGAGCTGAGATCACGCCACTGCACTCCAGCCTGGGTGATAGAGCAAGAGTCTGTCTCAAATAATAATTATAATTATTATTTTATGCGTAATTTCCATTCCAGCCCCCACTCCCCCACTCCCTCCACCAGACTGTGAGGCCCCTTTAGGGAAGGCAGGCATCTTGGAGACGTTTTATGTGGCTCCCTAGGTCCTTTAGTAGGTGCTCAATAAATATTTGCATAGGGATATCCATGAGCCTTGATGTTAACCCAGGGAATATAACAGGTGAGTGGATTGTGTTTTGTTTGGGTTTAGCTTCAGATTTTTGGCAGTATTTAATCATTTAACCCAGCATAAAGTTTATTTATTTATTTATTTATTTTGACACAGAGTCTCGGTCTGTCACTCAAGCTGGAGTGCAGTGGCGCCATCTCGGCTCACTGCAAGCTCCACCTCCTGAGTTCACACCATTCTCCTGCCTCAGCCTCCTGAGTAGCTGGGACTACAGGCACCCGCCACCACACCCAGCTAATTTTTCGTATTTTAGTAGAGACGGGGTTTCACCATGTTAGCTAGGGTGGTCTCGATCTCCTGACCTCGTGATCCGCCCGCCTCAGCCTCCCAAAGTGCTGGGATTATAGGCGTGAGCCACCGCGCCTGGCCAAGTTTTTTTTTTTTTTTCTGTTAAAGGGGATCAGCTGTTTAACCAGATGTGGGTAATCATTTTGAAACCTTCTCTCCTAGACACCATGCCACAAGGAGAGTGATCTCTTCCCCTGTTTTCACAATGGAGGACTCCGGAAAGACTTTCAGCTCCGAGGAGGAAGAAGCTAACTATTGGAAAGATCTGGCGATGACCTACAAACAGAGGTCAGTCCGAGTTCACCTGCTTTTCCTTTTTTTTTTTTTTTTGAGATGGGGTCCTGCTATGTTACCTAGGCTGAGTGCGGTGGCTGTTCCTAGGCGTGATCATAGTGCACAGCCGCCTTAAACTCCTGGGCTTAAGCGATCATCCTGGCTCAGCCTCCCAAGTAGATGGGACTATAGGTGTGCTTCATCAGGCCAGGCTTTTTTTTTTTTGGCGGAAACAGGGGTCTCGCTATGTTGCCCAGGCTGGTCTTGAACTCCTGGACTCAAGTGATGCACCTCTGCCTCCCACAGTGTTGGGACTACAGGTGTGAGCTCTCTTTTTTCTATAAAAAGAACAGCAACCATTTATTGCAGGCCTATATGTGCCAGGCAGTGTGAAAGGCTTAACTTACACTATCTCAAAACTGCCTGTGAAAAAACTATTAGCACCCCATTATATAGATGAAGAAACTGAGCCTCAGTGAAGGCAGATAACTTGCTCACAGTCACACAGCCAATAAGTAGCAGAGCTGGAATTTGAACTCCAGACCTATGGTCCTGATTATCCTACTATGCTACTTTACATTTTGTTTTCTTATTTTCTTTTTCTTCTTTTTTTTTTGAGACAGAGTCTCACTCTGTTGCCCAGGCTGGAGTGCAGTGGTGCCATCTTGGCTCACTGCAGCCTCCACCTCTGGGTTGAAGCAATTCTCGTGCCTCAGCTTCTCGAGTAGCTGGAATTACAGGCACCCACCACCACGCCTGGCTAATTTTTTGTGTTTTTAGCAGAGACGGGGTTTTGCCATGCTGGTCAGGCTGGTCTTGAACTCCTGGCTTCACGTGATCTGCCCGTCTCACCCTCCCAAAGTTCTGGAATTACAGGCATGAGCCACCATGCCTGGCCTTCCATCTTATTTTCTTTTTTTTTTTTTTGAGATGGAGTTTCGCTCTTCTTGCCCAGGCTGTAGTGCAATGGCATGATCTCGGCTCACCACAAGCTCCACCTCCTGGGTTCAATCGATTCTCTTGCCTCAGCCTCCCGAGTAGCTAGGATTACAGGCATGCACCACCATGCCCAGCTAATTTTGTATTTTTAGTAGAGACGGGGTTTCTCCATGTTGGTCAGGCAGCTCTCGAACTCCCAACCTCAGGTGATCCACTTGCCTCGGCTTCCCTAAGTGCTGGGATTACAGGCGTGAGCCACCACGCCCGGTGTCCATCTTATTTTCTAGAAGGGTTTTTATCAGTTCCTAGATGCCATATCTGGTAAGTTCTTTGTGCACAGGGAAAGAGCTTTTCCCTATGCCTAGCAAAATATATTGCTAAAGATTTTAAGATTTGAAACTCGTGTTTTGGTCAGGGCTCATATCTGGGAGGTGTGTGTGTGTGCGTTTGGTTTGGCACTGTTTTTATTTATAATGGGTCTTTATAATTTGTACATAGAGGCCTTATTCCAGTCCCCTTAGTTTCTTTCATTTATTGAAAAATTATTTTAGGTCCAGGCACAGTGGCTCACATCTGTAATCCCAGCACTTTGGGTAGGCAGATCACTTGAGCTCAGGAGTTTGAGACCAGCTCTAGCAACATGGCAAAACCCTGTCTGTACAAAAAATACAGAAATTAGCAGGCATGGTGGCATGTTCTTATAGTCTCAGCTACTTGGGAGCCTGAGGTGGGAGAATTGCTTGAGCCTGGGAGGTCGAGGCTGCAGTGACGCATGATCACACCTCTGCATTCCAGTCTGGGTGACAGAGCAAGACTCTATCTCAAATAAATAAATAAAAATTATTTTAGAGTCAGGGTCTCACTCTGTCACCCAGGCTGAATTGCACTGGCTCTTCACAAGTGTGACCTATCTCACTGCAACCCCTGGGACCCCAGGTGATCCTTCTGCCTCAGCCTCCCAGGTAGCTGGGACTACAGGCGTGTGCCACCATGTCTGGCTGATTTTTAAACACATTTCTGTAGAGATGAGGTCTTACTATGTTGCCCTGGCTGGTCTGGAACTCCTGGCCTCAAGTAATTCTTAATGAGCCACTGTACCCAGCCCTTCCTACTTTCTTTATTCTAGTTTGACTTAAAGGTAATTCAGGCTTGATATTTTTAAAATATTCCTTGAATTTGGCCAGGTACAATGGCTAACGCCTGTAATCCCAGCACTTTGAGAGGCCGAGGCAGGCAGATCACCTCCAGTCAGGAGATCGAGACCAGCCTGGCCAACATGGTGAAACCCCGTCACTACTAAAAATACAAAAATTAGCTGGGTGTGGTGCCGCATGCCTGTAGTCCCAGCTACTCGGGAGACTGAGGCAGGAGAATCGCTTGAACCTGGAAAGCAGAGGTTGCAGTGAGACGAGATTGCAGCACTGCATTGCAGCCTGGGTGATAGAGCGAGACTCTGTCTTCAAAAATATTACTACGTGATGATTAACAATTTTGCTGTAGGGCAGAAAATACGCAAGAGGAACTCCGAGAATTCCAGGAGGGAAGCCGAGAATATGAAGCTGAATTGGAGACGCAGCTGCAACAAATTGAAACCAGGAACAGAGACCTCCTGTCCGAAAATAACCGCCTTCGCATGGAGCTGGAAACCATCAAGGTGAGGGGCTGAGAGGAAGTGTGCTCAGGTGTAGACAGGCGTCCAACACAGGCATGGCATGCTTGGCTGGAAGAAGGAACCCTGCAATGAGGGACTCCAGACCCCAGGCCCATGCTCATCTCTGGAAGGGCCTGTGCGGCAGACGTGATCTTTGAACTCTTTGTGCCTCTAGTGGGTGGTGCTTTTTGTTTTGTTTTTTTTTTTTTTTTGAGATGGAGTTTCACTCTTGTTGCCCAGGCTGGAGGGCAGTGGCGCGATCTTGGCTCACTGCAACCTCCACCTCCCAGGTTCAAGTAATTCTCCTGCCTCAGCCTCCTGAGTAGCTGGGATTATAGGCGCCTGCTACCACGCCTGGCTAATTTTTTTTGTATTTGTAGTAGAGACGGGGTTTTATGTTGGCCAGGCTGGTCTCGAACTCCTGACCTCGGGATCCATGATGGGTGGAGCTTTGAGAAGCAAGTCACACACATGTTCCCGTGGACTTTCTTGGTTGTGTACACTGATTTTATAGGGCACATGGCAGGGAGACTTTTTTTTTTTTTTGAAACAGGGTCTTGCTCTGTTGCCCAGACTGGAGTACAGTGGCTGGATTACAGCTCACTGCACCCTGGACGTCTCAGGTTTAAGCAGTCCTCTCACCTGGGCCGGGCGAGGTGGTGCATACCTGTAATCCCAGCACTTTGGGAGGCTGAGGTGGGCAGATCACGAGGTCAAGAGATTGAGACCATCCTGGCCAACATGATGAAACCCTGTCTCTACTAAAATTACAAATATTAGCTGGGCGTGGTGGTACACGCCTATAGTCCCAGCTTACTTGGGAGGCTGAGGCAGGAGAATCACTTGATGGTTGGAGGCTGTAGTGAGCTGAGATTGTGCCACTGCACTCCAGCCTGGCAACAGAGCGAGACTCCGTCTCAAAAAAAACCAAAGTCCTTCCACCTGAACCTCGGGAGTAGCTGAGACTACAGGCATGCGGCACCATGCCTGGTTAGTTTTTGTATTTTTTATAGAGACAGGGTTTCGCTGTGTTGCCCAGGCTGGTCTTGAACTCCTGGACGCGAGCAGTCCTCCTGCCTTGGCCTCCCAAATTGCTGGGATTATAGGCATGAGCCACCACCTGGCCAGGGAGACATTTTTAGGGTATGGAGGTGTTGCTAGAGTAATATCATCAGGTCCAATATTGTAGCCCTTAGCTACATTTGGCTGTTGAAATTTAATGAATTAAAATAAAAACTTAATTCCTCAGTCACAGTAGCCACATTTCAAGTGCTTAGGAGCCACGTGTGGCCAGTGAGTTTCCTTAGTGGACAGAGGGGCTGCAGACCATTTCCTTCATTACCAAAAGGTGTGTTGCACTCTGCCAGTTCAGAGCAGGTTTCTCGACCTGGCTGCTGTTGACATTGGAGCCCGGATCATCCTCCGTTGGGAGGGACTGAGGTTTGCTTTGTGGGTTTTTTGTTTGTTTGTTTTGTATTTTTGAGATGGAGTCTTGCTCTGTTGCCCAGGCTGGAGTGCAGTAGCGCGATCTCGGCTCACTGCAAGCTCCGCCTCCCAGGTTCACACCATTCTCCTGCCTCAGCCTCCCGAGTAGCTAGGACTACAGGCGCCTGCCACCACGCCTGGCTAAATTTTTTGTATTTTTAGTAGAAACGGGGTTTCACCGTGTTAGCTAGGATGGTCTTGATCTCCTGACCTCAGGATCCGCCTGCCTCAGCCTCCCAAAGTGCTGGGAATACAGGCGTGAGCCACTGTGCCCAGCCTGTTTTTTTTTTGAGATGGAGTCTTGCTCTGTTGCCCAGGCTGGAGTGCAGTGGCACAATCTCACCTCACTGCAACCTCCGCCTCCCAGGTTCAAGTGATTGTCCCGCCTCAGCCTCTTGAGTAGCTGGGATTACAGGCACCCTCCACCACGCCTGGCTAATTTTTTTTTTTTTTTTTTTTGAGACGCAGTCTCACTCTGTTGCCAGGCTGGAGTGCAGTGGCGTAATCCCGGCTCACTGCAACCTCCACCTCCTGGGTTCAAGTGATTCTCCTGCCTCAGCCTCCTGAGTAGCTGAGATTACAGGCACACACCGCCATGCCTGGCTAATTTTTGTATTTTTAGTAGAGATGGGGTTTCACCATGTTTTCCAGGATGGTCTTGATCTCTTGACAGTGTGATCTACCCGCCTTAGCCTCCCAAAGTGCTGGGATTACAGGTGTGAGCCACCACGCCCGGCTAATTTTTGTATTTTTAGCAAGGACGAGGTTTCACCATGTTGGCCAGGCTGGTCTCGAACTCCTGAGCTCAGGTGATCCGCCCGCCTCAGCCTCCCAAAGTGCTGGGATTACAAGCATGAGTCACCCCGCCTGACCACACTGTGGGATGTTTGGCAGCATCCCTGGCCTCCACCCTCTAGATGCCAGTAGCATTCCCCGCACCTCCAAGGTGGTGAAAACCAAAAGCACCTCTAGACATAGCCAGGTATCTGGAGACCCAGTGCTCTGCAAGGTAAAAACCATCCCTTCTGTACATGCTGTAGGGCTCAGCAAGGGATCACTAAGTCAACACCGTGCCCCAGAGACTGGCTCTCAGCCTTAGCTGCCAGCCAGCATCACTAGGCCAGCTTCATAAACATCCGACAGGCCTGAACCCTCTCTCCCCATCCCCATCTCCCCGCCTTGCTCTGAGATTCCATTTCTCAGTAAGTCTGGGTGGGGCCCTGGCATGTCTGTGTGGTTTTCTTTTTCTCATTAAACTCCCAATGTACATTTTGATGAGCTGCTTCATGGAAGAGTCAAAACTGTGTGTGCCCAGGGCTAGGTATGATGGACGGTGAAAGGGGAAGTGCTGGTTGCCTTCTTTGGGAAGACAAACCTAATGCCATGAAGCAGTTGGGGACGTGAAGCTCAGTCACAGAACTCTGATGTGGGGGCCTTTCAAGAGAAAAAGGACTGGCTGGGTGCGGTGGCTCATGCCTGTTATCCCAGCACTTCAGGAGGCCGAGGTGGGCAGATCACCTGAGGTTGGGAGTTTGAGACCAGCCTCACCAACATGACAAAACCCTGTCTCTACTAAAACTACAAAATTAGCTGGGTGTTGTTGTATGTGCCTGTAATCCCAGCTACTTGGGAGGCTGAGGCAGGAGAATCACTTGAACCCGGGAGGCGGAGGTTGCAGTGAGCCGAGATTGCACCATTGCACTCTAGCTTGGGCAACAAGAGCGAAACTCTGTCTCAAAAAAAAAAAAAAAGAAAGAAAAAGAAAGGACTGCATGGGTTGAGGGAGGCTGTGTGGAGGGTGTTTGTAGGTGTATGTGTTGCTGACACTTGGTGCTTGGGGAGATGGGGCTGAAGGAGAGTTGATCTGTACCCATCACAGACGTGGACAAGAATGGGTGTCGGGTGGACCTTGGCAAGCCCAGCTTTACTAATGTATAGGAAAGGGTGTGGGACCAACAAATGGATTGGGGGTTTGGGGCAGGGCGGAGGAGAGGTCCCAGACACGTTGAAGGTGGTCATTGAAGCTGAAGCTTTCTGTTGGAGACCACAGAGTGCAGCTGGCCGTCTGCAGATCCATCTGCCCCATAGGTGTTGTTTGATCGCCTTCAGGGGTTTTTGTTCAGCATTTCCCCATGAACGTTTTCCAGCATATAAGGCTGAAAGAATTTCCAGTGAATACCTGTGTATCCACCACCACCTAGGCTCTACCAATAATATTTCCCCTACTTACTTGCCTTTTATTATATATATTCCCCCATCCATCAAAATTTGTAAAGCTTCCTGTAAAAAGATGGATTTCTGGCCAGGCATGGTGGTTCATACTTGTAATCCCAGCCCTTTGAGAGGCTGAGGAGGGAGAATTGCTTGAGACCAGGAGTTCAAGGCCAGCCTGGGCAACATAGCGAGACTCTGTCTCTACAAAAAAATAAAAATAAAAAATTCATTGGACATGGTAGTGCACACCTGTAGTCTAAGCTACTCAAGAGGCTGAGGCAGGAGCATTGCTTGAGCCCAGGAGGTTGAGGCTGCAGTGAGCTATGATTGTACCATTGCACTCCATCCTGGGTGACAGAGCAAAAGTTAAAAAATAAAAAACCTGAGTAGTGGTTGTTTAGAACACACATTGTTGAGTTTCCCCCAATCCCCATATCCGTGACACGGAGACCTTAGTGTCATCTGCCTCTCCCTGTACTTGGCCCACTTCACCCATTTGTTAACAGCTGAACACCTGCTACACACAATGAGCAATGATTATCGTTCTTTTTGTTGTTGTTGTTTTTGCTGTTGGAGACAGAGTCTCCCCCTGTCACCCAGGCTGGAGTGCAGTGGTGTGATCTCAGCTCACTGCAACCTCTGACTTCCAGGCTTAAGTGATCCTCCCACCTCAGCCTCCCAAGTAGCTGAGATTACAGGCACCTGCCACACCACGCCTGGCTAATTTTTGTTATTTTTTGTAGAGACGGGTTCATGTGCCCATGCTAGTCTGGGACTCCTGAGCTCAAGTGATCCGCCTGCCTCGGCCTCTCAAAGTGCTGGGATTACAGGTGTGAGCCACTGCGCCTGGCTGATTATAGTTCCTAAATTGAAGGGGACTCTGGGTTGAAAAGCTGGGTAGGAGGAAGATTAGTGGTATGAACTGCAGTTTGGAGAGGATAACAGGCCCTCCATGGATCCTGAGTAAAATATCAAGAGAATTACTCAGTAATTCTCTGCTTCAAGACTGAGCTCTTGGGCCTGGCGTGGTGGCTGATGCCTGTAATGCCAGCACTTTGGGAGACCGAGGCGGGCGGATCATGAGGTCAAGAGATTGAGACTGTCCTCGCTAACATGGTGAAACCCCGTCTCTACTAAAAATAAAAAAATTAGCTGGGCATGGTGGCGCACACCTGTAGTCCCAGCTACTCGGGGGCTGAGGCAGGAGAATTGCTTGAACCTAGGAGGTGGAGGTTGCAGTGAGCTGAGATTGCGCCACTGTACTGCAGCCACATGTCAGATGCAGGAGACTCAGAGCACACAGCACAGTGAAGAAACAGGGTACCTTGGAATAACGAGGACCCTGCCACCAGCAAGTATTTGTCAGTCACCTAAGAGAAATATATTCAGCTGGGCCGGACTTCTTAACAACTGGCTTATTCATCACGGGTTGAATGAAAAAGCCTTTAAGGGACCAAACAGAGCATCTATTGATGCCCCCATCAGCTGACAGCTTATTCGAATTAGCCCCAAATGGCAGCACAACATTTCAGCAACAGGTTTTCATGTCCACAGGTTCCGAGGAGATCTCTCAATCGCCAGTGCAGTCGGTGGAGCCCACTCGCTGCGTCCTCCTGGAGCCTGCGTTTGAATTTAGGTTAATGACTTAAGATCCTGTTTTATTTGGAGATGTTCCCAAATAAAGGGTGTGAGGCGATGAGAGCCACGCCTGGGAACAGGGCCTGGTCTGCCTCTACTTGCTGGGTGCAGATACTTCTCTGCTTACAGCCAGGAAATGGGGAGGGTGCTGCGGGCGGCAGCAGGGATGTGGTCCGCCCTCCTCATCCTTCCAACGCTGTAAATCATCTGTTTGTTCTTTCTTTGGAGTCTTCTTGCACAATGGCTCTCGCCACGCCTCTCTGGCCTAGGCACCATTACATCACCCTGGGTGCATCCGGACTTTCTAGCAACGGCTTTGTTTACTTGATTGAGTAAAGAGAAGTTGGCCTTTTTTAACTTTTAAATTAGACCTTGCGCCTTTCTTGTGGGAAGTGTTTTCTCTTATGTTTGTAGAATCTAGGATGGGTGTTTTGTGTTTTCGGTTTTGATTTTTTTTTGAGATGGGGTCTCTGTCACCCAAGCTGGAGTGCAGGGGCACAATCTTGGCTCACTGCAACCTCCGCCTCCCGGGCTCAAGCGATTCCCCTGCCTCCCGGGTAGCTGGGACCATAGGCACTTGCCACCACACCCAGCTATTTTTTGTATTTTTGGTAGAGACGGGGGTTTCACCGTGTTGGCCAGGCTGTTCTCAAACTCCTGACCTCAAGTGATCTGCCCGCCTTGGCCTCCCAAGTAGCTGGAACTACAGCCGTGCACCACTATGCCGGGCTAATTTTTGTATTTTGGTTTCGCCATGTTGCCCCAGGCTGGTGATTTTTTTTTTTTTTTTAAGCGTTGGCCTGGGCTAGAGTGCAGTGGCATGATCATAGTTTACTGGAGCCTCAACCTCCTGGCCTCAAGCAGTCCTCCCACCTCAGCCTCCCCCATAGCTAGGACTGCAGGTGCATGCCACCACGCCTGGCTGTTCTTAAATTTTCTGTAGAGATGGAGTCTTCCTATGTTGCCTAGGCTAATATGCCTCTGCCACCTGAGGTGCTGGGATTGCGGCATGAGGCACCGCACCTGGCTCTGGGTGTTTGGTGAAGGAAAGTAATTTGGAAGCAGAGCAGGAATAGAATCGAGAGAGCACGGGAACGGGCAGGTGATCTGGATTGAGATGGTTTAGGGCTGGTTAGCATAATTGCTTAAGGACACCTGCTCAGGAGGCTGGGGTTTGGTCTTGGCCCAGTCATTTGCTACTGGTTGATTCTGGGCTAGTTAAGTAATTGAGTCTCAGTGTTCATGTCTCTGAAGTGGAATTAAACGAGACAACATAGGAAGTGTACTTAGCCTGGAGGCCAGCACAGAATAAGTATGTAATGGATGTTATTGCTGCAGCTGGCAACAGGGAATCATTGAGAAGTGCGCTGGACTGTTTCTTTGGTAATTAACAAGATCTCCCTCTCTGTCTCTCTCCTCTCCTTTTCTCTCCCTTTCCCTTCCTCCATCTTCTCCCTCCCTTCTGTCTTAGTTTTTGTTTGTTTGTTTTGAGATGGAGTCTTGTTCGTCGCCCAGACTAGAGAACAGTGGCACAATCTCTGCTCACTGCAACCTCCGCCTCCTGGGTTCAAGCGATTCTCCTGCCTCAGCCTCCCGAGTGGCTGGGATTATAGACAACGCACCACCACACTCGGCTAATTTTTTTTTGCATTTTTGGTAGAGACGGGGTTTCACCATGTTGTCCAGGCTGGTCTTGAACTCCTGACCTCAGGTGATCCACCTGCCTCAGCCTCCCAAATTGCTGGGATTACAGGTGTGGGTCACTGCTCCCGGCCTGTCTTTGTTTTTAAACCCAGAGATTGGAATGTTCTTTCTGTCTCCATGCTACAACGGAGAGTCCTGGATCAAAAATTCAGAATAATTGACTGTTGTGTAAACCAAGTACATGCTGCTCTCCCATTGTTGTGGGCACAAACAACAGAAGTCATTGAGATTCCTTTTTTTTTGCTTTTTGAGATAGCTGGGTCTCACTCTGTTGCCCAGGTTGGAGTGCAGTGATGCAATCACGGCTCACTGCAGCTTCAACCTCCCAGGCTCAAATGGTGTTCCCATCTCAGCCTCCTAACTGGGACTACAGGCGACGCCACCATGCCCTGCTAATTTTTATTTTTTGTAGAGACTGAGTCTGGCTCTGTGGGCCACGCTGGTGACTCTTTGTAATACGGTGATAATGTGTGAAAGCAGGCTTGCGTTGCCCCTGTGGATGAGGCTTGGAGAGGTCCATGTGGCTTTCTTTGGTTGTGGACACCTTGGGCAGAATGATTTGTCTGAAGATTGCTGGGGGCTTCAGACAATGATTTGTCTGAAGATTGTGGGAACCAGGTTTGGGAGTGGGCAGGATTCAAGGTGCTCAAGGGGCAGGAGGTGGGAGGCACTTAGGACATAATTGAAACAGTTATTCAGTGTGCCTGCCTGCCCGCCCCCTCCCAGTCCCCCACCACTGCCAGAGAGTTTTGCTCTTGTTGCCCAGGCTGGAGTGCAATGGCACGATCTGGGCTCACTGCAACCTCCGCCTCCCGGGTTCAAGAGATTGGCCTGCCTCAGCTTCCCAAGTAGCTGGGATTATAGACGCCCGCCACCAGGCCCAGCTAATTTTTTGTATTTTTAGTAGATACGGGGTTTCGCCATGTTGCCAGGCTGGTGATTTTGGGTTTTTTTTTTTTTTTGCTTGTTTTTTTTAAGTGTCGTGGTCTCACTCTGTGGCCTGGGCGGGAGTGCAGCGGCGTGATCATAGCTCACTGCAGCCTCAACCTCCTGGTCTCAGGCAGTCTTCTTGCCTCACCCTCCCAAGTAGCTAGGACTACAGGTGCATGCCACCACGCCTGGCTGTTTTCACATTTTTTGTAGAGGCAGAGTCTTGCCCAGGCTGGTCGAGAACTCCTGGGCTCAAGCAATCCTGCCTCTGCCACCTGAAAGTGCTGGGATTACAGGCATGAGGCACCACACCTGGCTCTGGGTGTTTGGTGAAGGAAAGTAATTTGGAAGCAGAGCCGGAACAGAATCAAGAGAGCTCGGGAGTGGGCAGGTGATCTGGATTGAAATGGTTTGGGGCTGGTTAGCATAATTGCTTAAGGACACCTGCTCAGGAGGCTGGGGTTTGATCTTGGCTCAGTCATTTGCTACCAGTTGATTCTGGGCTAGTCAGGTCACTGAGCTTCAGTGTTCATGTCTCCAAAGTGGGATTAATGAGACAACATAGGTGGTGTACTTAGCCTGGAGGTGGCACAGAATAAGTATGTAATGGATGTTATTGCTGCAGCTGGCAACAGGGAATCATTGAGAAGTCAGCTGGACTGTTCCTTTGGTAATTAACATAGATCTCTCTCCCTTTCCTTCCCTCTCCCTCCCTTCCTCTCTCCTCTGTCTCCCTTCCTCTCTCCTCTCTCTCCCTCCCCCATTTTATCCCCTCCTTTTCTCCCTCCTTCTTTTTCTTTCTTTCTTTGTTTTTCTGGTTTTTTTTTTTTTTTTTGAGACAGAGTCTCGCTGTTATTGCCCAGGCTGGAGTGCAGTGGTGCAACCTCCGCCTCCCGTGTTCAAGCGATTCTCCCGCGTCAGCCTTCTGAGTAGCTGGGATTATAGGCATGCACCACCACGCCTGGCTAATTTTTTTGTATTTTTAGTAGAGTCCAGATTTCACCATGTTTTCGAGGCAGGTCTCAAACTTCTGACCTCAGGTGATCCGCCCACCTCAGCCCTCCAAAGTGCTGGGATTACAGGTGTGAGCCACTGCGCCTGGCCTGTCTTTATGTTTTTAAATAACCTAGAGATCAAACTGTTCCTTTTTTCTCCATGTCACAACGGGGAGTCCTGGATCAAAAATTCAGAATGGCGGACTGTTTTAAAACCAAGTTCATGCTGCCCTCCCATTGTTGTGGGCACAAACAACGGACGTCATTATGATTTCTTTCCTTTTGAGGCAGCAGGGAGTTGCCCAGGCCGGAGTGCAGTGGTGCCTTCACAGCCCACTGCAGCTTCGACCTCTCAGGCTCGAATGGTCCTCCCACCTCAGCCTCGCGAGTAGCTAGGACTACAGGCAAGAGCCACCATGCCCTGCTAGTTTTTATTTTTTGTAGAGGCCAGGTCTCACTCTGTGAGCCGGGCTGGTGACTCTCTTTGTAATACACTGATGATATGTGTGAAGGAGGCCCATGTTGCCGTGTGGATGAGGCTTGGAGAGGTTTACGTGGCTTGCTTTGGCTGTGGACACCTTGGGTAGAATGATTTGTCTGAAGAATGATGGAGGCTATAGGAATCTCAACCCTGTTGAGAGTAGGCAAGATTCAAGGTGCTCAGGGGGCAGAGGCACTCAGGACATAATTAAAACAGTTGGTCCGTTGTGCCTGCTTTGAATGACACCTGCCTGTTCCCACCACGTTACATCACTTGCCTAAGAGTCAGCTCTGGAGAGAAGGTTCTGTTGACTGAGCCTGGCTTGTCTCCCGATTGTGGTGGGAGGGTGGGACAGAAAGCCTGGAGCCCCACCCAGGGAGTGTGGTGGGAGGAGTAGTTTCATAAAGAGAGAGGGTCAGGCCAGGTGCAGTGGCTCACACCTGTAATCCCAGCACTTTGGGAGGCCGAGGCGTGCAGATCACTTGAGGTGTCAGGAGTTCAAGACCAGCCTGGCCAACGTGGTAAAACCCGGTCTCTACTAAAAATACAAAAATTAGCCACTATTGTTGGTGGGTGGCTGTATTCCCAGCCACTTGGGAGGCTGAGGCAGGAGCATTGCTTGAACCTGGGAGGCAGAGGTTGCAGTGAGCCAGGATCTTGCCGCTGCACTCAAGCCTGGGCAACAGAGTGAGACTCGGCCTCAAAAGAAAAAAAAAAAAACACGGAGTCTTGCTGTGTTGCCCAGGCTGGAGTGGAGTGTTACAGTCATAGCTCACTGCAGCCTCTAACTCCTGGGCTCAGGCAGTCCTCCCAGTTTAGCCTCCCGAGTAGCTGTGACTCCAGGTGGATGTGTGCTACTGTGTCTAGCCTTCTCAGAAGTCTTAAGTCATTCACTCAGTGTCTGTGTTGTCCTTCAGGAGAAGTTTGAAGTGCAGCACTCTGAAGGCTACCGGCAGATCTCAGCCTTGGAGGATGACCTCGCGCAGACCAAAGCCATTAAAGACCAATTGCAGAAATACATCAGAGAGCTGGAGCAAGCAAATGACGACCTGGAAAGAGCCAAGCGGTATGGGTGGAAGGGAAAAGCACGAGTGGGAGACTCTCCTCTCTGCTTTTTGTCCCCAGCAGCTGGGTACTGGGCCCTGTGCTGAGTATAGGGAACTAAGCAGTGAGCAGAACAAAGCCAGTGCCCTTCTGGATTTTAGTGCCCGGGGGGAAATGGACAATAGTCGAAGAAGTGCAATTTCATTACAGCAGCAAGGCTGGCAGCCCAGGGTGCTGTGGGGGTGTGTAATAGGATGTATTAATTTGGCTGTTGGCCTGGGAGCGTCAGGCGAGCCTTACCAGGGGAAATGCTATTTAGGCTAAGACCAGAGGAATGAGTAGCCATGATGCCAGGAGGGGTGTGAGACAAGAACATTCCAGACAGAACACCAAGCCTGTGCTAAGCCCCTAAGGTGGGAAGGAAGCTTTTTCAAAGAACAGTTTTTTGTTTTTTTTTGGAGACGGAGAGTCTCTGTCGCCAGGTTGGTGTACAGTGGCGTGATTTCGGCTCACTACAATCCCTGCCTCCTGGATTCAAGCAATTCTCATGCCTCAGGCTCCTGAGTAGCTGGAATTACAGGCACGTGCCACCACACCATTCTAATTTTTGTATCTTTAGTAGGGATGGGCTCTTGCCATGTTGGCCAGGCTGGTCTCAAACTCCTTAGCCTCCAAAGTGCTGTGATTACAGGTGTGAGCCACTGCGCCCAGCCCAGTGATTCCTAAACTGATGTTCTGTGGTTTAGCAGAATGATAATGACTAACATTTACAGAAGAATTACTCTCAGCCAAGCAGTTTTTTTGGATAAGAACACTTGTTTTTAAAAAATTTATATATGAATTATATACAGTGAAATGCGCAGATGTGGCCAGGCACGGTGGCTCACGCCTGTAATCCCAGCACTTTTGGAGGCCGAGGTGGGCGGATCACGAGGTCAGGAGATCGAGACCATCCTGGCTAACATGGTGAAAACCCGTCTCTACTAAAAATACAAAAAATTAGCCGGGCGTGGTGGCGGGTGCCTGTAGTCCCAGCTAGTCGGGAGGCTGAGGCAGGAGAATGATGTGAACTGGGAAGGGCGGAGCGTGTAGTGAGCCGAGATTGCGCCACTGCACTCCAGCCTGGGTGACAGAGCTAGACTCTGTCTCAAAAACAAAACAAAACAAAAAACAACAAAAAAACAAAAAAAGCACAGATGTTTTTTCTTTTATTTATTTTTGGAAACAGGGTCTTGCTCTGTTACCCAGGCTGGAGGGCAGTGGTGCCACCATAGTGCATTGCAGCCTGAAACTTCTGGGAGCAAGTGATCCTCCTGCCTCAACCTCCCAAAGTTCTGGAATTACTGGCATGAGCCACTGCACCCGGCCTCCTCAGAGAGTTTTTTTTCTGCCTCATTCTTTTTCTCCTGTCCGTCTCGGACGCCATCTATACACATAACCTTTTTATATTGTCAGGCAGGTTCCTAAGGCTCTCTTCATTTTTCTTTTCCCTAATTATTTTTTTGTCTTTGTTCTTCAAATTGAATAATTTCTGTTTATCCAGTTTCAAGTTGATAGACGCCCTCTTCTCTCTCCAATCTGCCATTATAGCAGATGAAATATTGAATTTTCAATATATTGTATTTTTAGATGTAGGATTTGTGTTTGTTCTTTTATAATTTCTGTTCTATTGAGGTTTCTTGACATCCTTGAGCATAGTTGTAAGAGCTGCTTTGAGGTCCTTTTGTGCAGTTTTCAACATCTGGGTCACATTTTCTTTATACTCCACGCATTCAATAACTTTGGGGTTGTATTGTAGGCAGTGTGAGTGGTGTTTCCCACGTGGTGTTTCCCACAGACTATTAGTTGTTTTTTGTTTTTGTTTTTGTTTTAAGACAGTCTTGCTCTGTCGCCCAGGCTGGAGTGCAGTGGTGCGATCTCTGCTCACTGCAACTTCCACCTCCCAGATTCAAGTGATTCTCCTGCCTCAACCTCCGGAGTAGCTGGGATTACAGGTGTGTGTTACCACACCCGGCTAATTTTTGTATTTTTAGTAGAGATGGGATTTCACCATGTTGGCCAATCTGGTCTCATACTCCTGACCTGAGGTGATCTGCCTGCCTCGGTCTCCGAAAGTGCTGGGATTACGGGCTTGAGCCACCATACCCAGCCAGAGATGATGAATTCTTTTATGTTCTTGATTTATTTGGTTTTCTTAGGTGGTTTACTTGGCTGAGCTTACAGCCCAAATTCTGTCTCCCCTTTGATGGGCAGTAGCTGAAATCTCTTTGCTTTTTTTAGCCGTAACTGGGCTGCTTTGTGTCTGCTCTGTGCACGTGTGGTTTGGGGGAGGCCAGAGATGTGGGAAGATACTATATTCAGAATGTGGGGGGGCCCACGGTGATAGATTTCTATCCCTGGAGCTTTAGGCAAAAATCTTGTAAAGATGCAGACTTCACCCAGTCTTGTTCTGTTTTTCTAAGCGTTGTTTTCCAGTTCCTGCCAGTGCACTCAGATTATTGTTGTAAACATTTTACTTAGAATTTATACGAGGTTTGATCTGATACAGGTTTCCTGGTCATTACCAGAAGTGGAAATTCCTTTCTTGTCAATCTGTAGGAGTTCTTTGCATATATATATTTTTTGAGATGGAGTCTCGCTCTGTCTCCCAGGCTGGAGCTGGAGTTCAGTGGTGTGATCTCAGGTCACTGCAACCACTGCCTTCCTGCTTCAAGTGATTCTCCTGCCTCAGCCTCCCAAGTAGCTGGGATTACAGGCGCCCCCCACCACGCCTGGCTAATTTTTGTATTTTTAGCAGAGACGGAGTTTTGCGATGTTGGAGAGGCTGGTCTTGAACTCCTGACCTCAAGTGATCCACCTGCCTCAGATTCCCAAAGCTGGAATTACAGGCATGAACCACTGTGCCTGGCCCTTTGTATATTTTTACTACTAATCTTTTCTCCTGCATTGAAAATAATTTTTTCCGTGGTAATCTTTTGTTTGTTGACTTTGTCTATTGTATCATTTTCCATACAAATATTTCCTTTTTTCTCTTTTGAAAAAAAATTTTTTATACATGTATTTTTCATTTTTAGGTCATCAGTTACATCTTTTTTTAAATACCTTCTAGGTTTGCAGATTTCACTAGGGAAGTCTCCTTGGTTCTTGATTGTTCATGTGTTTTGTGTTTTTTTTGCAATATTTTTTAATTGTTTAATTTTTTTGTATCCTTATTCCTTAGTCTGCAATGAATTTATTTTTGTATCTAGTATAAGATACAAGTTCAATTTTATTTTTATTTTCTTTAGGTGGATAGCCCAGTTGTGCCAGCACTGTTAAACACTGCCTTTTTTTTTTTTTTTTTTTTTTTTTTTTTTGAGACTGGGCCTCGCTCCATTGCCCAGAGTAGAGTGCCATGGTGCAATTACAGCTCACTGGAGCCTTGACCTCCTGGGGCAAGTGATTCTCCCACCTCAGCCTCCTGAGTGTCTGGGACTATAGGCATGTGCCACTATACCTGGCTAATTTTTGTATTTTTTGTAGATACAGGGTTTTTCCATGTTGCCTAGGCTGGTCTCAAAGTCCTGGACTCGGTCTGTCCACCTTGGCCTCCCAAAGTGCTGGGATTATAGGCATGAGCCACCATACCCGGCCTTTGGCATATTTTAAAATTGGGTTGTTCGTTGTTTTTTTTCCCATGATTTCTAGGAGATTTTTATATATTTGTCTGTGACATGAATGGACAGTATTGGGAGTTTGTCATTTGTTTCCAGCTTTGTCTGATGTATATTTTATTGTACAGAGTTACTGATTTGTTTTGTTTTGAGTCAGAGTCTTGCCCTATGGCCCAGGCTGGAGTGCAGGTGCAGGATCTCGGCTAACTGCAACCTCCACCCTCCCAGGTTCAAGCTATTCTCCTGCCTCAGCCTCCCAAGTAGCTGGGATTACAGGCGCCCACTGCCACGCCTGGCTAATTTTTGTATTTTTAGCGGAGATGGGGTTTCACCATGTTGGCCAGGCTGGTATTTGATTTTTTTGTAGTCAGATTTCTTAGTCATAGTTAGAAGGGCCTTGTGCACTCCAAGGTTTATAAAGCAATTAGCCAAGTGTTTTCTTGTAGTATTTTTGTTTTTTCTTTCTTTTCTATTTTTATTTTTGTACTAAACGTGCATTGTTTTTGTTAATACAATTTGGCCAAATGCTGAATAGTTTAGTGTTAAAAATCGGATGAGGTAGAAGCCCAGTTCACCATTATAGAATCAATAAAGTTCTAGGTCACCAAAGTTTTATGTATTTATGTTTTGAGACAAGGTCTCTCTCTGTCGCCCCTGCTGGAGTGCAGTGGCACGATCACTTCAGCCTCCCCAGTAGCTGGGACTACAGTCATGTGCCACCATGACTCACTAATTTGTGTATTCTTTGTAAAGACCGGGTTTCTCCATGTTGCCTAGGCTCCAAAGCTTTATTTTAAAGACTTGAAAATGTTACAATTTTGTGCAAGTTTAATAGTTATATTTAGAACGTTTGACAGTCTTCTCCAAGAACAAGAGTTTCTCAGCACCATCAGCTGTTTGATTGCTCTCATGGTCCTTCTTCTATACGTCCCTCAAACGAAACTACTCACTTTTAACTGAGGACAGGCACTTTGTATAAGAATAACCTTGAAAAGTGTGCAGGACCTAATTGGAAGTAACTAAAAATTAAATACATTTCCTAAAGGTTACTTTGTTTCATATGAGTACTAAGATGCCAAAAAGTTTTACAAAAATTCAAATAGATTTAATCTAGTTTTACTCTTTTCATAAGTTTTTCATTTTATTTTATTTATTTATTTTTGAGACAGAGTCTTGCTCTGTAGCCCAGGCTGGAGTGCAGTGGTGCGATCTTAGCTCACTGCAGCCTCTGCCTCCCAGGTTCAAATGATTTTCCTGCCTCAGCCTCTCGAGTAGCTGGGACTACATTGCATGTGCCATTATGCCCAGCTAATTTTTCTATTTTTAGTAGAAATGGGGTCTCACCATGGTCCTGACCTCAAGCGATCCACCACCTCGGCCTCCCAAAGTGCTGGGATTATAGCCGTTAGCTCTCACACCCAGTCCAACTTACACATTTTTTTTTTTTAAAGAGATGGGGTCACACAGTGTTTCCCAGGCTGGTCTCAAACTCCTGGATTCAAACAATCTTCCCATCTCGGCTTGCCAAAGTGTTGGGATTACAAGCATGAGCCACTGTGCCCAGCCAATTCCATGGACTTTTAAAGCATTTTTTGGCTCAAAAAGGATATGTTCTTAGTTATCTAACCAGTATATCTCTTTATATTTACTGAAAATCTGTTTTCCTATTTAAGTATTTTCAGGTTCTCAATAACTGCACATGAAATTAACAGCTTTCATAGTCACAAATTATTGCAATATTTTGCTGTTATACTAAATATGGGTTTTTTTTGTTTGTTTTTAAGACAGAGTCTAGCTCTGTTACCCAGGCTGGAGTGCATTGGCACAATCTTGGCTCACTGCAAGCTCCGCCTCCCAGGTTCATGCCATTCTCCTGGCCTCAGCCTCCCGAGTACCTGGGACAACAGGCACCCGCTACCACGAACCGGCTAATTTTTTTGTATTTTTAGTAGAGATGGGGTTTCGCCATGTTAGCCAAGATGGTCTCGATCTCCTGACTTTGTGATCCACCCGCCTCAGCCTCCCAAAGTGCTGGGATTACAGGCACTAAATATGCTTTTATACATTAGTTGACAGAATTTCAACATATAAAATACATAAAGCAATTTTCACTCCAGTTACAACTAGCATGCTGACCTTTATTTCAAAGTAAATACGCTAGGTGAGATAGCTCATGCCTGTAATCTGTCATCTTAGTACTTGGGGAGGCTGAGGCTTGAGTATTGCTTGAGCCCAGGAGTTTGAGGACATCCTGGGCAACATAGTGAGACTCCCGTCTCTAGAAACAAATATAAAAACTAGCCGGCTATGGTAGCTTGTGCCTGTGGTCACAACTACTCGGGAGGTTGAGGTAAGAAGGTGAAAGAATCGCTGGGCGCATTGGCTCACGCCTGTAATCCCAGCACTTTGGGAGGCTGAGGTGGGCGGATCACCTGAGGTTAGGAGTTGGAGACCAGCCTGACAAAGATGGTGAAACCCTGTCTCTACTAAAAATGCAAAAATTAGCCAGGCATGGTGGCAGGCGCCTGTAATCCCAGTTACTTGACAGACTGAGGCAGGAGAATCGCTTGTACCCGAGAGGCGGAGGTTGCAGTGAGCTGAGATTGTGCTGTTGCGCTCCAGCCTGGGCAACAGAGTGAGACTTCATCTCAAAAAAGAAAAAAAAAGGTGAAAGGATGACTTAAACCCAGGGTGTCGAGGTTGCAGGGAAATTCAGAAATGCCACTGAAGGGCCAGGCATGGTGTCCAACACCTACAATCCCAGCACTTTGGGAGGCAGAAGCAGGTGCATCACCTGAAGTCGGGAGTTCGAGACCAGCGTGGCCAACATGGTGGAATGCTGTCTCTACTAAAAATACAAAAATTAGCAGGATGTGGTGGTGCGTGCCTGTAATCCCAGCTACTTGGGAGGCTGAGACAGAAGAATCATTTGAACCCCGGAGGCAGAGGTTGCACTCCGCCTGGGTGACAAGAGTGGAACTCCATCTTAAAAAAAAAAAAAAAAAAGGCACTGAAGCTGGTCCCCAGTTCCCTAGCATTCCAGAAGCAAAATAGATTTTGACCAAATAAGGAGTTTGTTAAAATTTCCGATTCAGTCGGAGTTTGTGTTAGGGTACAGTATGAGGTACGAATCTAATAATTTTTTCCTGGTGGGTACCCAGTGGTCCCTAAAACTAGAACTGAACCTGCCATCTTTTTACCAATGATCTGTGATGCCACCTTTATTATAAATTAAACTCTTGTCTATTTCTGGACCTTTGGTTCCTTTGTTCTTACAACCAGTAGCATACTATTCTTCATTGTTGAGGCTTTATAGTAGTGCGTTCTGACTCTCTGGTAGAGCTAGTTCCCTGATCTCTTTTACAGAGTTCCTCTGATCATTCTTGTTTCATTGTCACAGGATCTTTCAAATCAGTCCAGTTTATTCCCCCAGTAGAAACGTATTAAGACAGTGTTAAATTTATCAGTTTAACTTGTGGAGAATTAATTTCTGCATGATAATGGGTCTTCCTCTTTATATACTCAGTATGTCTGCATTTCTGCAAGCATTCTGTACTACTCTACATATTATTATGTGAATATTTTATCTTTGATATGTCAACCTTAGGGCTGTTTTAACTGTTTCTGGTATTGTACTCCGAAGTATTATCCCTTTGTTGTTGGTAGTAGTGTGTTTTTTGTTTTTGTTTTTCGAGACAGGGTCTGGCATTGTTACCCAGGCTGGAGTGCAGTGGCATAGTCATGGCTTACTGTACCCTTGAATTCCTGGGCTCAAGCAGTCCTCCTACCTCAGCCTCCGAGTAGCTGGGACTACAGGCACGCATCATGCACGGCTAATTTTTTTACTTTTTGTAGAGACAGGGTCTCTCTATATTACCCAGGCTGGTCTTGAACCCTGGGCCTCAAGCGGTCCTCACACCTTGGCCTCCCAAAGTGCTGGGATTATAGGCATGAACCACTGTGCTTGTCCCTTTGTTGTTTTTAATCGGTACTGTGGTAACTTTATCCTATCCACTACTTCTAAAGACCCTGTGAGGGTAGGTACTTGTATGACTCCATCTAGACATAGTAGGATATGTTGAATAAATGAACTGATGCAGCCATTAATCAGTGCAGTTATTAATTTGGTGATTGAAGGAACTGAGGATGAAGGAGATCAAGTTCCGCAATGATACTCAGTGAGTTCTAGGTGGAGGAGGAGCTGGGTGTTAACTCCTGGGTTCCTCTCCAAACACGTGCTTCTGACCACTGTGGGATACAGTTAGCAGGTTGTGTAAGGTCTGGGGACAGACACAGGGTCAATAATAAAAATTGCTGAAAATTTATAGATGTGTGCTTATGTGTAAAACATCTGTTGTGTGCTTCCTGTAGGATTTTTTTTTTTTTTTTGGGAAACATTCTTACTCTGTTGCCCAAGCTGGAGTGCAGTGGCATGATCTTGGCTCACTGCAACATTCACCTTCTGGGTTCAAGCGATTCTCCTGTCTCACCCTCCCGAGCAGCTGGGACTACATGTGTGCACCATCATGCCCGGCTAATTTTTGTATTTTTAGTAGAGATGAGGTTTCACCATGTCGGCCAGGCTGGTCTCGAACTCCTGACCTCAAGTGATCCGCCCGCCTCGGCCTCCCAAAGTGCTGGGATTACAGGCGTGAGCCACCGTGTCCGGGCCTGTATGACTTCTTGCCACCCCTTCCCCACCACAATCCTGCATGAAGGTTACTATTACTATCCTTGTTTTGCATGAGAGAAAACTGAGGTGCAGAGAAGGTGGTTTTCCCAGAATTATAACAGATTGTTTTCTTACAGCACTTGGCAGTGCCTTTACCACAGTGTTTATGCCCTTCACAAGAAGGGGTTGTGAGCAGGGCAGCTGGGCTGGTACTGGGCATTTTGAACTTCCACTGAGAGGTTAAATATGATCTCTTCCACCTGCTTAAGTGCATCTTATGCCTGGCACAATGCCTCATGCCTGTAATCTCAGTAACTCAGGAGGCTGAGGCGGGAGGATCTCTTGAGCCCAAGAGTTTGAGATTGCAGTGAGCTGTGATTGTACCACTGCACTTCGGCCTGAGAGACACAGCAAAAACCTGTGTCTTAAAAAATCATGTTGTTATATGTGTTTATTAGGTTATTATTATTTTGAGATGGAGTCTCACTTTGTTGTCTAGGCTGGAGTGCAGTGGTATAATCTGGGCTCACTACAACCTCTGCTTCCTGGCAGTTCTCCCACCTCAGCCTCCCAAGTAGCTGGGATTACACTACAACTGGCTAATTTTTGTATTTCTAGTAGAGACAGGATTTTGCCATTTGCCCAAGCTTGCCAGGCTGGTCTTGAACTCCTGATCTCAGGTCTTCCACCTGCCTCGGCCTCCCAAAGGGCTGGGATTACAGGCATGAGCCACCTTGCCCAGTCATATTAGGTTATTTTTAATGCTGGTTGGCATTGTGAGCTTGCAAGAGAAGATGGAGCATAGTGGTCTTCTCAAACCACCAAATGCCACATGCAGTCCTGATAGGGCTTTGGCTTATTGCTGAGTGCTGTGTGGGCAGCATCTTATTTAATCCTCATGACAGCCTCGTGCACCCCATGAGCTATGATGAGTCCCATTCTGCAGGTAAAGAGCCCATGCCCCAGAAGGTTAAGGGACTTGGCCCACTCTGTGGCATCTAGGAAGTTTGGGGCTGGGACTTGTGCCCAGGTGTGTCTGACCCTTCGCACCTCCTGGATCCGCGGTGCTGGAGGGATGCTGCGGTTTGTCCTCTTGGATAACTCTGCTTTTCTCTTCGCCAGCGCCACGATCATGTCTCTCGAAGACTTTGAGCAGCGCTTGAATCAGGCCATCGAAAGAAATGCCTTCCTGGAAAGTGAACTTGATGAAAAAGAGAATCTCCTGGAATCTGTTCAGAGACTGAAGGATGAAGCCAGAGGTCAGGAGGCCTTGGTGTCTTCACCAGCATGGTCCCCTCTCCCTACCTGAGCAACATCTTGTCCCACAAGCTCTCCCAGCATTATCTTTACAGGGACCCCACACCCTGCTCTGCACCCAGGTTGTCTAATCAGAGGGTGTCGGACTGCACTGGGCAGACTCTTGCCTTGGGCCCTGGCTGGAGCTGAGAACAGTCAGACATCCAGCCCTGTAAGGGCCCCTTATGGGTATTTAGAGAAATAGCTTTGGGGTTCACAGATGAAGTCCTTGTATTGGGATTCTGCCTCTGGGCAGCAGAATTTATTTCCAGAAAGATGCTTCCTGGTCTGTAATTCACAAACACAGCAAACTACCCTGATGCTCAGTAGGAACAGAGAGTTTTGTGGGGAGATCTGGCACAGTGGCTCACACCTGTAATCCCAGCACTTTGGGAGGCCGAGGATCTCTTGAGCCCAGGAGTTTGAGACCAGCCTGGGCAGCATAGTGGGACTCCATCTTTACAAAAACATTTAAAGATTAGCTGGGTGTGATGGCATGTGCCTGTAGTCCCAGCTACTCAGGAAGCCAAGGTGGGATGATTGCTTCAGCCCAGGAGGTGGAGTATGCAGTGAGCTATGATGGCACCAGTGCACTCCAGCCTGGGTGACAGAGTGAGACCCTGTCTCTTAAGAAGCAAAGATGTTGTGGGGAGAAATTTCTGGTGGAATTGCCAGCTAGCCTATTATTTTTGTGACTTGATGGCAACCAATATATTTGGCTAAAACTTTGAAACCTCATCAGCATTTGCTCTTTTTCAGTTGGCACTTCCAGAGGTAGAATGTTGAAACTGTAATGAGGCATTTGGCCAGGCACAGTGGTTCACACCTGTAATCCCAGCACTTTGGGAGGCTGAGGCAGGTGGATCACCTGAGCTCAGGAGTTTGAGACCAGCCTGGACAACATAGAGAAACCCCATCTCTACTAAAAATAGAAAACATGAGGGTATGGTGGTGGGTGCCTGCAATCCCAGCTGCTCAGGAGGCTGAGGCACGAGAATTGCTTGAACCTGGGAGGTGGAGGTTGTAGTGAGCCAAAATTACACCATTGCACTCCAGCCTGGGTGACAGAGTGAGACTCTTGTCTCAAAAAAAAAAAAAAAAAAAAGACATTCATTAGTGGATTGTCCAAGTTGTTTTTACCTTTTTTTTTTTTTTTTTTTTTTTTTTTGAGATGGCGTCTTGCTCTGTTGTCCAGGCTGGAGTGCAGTGGTGCTATCTCTGCTCACTGCAACCTCTGCCTCCCAGGTTCAGCGATTCCCCTGCTTCAGCCTCCTGAGTAGCTGGGACTGCAGGTGTGCACCACCATGCCTGGCTAATTTTTATATTTTTAATAGAGATGGGGTTTCACCATGTTGGCCAGGCTGGTCTTGAACTCCTGACCCCAGGCGATCTGCCTGCCTCGGCCTCCCAAAGTGCTGGGATTATAGGGGTGGGTCACTGTTGCTGGCCCAATTAATTATTTATAACGTCGATTTGCTTTCTAATGTGTAACCAGTAGGTGGGGGATAAAAAGTAAAAATTCTTAAGTTTAATAAAGTAGTTGTTCCTAGATGTCCATCAGTAATGAAGTGGTTAAATGAAGTACATAGATGTATTTTGTGAAATGTTAATGGTTAAAATGAACAGTAGATAGAAATGTTGTGGTAGAAAGATTGCCAAGGCTAGGCACAGTGGCTGATGCCTGTAATCTCAGTGCTTTGAGAGACGGACGCAAGAGGATTGCTTGAGCCTAGGAGTTCAAGATGAGCCTGGACAACATAGTGATACCCCATCTCTACAAAAATGAAAATTGTAAAAATTAGGCCTGGTGGCATATGTCTGTAGTTCCAGCTACTTAGGAGGCTGAAGTGGGAGGATGACTTGAGCCCAGGAGTTCAAGGTTACATTGAGCTATGATTGTGCCACCGCACCCCAGCCTGGGTGACTGAGTCAGACCCTGTCTCTAAAACAAAAATCATTGCCAAGACATACCACTGAAGTGGGGAGAGTAAGTCATACACAGGACAACATATTGTATGTTTCCAGTAATGCTTAATAAAAAATTTTCTTGTTTTATGCTCAGTAGATACATACATATGTATAAAGTTTATGTTTGAAAATGGAGAGAACAGCTGGGCGCAGTGGCTCACGCCTGTATTCCCAGCACTTTGGGAGGCCAAGGTGGGTGGATCACCTGAGGTCAGGAGTTAGAGTCCAGCCTGGACAACATGGTGAAACCCTGTGTCTACTAAAAATACAAAAATTAGCCAGGTGTGGTGGTGCGTGCCTGTAATCCCAGCTACTTGGGAGGCTGAGGCAGGAGAATCACTTGAACCCGGGAGGCAGATTTACAGTGAGCCGAGACTGTGCCACTGCACTTAAGCCCGGGCAAGAGAGTGAAACTCCATCTCAAAAAAAAAAAAAAAAAAAAATTCAGAGAACAATGGTTGAAAAGCTCTCCCACATGTTATGGTGATGATGAGTGAGGAGGAGCATTTGGGGATAGTCTGGAAAGCATACTTTATTTATTTTTGAGACAGTCTTGCTCTGTCACACAGGCTGGAGTGCAGTGGCGTGATCTCAGCTCACTGCACTCACTGCTTGTCCCCCAGGCTCAAGCGATTGTCTTGCCTCAGCCTCCCAAGCAGCTGGGACTACAGGCGCTCACCACCACGCATGGCTAATTTTTTGTATTTTTAATAGAGACGGGGTTTTGCCATGTTGGCCTGAAAATTCCTGACCTCAAGCAATCCTCCCATCTCGACCTCTCAGAGTGCTGGGATTATAGGCTTGAGCCAGTGCAACTGGCCTTTTTTTTTTTTTTTCTTTTTTTTTTTTTTTTTTTTTTTTTTTTGAGCCAGAGGTCTCACTCTCGCCCAGGCTGAAGTGGTATGATCATGGCTTACTGCAGCCTCGACTTACTGGATTAATGTGATTCTTACACCTCAGCCTCCCAAAGTGCTGGGATTACAGGCATGAGTCACTGCTCCCGGGCATATTTTCATTTAGTGTTCTAAATACACTGCTATGTTGGAATTGTTTTTTCAATAATAAAAGCATTAGTGTGTCACTGTCATAGCTTTTTAAAAATCTGAAACCATTTTGTTAGTCAAGAGAAACATCCTGTAGAGTTCCAAGTCTGCTAGGCAAGGTCCTGTGGGTTTCCCTTTATTTGGGGTTTCTACCTGGAGTGTTTCACCCCAGTAGGTCTTTTTTCTGACTGGTATCTACTGTTGAACCTCTCTCCCTGCACCCCACCAACCCTAAGCAAGGACTTAAATTCCCTTTTTGTTTTTTGAGACGTAGTCTTGCTCTTGTCACCCAGACTGGAGTGCGCTGGAGCAATCTCAGCTCACTGCCACCCTGGCCTCCCAGGTTCAAATGATTCTCATGCCTCATCCTCCTGAGTAGCTGAGATTACAGGTGCCTACTACCATGCTGGGCTAATTTTTGTATTTTCAATAGAGATGAGGTTTCACCATGTTGGTCAGGCTGGTCTCGAACTCCTGACCTCAGGCGATCCACCTGCCTTGGCCTCCCAAAGTGCTGGCATTATAAACATGAGCCACTGCGCCTGGCTGAGGACTTGAATTCCTGAATCCTTTTTCTGGCACAGATTTGCGGCAGGAACTGGCCGTGCAGCAGAAGCAGGAGAAACCCAGGACCCCCATGCCCAGCTCAGTGGAAGCTGAGAGGACAGACACAGCTGTGCAGGCCACGGGCTCCGTGCCGTCCACGCCCATTGCTCACCGAGGACCCAGCTCAAGTTTAAACACACCTGGGAGCTTCAGACGTGGTAAGGGGAGTGGGAATTGCAGGATTTTCTCGGTTCACAAAGTGTTTCTGGGTAAGAATCTGGGGTGGGTCCTGGGGGTGTGATGATTTGCATCAGGCTCAGAGCCTGATTTGCTCTCAGGCTTTGAGCAGAGAGTAGACTGGGATGTTCTTGGGGATGGGCATTGAGATCAGTGAGGACTGGGTAAGAGGCAGTAGTGGAGTCTGATGAAATGGAAACCCCACCCAGAGCGGGTGGCTGCCACTCTGCAGCTACGAGGATTGGCCCTTCATCTGCAGCTTTTTCCATTCTTCAAAGCCAGAAATCCTCTTTTTTTTTGTTGGGTTTTTTTTTTTGAGACAGGATCTCACTCTGTTGCCCAGGCTGGAGTGTAGTGACGTGATCTTGGCTCACTGCAACCTCTTCATCGTGGGCTCAAGTGATTCTCCCACCTCATCCTCCGGAGTAGCTGGGACTAAAGGCACCTGGCTAACTTTTGTATTTTAGGTGGAGACACAGTCTTGCCATGTCGCCCAGGCTGGTATCAAATTCCTGGACTCAAGTGATCCGCCCACCTCGGCTGATCCCAAAGTGCTGGGATTACAGGTGTGAGCCACCGCGCCTGGTCAAAAATCCTCTTGTTGAATATAAAACCTCCCAAATTTGAAATGTCACTGACCAAATACAAAAAAGTAAAAAGCGTTCTGTGGGTTTAGTAATACATCCACCGAGAGCTAGACTCAGCGTAACGTGTGCTGCATGGGCAGAAAAAAAGAATCTCAGTTCTCACCCCAGCCCCTCTGCTGACAGCTTCCGATCAGGCCTTTTACAGCAGATATTAATAACAGACAGTTAAGGAGTGCTCAGTGTGTGCTGGCCAGCCTGCAGCCTTCGCCGCAGGCCCAGGATGCAGGTGCTGTCCCCGTTTGATGAAAGTGAGGCTCTGAGTTAAGCAGAGTCATGAAGCAATTGAATGGCAGATGGTTTGGGATTCAGACCCAGGCAGGCAGGCTCCAGGGCTTACCCTACCATCTACTACCTTATCCCTTAGCTTGTCCCCTGGGCATGAAGAGACCAGTGAGACTTCTAGAATTCCGGTGCAGAGCCCTTCTGTTTAGTTTTGTTGAGATGGAGTTTTGCTCTGTTGCCCAGGCTGGAGTGCAATGGTGCGATATTGGCTCGCTGTAACCCCCTCCTCCCAGGTTCAAGTGATTCTCCTGCCTCAGCCTCCTGAGTAAGCTTGAATTACAGGTGCCCACCACCATGCCTGGCTAATCTTGTATTTTTAGTAGAGATGGGGTTTCACCATGTTGGCCGGGCTGGTCTCAAACTACTGACCTCAGGTGATCTGCCTGCCTCAGCCCCTGAAAGTGGTGGTATTACATGTATGAGTCACTGTGCCTAGCCCCAGTCTAGAGCCATTTTGCATACTTTATTTCATTGTTGTTTTTAGAGACACAGTCTTGGTCTGTGGCCCAGGCTGGAGTGCAGTGGTGCAATCATAGCTCACTGCAGCCTCCAACTCCTGGGCTCCAGTGATCCTCCTGCCTCAGCCTCCTGAGTAGCTGGGACTAGAGGCATGCAACTCCATGCCTGGCTATGTTTCCACACTTCAATATGCATGTAGCTTACCTGGGGATCTTGGTAGAATGTACCTCAGATCAAGTGGGTCTTGGGTGGGGCCTGAAATTTCTTTCTCTCTTTTTTTTTTTTTTTGAGACAAAGTCTTGCTCTGTCGGCCAGGCTGGAGTGCAGCGGCATTGATCTTGGCTCACTGCAGCCTCTGCCTCCTGGATTCAAGCGATTCTCATGCCTCAGCCTCCCGAGTAGCTGGGATTACAGGCAGGCACCTGTTACCATGCCCAGCTAATTTTGTATTTTTAGTAGAAACAAGATTTTGCCATGTTGGCCAGGCTGGTCTTGAACTCCTGACCTCAACTGATCGAACTGCCTCGGCCTCTGAAAGCACTGGGATTACAGGTGTGAGCTACTGTGCCTGGCCGAGAGATTCTGCATTTCTAACAGTTCTCATGTGCTGCTGGTGCATGGACCCCACTTGGAGAAGAGAGGCTCTGCAGAGCGGGACCCTTGTAAAGCTGGATCATCCTGTCTATAGTTCTTGTATCTATCACAGATGCCATTATGTTAATTAACTATATGGATTTTCTACAATTTCAAAAGGATTTGTTTTGGGTTTGTTTAAAAAGACTAATGTGGCTGGGCACGGTGGCTCATGCCTGTAAATACCAGCCCTTTGGGCGGCCAAGGTGGGAGGATCGCTTGAAACTAGGAGTTCATGATCAGCCTGGGCAACATAGTGAGACCCTGTCTCTATTAAAAAAAAAATTTGTTAAAGGCCAGGCATGGTGGCTCACGCCCGTAATCCCAGCACTTTTGGAGGCCAAGGCGGGCAGATCATTTGAGGTCAAGAGTTCGAGACCAGCCTGGACAACGTGATGGAACTCTGTCTCTACTAAAAATACAAAAATTAGCCGGGTGTGGTGGCACATGGCTATAATCCCAGCTACTCAAGAGGCCAAGGCAGGAGAATCGCTTGAACCTGGGAGGCGGAGGTTGCAGTGAGCTGAGATCACATCACCGCACTCCAGTCCGGGTGACAGAGCAAGACTAACATGTAAAAATAAGTATTTGTTGCAGTCATCACAAGGACTTGAAAAATTGGTTGTCATACGGGCCTTGGGTGTGTGATGCGGTTAACTACGGAAAGAAATAGGGTAGCTTTTGGGATCCGAGGAAAGGCGTCAGTGTCCCTCCTGTCCCGTGGTTTTGGATCTAGCGATGTTAACGCACAGACATGACTATAGGTTGGTGAGTTACATGCTCTTCCCTTTGCACACCCAGGCCTGGACGACTCCACCGGGGGGACCCCCCTCACACCTGCGGCCCGGATATCAGCCCTCAACATTGTGGGAGACCTACTGCGGAAAGTCGGGGTAAGACCACACTTTCCTGGCGTTTGGTGCCTTCCTGCCTGTCTTTCAGGATGTGTGAAGGGGGTTGATCTAGTTCCTTCCCTCTCTTCTTTTTTTCTTTTTTTTTAGAGACAGGGTCTTGCTCTGTTGCTCAGGCTGGAGTGTAGTGGTATGATCACAACTCACTGCAGCCTCAAAATCCTGGGTTCAAGCGATCCTCTCACCTTAGCTTCCCGAGGAGCTTGGACCACAGGTGTGCGCCACTATGCCTGGCTGATACTTTCATTTTTTTGTAGTAATGTGGGTATCGCTGTGTTGCCCAGGCTGGTCTTAAACTCCTGGCCTCAAGTGATCCTCCCAGGTTGGCCTCCCAAAGTTCTGGGATTACAGGCATGAGCCAATGCGTCCAGCCCCTTTCATAGCAGTGTGGTGAGTTTTAGGTGTGGCTGCTCCTTTAGCATCCCTGGGAATCATTAGAGCTTCCTGTGGGAGTTACTGCCAGACACTCAGAGCTCTGACTCGAAGCCCTGCTCTGAACCCTATGTATGTCTCTTTCCTTTTACCGTTTTTCCTCTAGGAAATTTGGGAAATTAGGGTGATATGTGTGTTTTTTCCTTAACTCGAAAAATTAAGGAGCACTTGGAAACTGCCTTCTCTTTTGGCCGGGTGCTCATACCTGTAATCCCAGTGCTTTGGGAGGCCAAGGTGGGAGATTACTTGAGCTCAGGAGTCTGACACCAGCCCGGGCAACATGGTGAAACCCCCTGCCCCGACTTGGCCTCTACAAGAATGCAAAAATTAGCCAGGCCTGATGGTGTACACTGGTGGTCCCAGCTACTCAGGAGGCTGAGAGGTGGGAGGATTGCTTCAGCCTGGGAGGTTGAGGCTGAGTGAGCTGAGATTCCAACACTGCACTCCATCCTGGGTGACAGCACGACGTTGTCTCAGAAGAGAAAAAAACTGCCACCTTTTTTTTTTTTTTTTTTTTTTTTGGTTTGTTTCTTGGGGTTTAAGTGAATTTTGACACTTTGGGAGACCGAGATGGGTGGATCACCTGAAGTCAGGAATTCAAGACCAGCCTGGCCAACATGGTGAAACCCCATCTCTACTAAAAATACAAAAATTAGCCAGGAATGGTGGTGGGCACCTGCGATCCCAGCTACTTGAGAGGCTTATGCAGGAAAATTGTTTGAATCCGGGAGGCGGAGGTTGCAGTGAGCTGAGATCGCACCGCTGGGTGACAAAGTGAGACTTGGTCTCAAAAAAAAAAAAAAAAAAAATCTTGAAAGCCTAGGGCAAAGAATTTGGCCTTTCAGCTTTTATGTTAATTACAGGGAGGGATCCTTTTGTGCTTAAGTAAAAACATAGGTATTCTTTGTAGTTTATTTTTAAAAATGATGCCTAGAAGGCCACATAATTTAACTCCTACCAAGTTGTCACTGTACACAGTGTATTTGTAGCTACAACTTAATAGAAGCTTGCAACTCATTTCTTTTGTTTTTACTTCTGGTTTTTGGCTGTCTGGTTTGCTATTCTAGAAGCAGGTCTGCATTTCAGTATTTAGCCTAGTTGGAGTATAGAGAAGCCTGGGGTGCTGTCAGTGTCCTTTTGGTTTCCTCAGGGTCTGTTGTAGCCAGACCAAGTCCTTACCAAACTTCTTGCCATTCTGCAGAGGTTTAACAAGGTAAACCAAAGGGTGAAGGATTCCAGAAGTGGATTTCCTACTTCCTACAAGCGGAGTTGGATAATTGGTAGGTTAGTGATTTTTCCAGAAAGCTCCCATTTTAAAAAATTTTTTGTAATTAAAAAAGAATTTTTTTTTTTTTTTTAAGCCAAGCATGATTGTGCATAGTCCTAGCTATTCAGGAGGCTGAGGTGGAAGGATTGGTTGAGGCTGCAGTGAGCCGTGATCTTTTTCCAGGCAGCTCCCAAACATTTTAAAAAATTTTTCGTAATTAAAAAAAATTTTTTGCATTAAAAATTTTTTTTATTAACTGGGCATGATTGCGGATGCCTATAATTCCAGCTGCTCAGGAGGCTGAGGTGGGAGGGATTGGTTGAGCCTGGGAGGTTGAGGCTGCAGTGAGCTGTGATCTCACCAGTGCACTCCAGCCTGGGTGACACAGCGTCTAAAAAAGTAAAAAACAAAACAAAAAAAAAAACTGAGATGGGATCTTACTTTGTGGCCCAGGCTGGTCTCAAACTCCTGATGTCAAGCCATCCTCCTGCCTTGGCCTCCCAGAGTGCTGGGATTATAGGTGTGAGCCATTGTGCCCAGCCAGCTCCCAAATACTTAAGGTGCTTGGTTCTGAGACTGGCATATACGTTGGATTCCTCTTGGGGTCCCACCTTGGAATTCCAGTGCACAACAGTTTGAGAACCACTGTCTGGGGTTCGTTCTTCTGTACAGGCTCTGGTAAGACAGAATAGTCCTTGCCTATAACTTGAGAGATAAAAGTGTATTTCTGTCCAGGCACTGGAGTCCAAACTCGCTTCCTGCCGGAACCTCGTGTACGATCAGTCCCCAAACCGAACAGGTGGCCCAGCCTCTGGGCGGAGCAGCAAGAACAGAGATGGCGGGGAGAGACGGCCAAGCAGCACCAGCGTGCCTTTGGGTGATAAGGGGTCAGTACCTTCTAATAAACCTCTCGCTGGCGGGGAGAACCCGCCTGCCCCAGGCAAGAGACACTCACCCCCAGCCCACAGCCATGTGTCTTTTTAAATTATAGGATTATTTCAGCAAACCTTATCCTCTCCTCTGCTCCCTGCAGGCAGCATTAGGTGGTGTCTTGTGGCTTGAACAAAGGGCTAGAGAGAGGGTCTTGTTTTGTGAGACAGGGTCTCACTCTGTCACCTAGGCTAGAATACGATGGCAGGATCATGGCTCACCCTCTGCCTCCCAGCTCAAACGATCCTCCCACCTCAGTCCCCCGAGTAGCTGGGAGTACAGGTGCGTGTCACCGTGCTCGGCTAATTTTTTGTATTTTTTCTAGAGACAGGTTTTGCCATGTTGCCGAGTTTGGTCTCAAACTCTGAGCTTCAAGTGATCCTCACCCTTCATCCTCCCAAAGTGCTGCGACGACAGGTGTGGGCTACCATGCCTGGCCAAGAAGGTCATTTTTATCATTTGATTCTACAGCTGCTACTCACGGTTACACTGTGAGAATGTCCTGTATAAAAGCCCTTATTTGGGCCAGGTGTGGTGACGCTCGCCTGTAATCCCAGCAGTCTGGGAGGCCAAGGCAGGTGGATCACTTGAGGTCAGGAGTTCAAAACCAGTCTGGGCAACATTGGTAAAACCCCATCTCCACCAAAAAAAATAGAAAAATGAGCCAGGCATGGTAGCATGTGCCTATAGTCCCAGCTACTCAGGAGGCTGAGGAAGGAGAATCACTTGAACCCTGGAGGCAGAGATTGCAGTGAGCCAAAATTGTGCCTCTGCACAGCAGCCTGGGTGACAGAGCAAGACTCCATATCAAAAAGTTAATTAATTAGTTAAATAAAAATAAAGCCCTTATTTGGGGAATTGAGCATCAGTCATGGCTCTGCTTCCCCTGAAGTTTTTTTTTTTGTTTTGTTTTGTTTTTTTTTTGAGACGTCTTGCTCTGTCGCCTAGGCTGGAGTGTAGTGGCATGATCTCAGCTCACTGCAACCTCTGCCTCCCAAGTCCAAGCAATTCTCCTGCCTCAGCCTCCTGAGTAGCTGGGATTACAGGCGTGTGCCACCATGCCCAGCTAATTTTTTGTATTTTTAGTCGAGACGGGGTTTCACTGTGTTAGGATGGTCTTGATCTCGTGACATTGTGATCCACCCACCTCGGCCTCTCAAAGTGCTGGGATTACAGGCGTGAGCCACTGCAACCAGCCCTTTTTTTTCTTTTTAAATCTGTAGAACCTTTGAGAAACTGGCACTAACTTCTAGCCCAGACTATGTTCCTGAAACCAGCCACCCGATGGGACAGTGCAGATCTGATCTCTAACAGTGTCATTAATTTTCTTGCCTAAAGAAAATCAGGGCCAGGCTCAGTGGCTCACACTTGTAATCCCAGCACTTTGGGAGGCTGAGGGCAGCGGATCAATTGAGCTCTGGAGGTTGAGGCCGCAGTGAGCCGTGTTCCCAGCCACTGCACTCCAGCCTGGGTGATGAAGCGAGACCTTGTCTCAGAAAAAAAAGGGGCAGCTTTCAGATTCAGGAATTCTGCAAGGTGTGTGACTACCATCTCTCTGGGCCCCAAGCCGTAGGAATTTGATGGGTTTGTAGCAGACACGTGACAGGAAATTAAGAATATTTTCCATGGCATGCACATAACTTTGAGACCTTTACACGTGGATTTTTAGGCCAGGTGCAGTGAAGTGGCTCACACCTGTAATCCCAGCACTTTGGGAGGCAGAAGTGGGTGGATCACTTGAGGCCAGGAGTTCACAAGACCAAACTGGGCAACATGGTGAAACCCTATCTATACTAAAAATACGAAAATTAGCCGGGCATGGTCGCGGATGCCTGTAGTCCCAGCTGCTTGGGTGGCTGAGGCACAAGAATCACTTGAACCCAGGAAGTGGAGGTTGCAGTGAGCCAAGATTGCACCACTGAACTCCACTCTGGGCAACAGAGTGAGACTCTTTCTCAAGAAAAAAAAAAAAATTAATTTTTGTTTGTTTTCTTTCTACGAGACAGGGTTTTGCTGTGTCACCCAGGCTGGAGTGCAGTGGTGCGACCATAGCTCACTGCAGCCTCGTCCTCCTGGGCTCAAGCCATCTTCCTGCCTCAGCCTCCCAAGTAGCTGGGGCTACAGGTGCACACCACCACCCCTGGCTAATTTTTTTTATATTTTATAGAAACAGTCTTGCTATGTTGCCCAGACTGGTCTCAAACCTCCTGGCTTTGAGTTTGAGAATACACCTCTGAGACTGTAGTCTGCTTCTCATTGAGATTTCTAGAGGTGAGTTTTCAGATTAATTTTCCAGGCGATCTTCCCACCTTGACCTCCCAAGTGCTGGGGGTTACAAGCGTTAGCAATCATGCCTGGCCTTTTTTTTTTTTTGGAGACAGGGTCTCACTCTGTCACCCAGGCTAGACTGCGGTGGTGTGATCTCGGCTCACTGCAACCTCCGCCTCCTGGGCTCCAGCGATCCTTCCACCTCAGCCTACCAAGTAGCTGGGACTACACATGCAGGCCACCACACCCAGCTAATTTTTGTTTGCATTTTTCATAGAGACAGGGTCTCACTATGTTGCGTAGGCTGTAAAACAAACAAACAATAGGTAAGAGATGGATTTTTCTAGTGGGTCTGAGACTGGGCGTTTTGTGTGACCTTGGAATCTGAGAGCCAGGTAGCCAGTGTCCTCTTCTTCATTTCACAGGAGAGAAAATTGAGACCCTGTGAGACCCTGCTCCTGACTCTTGATGTTCACCCTTATAACTCTCTGGGCCCCGGTGCTAGCCAGTTTGTCACAGCTGTTATGTCAGCTTAATTTGGTTTGCTCTGTCTGAAGGTTGGGGAAGCGCCTGGAATTTGGGAAGCCGCCTTCACACATGTCTTCATCGCCGCTGCCGTCAGCCCAGGGGGTAGTCAAGATGTTGCTTTAGGAAAACCACGGAAGCTGAAGGTCTTGGTGTTGGTGCGGAAGTCGTTACCTTTTGTCGTCTTTTTACACTAGGTTTTTGTTTTAAGTTAGTTTGAGAAATAAGAGCAGTCACCATAGTTAGTTAGCTTTGCGGCCCAAGCCAATGACCGAGGCCATCACCTGTGCTCTGGGGTTTGTCCCTGGGAAATGTCTTTTCATCCTTACCTGCCACCGTGTGCATTGCAAAGAGGGACAAAAGGGGCTCTCTGGGAAGGGCTCTAAGTTGTCGGTGATGAGGCTACCGTGTTGTTTTTGAGATAGAGTCTTGCTCTGTCACCCAGGCTGGAGTGTGGTGGCGTGATCTCAGCTCACTGCAACCTCCGCCTCCTGGGTTCAAACGGTTCTTGTTCCTGAGTCTTCCAGGTAGCTGGGATTACAGGCACCCACCACCACACCTGGCTGAATTTTTTGTATTTTTAATAGAGACGGGGTTTTGCCATGTTGCCCAGTGTGGTCTTGAACTCCTGGCCTCAAGTGATCCTCCCATCTCGGCCTCCCAGAATGCTGGGATTTCAAGCATGAGCCATCGTTCCCATGCCCCATTGTGTTGCACTAACCCAAGCGGAGGTCCTGATTGGTCTTTTTTTTTTTTTTCTTTTTTGAGACAGAGTCATGCTCTTGCCCTGTCTTGTCCAGGCTGGAGTGTAGTGGTGCAATTTCGGCTCACCGCAGCCTCCGCCTCCTAGGTTCAAGCGATTCTCTTATCTCAGCTTCCCAAGTAGCTGGGACTACAGGAGTGTGCCACTACACCCACTAATTTTGTATTTTTAGTGAGAAACGGGGTTTCACCATGTTGGCCATGCTGGTCTTGAACTCCCGGCCTCAAGTGATCCTCCCGCCTCAGCCTCCCAGAGTGCTGGAATTACAGGCCTGAGCCACCGTGCCTGGCCCCTGATTGGTCTTGACAGGTGTTTTTAATGTCCCAAGTCTCCGTAAATGTGGGATGGAGCTTCTCTCAGAGGCTCTTCCCCCCAACTCCCAACCAGGTGGAATCGTCTTCCAGAACAAAATCTCCCAGTGCTTTGTGGTGTACTGAAATCATGTCTAAGAACAGAGAACTTAACAGTCACATGCCTTTTTAAAAACTGGAATAGGCTGGGCGCGGTGGCTCAGGCCGGTAATCCTAAGACTTTGGAAGGCCGAGGCGGGTGGATTACCTGAGGTCAGGAGTTCAAGACCAGCCTGGCCAACATGGTGAAACCCCATCTCTACTAAAAATACAAAAAATTAGCTGGGTGCAGTGGTGCGTGCCTATAATTCCAGCTACTCCAGATGTTGAGGCAGGAGAGTTGCTTGGACCCGGGAGGTGGAGGGTGCAGTGAGCCAAGATTGCGCTACTGTACTCCAGCCTGGGCAACAGAGTGAGACTCCGTCTCCAAAAAAAAAAAAAAAGGTGTCATAAACCTCTGAGACTGTAGCCTGCTTCTTAGCTTCTCATTGAGATTCCTAGAGGTGCGTTCGAGTTTTCAGAGTAATTTTCCAGACCAACCAGCGTCAGTGGGAAATCTGACCTCTTTTGGCAAACTGCGATCATTCATTTTCCTGAGTCCCCTGGTGGGGTGGGGGGAATTCTGCCTCAGGACCCTGAGGGGTCTTTGGGGCAAGATGGCCTTGGTAATGCAGCCACTAAGAACAGGACTTCATTCAAAGGCATAATGAAGTAACCAGGGTGACCATCAAGTAAAATTAAAGCACAAGATCATTGTAGGAGGCTTCCTTGTCAAAGACGTGAACGTGGGATTTCCAACGCACCATGGTGTGTCCACTCATCACTGCATGTTAGGAACTGCTGTCTCTTTGGGACACGAGTTAAAAGAACACACTAATTTCTGGAGTGTGCCTGCAGCTTCACGGCCTTCATTTTGTTACTAAGTTATTTTCTGGAAGAACAGCAAAAATTTCAGGTTGAAAACAGAACTTTCCAAGTGCTACTGAAATTCCGCAGAGAATTACGCTGCGATGGTGGGTTTCTTACCCTAGAAACATCCTAACCTGTATCCACAGAAGATGTCCTTTTATTTTTTTAAAAGATCAATAAAATCAAGAGAAACGAATGTTGAACTTGTTGGGCTTCTGGTCAAAGAGGCTTTGTATGTTTATACTTTAATGTTTTCCCACAGAGTGGTGAAAAACTTTTTTTAACCAAGTTAAAAAATATGAAAAAATCTTTTTGAAAATTTCTATTCAAGCCAGGTTTTTAGAAATGTATCCGGGATGTGTTTGTGCGTCATTCAAGGCATATTAGCATCTGGTCACAAGATGGAGTCCTTTGTTTCCATGTTTCCTGTCTCCCAAATCTGTCTGATCCCATGGAGTTGGTGGTATACGGCATCGTTTGTGTTGAACAGAGCCTTTGCAGGCATGTCTGTCTAAAACACTCAAGCTGAAAGAAGGACAGGGCCTACAGCTTGTTTTTATGGCCCTTACTCTAAGAATGATTTATTATGTTTTTAAGGGTTGTTTTAAAGAAGATGAATATTCGGCAAGACCATATGTAGCCTGTAAAGGCTAAAATACTATCTGGCTGGGTGGGTGGTGGTGGTGGTGTGAGAGACAAGGTGTTACTGTTACCTAGGCTGCAGTGCAGTGGCGTGATCATAGCTCACTGCAGCCTGGAACTCCTGGCTCACATGATCCTCCTGCCTTAGCCTTCCAAGAGGTTGGGAGTACAGGTGTGCACTATCCTGCCTGGCTTACTAACAACAACAACAAAAAAACACCTTTTTTTTATAGAGACGGGGGTCTCTCTCGGCTAGGCTGGCCTCCAACTCCTGGCCTCAAGTGATTTTCCCATCTCAGCCTCCCAAAGTGCTGGGATTCCAGGTGTGAGCCACTGTACCCAGCCACCATCTGACGTTTTGTGGAAAGTGTTTGCTGACTCATTGGACAAGACCTTGTGTTTTAACTCAAAAAATCAAGGAAATCCTGTATTTTTCTTAAGATACTGGTTTTGATGAGTCAAGATGTTCTTCCCAGTCATGTTCGAGGGCAGGGGGCAGTGGCCCTTAGACCACACATCACCTTATTTCTCTCCCCTGCCCTCCCTGCTGAGCGGCCCAGTAACCCCCTTAGACAGTCTCACTTTGCATCTCTGCTCTGCTCTCTGGCTGGCTGTGGGGTTGTAGGCAATTGATTTCACCTCTCTAGGCCTCAGTTTCTGCATTCATGACGTTAACCCTGACTTCAGAGAATCTTTGGGACGATGAAGCAAAACCCAGCCTTCCCCAACTCCTTTTCCTCTATAGAAAACAGCTCAACAGAAAAGCCAACGACATTGTGATTTATAACCATTTATTAGTGAAAGTGTTTTTAAGCACAGTCAGGGTGTAAACAGTGCAGCATTCCTGCTCCCCTCCGTGGGAGCAGCGTCTCCTTTTCAATTCATGTGACTACAGAAGGCACTTGGTGAACTGTGCGTGTCTGAGGTGTGGAAACCAGGAGAGGGGGAAAGAATTCTCAAAGGCCTGACGTGAGAAGTTGGAAAGGTTTGCAGGTTAGGGAATGAATTGGGAGTGGGGGCCGGCGGCACCCATTTCGGTGACTTTCTCCCCATTTCATGTAAACAGAATTGCCAGGGACCGGTTACCGTGGATATGTTTTTCTAAAAACTCAGTGTCTGCACAATCCATTGATAGAACTGGAGGATGTGTCTGTGTTTCCTGTTGGGTTTTTCTCATCTCTTACATCATACAAACTTCAATTTTTACCTTGAATACAGGGGTAGTAGGGGTGGTGGTGGTGGTGGTGGTTGAGACAGGGTCTCTGTTGCCCAGGCTGGAGTGCAATGATGCAATTATAGCTCATTGCAGCCTCGAAGTCCTGGGCTGGAGCGTTCTTCCTGGCTCAGCCTCCCTAGTAGCTGGGACCACAGGTGTGTACCACCACGCCCAGCTTATTTTTAAATTCTTGTATAGATGAGGTTTTACTACGTTGCCCAGGCTGGAGGGTGGTGGTTTTTATATTCCTTGTGTGAGGGGTGTCTGTGATATTTGGAATTTGAGAATGGATTTAGACAATGCTAAGTACAGTCTGCTGGGTTTTGCTTTGTTCTGGGTTGTTGTTGGGTTTTTTTTGTTTGTTTGTTTTGGTTTTTGGTTTTCTTGCCGTGGTGCAAAACTGTAGAAAGTTGCTTATTCACTGGCCTTGGTTCCATTGAAGTCTGCGTCTCGAGTGTCCGTTTCCTCCTCAGAACCATCTGCATTTTCAATAACTCTACGTCCTCCAGACCTTCTAGAAGGAACGAAAGAGGTCTCGTTTCCTCGCCTGTGGGTTGTAAGAAAACACATTATTTAGCAAAGAAATCTTCATGGTTGGGATAGATTTTTTATAAATCTATTTTAAACTTGTAGCTATAGTCCTATTGCAATATAAATTTTTTTTATGGCAGAAAACACACACGGCACAAATAAGATGCAGATATTCAAGTTGAAGTCAACAAATCATTGCCAGTCTTAAGGCATGAGTGATTGAATTTAATCAGCTGAAATTGGTTGCGGGGGTGGGTGGAGAAGGTTTTTCAAAGCAAGACGATCTGCTTTTCAATATGTCAGGCTTGGTCATTTGAGAAGCCACAGGATTCTGGTCTGCTGTGGTCTTTGATTTAGAATAGGAAAAAAACGCCAAAAACCAAGCAGGGGATTTTGTCTTCTGACTTTATTCATAGCCCATGGGGCAGAGTTGAAGAGAGAACATACTGTTTTTCTTCTGTATCTCCTCACCCCCATTCGCCTTAGAGGTGAGTTTTCAAGATTTGAATTGGAAGAAGGTGAAATGGACAAGGGCAGCCTTGAGAAGGACACAGAGGGGCTCCCTGGTTAAAAGGCGAGACAGCACCCCCTGCTGGTGTGAATGTTCATGGACTGAGTTTTCCCCACTGCAGGGACTGCTGCATCTGTTTTGCTGATCGTGGAACATACCGCACATGGCGTAAAACAGGTGCCCAGTGAATATTAGAAAAGGAAATTATACGTGTTAATCCAAGGTGGATTATTTTATTAAATTGAGATGAGGTCTTGATATTGTTGCCCAGGCTGGTCTGGAACTCCTGAGCTCAAGCAGTTCTCCTACCTTGGCCTCCCAAAGCGCTGGCATTACAGGCGTGGGCCACCACACCTGGCCTTCAAGGTGGATTTAAAAAAGAAATTTAAGAGTCTCTCTCACCCAGGCTGGAGTGCAGTGGCATGATCTTGGCTCACTGCAACCTCTGCCTCCTGAGTTCCAGCAGTCCTTGAGCCTCAGTATTGAGTAGCTGGGACTACATGCACGTGCACACTGCCACGCCTGGCTAATTTTTGTATTTTTAGCAGAGATGGGATTTTGCCATGTGACCCAGGCTGGTCTTGAACTCCTGGCCTCAAACGATCCACCTGTCTTAGCCTCTCAAAGTGTTGGGATTACAGGTGTGTGCCAGTGCACCTGGCCTCTGAGGTGGATTTTAGCTCCAGCCAGTAGGACACCCCTGTCTCTCCTTAATGCTGCCATCTCCTCTCTGCGCTGGTTCTCTCTTGAGTTTATCACCTCGACTTCACAGGAAGGGCTGGTCACGTGAGGGGAGACTTTGGGTAGGAGGAAGAGAGTGGGCAGAAGAAGGAAAAATCAGATCTGCCTGCTGCCAGCCTTCACCGTTCAGAAGAAACACTTAACTCTTTTCAGCAACCGCAACAAATAATTATGTTGGGCTCTGGCCATCTGGCCCTGTTTGACCTGAATCGGAAGACAGGTCTTATTTTAGGACATCAAAGAAGAGAGCAGACTTTTGCTCCCCACGCAAGGGTTGGATAAGAAGCCATAAGGATGAACACAACTCAGTGACCAATTCTTTAGTCAAAAGGAACAACTCGGCTGGGCATGGTGGCTCACACCTGTAATCTCAGCACTTTGGGAGGCTGAGGCGGGCGGATCATGAGGTCAGGAGATCGAGACCATCCTGGCTAACATGGTGAAACCGTGTCTCTACTAAAAATACAAAAAATTAGCCGGGCGTGCTGGCGGGTGCCTGTAGTCCCAGCTACTCGGGAGGGAGGCTGAGGCAGGAGAATGACATGAACCCAGGAGGCGGAGCTTGCAGTGAGCCGAGATGTGGCCACTGCACTCCAGCCTAGGCGACAGGGTGAGACTCCGTCTCAAAAAAAAAAAAAAAAAAAAATCAAGGCCCAGAGATTCATGATCACTGAGAAGAGGAATTCGCAAATGACCCTTTTGTTGACAGAGGATGGGAGAGACCCCGGCTGGGAAAGCCCACCTGGCTATAAAGGATGGGACTTCCCGCAGTGCAGCGATCAGGAATAAATACTTAAAGCTGCAGCCACTTCAAAGTAAACACTCCTAGCCCAGCTTCACAGAGAAGCTTCTGGACTTGCAGCCCTACTAGAGAACTCTCCATCCTTCTCTCTCTAGATGTGACCCTTAAGTCTTTTTCTTTTTTAGCACTGTTTTCCAAGCGCTTGACTCAGAAGGATGCTCAAATTCAGCGCAGAGGAGCAGCAGTTTGACTGTTCCCTGTACGCTCCCCACACAGCTCTCTTCGTCACAGTTTTAACTCCAGGTTCAAACCCTGATGGGTTGGCCAGTTGCTGCGACTCATGCCTGTAATCCCAGCACTTGGGGAGGCCGAGGTGGGCAGATCACTCGTGAGGTCAGTTGTTCGAGGCCATCCTGGCCAATATGGTGAAACCCCGTCTCTACTAAATATACTAAATTAGCCGTGCGTGGTGGCAGGCGCCTGGAATCCCAGTCACTCAGGAGGCTGAGGCAGGAGAATTGCTTGAACCCAGGAGGTGAAGGCTGCAGTGAGCCAACGTTGTGCCACTGCACTCCAGCCTGGGAAACAGCAAGACTGTCTCCAAAAAAAAAAACAAAAAAAAATCTGATGAGCTGGGAAGTAGTCCCTAACCTCCACATCAGTGCTCTAGGCACTCTCTTTTTGGCTCTTGGAAGAGTCTATTTGCTAACTGGAAAAGCTTAATGGATAAATTTGCTCCCTTGACCTAAGAAATACATTGTGCCCTGGGCCGTTGAAGCTCCTTGCTTGGCTGTCAGCCTGCAAGATACTCTGTTTTGGCTGAAGTGCTTTTCTTGGAACTGGTTTCAAATCCTAGACCAAGGTTGACACCAACTATACCTGTTACAGGAACTAAGGGACCCCCCTAAAGGTTTTCTTAAAGGGTCTGATCCTGGAGAATCTGGAATTTTTTTTTGAAATAGAGTCTCGCTGTGTTGCCCAGGCTGGAGTGCAGTGGCGTGATCTTGGCTCACTGCAGCCTCTGCCTCCCAGGTTCAAGCGATTCTCCTGCCTCAGCCTTCCAAGTAACTGGGACTACAGACATGCCACCACTCCTGGCTAATTTTTGTATTTTTAGGAGAGACGGGGTTTTACCATGTTGGCCAGGCTGGTCCTGACCTCAAGTTATCTGCCCGCCTCGGCCTCCCAAAGTGCTGGGATTATAGGCATGACCCACTGTGCCTGGCCTAGCATTTGGATTCTATTCGTGGACTCAGCTTATCCAAGGCCTCGGGAATCATCTTGAGTGTAAGCACCTGCTAGTTTGCAAGGACTCAGTTTCCCACTGACCAGTGGGTTCTGCACTTCAGCCCACCCTGGAATTTGGCTTATCCTATGATCCCAATCAGCTGGTAGGAGAGCTGCTTGAAGTGTCCTAGAAACTCATCTGCTCCCCCACAAAACTGGCTCTTAACAAGACCTCACCCTGCGCTTTAAGTATTTTGGTAGTGACAGCAAAGCTGAGATTCTCCAAAAATGAAGATGGACACAAATGAGGGTTGGTTTGGCCTCTCCATGAGGTGAAGTCAGATCCACATGGCCTAACTTCACCTGTGAAAAGTTGGTCATGCTTGTAATCCCAGCATTTGGGGAGGCCAAGGCGCGCGGATCACCTGAAGTCAGGAGTTTGAGACCAGCCTGGCCAACATGGTGATATCCTGTCTCTAATAAAAATACAAAAATTAGCTGGGCGAGGTGGCGGGAGCCTGTAATCCCAGCTACTCAGAAGGCTGAGGTAGGAGAATCGCTTGAACCCAGGAGGCAAAGGTTGCGGTGAGCCAAGATTGCGCCATTGCACTCCAGAGCGAGACTCCGTCTCAAAAAAAAAAAAAAAAAAAAGCAAAATCCCAGAGCAGCAGAGACCTCTTCATGCTTTCTTGGGAAGGGCCCTGTGTGCATCCTTGAGTCTTGGGTATCCACTCCCCAGTCCCTGAACATGTACATGCCCGTGAAGCCTCCAGAAAAGGCTCTGCCAGGACTGTGCTTGGCTTTGCGGTGGTCAGCTTCCACCCCGTGTGCTGAAAATGCAGTTTGTAGCTAGACATCACTCAAGCCACGTGCAGCCCCCGGCATTTGTCAGACATCGCAGTGAGCTCATTTCCTTCGCAGACAAGCCTGTGAAAGCTGAATCATGGGAGGACTGGTTGCCGCGCCGCAGTTACCGTGAACTTTGTGATCTCTGACTTGTGACCCAGACCAGCCAACTAGAAGCCAAGTACGTTCTCCAGGAATGTGCCCAGATAGTGGAACTGTCATATTCATTCAGTGCAGTGTCTTCACTGGACAAGGGAGGACAGCACTGCTGAGTGCCCTAACCACGTAAGAGTGGCTTTTGGCATGAAAGGAAGAAAAATCCAAGCTACACACACAGCCTCTGCCATCTCGTCAAGATGCAGTGATAAGGGCGCACACTGTTGGGTGTCATGTCACATGTGCTGCCCAGAGGCAGGAAGGACAGTGGGTCAAGAGATGAGGTCTATTTGTCATCCTGATCTTGGTTTCAATGAAAGCTTTGCACAAAGATATCCAAGCCTCCAGATTTTGCAAGAATCTCGTGGAAATGTGCAAGGGTTTAAAAATTGGGGTGGGCAGAGGGGCGCATTGGGCAGAAAAGAAATGGATACTGAGACAACACACAGCTGCGAAGCTGAAGGCATGATACCTGGTGCATCACTGCGAAGTTTCCTGTGGGGGGGGCCCTCTGAAACAGAGAGAGAATCCCCGGAGGTTACCATCAGCAAACAAGAAGGAGCCCGGTTAAGTATATTCTTAATTGTTAAAGACATTTGCTTCGATTTAATAATTAAAGGCACTCTTTTTTATTTTGAGATAGTCTCTGTCACCCAGGCTGGAGTGCAGGGGTGCGATCTTGGCTCACTGCAACCTCTACGTCCTGGATTCAAGTGATCCCCTTGTCTCAGCCTCCCGAGTAGCTGGGATTACAGGCAGGCCCCACGTGCTTGGCTAATTTTTGTATTTTTAGTACAGATGGGGTTGCACTATGTTGGTCAGGCTTGTCTCCAACTCCTGATGTCAATGATCTTCCTGCCTTGGCCTCCCAAGGTGCTGGGATTTGGGATTACAGGCATGAACCACCGCACCTGGCATTAAAAGCACCCTTAAGTCAACGTTGCAGTGAATCACCTGACGCCAAGAGCATTTGGTGAGGCTGGTAGATGAAAGGATAAGCAGTTTTTTGATACTCTGTCACCCAGGATGGAGTGCACTGGCATGATCTATCTCTGCTCACTGCAACCTCCACCTCCCGGGTTCAAGCGATTCTCCTGCCTCAGCCTCCCGAGTAGCTGGGATTACAGGCATGCACCACCGTGGCTGGCTAATTTTCATATTTTTAGTAGAGACGGAGTTTCACCATGTTGGCCATGCTGGTCTCGAACTCCTGACCTCAAGTGATCCACCCACCTCGGCCTCCCAAAGAGCTGGGATTACAGGTGTGAGCCACTGCACCCGGCTCAGTTTTTTAAATGGAAAGGAAAATGTCTGTCCTTTAGAGCTACTTTTAAGAACCTCCTATAAATCCCATGATTGCATACTGGTTCAGGGAAGTAAAAGCATTTGAGCAAGCTAGTTTGAGAAATCAGTGTTGGAACAGAAGCCAAGAAGTCCCAGGCAAGGAACCTGCAGCCGCCTGTCCCTTGGTTTATGATTACTTGCTCTTCATTAGCTTTCGGGCCTCTAGCAAGAGAGGAGAGGTGGAGGCCTTGTACAGCTCTTGCCGGAGGTAACTGGCAGTGTAGCCAGTGGTAGGTAAGTGGGTCTGGCTTTAGAGAGGGCTTGTGTCGAGATGCGTCTGGCTGATAGAACTTGGTGAAACTCGCACTACAGTTCCTTCTTGGCTGAGGAGCCAGGCATGCTTACCAACCTCCCTCAGGGCTCTAGTGCCTGATTTTATGTTTTTGTGCACCCAAAAGATGCAGAAGGCAGGACAGACCTTCCACCTGCATTATGTGTGTATTCGTGTCGGAACTGGCAAAAATGGTCTTTTTGTTCCACTTTGCCCTTGGCTGCCCAAGAAGGCTCAAGTGTCTGGGGCAGAACCCACAGGAGGTGTCCAGTGTGTGCTAAAGAATCACTGGGCCGGCCGGGCATGGTGGCTCACGCCTGTAACCCCAGCACTTTGGGAGACCGAGGCAGGTGGATCACGAGGTCAGGAGATCGAGACCATCCCAGCCAGTATGGTGAAACCTTGCCACTACTAAAAATACAAAAATTAGCCAGGTGTGGTGGCACGCACCTGTAATCTCAGCTACTTGGGAGGCTGAGGCAGGAGAATCGCTTGAACCTGGGAGGCAAAGGTTGCAGTGAGCCGAGATCGCGCCACTGCACTCCAGCCTGGCAACAGAGCTAGACTCCGTCTAAAAATAAATAATAAAAAGAAAAGAAATCACTGGGCCTGAGAAAGGGAAGCAGAGACAGCAGTGGGGTAGGGAGTCAGAGTGGCTGTATCCCCATCGCTCAGCCCAGCCACTCAGGAGAGGCAGGGGGACTGGTTGCCAGCAGAGCACATCTGAGGGTTTTTGTTTTTTGTTTTTTTTTTGGAGACAGAGTCTTGCTCTGAAGGCTGGAGTATAGAGGCTTGATCTTGGCTCACTGCAGGCTCCTCCTCCTGGGTTGCAAAGGAGTGTCCTGTCTCAGCCTCACGAGTAGCTGGGATTACAGGCATCTGCCACCACGCCTAGCTGATTTTTGTGTTTTTAGTAGAGATGAAGTTTCACCATGTTGGCCAGGCTGGTCTCGAACTCCTGACCTCAGGTGATCAGCCCACCTCAGCCTCCCAAAGTGCTGGGATTACAGGCGTGAGCCACCGCGCTTTGCCCCAGGAGTCTTCACAGTGAGAACAGCTCTCCTCCACTGACCCCTCAACCCTGGGAGATGCTTCCAGGCCCCTGCTGTACTTTGGGAGCCTAGGCCTGGTTTCTCTCCTATCCATGGGGGACCAACAAGCGCTCACCATGCAGCGAGTGGGGCTTTTCCCTGAAGGCTTGGTGCCCTGCGCCAGCTGCTCTCTTCCCCTTCTCAGAGGGGTTTGGACTTTTCCCTGTCTCACGCAGTGGTCCCCAAACTCTAGAGGTGATTTCAGATGGCTTCCGGGCATGCCATCCGCTAACTGAACTGGGCCCTGAGAAAGTCATTTCCTTTCCAACTCTTTTTAAACAAGTCTAATTATGATGTCAGAGAGAGTCTATTTGGTGCTAATGGCTGTTGTCACTCCCTTTTTAGTGGAGAAGTAGGCTTCAGGTCTTGGTGATCAAGTTGTGGCCACAATAGCTAGATATTGAACTTGATACTATTTTTATCATATTACTTTCATCGTAACCAGTTGATAGAGGTGATGCTGGTTTAAAAATATAGAGGAGGTATGTTTATTTGCCGTTATATTCATGTATGATTAAAACTGTTAAAAGATCAAGTCATTGGTATTAAAGGTAGTAAGAGGCTCAGCACATGGCTGTGGTGGTATGAGAATGAAGCGGGGAAAATATCTAGGACCCGAGGGATAAAGGTTCACTCTGCCTGGTGCTGTCCTAGACACTGGAGATTTTTTTTTTGAGACCGAGTTTTGGTCTGTCACCCAGGCTGAAGTGCAGTGGTGCGATCTCAGCTCACTGTAACCTGTGTCTCCCAGGTTCAAGCGATTCTCCTGCCTCAGCCTCCCTAGTAGCTGGGATTACAGGCACGCCCCACCATACCCGGCTAATTTTTGTGTTTTTAGTAGAGACGGGGTTTCACCATGTTGGTCAGGCTGGCCTTGAACTCCTGACCTCAGGTGATCAGCCTGCGTTGGCCTCCCAAAGTGCTGGGATTAAGGGGTGAGCCACTGCACCCAGCCTGGGCAGGATTCTTTAGGGAAAGTTGACCAGATTCTCCCATAGATGGGATGTGGGGTATAAAGGAGACCAAAACGTTAAGAAGGACCACGAGGTTTGTGATGTGAATTGTTGGCAACTTCATCATTTTAGCTGCTGAGCTGGAGAGAGGAGCCAGTTTGGGGGTGAAGAGTTTCAGTCAGGACTTGGGGTGCAGCATGTTTGGTGTGAGCTGCCTATTAGACATCCATGTGGGAACGGGAGGGTGGTCTGAGGTTCTAGGAAGAAGCTAGGGCTTCTCAGAGATGAACTGAGGAGTCATTAGATATACATGGAATTCTAAAGCGCCAAGATTAGTTGAGACCTCTCACCTAGCGCTGGGGAGAGATGAAAACAACTAAGGCCGTGCAGTGGTCCATGCCTGTAATCCCAGCACGTGGGGAGGCTGAGGCGGGTGGATCACAAGATCAGGAGTTCAAGACCAGCCTGGGCAACATGGTGCAACCCCATCTCTACTAAAAATATAAAAATAGGCCAAAAATAGCTTGAACTGGGAGGCAGAGGTTGCAGTGAGCTGAGATAGTGCTACTGCACTCCAGCCTGGGCAACAGAGCAAGACTCTGCCCAAAAGAGAACTAAGTTGATACCCTGGGGCGGTCTAGTGGCAAGCAGGTTTCGAGGTGAGGGATCAGCAGAGGAGAGGAAGAGGGACAACCCCACAGGTCGGGGGACAAGCAGGTGTGGATGGTGTCGGGGAAGTCCAGGGAAGCAAGTGAATTAGGCCAGAGGCATGATGGACTGCGTCACGTGCTGCTGCCCTGTCAGGGGACCTCTGGCCATTAGTGTCACCCATGGGAGGCTTCTGGGAGAGTGATGGGTGGGGGCGAGGGGAACCAGCAACTCTTCACATACAGTTTTTTTTTTTTTGAGACCGAGTCTCACTCTGTCACCCAGGCTGGACTGCAACCTCTCTCTCCCGGTTTTAAGCCATTCTTGTGCCTCAGCCTCCTGAGTAGCTGGAACTATAGGCATGCACCACCACACCTGGCTAATTTTTATATTTTTTGGTAGAGACAGGGTTTCGGCATTCACATCCAGTTTTGTAGTAAGGGTAGCAAGGTAGACATGGGGCTAAGAGGTTATTCCATTTGCTGATGGAGCAAATGAAAGAGAAAACCTTGCAAAATAAGGATTTTTGGAGCTATGTGCTTGAGTGAACAAGAGGGTCGGGTCCAATGGAGGTGTTGGCCTCGGTTGGTGCCAGAGGGTTCAGCATAGAAATGGAAAAAAAATAGAAGTGTACAGAGGTGCACGGAGGTAGGATGATGAGGCAGTGGGAGCTTGTGCACGTTTCATGATCATTTCTGCTTTTGAGTTAAGTAGGAAGTAAGGTCCCCAGCTGAGAGAGAATGGGGAGGAGCGATCATAAGTTCAAAGAAAAAGTGAAAAGCAGCAGAGAGTGAGAAGATGAGGGAGGGGTGTGGGAGGACCCCTGAGCAAGGCCTGCTCTGTGGGAAAAGGTGGAGAGTGGGTTTTGGGTTTTTTGAGACAGGGTCTCACTCTGTCCATCCAGGGTAAGTGCATTGGCTAGATCATGGCTCACTGCAGCCTTGACCTCTGGGGCTCCACTGATCGTCCCACCTCAGCCTCCTGAGTAGCTGGGATTTTAGGTTTGCGCCATCCCACCTGGCTGATTTTTGTTTGTTTGTTGTAGAGATGGGGTCTTGCTGCTCTTGAACTCCTGAGCTCAAAGCGATTCACCTGCCTTGGCCTCCCAAAGTGCTGGGATTATAGGTGTGAGTCCCGTGCCCAGCCAAGCTTGAGTTTCATTTGGGTTGTGCTTTCACCAAATGATTGCAGCAATGCAAGAGGGGGAACCGGATGTTGAGGATGCGCGACGGGGGTTACTAGACAGCTGGTTTGGAGCTGGGTCAGAGGCTGATGGCATTAATGGAGTGAAGACCCCGTTGGGGACAGAGCCAAAGAAAGGTGGCACCAGGCAGACAATGGGATGCCTGAGGGTCAAATTGTGAGGGCTCCTAGGAGTACTGGTTGGCCCGGTAGAAGCAGCAGGATCACCCAGAGGGTCAAGGAACCGAGAGGCTGCGTCGCCCACCTGGATGTTGAAATCATGGAGAACTGTGAGGAGTGGTGTGGGAGACAGGAAGCCCGGAGCTAAAACCTCCTGGGAGCCAATCGGGATGGATGGACAGGGTGGTGGAAGCAGCCCTTGGGAGCAGGGGGGACCCCCAAGGTACCAGAGGCATGGGAGAGAAAACAGCCCCCACTCCAGTGACAGCAGGAATTCTCAGCGGGGTGGCAGTCGTACCCTCCCATCTCTAGAGGACTTCTGGCAACATCTAGAGACATTTTTGGTTGTCACATTGCAGGGTGGTGGGGGACTACTGCAGCCGGTGGGTAGAGGCCAGAAATGTAAGCACCTGCTACTTTTCAGGGATCTTTTTCCTTCTGATGGGGAATGTCGGACAGCCCCCATACCCGAGAATAATGCAGCCCAGATGGCAGCAGTGCTGAGGGGGAGAAAGGAGGAGCAGAGCATGTCAGGAAGGAGGTGAAGTGGCGGGGGGTGGTGTTGCAGCTTCAATGGATGTCGTGAAGACTCAGTGATGCAATGAAGGAGGGGCTGGAGGAGACAGTGGGGATAGCCTCTTCCTCCTCCTCAGCCGGAGGACCGGATGGGAGACGGTCGATCGTTAAAGGATCTAGAAGGTTAGCTGCTACCAGGCAAGGCAGGGCCCGGGTCTGATCTCAGTGCCTGGCCCACACTAAGCTTAGTGATTAAGGAGAAGCAGGAATAAACCACAGAAGGGAGTGGCGGCTGTGGGCACAAGGGGCATTTGCAGGCCGAAAGGAGCCCGAGCCCCCAGTGCTTTTCTCTGGCCTGAGAGACGGGGTCCTCCCGGGCCACGGGCTCCTCACCTGAGCTTGCTCTTGAGTGCGTTCACCTCGCGGCCCATGGCCTCGTTGCTCTCCGTGGCCTCATCCAGCTCCCGCTGCAGCTTCCTGCGGTTGGCGTTGATGCGCTGGGACTCCTCCTCTGCCTCCTCCAGCTGCCTCTTGAGCTGCTTGACCCTGGCATTGCCTTTCTCTGCCTGTCGCGGAGAGTTGGAGGGGTGGTTAGGGGAGGCCGGCTGGGGGCTGGGGGCTCGAGGGAGGCTGGGTGGCAGGGGCTACCTGCTCCTTGTACTGCTCGGCCATCTTGCGCTCGTCCTCCACCTGCAGCAAGATTTCCTTCAGCTTCTTGTCTTTCTGCTTCAGCGACTTGGTGGCCGCCTGTTTCTCTCTGCAAACAGCAAGGAAAACAGGTGGTTTCAGCGGAGGGTGGCACCCCTTGTAGCTGGTGTGTCACCTGGAGGTGGCATCTTGAGTGCTTTCCTGAGCCCCGTATCTGGACTCCTCTCAAGAATCAGTCAGATGGTGGAATAGTATTCAGCCATGAAAAGGAATAAAGTATCAATGCATGCCACAGCATGGATGAGCCTGGAATTCTTGCCAAGTGAAAGAAGACACATAGCAGACAACATAGTGTGTGATTCCGTTGATATCAAGTGTCCAGAATAGATAAATTCATAGAGACAGAAAGTAGATTATGGTTGCCAGGGACTGAAGGGAGTGGTTACAGGGCATGGGGTTTCTATTTTTTTTGCGGGGAGGAGGCAAGGTCTTGCTGTGTGACCCAGGTTGGAGTGCAGTGGTGCTCCAATGCCTGCTCTTCACCCTAGTTCATAGTTCACTGCAGCCTTGAACTCCTGGCTCAAGCAATCCTCCCACCTCAGCCTCCCAAGTAGCTGGGACTACAGGCGTACACCAGCATGCTCAGACTTTTAAAAGTTTTTCATAGAAACGGAGTCTCTGGCCAGGCGTGGTGGCTCATGCCTGTAATCCCAGTACTCTGGGAGGCCGAGGTGGGCAGATCACCTGTGGTCAGGAGTTCGAGACCAGCCTGGCCAACATGGTGAAACCCCATCCCTACTAAAAAATACAATTACAAGCTGGGTACAGTGGTGTGCACCTGTAGTCCCAGCTACTTGGGAGGGTGAGGCGGAGGTTGCAGTGAGCTGAGATCGCACCACTGCACACCAGCCTGGGAAACAGAGTGAGACTATGTCTCAAAAAAATAAAAATAAAAAAGTCTTGCTATGCTGCCCAGACTGGTCTCGAACTCCTGGACTCAAGTGCTGCTCCCACCTACCTCAGCCTCCCAAAGTGCCGGGATTATGGGCATGAAATACCACATATGGCCTGGGGTTTCTGTTTGAGCCGATGAAAATGTTCTCAAAATGACTGTGGTGATCGTTTTTACATGTTTGTGAATATATGAATAGCCCTTGAATTATACACTTTAAATGGGTGCATTGCAGGGCGTGCGAATTACTGAAAAAGCTACTAGAAGAGAATGGGTGAGAATCCTTAGAATCCAATGGTAAGAAATGTGCTGTGATCATATGCCTCATTCGACCCATAATTAAGAAGGCTTCCAGTGTGTGTACCAAATGGGCTGCCGGTTGGACTTTTGTTTTTTGGGGTTTTTTTTGTGTGTGTGTATGTGTGTGGAAGGGTCCCACTGTGTCACCCAGGCTGCAGTGCAGTGGCACAATCTCGGCTCACTGCAACCTCCACGTGTCACGTTGGAGTGATTCTCCTGCCTCAGTCTCCTGAGTAGCTGAGATAATAGGCATGTGCCACCACACTCGGCTAATTTTTGGTACAGACAGGGTTTCACCATGTTGGCCAGGCCGGTCTCAAACTCCTGACCTCAAGTGATCCACCTGCCTCAGCCTCCCAAATTGCTGGGATTACAGGCGTGAGCCACCACGTCCAGCCTGGTTGGATTTTTGATCTGTCAGCATGCTATCCCTGCAGAGGCTGGGAAAAGTCATATGTACTGCTGGGAAGGCAGGTTAATGTCAGGAGGACCATGGAGATGCTAAGAGCAGCTCACACTTTAGGTGCTTGCCCTAGGCCAGGAACCAGCAGGGCACTTTGCTGTGTTTACGTTCAGTTCTCACAACATACCTGCACTGTAGGCATCACAGAGCTTGCTTCTTACAAGCCAGAACTGATGCTGGAAGAGGTTCCCTGACTTCACTATGACTCCTGCTGTCCATCACCCCCCTGCAAACTGGGTTCGGAACTCCACACCCGCATACCTGGCCTCCTGCTCGACCTGCTCCTCCAGCTGTGCAATCTTGGCCTCCAGCGCCGCGATGGTGGACTTGAACTTGGACTTGACGGCCCCCTCCATCTCGTGGAGCTTGCTCCGGAGCTCCTTGTTCTGCCGCTCGAGCTGCTGCCGGGCACTCTCATTCTTCTGGGCCGTGCTGCGCTCTGTGGCCAGCTCGTTGCTGAGCTGCTCGGCCTGGGGAGGAGAGTGAAGGCCATGAGGCGGACTCAGGGAAGCCCAAGAGAGCGCACTGAGACCATGCCTCTTCCTGCCTTGTTTGGCCTCTGCACGAGTCCCTTGATCCCGGGCACCCTGTCCTCTCCTTCATCCTGTAAAACTCCACTCAAGAGCTTCTTCCAGGCCGGGCGTGGTGGCGCACGCCTGTAATCCCAGCACTTTTGGAAGCAGAGGCAGGTAAATCACTTGAGCTCAGGAGTTCGAGACCTGCCTGGCCAACATGGTGAAACCCCGTCTCTATTAAAAATACAAAAATTAGCCGGGCAGTGGTGGCACGTGCCTGTAGTCCCAGCTACTTGGGAGGTTGAAGCAGGAGAATCCCTTGAACTTGGGAGGCAGAGGTTGCAGTGAGCCAAGATTGCGCCACTGCACTCCAGCCTGGGCCACAGAGAGACCCTGTCTCCAAAAAAAAGAGGTGCTTCCACAAGTGTCAGTGCCACCCAGGCTGAGCGAGTGACTTGTCCCTTGCTTTCTCTGTCCTGGAGTCGCCTGGAGAATGATGCCTGTTCACCCTACACCACAAGGGGCTGCAGGTTACTGGATGGTCCCTAGTGCCCACCATGGAACTAGTGCTCAGTGACATCACCAAGGGCTCACTGGATAAGGTCAGAGCTTCAGCTAGGGGAAAACGCAATGAAAGAGCATCCCAAGGCCCGGACTCCAGGGATGGCCGTGAGGTACGGGGAGCCAGCCACGCCGTGGCTGGAAAATGAGACACTGCAGCGTGGAGAGGAGTATTCTGAAGACAGCAGCCTGGGCACTGGTGTAAGGGCCCTGGATCTCTACTCTCAGGCCCCACCACCCTCTTGTCCCTCAATCCAGGGCCTGCACACAGGAAGCCGCCACGCGTGTGTTGACTGGTGCAGGATCCTGCTGCAGGAGAGACAGTAGGCAGCGTGACTGTGGTGTCCAGGCGGCCCTCACCTGCTGTGTGGCTTTGCGGACCCGGTCGCTCATGGCCTCCATGTTGCCCTGCTCCTCCTCCAGCTCCTCCTCCAGCTGGGCGATCCGGGCCTCCAGGCGGCGCTTCTCGTCCTGGAGTGCGTTCCTGGGGGAAGGGCGGCCATGGTGGGGGCCTCTACCCTCCCCCGCCTTAAAAGATGCCCCCTCCTTGGAGTCATGCCTCAGGGGTATTGCCCTCATCATCTAATGGGTGAAACTGAGGCTTGGAGAAGATTAGAAGACTCATCTGTAGTTACACAGCCAGGAAGTGGACAGCCGGGACTCAGGCCGGGTCCGTGTCAGCAAAGCTGGGATTGGGATGGGGACCAGCACACTCCTCCCTGACTCTTCCTGGCCTCCCCTTCTCCCCACACAGCTACTTATTGGGAATGAATGAAAGCAGCCACACCCCCAAACAGGCATGAAAGCGCTGACGGAAAACCTAACCACCATGGGTCTGTCCCCAATCTCAGAGGACGCTTCGTCAGCAGCAGCATTGAAATGGGGGTCCAGGGCCAGGCACGGTGGCTCACACCTGTAATCACAGCACTTTGGGAGGCCAAGGTAGGAGGATCACCTAAGGTCAGGAGTTCAAGACTAGCCTGGCCAACATGGTGAAACCCCACCTCTACTAAAAATATAAAAATTAGCCAGGCATGGTGGTACACACCTGTAGTCTCAGCTACTCAGAAGGCTGAGGCAGGAGAATTGCTTGAACCTGGGAGGTGGAGGTTGCAGTGAGCCAAGATTGTGCCACTGCCCTCCAGCCTGGGTGACAGAATGAAACTCTGTCTCGAAAAAATTTAAAAAATAAAATGGGGGTCGAGGATGCTGCCTGTCCCCCCATCCTCTGCTTCAGAGCCCTCTTCCTCCATTCAGTTTCCTACCTTCCCGACAGGCTACTGGCCAGCTCCTCTGCCAGTTCCTCCTTCTCGAGGTCCGCTTGTTTGCGAGCCCTCTCAGCGGCGGCGAGGTCCTAGGTGGGAGGGAGGAAGGCTGTTGTCTGCCAGGGAAAGGCCAAGCCCCACCAAGAGTCCACCCTGACAACTCAGCCACCCTTGAAAGTACATGTTCTTCCTCTGAGCTCAGGGGAGGCCCCGTGAATACATAGAGGAGGGAAGCGTGTGTCTTTCTAGACAGGTGGACCCCAGAGGAGGACGAAATGAAATCTGGGAATGCACAGACTGGAGCTGCCAAGGGGTGCTACCGTGACACCCGCATCTGAGGCTCTCCTAGCAAGGCGAGGCTTTACCTCTTGTAGCTGCATGAGGTCTGCTTCCAAGCTCTTGGCTTTCTTCTCATTCTCTTTGGCTGTGGCAAAGATCTCATCTCTGGAGGCACGGGCATCTTCCAGCTCTCTTTGAAAGTCCTTCATCTGAGCCTGCATGAGTCAACAGGGAGGACAAGCTCAGATGTCCTTACTCCCCCAAGTTCTGCTGCCCAGTTCAGCTTTGCACACCCACCCCTTGGATTTTCTGCAGTTGACCACAAAGAAGTTCCCATTGCACGAGCATGGCTCTCAGTTCCAGGTGGCTGGTGGTGCGCTGGGAGCACCATTCTGGGTGGGCTCCACAGACCTGCCTGAGAAGCTGAGCCCCTGATGTGATCTGAGGGCAGTGGCCAAATACCTAATAATGCTGCCCTACCCAGGGCAGGAGACAGCCACCAAATCCTGAATGGTTCCAGAAAAACCCCAGCTGAACCCACACCAATGGCAGGTGCAGGCTTGCTTCCTGGAGCCCGCTCTGCTGACTTCGGTGGCCTGAGGGGAACTGTGCCCTCCCTCCACCCATGCCCCAAGCTCCTAGTGTCACCCACCTGCAGTTTGCGTAGCTGCTTGATGGCTTCCTCCCTCCCCTTGATGGCAGAGTCGGCCTGAAGCTCCAGGTCTTTCAGGTCCCCTTCCAGCTTCTTCTTTGCTGCAGCTGCCAGGGCACGTTGCTTTCGCTCGTCTTCCAGTTCCGTCTCATACTCGTGAAGCTGGGCGAGGAATAGAGATGTGTGCTGCCCCACTTGCCCCTGGGAGGTCCTTTGGCTCACCTAGGCAGCACATCACTGCACCCCTTCCCCAGCACAGCCCCCTTGTGAGGTGGGCATCTCATCCCCAGTTGCAGATGAGAAAACGGAATCACGCCGGGCGTGGGTGGCTCATGTCTGTAATCCCAGCACTTTGGGAGGCCAACAGGAGAATGGATCACTTGAGGCCAGGAGTTCAAGACCAGCCTGGCCAACATGGTGAAACCTTGTCTCCACTGAAAAAAAAAAAAAAATTAGCTAGGTATGGTGGCATGCGCCTGTAATCCAAGCTACTCGGGAGGCTGAGGCAGGAGGTGGAGGTTGCAGTGAGCTGAGATTACGCCACTGCACTCCAGCCTGGGCGACAGAGCGAGACTCTGTTTCAAAAAAAAATAAAGAAAACGAAGTTTCCACACCAACCATGAGAGTGGTGATAGGAATGAAAAAGGCCACCCGACCTCCCTCTGCTGGCCTCCCCGGCAGCACGCACCTGTCTCTGCAGTTGCCTCCTCTTCTCCTCATTCTGCTCGTCCCGGGCTTGGAGATCCCTTTCGAACTGGCCCTTGAGCGCCTGCATGTTGACTTCCAGCCGCAGTTTGGCGTCCTCCGTGGCTTGCAGCTCGTCCTCCAGCTCTTCCAGCTGCGTCTTCATCTCCTCCATCTGGGTCTCCAGGGCCCGCTTGGACTTCTCCAGCTCATGGACCTGCCGGCAGAGCGGGCAGCCCCATTCTATGAGGCTCAACTTCATGAAGACGATTGAGAAACCCACCGTGAGCGGCACCTCAGGAGATCAGGGAGGTGGCTTTGGCCTCCCACAGGATGCATGGCCGGGACTCAAGATGACCCCTGAGAGTTCAGACCCCAGCCTTATCCTCGGACCCCCCAACTCAGACCCATCCTCGACTGCCATTCTCAGCCCCTCCCAGCCCCTGCACCAGTCCAAAAACCTCCTTCCATTTCCGATGATAGTTCGCTATGAAAAAGGCCAGGAGCTAGCCTCGCATGGACTGGTGAATAGCACAGAGGGTGGGCAGGCGAAACATGGACGAGAAAAACCACCCAGAGCCACTTACGTTCTTGCCCACGTCATCCTTGGAGCTGACCAGGTCTTCCATTTCGGCTTTGAGCATTTTGTTGGTCCGCTCGAGTTCCTCTTTGGCTTCCAAGGCCTCTTCAAGGGCCCGAGCCAGGGACAGGGCCTTGGTTTCCTTCTCCCTGGCTTCTGCCTCAGCTCTGTCCCTCTCATCCGCGTATTTGGAAGAGATGTTTTTCTCCTCGGCTAACAACTACAACACAAGACCCAGAGGTGACTTCTAGGCATATCCGGGGTCAGCGTCACTGAATTGTAAATACCGGGGGAAGCCCTGTGTCCTGCTGAATGTATTGAGGTGCAGGTGTAAGCAGTGTAGGTTAGCTATGGGAGTAATTTATATAATCATCTGGCGTTCTGACTTCTACATCAACCTTATGCAGAGCCAGAAATCAGCTGACTTGTTTTTTTTTGTTGGTTTGTGTGTTTGTTTGTTTTAGATGGAGTCTCACTTTGTCACCCAGGCTGGAGTGCAATGGTGCAGTCTTGGTTCACTGCAACCTCCGCCTCGTGGGTTCAAGCGATTCTCCTGCCTCAGCCTCCAGAGTAGTTGGGATTACAGGTGCCCACCACCACACCTGGCTAATTTTTGTATTTTAAGTAGAGATGTGGTTTTGCCATGTTGACCAGGCTGGTCTCGAACTCCTGACCCTCAAGTGAGCCTCCTGCCTCGGCCTCCCAAAGCACGGAGATTACAGGTGTGAGCCACCACACCTGGCCAAATCCTTGTGCTTCGAAACCACTAGACCTGCCCACGTTGCTTAGAGCACACTGAGGTCAAAGTGAGATTTAAAGCTGCCAGAAGCTAGTTATTAGTTTGTTTCATGGCCACAAGTAGCTATTAATATCTTACAAAAGTATCCTAAGAGCCTCAGTAGGGAAATGGTAAGCATGGGTGGCCCTGCACACATATCTCTCTGCTTGGAGAAGCAACTCAGAGAACATTCCATGCTCACGTTAATCTCATCTTCAGAGAGAACAGAGCAGATTATAAATTGTAACATCCAAAAGCCAAACTTCCAGTATTCAGCAAAGACAGGGACCTCTAAATGGCACAGTCAACACAAAAATCCCACACTATGTGTGCCACTGCACTACACTCTATGTGACAGGAAAATAAAAGCAACCTCAGGCCTTCAACCAGATAACGAAGCATTGAAGATGAGCTGACAGCCCAGAGGAGAGGTAGCTGATGGGAAGAGGAGAAACTGGGATGTTATCTAGAATCCTGACACTAGGAGGTCAGTCAGGGAGGGGTAGGGAACCTGCAGGCATCTGGCATTTAGCCTCACTGTACAATCCTCATTTTATTTATTTTTGAGACAGGGTTTTCACTCCATCACTCAGGCTGGGGTGTAGTGGCGCAATCTTGGCTCACTGCAACCTCCACCCCACCCTGGGTTCAAGCGATTCTCCTGCCTCAGCTTCCAGAGTAGCAGGGATTACAGGCGTGCGCCACCACGCCCGGCTAATTTTGGTATTTTTAGTAGAGACAAAGTTGCACGATGTTGGCCAGGCTGGTCTCAAACCCCTGACCTCAAGTGATCCACCTGCCTCAGCCTCCCAAAGTGCTAGGATTACAGGCGTGAGCCACCGTGCCTGGCCTCTCAAACTGATTTTTAGAATAACCCTGAGTCACTTGTAAACTAAATCATATTTACTAAATAATAATGTATCTTAAAAGTTGGTATTTAGGGGTTTGGGTCATACAGGGGTCTCCATTTATCGTACAATTAAGATTTGTGAATCTCATCACATGTAAGTTTTACCCCAAAAGAAGCAAAATTGTGTTTAAAAATAAACTCTAATTAATATGCAATGTTGAGGTGTGGAAGGGGAAATGTACTGACATCTGTAATTTGCTCTGAAATGTACCCAAGAGATAAGGCATGATAGATAGAATTAGTCTTTATAAATAAATATGTGGGCCGGGCATAGTGGCTCATACCTATAATCCCAGCACTTTGGGAGGCCAAGGCAGGCAGATCATGTGAGGCCAGGAGTTGGAGACCAGCCTGGACAACATGGCAAAACCCCATCTCTACTAAAAATACAAAAATTAGCCAGACATAGTGGTGTGCTCCTATAATCCCGGCTACATGAAAGGCTGAAGCAGGAGAATCGCTTGAACCCAGTGGTGGAGGTTGCGGGGAGCTGAGATCACACCACTGCACTCCAGCCTGGGTGACAGAGCTAGATCCTGTCTCAAAATAAGTATCTGATAAAGTTCATATAATACAGTGTCAATGACTGAATCCAGGTGGTGGCCTTAAAGGTGTTCACCGTACAATTCTGTCAACTTTGCTGTGTACTTGGAATTTTACAGAATGAAATCTTAGGGAAGAGTGGTATTAAAAGTATAGAAACTGAATTACTTGGAATACTACTCAATAGGTATTCAGTAAATACATTTAGTGAATAAATAAGCACCTCATTCCTTCTTCAGGCTAGAAACTAAGGCATCACCATGTGTGCAGGTGACCCTCATGGTGCTGGTACCCAGAAAAGTCACAGTCATCAAGGCTTCTTTGCCATCCTTACTGTGACCTGGTAGCGTTAATGCTCCATGGTCGCCCAAGACAAGATAAGACAGCCTCCCATGGCTCCCCACAGAGTGGAGAGGGGATGCAGGCACAGGCCAGAGCCACGCGTCATACTCTGCAGAGCTGATTCCCCAACCCAGCGTCCATGGCCAGAGTGGGGGACACCCCACGCCCTCTACCTGATCAAATTTCCTCTGCTTCTTTTCCAGGTTGGACACGAGTTGCCGCTGGTTGTCCAAATCAACAACCAGGTCGTCCAGCTCCTGCTGAAGCCTGTTCTTGGTCTTTTCCAGTTTATCATAAGCGGCCGCCTTCTCCTCGTACTGCTGGGTGAGGTTCTCGATCTCCTTCTGGAACCTCTTCTTCCCCTCTTCCAGAGCTTCCACGGTGCTGGCAAAGTCCTGCAGCTTCTTCTTCGAGTCGGAGAGCTACAAGGACAGCGTCCAGGGTAGGGTGAGAGGGGGACCATGAGTGGCCCCTGTCCCTGGCCCCACAGACTCTGAGAAGCGAAGACCATGTCTCCTCGTTGGAGAAACCCAATAGCAGGGGAAGCTGGGGGGTCAAGCACCATCGCACCAACACTCCACCGCGATCTGCCTGCGGGGGATCTCAGCGCAGAGAAGTTGAGAGGACCCATGAAGGAAGCAAGGACACGGGGCAGGCACCTGGATGTTGAGAGTGGAGATGTGGCGCTCCAGGTTCTGCTTGGCCTCCATCTCCTCGTCCAGCTGGTCTTGCAGGCTGTTCCGCTCCTCCTCCAGCTGGCGCAGCTTCGTAGACACGTTGAGCTTCTGCCGGGTTTCTTCTTGAAGCAGCTCCTGCAAAAGGGATGCAAAGAGGTCCCAGGGACCTGCCCCGAGGAAGGCCACCCCCCAGGTCCCCTGGATGATGTGGCAGGACACTCACCTGGGTGTCCTGGAGCTGGGAACTGAGGGACGCCACGTCCTTGGCCAGCTTAATGGCCTTCCCCTCGGCCTCGTTAAGCATCCCTGTGACGCTCTCAACTTCATTCTAAGGGTGCCAAGAGACTGGTTAGTCAAAGCCTCTAGAAGGGGATCCTCGTTGAAAGGAGCCCTTTTTACTCAAAACACATGGGCTAGTACTTGAGGTGTTCACTGATTGAGAAAATACCCGTGAGGTATGGGACTCTGATAAAAAAAAAAAAAAACACACACACACACAAAAAAAACAGAATCTGTGGCTTGAAGGGAACTCCGTCACCTATGAGTTGGGACCCTGGCCCTAGACTCTGTGGTTCTAAGAACTTATTTGAGCCCCAATGGTATTGACTGGGACCTGATCCCACTAAATGGATCCTAGATCCCTGCCAAGGTTGGTAGAGACAAAGCAGCAGGTCTGAGAGTCCAGACGAGGTGCTCTGGCTGGTCCACTCTCTAAGGCTGGAGAAGGGAGACCAGGATGGTACTTGAACGTCCCAGGGATGCTGTCCCATCCCTTCCTTCCTCACTCCTACTCTTTGACCCTGATGGCCAAAGCCAGAGACGCAGGCCCTAAAGGTAAAAACGTCCTCTCTGTATTCTCTGGCTTTTACTCCCTAGTGTCTCTGCATAAGTCCCTTTGAGGCTGTTAGCCTACCCCTCCATCTCTTCCATTGACAAGGAGGATATGAATGATCTTGACACTGCTTATATGAGGGCGGCAAAAGCCCTGCTCTCAACTGCATGTGAGAAAAAAACATCTCACTTAATTCTTCCCTCGCCCCTTGGTCCCTGGCTGTGGACATGTTAAACATTTGTGAAAACTTTGGCCACGTCCCCATGAGTGGCAAGGCAGGGTAAATGGCTATGCCAAGTGAAAGAAGACCAAAGACAAAAAGACCATGTCATTCAGCAGCTTAAAACCCCTCAACAGCTTCACATTGCCCAGAGTAAGGATCAACATACATGTAATAGGTTCTCAAAAGCCCTACATCATCTGGGTACAAGCTCCCCCTCCAACCCCACTCTGTACTATCTCCCCCTACCCCCAACCCCAGCTGGGCACTCCAGCTCTACTGGCTGTATGTCTCTCTCCTAATTTTTCTACTTACCACAGGGCCTTTGCACACGCTGTTCCCTCTGCCTGGTAGACTTATCCATGCTCCTTAGGGAAGCCTTTCGTGGCTCCTCCTCCCCCAGGTTAGGCCCCCTGGTTATTTACACTTGGGCATCATGTGCCTTCCCTTTGCTGCATCATTTGACATTCATTTGTGTGATTATTCATGTCTTTCCCTTCCCTTCCCTTCCCCTTACTCGGCTGGAGTCCTACTGGGGCAGCGACAGTGTCTCTTCTTCCTTGCTGTTGGATCTCAGGATTAAGCACAGTGCCTGGCATACAGCAGGTGCTCAATAAATACTTATCAAATTGGAAAAGGAAGGGTTTTTTTTCTTTTTTTTTTTTTTTCCTGAGACAGAGTTTTGCCCTTTTAGCCCAGGCTGGAGTACAATGGTGCGGTCTCCGCACACTGCAACCTCTGCCTCCTGGGTTCAAGCTATTCTCCTGCCTCAGCCTCCCGAGTAGATGGGACTACAGGTGCCCACGACCACGCCTGGCTAATTTTTGTATTTTTAGTAGAGACTTTTCACCATGTTGGCCAGACTGGTCTCAAACCCCTGACCTCAGGTGATCCACCCACCTCTGTCTCCCAAAGTGCTGGGATTACAGGCATGAGCCACCGTGCCTGGCCAGAAGGTTTTTTTAATATTTAATTGAACAGGGAGATCATCGCCTCTCCTCCAGGAACGCAACTAGAGGAAAGGACTTGCCTTGCAGCAAGAGAGACCTCAGCGAGCCGGGAAGAGGCTCCTCCCCACAGAACTGGGCACCACCCAGCACTGCCCACCACACCACCGCGCCACCTCCTCACCTGCAGCTTGTGGACTTTGTCATTGAGCTCCGCCCGGGCCCGCTCCCCATCGCTGCACTTGGACTGCAGCTCCTGCACCTGCGCCTCCAGCTTCTTCTTCTTATGTTCCACCTCCTGCTTGGCCTGGCCCAGGACCCGCAGCTCCCCGGCCAGGTCTGCGTTCTCTTTCTCCAGCGTCTGCTTATTCTTGTCTAGGTTCGCCTTGGCCTGGCGAAGGAAGCAGAGGGGAGGGATAACAGGGAGGCTGTGGCCGGGAGAACGTTTCAGGCCCTGCCCTTTCCTCCCTCAGAGAGGTCCAGGAAGGCACACAACAGGGGGCACACAATCACCAGTAAGAGATTTGGGGTTTTTTTGTTGTTATTTTTTTTTTGAGATGGAGTCTTAACTCTGTTACCCAGGCTGGAGTGCCGTGGCACAATCTTGGCTCACTGCAACCTCCGCCTCCCAGGTTCAAACTATTCTCCTGCCTCAGCTGCCCAAGTAGCTGGGATTACAGGCGCCCGCCACCATGCCCGACTAATTTTTGTATTTTTAGTAGAGACGAGGTTTCACCATGTTAGCCAGGCTGCTCTCGAACTCCTGACCTCAAGTGATCCACCCATCTTGGCCTCCCTAAGTGCTGGGATTACAGGCGTGAGCTGCCGCACCCAGCTGATATTTTGGATTCTATTTTCCTAAAGCTCATGGGTTGCAATCTGGAATCCCACAAGCGGTATCCAACCTGCTGACATGTCCCCTTTGACCCTTTCACTACTTTTAAAAAAATGAGTTGCCGACATTTTAATAAATGTCACATAAAAATCTGGATTCCCAGCTTCTTTTTCAAAAAACTTTAATGTTTGAAGGCATGCCATGGCAGCTCATACTTGTCATCCCCAGCACTTTGGGAAGCAGGCAGAAGGATCGCTTAAGGCCAGGAGTACAAGACCAGCCTGGGCAATGTAGTGAGACCCCCATCTCTACTAAAATAAAACATTAGCTGGGTGTGGGGGGCACACACCAGCAATCCCAGCTACTCAGGAGGCGGATGGCAGGCTTGCTTGAGCCCAGGAATTGGAGGCTGCAGTGAGCTATGATCACACCACTGCACTCCAGCCTGGGCAACAAAGTGAGACCCTGTTTCAGAAATAAGTAGCTTTGGGAGGCCAAGGCAGGTGGATCACTTGAGGTGAGGAGTTCGAGACCAGCCTGGCCAACATGGCGAAACTGCATCTCTACTAAAAATGGAAAAATTAGCCGGGCATGGTGGCGCACGCCTGTAGTCCCAGCTACTGGGGTGGCTAAGGCACAAGTATTGCTTGAACCTGGGAGGTGGAGGTTGCAGTGAACCAAGATCATGCCACTGCATTCCAGCCTGGGTAACAGAGTGAGACTCCATCTCAATCAATCAATCAATAACTAACATTCTATGTGGTGACTGTGGTGGTGGTAGTTACACAATACACATTTGTTAAAATTAATGGAGCAGTAAAATGGATAAATTTTACTACATATGCCTCAGTAATCCTAAACTTAAAAACAAAAACAAAAAACCAACAACAACGAAAGATCTGGAAACAGAGGGTCTTGCTTTCCTTCAAGGCAACAATCTGCCACATCTAAGTAGCGGCTGGCTCTGCAGGTGGGGCAGTCACCTTTCACCGCCCCCGTCCTTCACAGGTGTCGTGTGATTGACACTGCTACTTCTGTCCTAGTTAAGGGAAACTTATTTTATGGAACCAGCTCCTGTAGGCATGTGAGTTGCCCTACAGGAAAAAAAAAGTGTGTTGGGGCCAGGCGCGGTGGCTCAGGCCTAGAATCCCAGCACTTTGGGAGGCCTATGCAGGCAGGTCACTTGAGGTCAGGAGTTTGAGACCAGCCTGGCCAACATGGTGAAACCCCGTCTCTACTAAAAATATAAAAATTAGCCGGGCATGGTGGCAGTCACCTGTAATCCCAGCTGCTGAGGAGGCTGAAGCAGGAGAATTGCCTGAACCCAGGAGGCGGGGGTTGCAGTGAGCCGAGATCCCGCCAGTGCACTCCAGCCTGGGCGACAGAGTGAGACTTTGTCTCAAAAAAAAAAGCGTGTTGGGCAAAAGTAGGACGCGGTGAGGGGCTTCTTTCCAGGTTGTAGAGAAGGGGAAAGAGAAGCGCAAGTATCCCGAGAGGACGAGACCCACCACTCAGTCTTCCCATAGTCCCTGGGAGGTGCTGGACGTTGACCGGTCAGCCCTGGATGCCCGTCCTCCCTCCAAGACATGACTAAGAGCTGCCAGACCTCAGATGGGGACAGGGAGTCTCTTGGTGGTAACAAAGCAGTGAAGCGGGGACCCTAGGGGACATGGGCTCCCAGAAACCTTAGCCCAGCCTAAGACCCCAGAACTGGGGCCAAACCGCACGAGGGCCTGGGGAGCCCAGGTAGGAGCTGATGTTAAACGTTTCCCCCACAAGCAGATGGAACCAGGTCTCTACATCAGAATTCAAGTTGTTAGAGGCAAAGGCCTCTGTTTCCCTGCACCTGAGATGGGCAGAGGTTTGCACCTCTACCTGCTTTGTGCGGGTCAGTAATGGACATGCCGTCTGCTGGTGGTCTTAATAACTGCGTCTTCCCAAAGAGGCCTGGCTGGGAATGGGCTTGGCTTCTAGCTCCTGTTCACGTCTAATGAACCCCAAGCATGGGGAGGGTCAGTGATTCTGTCTGGGGCCTCACTCTTCCAACCATAATTTTTTTTTTTTTTTTTTGAAACTGAGTCTCACTCTGTTGCCCAGGCTGGGGTGCAGTGGCACAATCTTGGCTCACTGCAACCTTTACCTCCTGGGTTCAAGTGATTTTCATGTCTCAGCCTCCCAAGTAGCTGGGATTACAGGCGACCGCCACCACGTCCAGCTAATTTTTGTATTTTTAGTAGAGACGGGGTTTTGCCATGTTGGCCAGACTGGTCTCAAACTCCTGACCTCAGGTGATCTGCCTGCCTCGGGCTCCCAAAGTGCTGGGATTACAGGCGTGAGCCACTGCACCCAGCCTAATTTTATGTATTTTTAGTAGAGATGGGGTTTCACTATGTTGGTCAGGCTAGTCTTGAACTCCTGACTTGGTGATCCGCCTATCTCAGCCTCCCAAAGTGCTGGGATTATAAGCATGAGCCACCGCGCCCGGCCTTTGGGGGCAGTTTCTAATGGTTTAGCACTATCCCTTTGGTGCTGCCCTCATGAGATCTGGTTGTTTAAAAGTGTCTGGCAGCTCCCCATTCTCTCTCTTCTGCCTGCTCTGGTCATGTAAAACATGCCTGCCTCCCCGTTGCCTTCCACCATGATGGTAAGTTTCCTGAGGCCTCCCCAGAAGCAGAAGCTGCTATGCTTTCTGTACAGCCTGCAGAACCGTGAGCCAATTAAACCTCTCTTCTTTAGAAATTACCCAATCTCAGGGTGGTGCAGTGGCTCACACCTGTCATCTCAGCACTTTGGGAGGCCAAGGCAGGTGGATCACCTGAGGTCAGGAGTTCGAGATCAGCCTGGCCAACATGGCAAAACCCCATCTCTACTAAAAAAAAAAAAAAAAAAAAAAATTAGCCGGGCATGGTGGTGTGTGCCTGTAGTCCCAGCTACTTGGGAGGCTGAGGCAGGAGAATCATTTGAACCCAGGAGGTGGAGGTTGCAGTGAGCCAAGATCACGCCACTGAACTCCAGCCTGAGTGACAGAGTAAGACTCCACTGCTCAAAAAATAAACAAATAATCCAATCTTGGGTATTTCTGTAGAGCAGTGCAACAACGGACCAATACACTAGTGATAGAACCAAATGCAAATTCCCCAAAATTTTTAGGCAATGCTGCACCCACTTAATCTAGCAGAACCAAAAGCTTCCACTGAAGGGGATGTGGAGGAGCTGCAACGCTGAGGGTAATGTAACTCAGGCTTTCAGGAAAACAATCTGGCCGAAGGTCGCAAGCTAAAAAACTTACCCTGGGGAATGAAGCACAGGCACTACCCCAAAGGAGAGAAGAGCACCCAAGATTCAGCATTCGGTACTGCTATTTACCAGCTCCCACTCCCATACACCGCAAAGAGTTCCAACAACGGGAGAGTGATTTGACCTAGTCATTCTCAAATTATGCCGGAGAGAGCTGTTCTGCCATTGAAATCAAATAATGACAAGTTTCCTCCAGTCTTTTTTTTTTTTACAAAAGAAAAATCGCTATGTTGCCCAGGCGATCTGAAAGTCCTGGGCTCAAGCAATCCTCCCTCCTTGGCCTCCCAAAGTGTTAGGATTACGGGAGGCATGAGCCGCCATGCCTGGCCTTCCTCCAGTCTGCAGAGAAATTAAAGTGGATAGAATGATCCCAGTTTTAAGTTTCATTTAAATCTCCCCGAAAGTGTTGTTACACCTTTGCTTATCCCTGAAGGGCAGTATATTGATAGGCCCCACCCATCCTATAGGCCTTCAGTCCTGTAGAGGCCAGAAAGTGGGGTCTAGGACCAGACTGTTTGGGTGCAAATCATGGCTCTGTCACTTACCAGCAGTGTGACCTTGGGTAAGTCTCTTCACCTCTAGGCACCTAGGACCTCAGTTTCTTTGCTTGTAAAATGAGTTTAATAGTACACGTCTCACAGGGTGGTTGTGAAGATTAATTGACATACTGTATGAGAAGCATTTCTATTCATTCTTTTTTTTTTTTCTTTTTTTGAGATGGCGGCTCACTCTGTCGCCCAGACTGGAGTGCAGTAGCACGATCTGAGCTCACTGCAACCTCTTCCTCCTGGGTCCAAGTGATTGTCCTGCCTCAGCCTCCCGAGTAGCTAAGATTACAGGCACATGCCACCACACCCAGCTAATTCTTTATATTTTTGGTAGAGATGGGGTTTCACCATGTTGGCCAGGCTGGTCTCGAACTCCTGAGCTCAAGTGATTTGCCCGCCTTGCCTCCCAAATTGCTGGGATTACAGACATGGTGAGCCACCGTGCCCAGCCTATTTTTATTGTTTGATTAAGGTCTCACTGTGTCGTCCAGGCTAGAGTGCAGTGGCATGACAGGGCTCACTGCAGCCTCAACCTCCCAGGCTCAAACGATCCTCCCACCTCAGCCTCCCAAATAGCTGGGACCACAGGAATGCACTACCAGGCCTGGCCAATATTTTATTTTATTTTATTTTTTTGAGATGGAATCCTGCTCTGTTGCTCAGGCTGGAGTGCAATGGCATGATCTCTGCTCACTGCAACCTCTGCCTCCTGGGTTCAAGTGATTCTCCTGCCTCAGCCTCCCGAGTAGCTGGGATTACAGGCATGCACCACCGCGCCCGGCTAATTTTTTGTATTTGTAGTAGAGATAGGGTTTCGCCATGTTGGCCAGGCTGGTCTCGAACTCCTGACCTCAGGTGATCCACCCAGTTTGGCCTCCCAAAGTGCTGGGATTACAGGCTTGAGCCACCACGCCTGGCCTACTTTTTTAAAATTTTAGTAGAAACAAGGTCTCACTATGTTGCCCAGGCTGGTCTCCAACTCCTGAGCTCAAGCGATCCTCCCGCCTCAGCCTCCCCAAGTACTGGGATTACAGGCGTGAGCCACCTCACCCAGCCTGTATGGGAAGCATTTTGTAAATAAATATAAGCTGCTATCATCATCATTAGAATCTTATGTAACTTGTTTTTTGTCTTTATGCAGACCCTGACCTGTAGTAATTTGAGGCTGCTGATGTCACTCTTATGTGTCATCACCAAAAAGCATCACCAAAAAGCATTACCCTCTTGAACTGCTCAAGCTGCTCTGTGAGCTCCTCCACCGCCTGTGCGTGTTTCTGCCTCATCTCCTGGACCTGAGCCTCATGGGACCGCGTCTCTTCATCCAGGGCCTTCTTCAGCACCGTCACCTCCTGCTCCCTCTTGGCCCTTGGTGGGAGGAACACAGTGAATGGCAGTTGGGTGGAGACAGAGGGTCATCTCAGTGCCGTGCAAAAGAATGAGAGCTCTTCCAGGACCCAGAGCTGCAGTCCTCATCACCACCCCTCTCTAGCTGTGTGACCTTGGGTCATTCACCTAACATCTCTGGACCTAAAATTTCCTCAGCTGCAAAATGTGGAGCATATCACCTGCCTAGGACATCTGTAATGACTGGCAAACAAATACACAAAGTAATAGAATTGAAAGGATGTCTGTGAACTGCAAAATTTTGCTTAAATATTAATGTTGGCTCTTATTTAATGAGCAGTTACTATATGCCAGGCCCTGAGCTAAGTTTTTTATATACATCATCTAATCCTCAGAGCAACCCAAAGAGGCAGGTGTGTTATTATTTCCATTTTACAAATGAGGAAACTAAGGCTAAGAGAGGGTAAGCAGTTTTACCCATGGTGTCACAGCCATTGTGTGATGGAGCCAGAATTAGAAGCTAAACCTTGACCTTGAGTCCATGGTTTTGTTTGTTTGTTTTTGAGATGGAGTTTCACTCCTGTTGCCCAGGCTGGAGTGCGACAGCGCAATCTTGGCCCCCTGCAACCTCCACCTCCCGGGTTCAAGCGATTCTCCTGCCTCGGCCTCCTAAGTAGCTGGGATTACAGGTGCCCACCACCACGCCCGGCTAATTTTATATTTTTAGTAGAGATGGGGTTTCAACATGTTGGTCAGGCTGGTTTCGAACTCCTGACCTCAGGTGATCCACCCGCCTCAGCCTCCCAAAGTGCTGGGATTACAGGTGTGAGCCACCGCACTCAGCCTGGTTTTTTGTTTTGTTTGTTTGTTTTTCTTATCGAGTCTTGCTCCGTCGTCCAGACTGGAGTACAGTGGAATGATGTCAGCTCACTGCAACCTCTGCCTCCCAGGTTCAAGGGATTCTCCTGCCTCAGTCTCCCAAGTAGCTGGGATTACCGACGCCCACCACCACGCCCGGCTAATTTTTGTCTTTTTAGTAGAGACAGGTTTTCATGATGTTGGCCAGGCTGGTCTCGAACTCCTGACCTCAGGTGATCTGTCTGCTTCAGCCTCCCAAAGTGCTGGGATTACAGGCATGAGCCACCATACCTGGCCCATGCACTGGGCTCTTCTGTATCAAAGGCCAAGCGGCAAGGGAGCAGAACGCTGTGCTCTATGTGCATGTGACACTGCACAAAACCCAAAGTGGGGGAAGTAAACCCCAGGGTATATGGTGTTGGCACAGCTAGCATAGCTATATGCTATGATACATGCTATGCCAACACCACAGATTGCATCAAAATACATTTATGTGTTTACTGAATGAATCAATGACCTAGTTTCACTAGAGTCAGGATTCGTGATCTGGCAGGCAGTTTGTTATTGTTTGTTCATTTGAAGTGAATCTTCAATTGAAAACCAATCTGATCAATTTTATTTTTAAAATTTAACACAAAAGTGATACACACACATACTTGGGAATTGGAGCTTGGGGACTGACTGATACACACACAGACAGGAAGGAATTTCTCAAGAATGTTAACTGGTGTGACTAAGGGTGATTTTTTTGTTTTTTGTTTTTTTTTGAGATGGAGTCTCACTCACTGTGTCACCCAGGCTGGAGTGCGATGGTGCGATCTCAGCTCACTGCAACCTCTGCCTCCCAGATTCAAGTGACTCTACTGCCTCAGCCTCCTGAGTAGCTGGGATTTACAGGCATGCGCCACCACGCCCAGGTAATTTTTGGATTTATAGTAGAGACAGGGTTTCACCATGTTGGCCAGGCTGGTCTTGAACTCCTGACCTCAAGTGATCCACCTGTCTTTGGCCTCCCAAAGTGCTGAGATTATAGGCGTGAGCCCGACCCTAAAGGTGATTTTTTTTTATGTCTGCTTTTCTATAGTTTTCAAATTGTTCTCTGAGTATATCCAAGCTTACCAATGAGGATGGTTTTGAATGCAGCCTGACACAGAGTCATAAACTTTCTTAAAACAGTATGAGATGTTTTTTCCAATTTGTAAAATTTTTTTAGTTGATCAGCTATTATTAGTGTTAGTGTATCTTATGTGTGGCCCAAGACAAATCTTTTTCTTCCAATGTGGCCAAGGGAAGCCAAAAGATTGTACATCCCTGGTATATACTACTCTTCTGATGAGAAATAAGATGATGAGGGTCGGGTGCAGTGGCTCACACATGTAATACCAGCAGTTTGGGAGGCGGAAGTGGGTGGATCACTTGAGGCCAGGAGTTCAAGTCCAGCCTGGGCAACATGGCAAAACTCCATCTCTACTAAAAACAAAAAATTAGCCGGGTGTGGTGGCACATACCTGTAATCCCAGCTACTCAGGAGGCTGAGGCATGAGAATCGCTTAAATCTCAGAGGTGGAGGTTGCAGTGAGCCAAGATGGCACAACTGCACTCCAGCCTAGGCAACAAAGCCAGACTGCCTCAAAAAAAAAAAAAAAAGAAAGAAAAAAAAGAAACAGCCAACCATGCTTCTATAAGTTAAAGCAAACCGCGGCCAGGAAGGTAAATGCACAGGGGCTGATGCACGATTTGCTTTGGGTTTGTCCCCTCTTCTGCCCCCATCCCATTGGTGCAGTGGGATAGCAGGATGGTGGGATTGATGGGCCCCTCACCTGAGCTCCTGCTGAGTGGCTGTGCTGTCCAGTGTGTCTTCCAGCTCTGTCTTTAGGGCCTCCAGCTCCTCGCCGAGGTCTCGCTTCTGCTTTTCAGCCTTGTTCCTGGCGGCCCGCTCTGAGTCCAGGTCCTCCTGGAGGTCTGAGATGTGGCCCTCCAGCTCCCGGATCTTCTTCAGGGCATTGTTCTTCTGAGCGATTTCATCGTCAAGCCTTCCAGGGAGAGACCCAGCAGAATGAACCCCCAGGTCCCTTGGTTTCCTCTCTTACAATGTGGCCAAAAACTTTTCTGGGACCAGACAGTTATGTTGCAGAGACATCAAACACCTTCTATCCATGTCCCCAGGTCTGCTTCTTGACATGCCAGACTATATGAGATTAACATAGGATGTGAGTGCCAAGGTCTGACATCAAAACAGGTTGTACATGTGCATGGGTGTGTGTACGTGTGTATGCACGTGTGTGCATGTGTGTGCAAGAATGCAAAGCATTGACCCCAGACTGGCAAGGTACCTGGTCACAGTAGGGACTGTGTAGATGCTTTCTGAATGTTGGACAGTTCTTCTTCCCTGGCAACTGTCTGTTCTTTCTGCATTTGCTCAGTGACTGAGTACCCGCCCCATGCACAGCATTTGGCCAGCCACTGCTTGCGGGGGATATTCAGACTGGGGCTCTGCATCTGGTGGAGGTGGTGACCAGAGATCAAGGTGGGCTGCAAGAAGCCCTGTTAAATGGCAGAATGCTGCAGGAGAGGCAAGCACTTTGATTTTACTGTACTTGTGAAAGGGCAGCAACAAGAGAGAAAGTGAAATAGTTGGGTTGGGGTGAGACTGCAGAGGGTGGATGGGCTCTGAGGGTGAGGCTAAGGAAACTGGATTTTCCCTAGTAAGCCAGTGAAGTTAGGTTTTTGTTTTGTTGTTATTATTGTTTTGAGACAGGGTCTTGCTCTGTTGCCCAGGCTGGAGTGCAGTGGCATGATCATAGCTCACTTTAGCCTCAACCTCCTGGGCTCAAGTGATCCTCCCATCTCAGCCTCCTGAGTAGCTGGGACTACAGGCACACACCACCATGCCTGGCTCATTTTTTAACTTTTTGTAGGGACAGGGTCTTGCTATGTTGCCCATGTTGGTCTCAAACTGCTGGCCTCAAGCAATCCCCCCACCTCGGCTTCCCAAAGTGCTGAGATTACAGGCGTGAGCCACTGCATCCAGCCAGCAAAGTTTTGTGAGCAGGTTCCTGCCCCAGAGAGATGCTTTCCCTTCATCACCGTAGCACTGTCAACATAGCACAAATTGGCCGACAAAAGAGCCAGGCCAGGGGATCAATCAGAAAGCTTTGAGGCTTAAATCCCAGCTCTGCCTCTTAGAAGCAATGACATTGCTCCTGTTGCGTTACCCCTAGGAGGCTCAGCTTCCTCCTCAAAGACACCGGCAGTACACCTGGCCAGGTGTCTGCAAAGGTATTGCTTGAAAAGAACTTAGCACCGAGTGAGCAGGTAAATAATCATTCATAGTGGCTGCTGCAGTATTAGCATTAGTGTAAATCCAGCTAAGAGCCAGGAAGAGGGAAAAACCAGAGGAAATGGGTGGGGGACATTTAGAAGGACTGGCAGAATCTGAAGGTTGCTGCTTGCTGTGGGTCGGCAGAAACAAAGGAGGAGATTGGTGTTCACAAAAAAGAGGGCCCTTAGAGGGAGGGGCTGGGGAAAGGAAGGTCATTCCCGCCTTAGACAGGGGTGTTTGAGATGACGGTGGAAATTGACTCATTGGGCAATCGGAAATTCAGAAGGGGGTCTAGATGAGAAAAGCCTGGATGTCGAAGAGGCAGCAGCAACACCATGGGAGTAGGTGAGATCAACTGCAAAGACATGATGTGTTTGCAGGGAAGAGAAGAAAGTCGAAGGTGAGGATCTGGGGGAGTGAACAGGGTCGAGAAGGCTTGTGGGAGGCCTGGCCTGGGAAACGAAGTTCATGCCAAGGGCCTGGGGCCGCCTTGACCAAGACAGCCACTGCGAATGAGCGAATGAGCAGGGGCCCAGGGGATACATGGACACACAGCAAATGCCCCTTGCCAGCCCCGCTACCTGGCCAGGGCCGCCTGCAGCTCCTCCTCCTTCTTGGCCAGCTGCATCTTGAGCTCTGCGATCTGCGCCTGGAGGTCAGCGATCTGCTCGTGGAAGTCGCTGGCATCACCCTCCAGCTTCCGTTTCAGCTTCTCCAGCTCCTGTCGGCTCTTCTCTTCCTTCTTTAGCCGCACTGCAAAAACCAAGGTGCTCTTCAGGAAGGGGAGGCCCCAGAGAGATGCCCGGAAATGAGCCTTCCTGCCCAGGCATTTTACCCGGAGGAGATGAACACATCCCCCAATCAGTAACCATCATAGTCACGGTCTGGACCATTATCTCCCGATGAACAGCACCTTATATTGTCATAATATTATTATTAGTTGAGATGGAGTTTTGCTCTTGTTGCCCAGGCTGGAGTGCAGTGGCGCAATCTCAGCTCACTGCAACCTCCGCCTCCCGGGTTCAAGCAATTCTCCTGCCTCAGCCTCCCGAGTAGCTGGGATTACAGGCGCCCGCCACCACGCCTGGCTAATTTTTGTATTTTGAGACAGGGTTTCACCATGTTGGCCAGGCTGGTCTCCAACTCTTGACCTCGTGATCCGCCCACCTCGGCCTCCCAAAGTGCTGGGATTACAGGCGAGAGCCACCGCACCCAGCCCTTTTATCATATTATTAGTGCATGTGATGACTAAGGGTGATTTCGAGAGGTGGCATAGAGTTAGTTGTCACTCATGGGATGATCTGCCATCCTCAAATTTCCTTTCTGATTTTCCTGCTTTTAAAAATACCCATTCAAGCCCAGGAATAGTGGCTCATGCCTATAATCCCAGCACTTTGGGAGGCCAAGGTGGGAGGACTGCTTGGGCCCAGGAGTTTGAGACTAGACTGAGCATCATAGTGAAACCCCATCTCTACAAAATAAAAAATAAAAAAAAATTAGCTGGGTGTGGTGATGCACGCCTGTAGTCTCAGCTGCTCAGGAGGCTGAGGCAGGAGGATCACTGGAGCTTAGGAGTTTCGGGCTGCAGTGAGCCATGATCGCACCACTGCACTGCAGCCTGGGCAACAGAGCAAGACCTCATCTCTAAAAAAAATAATAAAATAAAATAAAAATAAATCTCTTGGTAGCTGGTTTACCTTCCAGTTCTGAAATCATAGATTCATGCTTGTTTTTCAGCTTGGTAAGATTCTTGGCCTTTTCTTCCTCTTCTGCAAGATTTGTCGTTAAGTCACTAATCCTCTCCTCAAGGAGTTTTCGTTCCTTTTTGGGGAAAGAGAAAGAGATAGCTTTAGGATTTTTCTTTTCTCTAGAATCTATGTTTCACTTTTAGTGATTTCCATGTAAACAGTTGAAAGAAAAACCCACATTATAACAAAATACAACTAGAGTTTTAAATGGTAAAGAGAAGTCCCATAACAATTTCCAAAAACTGGCCATTTCTCATCTCGTGCCAGTTTGTCCCTCATATTGTATGGTCAGCTAAAGGTACCCTCCTTCCATTCCTGCCACTGGCCAGCTCTTCCCTGCCCCAGGGCCTTTGCACAGTGGGCCAACCAGCTGAGATGCTCTTCTACTCCCCTCTAACTGCTCCTTCATCTTTAAGTTTCTGCTTAAATGTCACCTCCTCCAGGAAGTCTTCTATGAATACCCTTCCTCTATCCCCCACTGCTGTATTCTTTTTTTTTTTTTGAGACAGAGTCTCACTCTGTCGCCCAGGGTGGAGTGCAGTGTTGCTATCTCAGCTCACTGCAACCTCTGCCTCCCACGTTCAAGTGATTCTCCTGCCTCAGCCTCCCGAGTAGCTGGGACTACAGGCGCCCGCCAACACACCCAACTAATTTTTTGTATTTTTAGTAGAGATGGGGTTTTACCGTGTTGGCCAGGCTGGTCTCCAACTCCTGACCTCAGGTAATCCACTTGCCTCAGCCTCCCAAAGTGCTGGGATTGCAGGCATGAGCCACCGCACCCGGCCTGCCGCACTCTTAAAATATGGTGAACGTTTCCTTCAGAGCCCTGATCACCATGGTAAATGACGATTATTTGCCATCTCACTACAGTATAAACCCCACAAGGGAAGGGTCCTCCTTCACCATGCATACCTGCATCTAACACAGAGCCTGGCTCACAGTAGGGGCCAAGCTGACATCCAGCTCAAAGAACTAAAAGCAGGTGGGGCTGGTTAGTGACTACTGACTACGGTGACCAGCTTGTCCTGGTTTTCTAAGGGCTTTTCTGCTTTGAGAACTGAAAGTCCCAAATCCCCAAAATCTCCCTGATCCTGGTAAGCCTGTTGTTTTTAATGCAGAAACTTGATTCCACTTTTTTTTTTTTTTGAAACAGAGTCACTCTGTCACCCAGGCTGCAGTGCAGTGGCACGATCTCAGCTCACTGCAACCTCTACCTCCCAGGTTCAAGTGATTCTCCTGCCTCAGCCTCCCAAGTGGCTGGGATTACAGACACTGGCCACCACACCTGGCTAATCTTTGTATTTTTAGTAGAGATGGAGTTTTACCCTGTTGGCCAGGCTAGTCTCAAACTCCTGGCCTCAAGTGATCCACATACCTTGGCCTCCCAAAGTGCTCGGATTATAGGCGTGAGCCACTGCACCCGGCCCCTACTCACTTTTGATAGTTTATTGTTCTGATCATCCATGACCAGGATCTCATCCTCCAGTTTCTTGATCTTGGCCTCAGCCGTGACCTTCTCAAGTTGCAGCTTCTGCCTGGCAGCTTCCTCCTCCTCCAGCTGTTCTTCAAGGTCCTTTGTTGTGGAGGGAAAAGAGTAACAGCTTTGGTTATAACAGATTTACTCTCGTGGTGATCTGGGGACTAATGAATACAGGGGCTAGGCCTGAAGATGCCCAGAACTCTGTAGCCTCCTAAAAGGAAGAAATAAAGGCCTGAGCGTGGTGGCTCACACCTGTAATCCCAGCACTTTTGGAGGCCGAGGTGGGTGGATCACTTGAGGTCAGGAATTCAAGACCAGCCTGGCCAACATGGTGAAACCCCGTCTCTACTAAAAATACAAAAAAAATTAGCCAGGCATGGTGGTGGGCTCCTGTAATCCCAGCTACTCGGGAGGCTGAGGCAGGAGAATCGCTTGAACCCGAGAGGCAGAGGTTGCAGTGAGCTGAGATCGCACCATCGCACCCCAGCCTAGGCAAGAGAGTGAGACTCTGTCTCAAAAAAAAAAAAAAAATAAAGACCTGGGTAAGCTGCTCTGCTTCATGGAACCTCAACCTCCTCATCTATAAAATGAGCACAGTAGGTACCATGGTGGTTTTAAAATCTATCCACAAGTTCTTTGCGACTCCAAAAAGGTGGAGCCTAATTCTCCTCCCCTTGAGTGGGGGTTAGATTTGCTTCTAACAACAACAACAAAAATCAGGAAGAAGTGATGGAATGTAACTTCAGAGATTAGGCTATAAAAGGCATTGCGGCTTCCTTTCTCCTCTCTCAGATCACTCCTTCTGGGGGAACTCTGCTGCCATATTGGAAGGACACTCAAGCAGCCCTGAGGGGAGAGGCCTTCATGATAAGGAACTGAGGCCTCCTCCAACAGCTGTGTGAATAAGCCAAGTAGAAGTGGGTCCTCCAGCCCCAGATGAGCCTTCAGATGACTGCAGCCTCAGCCAACACCTTGACTGCAACCTCAGGCCGGACCCTCAGCCAGAACCACTCACCTAAGCCACTCTCAAATTCCTGACTATGCAATACTTTTTATTTTTAGCTGCTGAGTTTGGCATGTTTTGTTATGTAGCAATAGCTAACAAATACAATTATCCTCCATTCAGGCTTGCTGTTAGGAGAAAAGGGGTTAGCACATGCAAGGCAGGGCAATAGAACAGAGTGGGCTCACTGTGTTCCAGTCCCAATCCCAGCTGTGTGGCCTTGATCAGATGACCAACCCTCTCCAAGCCCCCGTCTCATCATCTGTCCCAGCAGGGACACATATCCCTGGATGCACCTCCACAGGCCTGTGGTGAGGGTCAAGTGATTTGCTACCCACCACGGGCTGCCCCTGTGACACCTTACCAGCATCTGCTGGGCCATCTTCTTCCTTTCAGCCTGTAGCTGCTGGCCCCTGTCTTCCTCCTCCTCCAGGCGGGCCTCCATCTCATGCAGTATCTCCTCCAGCTCCTGCTTCTTGGCCGCCAGCCGCACCCGCATCTCCTCAGCCTCTGCATACAGCTCTGTCTCTGCCTGCAGCTGTTCCTGTAGCAGGTTCTTCTCCTCGGTCAGCTGCACGCAGGTGGTGGGGAGGAGGCGGGTGAGCCCCACGGGGCCAAGTCCTGTTCCCCAGCAACCCCAGCCATGCATCCATACAGGTACCTGCGAGTGCTTCTGTTCCAGCTCCTTAAGCTCATTCTCTGCCTTCTGCTGCCGCTCCTTGGTCTTCTGCAGTTCATCCTCCTTGGCCTGCATCTCCTCCTCCTGCCGTGTCACCTGCAGCAGTGGCTTCACCTGCACACACACGGTTAGCCCATCATTTGTTTTTGTGGCAAAGGGATATGTTGTCATAATAAATTCGATCAGTGGTTCCGAGCCAGGGACAATGTTGCCCCCACCGATCCCCACTAGGGGATATTGTCTGGAGACACTGCTGATTGTCACAGCTGGGGTGGGGGGTGCCTCTGGCATCCAGTGGGTAGAGGCCAGGGATACTGCTAAACACCCTACAGTGCACAGGACAGCCCCCACAACAGAATTAGTCACCCCAAAATATCAACAGTGGCAAGACTGAGGAGCTCTAAATCAGAGCACCAGAAAAGGTACAAAGTGAAAGGAAAAAGTCTCATCTTCCCCACTTTAGAACCATCCCAACAGAGAACTACTGCTGAAAAGTGATATTTCCTTCCAAGGACAAAAGGGAGAAAAAAAATCTTTCATATCCCACCCACCTCCCTATCAAAGTCATTATTAACATTGTTTACATTTCCTTCCTGGCTCTTTTTCTATGTTTAAAAAATAGACTTAAGACCATGCTGCCTAGTTGTAGAGGCTGCTTTTATTATTTAAAATTATATGATACAGACAGGAACAGTGATGCATGCCTGTAATCCCAGCATTTTGGGAGGCCGAGGCAAGCGCTTGAGCCCAGGAGTTTGGGACCAGCCTGGGCAACATCATGAGACCCCATCTCTACAAAAACAAGTAACCAGGCATGGTGGTGTGTGCCTGTAGTCCCAGCTAGTGAGGGGTCTGAGGCAGGAAGATCGCTTGAACCCTGCAGGCTGAGGCTGCAGTGAGCCACGATTGTGCCACTGCACTCCAGCCTGGGTGACACAGTGAGACCCTGTCTCCACAAATAAAATTTTTTTAAAAATTATAAGATATGTATTACCCCATGCTGTTACATCATTCTTACAACTTTACATAGCCATCTTTTAAGTTAATTTATTTATTTAGCGATGGTCTTGTTTTGTCACCCAGGCTGGAGTGCAGTGACACAATCATAGCTCACTGCAGCCTTGAACTCCTGGCCTCAAGCGATCCTCCCACCCCAGCTCCAGAGTAGCTGGGACTACAGGCACATGCCACAGTGTCCAACTAGACAGCTAGGTAGAAGTCTTTTTTTTTTTTTTTTTTAGCAGACCTATTCAGTAGCCAAAGCCATCATTTTAATAGCTGAAAACATTCCATTGATAGATGAACCATTATTGAACTCATCATTCAGCTAGGACTGGACACTGAAATTCTGCTATTGTAAATAAGGCCATAATGAATGCCCTTAACTCTTGATTTTCTTTTCTCTTTTTCAGGTGGAGTCTCGCCCTGTCACCCAGGCTGGAGTGCAGTGGCACGATCTCAGCTCACTGAAACCTCTGCCTCCTCGGTTCAAGTGATTCTCCTGCCTCAATCTCCTGAGTAGCTGGGATTACAGGTGCCCACCACCACACCTGGCTAATTTTTGTATTTTCAGTAGAGATAGGGTTTCGCCATGTTGGCCAGGCTGGTTTCGAACTCGTGAACCCAGGTGATCCTCCTGCCTTGGCCACCCAAAGTGCTGGGATTACAGGCATGAGCCACCACACCTGGCTAAGACGATTTTCTTAGGATAGTTTTTCAGAAGTTGGTTCAGTGGGGACGAACATTTCCAAAAAGCAGCATCTGCTGTCCTTCCCTGGGCTGCCTCCTAACTCTTTGTTTTCAAGCCCCTGCCTGGCACAAGGAAGCCCCTGCTATGTACTCCAGCAGCTTGCTTCATGCACTTATCACAGTTTGCCATTATGTATCTGTCTCTGTGATTATCTGTTTATTGTTTACTCCCCACCAATTCGGCTAGAATATTCATGGAGGTCAGGGACCATGGTGTGTGTTCACAGCTGCACCCCCAGCACCTAGCATGTGCCTGGGATACAGCAGGCACTCAATGTCTGTTTGCTTGGTGAAAAAGCCTTGCACCAGTGGATACACTCAAGGGCATATAAGGAGAAGCCTAGTCTATTGCAACAGAGCATGTCTTTGTGCCATGGGGACAATGCAACCAGTGCCACTACAGGAACCAGTTGAGTCCTCTGGAGGCCCTGACTCTGCCAGAAATAAAAAATAATATGCTATGGCCAGATGAGGTGGCTCATGCCTGTAATCCCAGCACTTTGGGAGCCTGAAGCAGGAGGGTTGCTTGAGGTCAGGAGTTCAAGACCAGCCTGGGTAACAGAGTGAGACTCCATTTCAAAAAATGCAAAAAGTAAAAAAAAAAAAACCTGCAGTATTGATACATGCAACAGTCTGGATGCTCTCTAATTCCATGTATAGAATATTTGTTTTATTTTTTTTTGAGACGGAGTCTCGCTCTGTCACCAGGCTGGAGTGCAGTACAGTGGCGCGATCTCAGCTCTCTGCAACCTCTGCCTCCCAGGTTCAAGTGATTCTCTTGCCTCAGCCTCCTGAGTAGCTGTGACTACAGGCGTTTGCCACCACGCCCAGCTAATTTTTGTACATTTAGTAGAGACAGGGTTTCACCATCTTGGCCAGGATGGTCTTGATTTCTTGACTTTGTGATCCACCCGCCTCGGCCTCCCAAAGTGCTGGGATTACAGCCGTGAGCCACCGTGCCTGGCCTTTTTTTTAAATAAAAAAAAAAAGAAAGAAGAGACAGAGTCTCAATCTTTCACCCAGGCTGGAGTGCAGGCATGATCTTGGCTCACTGCAACCTCTGTCTCCTGAGTTCAAGAGATTCTCCTGCCTTAGCCTCCTGAGTATCTGGGATTACAGGTGCCTGCCACCATACCCAGCTAATTTTTGTATTTTAAGTAGAGACAGGGTTTTGCCATGTTGGCCAGGCTGGTTTTGAACTCCTGACCGCAAGTGATCCGCCTGCCTCGGCCTCCCAAAGTGCTGGGATTACAGGCGTGAGCCGCCGCCCCCGGCAGCATTCTTGAACCATCAAAATTACAGAACTGGAGAACAGAGTGGTTTCCATGGCTACGGAGGAAGTGGGTGTGGCTATAAATGGGCCACACGAGGGATTCCAGTGCGGATGGAAATATTAATACTTTGTGTTAAGGTCCTGGCTATAGCCTATGTGCCAAAGGACAGGGCCTCCTCGGGCCAGAGAACCGCCAATGCTCAAGGTCTGAGTTCGAGCCCTCCATTCCACACCCACTTGCGACCACCTCCTGTCCCAAATGTGAAGGCTCCAGAGTGAAGAAGCAGGGCTGGGGGCCCCTGGGAAGGGGGCTGGGGCAGAGCACTCACTTTGGTGAAAAGCCTCCACCACTGCCAGTTCCGCAGCTTGAGGTAGGCGGCGCAGTTCCTCTGAATCACCTTCATGGCGGTCAGCTGCTGCTGCCTCTTGGCAAAAGCCCTAGGGAGGGGGGAAGAGAAGGTGCGGGGGTCATGAAGCCACACCCTGCTGTCAACAGAGCCCTGCCCTGCAGCATCCTGAACCTGCACAGGGACATGCCCCAATCTCCCCAACTCAGGTTCTTCCAGAAACCCTGTGTGACACATGTGTTGTCTGGCTGCAAACAACTTAAATCATCTACAGGACAGAGCCTTTTTCAGTGGACAAGGAAGACCCAGGGCTCACAACATGCCCTGGACTTAGCTGAGATCCAAACACCACTCAGAAAACACAACTATGTGCATCATTCCTAAGGGGGCTCCCGTACTCCCCAGCTGCACTAGCTGTTTCTTTTTTCTTTCTTTCTTTTTTTTTTTTTTTTTTTTTTGAGATAGAGTTTCGCTCTTGTTGCCCAGGCTGGAGTGCGGTGGCACGATCTCAGCTCACTGCAAACTCCACCTCCGGGGTTCAAGTGATTCTCCTGCTTCAGCCTCCTGAGTAGCTTGGATTACAGGTGCCCACAACCATGCCTGGCTAATTTTTGTATTTTTAGTAGAGATGGGGTTTCCCATGTTGGCCAGGTGGGTCTCAAACTCCTGACCTCAGGTGATCCACCCACCTTGGCCTCCCAAAGTGCTGGGATTACAGGTAGGAGCCACCATGCCCAGCCTACACCAGCTGTTTCTGACTAACTTATTTATTTATTTGTTTATTTTCAGAGACAGGGTCTGGCTCTGCGGCCCAGGCTGGAGTGCAGTGGTGTGATGATGGCTCACTGCAGCCTCAAATTCCTGGGCTTAAATGATCCTCCTGCCTCAGCCTCCCAAGTAGTTGGGACTACGGGCACATGCTACCATGCCCAGCTAATTTTTAAAGTTTTTTTTTTTTGGTAGAGATAGGGGTCTCGCCATGTTGCCCAGGCTGGTCTCAAACTCCTGGGCTCAAGCAATCCTCCTGCCTCGGCCTCCCAAAGTGCCTGGGATTACAGGTGTCAGCTACCACACCCAGCCCTGTCAAACCTATTCTCTCCTGGGTTGTTTTAGGAATTTCACACTGTGACCCTGAACCAGCACTCTTCCCGTTTAAGGGCTATCGATAGATTGAGAAACGATAGAACAGTGAACGTAATTCTGTCTTCCCTGCTTGGCTGCCATCTTGGACACAGGAAAACTTTAAGAATAAAATTGCCCCAGTTATCCAGGAAGGACAGCAACAGGGAACTTAGTAACGAAACTTGACAAGTTAGGTCTGTTGCGGGAGGGCCAAGAGCTCCCAAAGCTGGCCTTGACCATCTTGGGTCCATGTGTCAATGAATGAACCTGACACATCAGGGTCCTACTGGTGAGGGTGTGGTCTCTGCCCAATGACAACACACACCCCAGACAGAGAGCGACCCCACCTGTCCCTGCAGTCCCTGGGGTATGACTTTCATTAAGGAACCCGAACCCTTCCCCGGCTCCCAGTCTTCACAGAACAGCTGGGACATCACACCCTCCAAAACCCTGCCTTATAAATCCCACTGGGACACGGGGATCTAGACACCGTCAAGTCCTCTTTCCTCAATGGTTTATCCAATTCTAACATGTCTAGGCTGGGCGCAGTGGGTCATGCCTATAATCCCAGCACTTTGGGAGGCCAAGGCAGGTGGATCACTTGAGACCAGGAATTTGAGACCAGCCTGGCCAACATGGTGAAACTTTGTCTCTACTAAAAATACAAAAATTAGGCCAGTGTGGTGGTGGGCGCCTCTAATTCCAGCCACTCGGGAGGCTCAGACACGAGAATTGCTTGAGTCCAAGAGGCAGAGGTTGCAGTGAGTTGAGACTGCGCCACTGCACTCCAGCCTGGGCGACAGAGAGAGAGAGAGAGACTCTGTCTCAAAAAGGAAGAAGAAAGGAAGGAAGGAAGGGAGGGAGGGAAGGAAGGAGTGAGGGAGGGAGGTAAAAACAACAACAATCATTTCTGACCTGAGAACCACGCACTGTTCTAAGCTCTCGTCATGCGTTATCTTAGTGACACCTCATGAACAGCTCTCTGAGGTCAAAATGATTATGCTCAGTTTCCAGCTAAAAAACTGGAAGCTCAGAGAGGTAGAGTAACTTGCCCAAGGTTCATCAGCAAAAACTGGGGCATCCACGATGAGAACCCAGGTCTAAAACTCGTTCCCTTCCTGCACTCGTAACTTGGTACATTTATTTAAAGTAGAAGCATTTCTTCCCCTTCAAGAAAAGGCTGTCATTCAGTCAATGATGCATCTTAAACAGGTGGCCTCTTAGAATCAGGGAATCAGAACAGAAAGGCCCCTGTTTGTGATTCGCGTTTGAGGTATTAGGATGCAGGAAAGCATCTTTACTTTCTGGCCAAGTAGCCACGACACATCGCCTGGAAGGCCATGATGACATCGGTGATCTTCAAATCTCGCTCCTCCTCTAGGTGGGCCAGGACGCCAGTTCGGAAGAAGATTTTGCTCTGCCCTATCCTGTATAAGTTGGGGTCAAGTTCCAGGGCTTTGATCTGCAAAAGGAAGGAAAGGAAGAGCTCCTGATTTCCACTGTGCCATTTGGCCAGTGATGACATGGGTAAGAACGGTCCCACCAAGAGCAGCAGGTGGCTTGCGGCCAGAGGTTGGGAGGTCTCTGGTGGACTTCTGGGCTCACCATGAGAATGCAGGCCTGCTTCCCGTCCATGAAGCCTTTGGGGATGGCATTCGCCGCCAGGATCTCGTAGCTTGAAACACAGAGCAGAAGTCACCCCGGGTACCTCCAGCATCCATTCCTCCACCCAGTCCCGCTCACCCCCTGCCCTACCTGGGCCAGACCTTGGGACTTACCGTTGGCGGAACTCCTGGAAGACGATCCGGTTGGGGAAGCCCTGCCGGCAGATGCGAATGCCTTCCAGCACCCCATTGCACCGCAGCTGCTCCAGCACCAGGAACGCATCCAGCTTGCCGGACTGCAAAGGTCAAAGAGGGCAGTGGATCCCTGGGGCCAGAAACCATGGCGCAGCAAAGCCCCAAACCTCCTACCTGGATGACCCACCTGGCCAGGCCATGAGGGTACCAACAGAAGCACCCAAGGAGGGCTTAGCTGAGGGCCGAGGGGCAAAGCAGTGCCCCCCTCTGGGTTTTCATCTCTTTGCTTCGGCAATGGCTGCCTCATGATCTCTCTGGTTCTTGGTGACACTAGCATCGCCTGGCTGGAACCTGGGGCTTCCTCCTCATCACCTCGTCTCCCTCACTTCCTGTCCATCAGCAGTTTGATTGCTTCTAGCTCCCAAATATCTCCCAACCCCCCCACTTCTCTTCACCACCATTGTCTCCACTATCTTCTCCTGCCTGGACAACCACAGAAACCACCCACCTGGTCTCTCTCTCTGGTCTTGCCTCTCCCCTCAATCCCTTTGTCCTTTTTATTTTTTGAGATAGGGTCCCATTCTGTCAGCCAGGCTGGAGTCCAGTGGTGCGATCATGGCTCACTGCAGCCTCAAACTCCTGGGCTCAAGTGATCCTCCCAAATCAGCCTCCCAAGTATTTGGGACCACAGGTATGTGCTACCATGCCTGGAAAATTTTTAAAAATGTTTTTGTAGATATAGGGTCTTGCTATGTTGCCCAGGCTAGCCTTGAACACCTGGTCTCAAGTGATCCTCCCACCTCAACCTCCCAAAGTGTTGGGATTATAGGCATGAGCTAGCATATGCCCAGCCCCCTCATTCACTTCCTAAAATGTAAATCTGACCATGATATAGCCCTGCTTTAACACCCCCAATGGCATGCCTAGAGAGAGAAGGCCAAGCTCCAGAAAGAACACAAGGAGCACCACGATCTAGCCCCTGCCTACCCATTCAGCCTCAATCCTACCTCACACCATCTGATTCCTACCTCATGCCATCACACATTTGCAACATGAAATGACCTATTTAGCATTTTCTTTCCTTTTTTTTTTTTTTTTTTAAGATGGAGTCTCGCTCTGCTGCCCAGGCTGGAATGCTGTGGTGCAATCTCAGCTCACTGCAACCTCCGCCTCCTGGGTTCAACAGATTTTTGTTTCTCAGCCTCCTGAGTAGCTGGGATTACAGGCGTGAGCAACACGCCTGGACACTATCTAGCATTTTCTTACCTAGTTCCTTCACTTCTCACCTCCACACTCTTGCTTAGCCTGGGCCCTCTGCTTATCCTAGGCCCCCTGCTTATCCTAGGCCCCACCCTGCCTTCCATGTCACCAAGTTGATGGCCACACATTCTTAACGTTCAAGTTCACCAGAAGCTTTCTCTGAGTCCTGAGGCTGTGGGAGGAGCCCTGGCTCTTTGGTGTTCTCCTAACTGACCACATTCCATCACCATCATCAGCTGTATGTTTACCTCTCCCCGTGTCTCCCATAACCTCAGCACTACTGGCATCTTGTAGGGATTCTGTGCTGGGGGTTGAGGGACCATCCTGTGCATTGTACAATGCTTAGGGCATCCCTGGCCCCTACCCACTAGATGCTGACTAACAGCCCCCTCCTGGTTGTGACAACCAAAAATGTCTGTAGCATGTCCATATAGAGGACACAATCGCCCCAAGCTGAAGATGCCTGCACCAGATTATGAGAAACCCACAGGGAAGGGCTACAATTTTTCTAACACTGCTCCCCAGCACCCAGGACAGGGCAGAGCCCAGTGAATACTTCCTGGGATAATGAATGAATGAGTGGCTGGATGACCTGCACAGCAACTCCACAACTGAAAAGTCTCTGGATGCATCCTCCCTTCCTCCTTTTCCTCCAGGGATGGGGAATGGGTCTGAGATTCAGATAGCCTTCCCCACATGGAAAATGGGGTCCTCGGGGTAGGTGGGGGCAGAGGGCGCCCTGGGGACGCTGTGACCGCTTGGGACAGCCCTGGCTTCTGGGAGCCCCAGGGTCTGGGCGGCGGGCCTCACCCTCTTCTCGTGGTTGGGGATGATGCAGCGCACGAAGTTGGGCGTGGTGTTGCGTAGCGTGGTCATCAGCTTGCCCAGCTGCTCCTTGTACAGCTGCCCCACTGTGCGGAACATGCCCTTCTTGGTCTTGGAGGCGCTGGGCAGCGAGCTCTCCGTCATCTTGGCCATCTGGTCCAGGCCCACGATGCGGTCCACTATGGGGCACAGCCAGGGTGGCATCAGCCTCTGGCCCACCCACCCCTAAATAGGCCAGAGGCTCAGCCCCAGCCCCACCCACCAACCTGCCCACTCCAATCTTTCCTTCCATCACCAACGCCTCCTTCGGCAGTCAGGGTTTCCAAGTATTGTCTATTGGGGAAATCCTGAGAGCACCTGAGTGGCAGAAAGAACAAATTCCCTGTGATGGAGTCACGCTGACCTAGGAGTCAAGCCTGCTCTCGCTGTCCACTCACTGACTAGCCTTGGCTTGGCACTATCCTGTGCCTCAGTCTCCCTTTCTACAAAAGGGAGGTAATAATACCGTCTACCTTCTAGGGCAGGGGTAAAAAAAAATAAGGCACAGAAGGCACTTATTCCCTGCCAGCCTCCAATCTTTCATCCACCAACAAATAGTTATTGAGGACCTTCTGTGCTCCAGGCCCTGGGGACACTGCTGTGAACAAAAAAAGACCCGGCCCCCTCACCCCGCTTATATCACAGGGAAGGAGACAGACAGAGATCACAGATGTTAAGTATGGAATATCTTGAGTAGTGAGGTGTGCGTAGAAAAATAAAAATAGGGTAAAGCGGAGAGAGAGTGAAGAGGGTGCTCTCTTAGACAAGGAGGTGGTGGGCTCTGCTAAGTTGATATTTGAGCAGAAACCAGCAAGAAATGAGTGGGTAACCATGTAGGTATCCACGGAAGAAATATTCTGAGGCAGAAGATACAGCACACACTCCGAGATAGCCTGGCACATCAGTAAGTGCTCAACAAAAAGTAGGTATTATTATTATTATTATTATTATTATTATTATTATTATTATCATTATTTTATTTTATTGAGACGGAGTTTCACTCTTGTTGGCCAGGCTGGAGTGCAATGGCGTGATCTCGGCTCACCACAACGTCCGCCTCCCGGGTTCCAGCAATTCTCCCGCCTCAGCCTCCCAGTAGCTGGGATTACAGGCATGCGCCACCACGCCCGGCTCATTTTTTTTATATTTTTAGTAGAGACAGAGTTTCTCCATGTTGGTCAGGCTGGTCTCGAACTCCTGACCTCAGGTGATTCCCCTGCCTTGGCCTCCCAATGTGCTGGGATTACAGGCGTGAGCTACCGCGCCCGGCCATCATCATCATCATCATCATCATCATCATCATCACCTCCAAGGTTCTTTTTCTACCAGCCCAGCAGGTCCTGCACATGCCAAGCCCAACCCACAGGCCATGGATGGCACCATTTCTTCACCTTCTACTCAGATTCTGTGTAACAATCTTTTTTTTTTTTTTTTTTTTTTGAGACAAGCTCTCACTCTGTCGCCCAGCTGGAGAGCAGTGGCACGATCTTGGCTCACTGCAACCTTCACCACCCAGGTTCAGGTGATTCTCCTGCCTTAGCCTCCTGAGTAGCTGGGATTACAGGCACCCACCAGCACACCCGGCTAATTTTGTTTTTATTTTTTATTTTTAGTTTTATTTTTTCAAGACAGAGTCTTGCTCTTTTGCCCAGGCTGGAGTCCAATGGCACAATCTCAGCTCACTGCAACCTGCGCCTCCCAGGTTCAAGCAGTTCTCCTGCCTCAGCCTCCCGAGTAGCTGGGATTACCACCACCACGCCCAGTTAGTTTTTGTATTTTTAGTAGAGATGGGGTTTCGCCACGTTGGCCAGACTGGTCTCGAACTCTTGACCTCAACTGATCCTCCTGCCTCAGCCTCCCAAAGTGCTGAGATTACAGGTGTGAGCCACCATGCGCAGCCTCATGCTTGTCTCTCTGCTTGTCTTTGAGAGTCTCATCTCTCCCACAAGACTGTGGGTCCCGCAGAGGAGGGACTACAGGCTTCATCATGTGTCCTGGGATGACACAGACCCAGGGTGCGATGTTGTTCCCTAGGCCCAGAGCCTGGCATATGGTTAGGGCACAGCTGGCCCCTCCTGGAGCCCTTTTTTTAGCATGCTTAAAACAAGGGGAGACCAGTCCTGTAAGCCCCAGGCCCATGGGCCCTGTGCCAAGAATAAAACCTGCTGTGGACACTGATGGCCAGGGACAAACAGCAAACCCCCTCCCCTCATCATCACTCCAGCAGCTCTTCACAGGGATCATCTATTCACTGGTTCTCAAAGGGAGCCGGAGTGTGGTCCCTAGACCAGCAGCATCACCTGGGATGAATGTTTTCAGGCCCGCCCCATCCCTGGCCCCAGACCTGCAGAATTAGATCTTAGGGTAGGCCCAGCCATCTGGGTTTTAAAAAGCCCTCCAAAGAGGGCCAGGTGCAGTGGCTCACACCTGTAATCCCAGCACTTTTTGAGGCTGAGGTGGGCGGATCACCTGAGGTCAGGAGTTTGAGACCAGCCTGGCCAACATGGGGGAACCCCGTCTCTACTAAAAATACAAAAATTAGCCAGGTATGGTGGTGTGTGCCTGTAATGCTAGCTACTTGGGAGGCTGAGGCAGGAAAATCACTGGAACCCAGAAGGTGGAGGCTGCAGTGAGCCAAGATTGCACCACCGCCCTCCAGCCTGGGTGACAAAGCAAGACTCTGTCCCTAAATAAATAAACAAAGCCTTCCAGGGGGTCATGATGCCTGCTTGAGTTTGAGCATCACTGGTCTAATTTAACCCTCATAATACCTCTAGTAGAGACGGCAACTATTATTGCATCTCCTGTTTTACTAATGAGGACAATGAAGCTTAATGACATCAAGTGACTCATCCAAGACCACAGAGCTAGGAGGTGGCAGAGACAAGATACAGTGAAGTCCTTCTGACTCTGGACAGGGCAGTCTAACTCCCCGTGCCTGGCATGCTGTTTCTCCTCTATTGCCTGAGCCCTGACCTCAGGACCTCAATCCCCTCGGGACATGTAGGATTGAGGGGCTCAGGGACCCCCACTCAGGAAGAAATTGTTTCAACGAGACATCACCAGCCCATGCCAATGCTCTTCCTTCCCCTGCCCCCATGTAAAGGCCTCCCCTCCTGGGGCAGGTGTGAGAGTCGGGGGACTTGGGTGTTCAATTCTCCAGCTCAAAGCAGAACATGGACCCGAGCAGAGAAGGCCTTACCGTCCTTCCACAGGTCGGCCACAAACTTGTCGGAGGAGGCATTGAGCAGGGAAGTCACGTTGTCATTCAGCGGGTCCATATTCTTGGTCAGCCAGGCACTCGCATTATAGTCCACCTGCCAAGGACACCCTGCTGGTCAGAACCCCTGGGAAACTAGAAACTTAGAAACCAAGGCCAGGACCCCAGCCCTCCCATTGTCCTTCCAGATCTTCTGAGGTCAGAGAGGAAATGACGTTTATGACCACCATGATGGGACTCCACAAACACCAGTGAAGAGACCAACAGCCCAGGGACCTGTGCCCACGTAGTAGGACATCAGCCAGTGATAGCCATTGCTGGGAAAGCCTAGTTTCCATTCCATATTCTCCTACTAACGCTGCTGTGGTAGCCTCCCTCCTCCTAAGCCAGCACAGTACCTGTGAGTTATACACTATTAAGAGATTTCATGACGGCAGATGCCCTCCTGCCGACATGCAAAACTCCCCCCTCATCATCTTCCCAATCATCCTGGTTTAGAAATTAAGCATGGCAGCCAAGCGTGGTGGTTCACACTGGTAATCCCAGCACTGTGGAAGGCCAAGGTGGGTGGATCATTTGAGGTCAGGCGTTCAAGACCAACCTGACCAACATGGTGAAACCCCATGTCTACTAAAAATACAAAAAAAAAAAAAAAATTAGCCAGGCATGGTGGTGCACACCTGTAATGCCAGCTACTCGGGAGGCTGAGGCAGGAGAATCGCTTCAGCCTGGGAGGCGGAGATTGCAGTGAGCTGAGATTGCGCCACTGAACTCCAGCCTGGGTGACAGAGTGAGACTCTGTCTCAAAATAATTAAATAAATAAATTAATTAAGCATGGCATCCTATTTTCCACTCTCTAATGAGCATAATTTGTAACTCAGAGATCCTGATATATGGATATACAGAAAAAGGACATATAGGCTTTTTACATTCCTGACTCAAACAATGACAATGCCCAAAGCCGTAATTTTTACTATGGTGAATATTAAATGAAAGGAACTGATAATACAGCTTTGCTGGGTTATCATGGGATGTGGGTTATCAGGATAATAGGTAGGCTTGATCTGAGAGAAGACTGAAAATAATAATAAAAAAAATCCACTGATGAAGTAGGGAAAAGAAAAGTGTTGTCTCTATATGCTTAAAGGAACATATACCCCCTTGAATATAGGCTAGGAGTTGGGAAACTTTTGGTGAAGGCCCAGATAGTAGATATTTTTGGCTTGGCAAGTCATACAATGTTTTGTTTGTTTGTTTGTTTTGGTTTTTGAGACAGAGTGGTTCTCTGTTGCCCAGTCTGGAGTGCAGTGGTGCAGTCTCAGCTCACTGCAACCTCCAACTTCCTGGGTCAAGCAGTTCTCTTGCCTCAGCCTCCTGAGTAGCTGAGGTTACAGTTGTGTGCCTGTAATCTCACAGCTGGCTAATTTTTAAATTTTTTTTATTTTTTATTTTTAGCAGAGACGGGCTTTCGCCATGTTGGCCAGGCTGGTCTCAAACTGCTGACCTCAAGTAATCCACCTGCCTTGGTGCTGGGGTTACAGGCGTGAGCCACCACACCCAGCCAAGTCATACAGTCTTTGTCGCAGCTACTCAACTCTAGCACTGTAGTATACAAAAGCAGCCAGCCATAGACATTATGCATACAAATGGGCATGGCTGTGTTCCAATAAAACTTTATTTACAATAACAAGCTGTGGGCCAGATCGGACTCTGTTGCCAGGCCCTGGTAGAGAGCATTGTTTGTGCCCATGATGCAGTGGAGGTACTGAGGAGTCAATAGAATACTACAATTCTGCAAGCCAGACTAAGCTATGTCCTTTGTACATTATCCAGGACTCTTGAGAGCCACAGGGCAAGGGCCTATACAATAACAGCCAAGGCATGTTGATGATGATGATGATGATGATGAATACAACTATCATAGATTTCCCTGGCCAGAGCAGGCTGGCAATAGCAAACTCAAGACCGTGACATGGGAGATTTTTGTTGAAGCCAGGTGTGGATGTATTAGTCACCCCATTCCAGTTGGCCCCGCCTGTTGGGTATAACTTGTAGCAGGAAGGATTTAGAGTCTATACAAGAAAAGCAGGCTGAGGCCAGGTACAGTGGCTCGTGCTCATAATCCCAGCACTTCAGGAAGCCGAGGCAGGGAGATCTCTTGAGCCCAGGAATTCAAGACCAGCCTGGGCAACACAGCAAGACCCCATATCTATACATAATTTAAAAATTTAGCTGGGCGGCCAGGCACGGTGGCTCATGCCTGTAATCCTAGCACCTTGGGAGGCCGAGGCGGGTGGATCACCTGAGGTCAGGAGTTTGAGACCAGCCTGGCCAACATGGCGAAACCCTTCTCTACTAAAAATACAAAAATTAGCTGGGTGTGGTGGCAGGTGCCTGTAATCCCAGCTATTTGGGAGGCTGAGGCAGGAGAATCTCTTGAACCCGGAGGGAGAGGTTGCAGTTAGCAGAGATCACGCCATTGCACTCCAGCCTGGATGACAAGAGCAAAATTCCATCTCAAAAAGGAAAAAAGATTTTAGCTGGGCATGGTGGTGTACACCTGTAGTCCCAGCTACTTGGGAAGCTGAGGCAGGAGGATCGTGTGAGCCCAGGAGGTTGAGGCTGTAGTGAGCTATGATCGCACCACTGCACTCCAGCCTGGGCGACAAAGCGAGACCCTGTCTCCAACAAAAACAGAAAGAAATAACTGTCTGGACGTCACGGTTGGAAAACATGAGAGTGGCTACAGCTGATGCCTTACAGATGCGTAGACAAATTACGAATAGGACTTGGTTGGGATTCGCTTAGCAGCAGATGGCTTTGCAGTTTCCAGGCAGCCCAAGGTTCTGCCACTCTCAGACTGTCTCTGCGCTGAGCAGCCACTGGGGGTCCCCTGAGACAGAGTCCCCTGGGCCCTGTGGCTGGTACCTTCCCAGCATAATGGATGATGGAGAACTCAGTCTTGTCCTTGAGCTGCTTGGGCTTCTGGAACTTGGGGTGGCTGCCCTGCTCCGTGCACAGCTTCTCCACGAAAGACTTGTCCGTGGCTTTGGGGAACCAGCATTCCTCGTCCAGCAGGGCCAGCACACCTGGAGGGTTGTTCTGTGGGAGACAAGTAGGGCTTGAATCAGAGAGAACACCCAACCTCAGGCATTCCATGAAGAGCTGGCCAACTATACACAACGCATGGGCATCCGCCGAGATCTGATACTGTATTTGCCCACATATAAAGATGAGTTTATGACCCCCATGCTTCCAAATCTACCTTCAAATTACCCTGTGCCCAATGGACCAGTAACAGGGATGGAAGGCAGAACATAATGTTTGCTGCCGCCCCCTAGTGGGCAACACGCAGGCAACATCATGAAGAGTTCATAACTCTTTTTTTTTTTTTTTTTTTTTTGAGACAGAGTTTTGCCTTGTCGCCCAGGCAGACGGTGCAGTGGCGCGATCTCGACTCACTGCAAGCTCCGCTTCCTGGGTTCACGCCATTCTCCTGCCTCAGCCTCCCGAGTAGCTGGGACTACAGGCGCCTGCCACGGCGCCCGGCTGATTTTTTCTATTTTTAGTAGAGGCGGGGTTTCACCGTGTTAGCCAGGATGGTCTCCATCTCCTGACCTCGTGATCCGCCCGCCTCGGCCTCCCAAAGTGCTGGGATTACAGGCATGAGCCACCGCGCCCGGCCGAGTTCATAATTCTTGCAAATGAATTTGTTGCTTGACTTGAATTCACCTAGGGTTCCTGTTAGAAAAGTTTTTTTTGGAGACAGGGTCTCACTCTGTTATCCAGGCTGGAATGCAGTGGCGCAATCTCGGCTTACAGCAACCTCTGCCTCCAGGGCTCAAGCAATCCTCCCACCTCAGCCTCCCAAATAGCTGGGACCACAGGCGTGCACCACCAGGCCCGGCTAATTAGTAGAAACCCTGTCTCTACTGAAAATACAAAAGTTAGGTGGGCGTGGTGGTGCACGCCTGTAGTCTCAGCCACTTGGGAGGCTGAGGCGGGAGGATCACTTGAGGCAGGGAGGTGGAGGTTGCAGTGAGGCAAGATTGTGCCACTGCACTCCAGCCTGGGCAACAGAGTCAGACCATGTCATAAAAAAAAAAAAAAAAAAAAAAAAAGCAATGGCAGAGAAGGAAAGGGAAGGGAAAGAGGGTAGGGAAGAAAAAAAGGAAGAAAAAAGAGGATGGAAGGAAGGCAGAAATTAAAGAAAATACCTTTGATATGAAAATGTGGGTTAATGGAAATTGTAAGAGTTCACAAGGATTCAGCTTACAGCCTTTCAGGACTGGGTGATGGATTGGGTGGGGGAATGCTATGTGCATGGGGAGAGTGTGGGGTCCACGTCGGCTCCACAGAGGCCACACACGTGTACAAGGTGTGACGGAGCCCCGCACGCCCACGTGCCCCTCACCGGTCGCTCGATGAGCTCGATGCAGGGCTGTAGGTCCAGCCCAAAGTCGATGAAGTTCCACTCGATGCCCTCGCGCTGGTACTCCTCCTGCTCCAGGATGAACATGGTGTGGTTGAAGAGCTGCTGCAGCTTCTCGTTGGTGTAGTTGATGCACAGCTGCTCGAAGGAGTTCACCTGAGCACATGGCGTGGGGGCGGGGCGTGAGCATCTTGGTATGAAGTCAGAAGACAAGGAGCCCCACAGAAGCTCCACCCGACAGCGCCCCCATGGCCCGCCCACATCCTGTTCTGCCATCCCAGCACCCAGACAGGGCTGAGGCCCCAAAACATGCTGCCTAGAGTCCACCAGGGCTGGTGAAGTTGATATCACATGGCCCTCACACACCTTAAAGATGCTTATCTCCTCCATCTGCACAACCATCTATGGATGGACAAACCTCGTAAGGCACGCTACTGCATGTACAGATGTGGAAACATTTTACAGATGTGAAAACAGAGGCGCAGAGAGAAAGTGACTCGGTAGTACACTTCTTTCGGGACATCTATCAATCTTAAAACCTCCTGGCTGGGTGTAGTGCTCATGATTGTAATCCCAGCACTTAGGGAGGCCAAGGCGGGAGGATCACTTGAGGTCAGGAGTTTGCGACCAGCCTGGCAAGCATAGCGAAACCTCTCTCCACTAAAAATACAAAAATTGGCCAAGCACAGTGGCTCATACCTGTAATCCCAGCACTTTGGGAGGCCGAGGCTGGTGGATCATTTGAGATCAGGAGTTTGAGACTAGCCTGGCCAACAGGGTGAAACTCTGTCTCTACCAAAAAAAAAAAAAAAAGTAGCCAGGCATGGTGGCACTAATCCCAGCTACTCGAGAGGCTGAGGCAGGAGAATCACTTGAACCTGGGAGGCGGAGGTTGCGGTGAGCCAAGATTGCACTACTGCACTCCGGCCTGGGCAACAGAGCGAGACTCTGTCTAAAAAAAAAAAAAAAATTAGCTGGGCACAGTGGTACACTCCTGTAGTCCCAGCTACTCAGGAGGCTGAGACAAGAGAATTGCTTGAACCCAGGAGGCGGAGGCAGCAGTGAGACAAAATTGTGACACTGCATTCCAGTCTGGGCGACAGAGCAAGACTCTGTCTCAAAAAAAAAAAAACAAGACAAGACAAAAAAAAAACCTTCCCTTTCTCTGAGAACTTTCTTCAAACCCATGGGTAAAGGATCCAATATCCATGTTTCTACTACATGAGGTATTGCAAGCTCCTGCAAACAGTTCTTGGCTTGGAGGTGACCATGTAGCCCAATTCAGGTGAGTAAGAGTCAGTGAGACTTAATTCCAAGATTTTGGTTGGAACTGTTAGAAAAGAGATATGTGCTTTTTTTTTTTTTTTTTTTTTACCAGGATTACTGAGAGGCAGTCTGGAGCTGTGGCAGCCATCTTGCCCCCGTGAGGGGAGAGCCTGCTTGAGAATGGAGCCAATATGGAGGAAGGCAGAGAGAGAGAGAGAACGATGGCGGGAGATCAGACCCTGCCTACGGGATCCAGCTACATGTCTGGCCTTCTCAGTTCCAGAAACCAATGCATTTCCTGTTGGATTTCTGTCTCTTATACCCTCAATGATCCACCCTTAACTAGACAGCCTCCTACCCTACAGTAGCCATCTACATGCCTTTCTCCAAAATCATGACTCCTCCAAGAAAAAGCCCATCTCAGACAACCAAGACCATGGCTCTTAGGATCCCACCGAGCTGTACCTCAAAGATCTCAAATCCAGCTATATCCAGGATCCCCAGGAAGGAAGCCCCTTGCCGATGGGTCTTGTCCAGGGCTTTGTTCACGCGGGTGAGTATCCAGCGGAAAAGGCGCTCATATGTTGCCTTGGCCAAAGCCTCTACAGCAAAGTCAGCCTGCAGAGGGCAACCAGGGGAACCCGGTTATTCTCAATGGGCTCCATTTTCACATAAGCCAGGCTGGTGGTGAAGATTTTTATTCTTGGCCGGGTGCAGTGACTCACACTGTAATCCCAGCACTTTGGGAGGCCGAGGCAGGTGGGTCACTTGAGGTCGGGAGTTCAAGACCAGCCTGACCAACAAGGCAAAAACCCTTCTCTACTAAAAATACAAAAATTAGCCAGGCGTTGTGGTGCATGCCTGTAGTCCCAGCTGCTTGGGGGACTGAGGCAGGAGAATCGTTTGAATCTGGGAGGCAGAGGCTACAGTGAGCTGCGATGGCACCACTGCACCCCCCCCTGGGCAACAGAGCAAGGCTCTGGCTCAAAAACAAAAAACAAACAAACAAACAAAACCTGACATGGGACTGTGAATATTCTAGTATTGAATAAATGAGGGATAAAGAGATGGATGGGTGGATGCATGGACAGATGAATGAATGAATGAATGAATGGAATGACAGCTGGATGGGTGATGGATGGACGGACAGATGGACAGATGGCTGGGTCATGGATGGATGGACAGATGGATGAGTGAGGGATGGAGAGATGATGGGTGAGCAGATAGATGGGCAGATGAATGGATGGATGGATGGATGGATGAACAGACAGATGAATGAGTGGGTAGAAAGATGGATGGATGGACAGATGCAGAGGCAGACCATGGGTGAATGGATTAATGAATACATGAATGAGTGAACAGGTGGATAGATGGATGAATGGATGGATGGGTGGGTGCATGGATGGATAAGTGATAAGTACATCATTACCTGTTCTTTTGTCTGAGCTTTCTGTACCACATCTCGCCCAACCTTGATACGAGGAGTGAGGATGGATCTGGTGAAATCTGTCACATTAATTCCCATGAGGTGGCAAACTTTCTGAGCAGCTGGATGGAGAAAAGAAACATCGTGAGTGCATCACAAAAGAAATAGCTTGGCAAGAAGACACATCGCATGGGATATTTGTGATCTGTGAATACAGCGGGTTCTCTTGGGGAAATGGGACCCGCTGACCATGAATATAGCTTGAAGTGTCCTAAAGGCTGCTGTCATTAGTGGTCACACTCCCCAGTATTTTGCTGAGAGGCAATGATTGGGGTGGGCTGAAGCAGGCCCCAGTTGGGGGTTTAGGGTCAGGTAGTTCTAGTTTCAAGTCCCTGTCCCTTCACACTTCCAAGTCATGTGACTTTGGAAAAGCTCTTTACCCTCCCAGCATCTTGCTTTTCTCAGCTTTAAAAAGGGTCAGCTCTTCGGTACCTTGTTGGTACCCAGGACTAAATAAGGTAAAGTATGTAAAGTCCCTGAGATAGATAGATTTATTTATTTATTTATTTGTTTATTTATTTATTTATTTTTGGAGACAGAGTCTCGCTCTGTCGCCCAGGCTGGAGTGCAGTGGCGCGATCTCAGCTCACTGCAACCTCCGCCTTCCGGGTTCAAGCAATTCTCCTGCCTCAGCCTCCCGAGTAGCTGGCATTATAGGTGCCTGCCACCACACCCAGCTAATTTCTTTTGTATTTTAGTTGAGATGGAGTTACACCGTGTTGCCCAGGCTGGTCTCGAAGTCCTGAACTCAGGCAATCCGCCCACCTCGGCCTCCCTAAGTGCTGGGATTACAGGCGTGAGCCACTGGCCCTTGAGATTTATTTAACAGTTACTTAGTAAGTATTAAATAGTTATTAATAGTAACATTTATTGAACAGTTACTGTTCAATAAATATTTCTTTCACCCTTCTAGGATATGTGTTGCAGCATTGTTTGCAATAGCAAAATGCTAGAGTCAACCTAAATGCTCTTCTTTTATTTTGAGATGCAGTCTTCCTGTCGCCCGGGCTGAAGTGCAGTGGTGTGACCACGAGCTGGTCCCTTAACATGAAAATAGCATTACATGCTGCTTTGCATGTGCAAGGCAGAGTAAATAGAGTGATTTTAGGATTTTTTTTTCCCCATCTCTTGGCAAGAGCACTTTTTCATTTCTCTTTCCCTGAGGTCTTTCCTTGGCATCCGGATTCCATTAATTTGCCAGATTTAGGGACTCTAATACATAACAAACACCTGAGAATGAAACTGCCACTGCAAAATTATAACTGAGACACTGAACAAGATCTGACCTAACGGACTCCACCTTGCTTCTAACCTCCAAGCTCCACTGAACCATTTGTGGGTGTAAGCCGAATTAACTTGGCAGGAACTTAGTTTATAGTTTATTTTTTATGTTTTGGACACAGAGTCTCACTCTGTTACCCAGGCTGGAGTGCAGTGGCACAATCTCGGCGCACTGCAATCTCCGCCTCCTGCGTTCAAGCAGTTCTCCTGCCTCAGCCTCCTGAGTAGCTGGGATTACAGGCGCCTGCCACTACGCCTGGCTAATTTTTGTATTTTTAGTAGAGATGGGGTTTCACCATGTTGGCGAGGCTGGTCTTGAACTCCTGACTTCAAGTGATCCACCTGCCTGGGCCTCCCAAAATCCTAGGATTACAGGCATGAGCCACCACGCCTAGCCTCTTAGTTTATAGTTTAAAACACAAGAACCCTTTCCCAAAACAAACCCCCTTCTTGCCTGGAGACTAGACTGCCTTTGTAGGAATAACAAATTAGCCCAAAGGTTTGAAATTATGGTTTAGGAGTCCTGTAACTGGAGGCTACAAGAGTCTGACCCTCCCTAAATTGCTCCTGGGGATAACATCACTATTGTAAAACCTAAGACCAGTACTTGAGATATTTTTGCGGACCCTGGCACCAGGTGGATCAGCTGACACCACCCAGATCGAGAAACTGGCTCATCTGATCTTATGGCCTCTGTCCAGGAACTGACTCAGGGCAAGAGGACAGCTTCGACTCCCTGTAATTTCATCTCTGACCCAACCAATCAGCACCCCCAACTCACTGGCCTCCCCCTAACCACATTATGCTTAAAAACTCTGATCCACGAATGCTCAAGGAGATTGATTTGAGTAATAATAAAACTCTGTTCTCCCATGCAGCCGGCTCTGCGTGAGTTACTCTTACTCTATCGCAATTCCCCTGTCTTGATTAATTGGCTCTGTCTAGGCTGTGGGCAAGGTAAACCCAGTAAGCGGTTGCAACAGGTTTGATCAAGGTGGGCTCTAGGGAGCGGGAAAAAGCAACACAATATACAGCCTGGGCTGGGAAATAAGAAACCTAAGTTTTGCTCTCAGCTCAGCCACCAACAAGCATAGTGGTAGCCAGGCCAGCTTCTCAAAACACAAAATACTGTTTATTTGTGGGTAGGTTTATCAGATTTAGGGGGAAAATTACAGGATGCTCAGTTAAACCTGAATTTCAGATAAACAAGAATACTCTTTTGGTATAATCACGGTCCAAATGTTACAAGGGACATAATTAAAATTTAAAAAAAGGTTTGTTGTTTACCTAAAATTGAAATTTATCTGGACATCCTGTATTTTATCTGGCACCCCTAATTCTCAGGGCAATTGAGGTCTGTCTCCCCAAGACGACCACAGATACCGTAAGAAGAGCTATTCTTGTGTCATTTCCTGCTGTATCCCAGTGGCATATTGCAGGGGCTTGAGAAATATTTCTTTAACAAAACAATTAAGTGGGGTATTTTAGAAGAGATGGTCCCTCGGGATCTTGTCTGGTCACTATTAGGGGTAGGACGTGATGACTCTTGCCTGTAATCCCAGCATTTTGGGAGGCCAAGGTGGGAGGATCACTTGAGCTCAGGAGTTCAAGATCAGCTTGGGCAACACAGCGAGACCTCGTCTCTATTAAAACTTGTAAAATTTTGTATTTAAAAAAAAGAACAAATAAATAAAACTATTAGGTTTGTTTTTTTTTAATCCCTGCGCTCTGATTCAATAACTTTCCACATAGGGTCTTGAGCACTGAAAAGTTTGAAAAAGTGAGTGATAAGAACCTAGTCCAACTGTTGTTAAAATCCCAGATACCTTCACCTTGAAAAATAACCAGTGGTTAAATGTCACCTCCCCCACCCCCCCAACCCCAAAGTCATTGGTCATCAGGAAAAAGTGGCAAGTACCTGTGTTATCTGGCATGGACGCCTGGTCTGTGTTTCTTTCCTTCTTGAAGACGATATTTCCAAGCTGCAGGACCGATGATACCACCTTCAATATGGCTGAGGTGGGGAGAGAAGGGCAGAGCAGACACAAAGGTCAATGCCAAGGTACCCTGGAGTTTTGGAGCCTAAAGCCACTGGGGACCCAGAGCCAGCTTACATCTTTCCTCTGAAGAAACTAGATTCTGAGCTCAATATTTTCATATGGTTGCTTAAAACCTTGCATTACAATGGAATGCCACGCAGCAGGGACTGGCAAATTACAGCCCATGGACCAAATCTGGCCCACTGCTTGCTATTATACATAAAGTTTTAGTGGAAAACAGCTATACTCATTCATTTACATATTGTCTGTAACTATTTGCATGCTACACTGGCAGAGTTAATGAGTTGCAACAAAGATCGTCTGGCCTACAAAGGCTAAAGAATTTACTATCTGACCCTTTACAGAAAAATGTGTTAGCAACCCCTGCCACAGAACAGTGAGAATGAATGAGCTACAACTACCACAAATCAAAACTGATGTATTGGGGCCAGCATAGTGACTCATGCCTGCGACCCCAGCACTTTGGGAGGCTGAGGTGGGAGAACTGCTTGAAGCCAGGAGCTTGATACAGCCTGGGCAATGTAGGGAGATCCTGTCTCTAAAACAAAAAAAAAACCCTGACATATCTTCCAGACACAAATACCGAACAAAAGAGGACAGATGGAAACAAGAACATACTGTCTAAGTCCATATATAGACCGTCCATTCAAGAAGAGGCAAAACTAATCGATGCTGTTAGAAGTCAGGATAATGATTATCCTTAATTGAGGGAAGTTCTTAGAAGGTGCATGTGGGAGCTTCCATGGGGCTGGTGGCATTGTCTTATTTAAAATGGATTCTAGTTACACAGACGTGTTCAGTTTATAATAATTCTTTGCACTGCACGCTATGGCATACACAATTTTCTCCATGTAAATCATATGTCAATAAAAGGATTTTTGAAATAAAAACCCTGTGCTTCTTACATACTCTTCTGGGTGTAACAGATGCCCATGTTGGGATGAAGAAGATATACATTTGTTTCCACTTGTTGTCCAGGTGTCTCCAAACAAAAACGCTGTGTTCCCAGAATACTTGGAACCTTTCTGACTCCATACTCAGGCCATGTTACTGTTAAAATAGTTTCTATGTCTGAAATCCCCATAAGACCATGAGTTTCTGGAGAGTGGAGGGCCTGCCCTAATCATCTTTGAATTTCCAAAGCCTATTCCAAGGTCCTGATACACATGGGAGGGAGGGAGAGAGATGGATGGATGGTAGGTGGAAGGTGGATGGATGGATGAATGAATAAATGGATAGAGGATGGGTTCATGGATGAATGGACGGATGGATGGATGGGTGGGTAGATGAATGGGTGAATGATGGACGGATGAGTAGAGGATAGATGGATGAATAGAGGATGGATTGATGGATGAATAATTCATGGATAGAGGATAGACGGATGATGGATGGATGGATAGAGGATAGATGGATAGATGGAATGGACAGAGGATTGATGGATAGACGATGGATAGATGGATGGAGAATTGATGGAGGAATGGATACAGCATTGATGGATGGATGATGGATGGATGAATGGATGGATGGACAGATGATGGATGGATGGTAGATGGATGAATGGATGGATGATGATTAATGCAAATTCTTGGCTTAGCTTAACTCAGGTACAAATCACCCAGAGTTCTGGCTTCAAATCAGTCACTATGTTCCAGGAACAAAGCCTAGAGATCCCAGACTTCTCTGGTTCCTCAGGCCAAACCAGACATTACAAGGCCCTTCACAACAGCTATTCTCACGCCATGGGGTCCCTGGCCCAGCTCAGCAAAAGGACCCAGCTGCTGACCACCCATCCATTTGCTCCCACTTACTATGGTAGAAAGCCTTCTCCCCAAAATGAATGAAGCTGCTGTTGACAGGGCTTGGAAACACACTTCCTTTTAACCATAACATCTATGAAAGAGTCTTTGTAAACTATGAAGAGTTGCACTCACAGTTTTAAAAGTGTCAATTTAAACTAAAGATTCCTGAAATGCCTGCACAGCCCAGGCGAGCCGGCCAACTCAGGGTTTCTCAATCTTGTCACTGCAGAAATTGGGGGCCAGATAATTCTCTATTGTGGGGAGCTGTCCTGGGTATCATGGGAAGTTTAGTAGCATCCCTGGCCTCTAACCACTAGATGTCAGTGGTGGTTACCCTGACAGAGTTGTGACAACCACAAATGTCACCAGATACTACTCAATGTCCCCTGGGAGGCAAACTCACCTCTGGCAGAGAACCACTGGTCTAAATGAACAAAGCCAACTAATGAGGACTGTGGGGACCCAAGGAGGCCACAAACCCATCTGAAGGGGCCAGCAGCTACTCCGTCATTGCCACAGGGGATATAAGCCAAGTGTTGCTGGAACTTCTGATTTTTCTAGATAATGGAAACCCAGAGTTTTTATGTGAAGTGTACCCATGTTTTTTGGTGTGTGTGTGTGTGTGTGTGTGTGTGTGTGTGTGTGTGTGTGTGAGACTGAGTCTTGCTGTCACCCAGGTTGGAGTGCATTGGTGCAATCTCGGCTCACTGCAACCTCTGCGCTTCCCAGGTTCAGGGGAATTCTCCTGCCTCAGCCTCCAGAGTAGCTGGGATTACAGGCGTGTGCCACCACACCCGGCTAATTTTTCTATTTTTAGTAGAGACGGAGTTTCACCATGTTGGCCAGGCTGGTCTCAAACTCCTGACTTCAAGTGATCCATGTGCCTTGGCCTCCCATAGGGTTGGGATTATAGGCCACAGTGCCCGGCCTACCCATATTTAAACTTTAGGAACCAATTTCTAAAAATTTTGAAGGTTGTAGTGGCCGATCTCTCCTGTGGGCTCAGGAACCATTGGTTTGCACTTTCTGGTATAGTTAAATGTAATTCCAGAAATGACAAAAGAATGCCACCACTCCCAGGCCATAAGAGATGAACCTTGGGGCAGAATTAGCAGACAGCAAAGAAGTAAACCAGTGAGGAGACACAACACAGCAAGGGTGGTGACGGCTGGCAGCATCCTGGTGTGCTGGTGCAAAGCACGCGCTCTGCAGTTAGAGAGTCCTGAGTTCAAATCCCAGCTTTGCTTCTTATAAATCTCATTATCTCTGAATTTCCAAATCCTAGTTCCGGGTCCAGATACACATGGGGAGGGAGGGAGATGGATGGATGGCAGATGGAGGGTGAATGGATGGATGAATGTATAAATGTATAGAGGATGGGTTCATGGATGGATGGGTGGGTAGATGGATGGACGGATGGGTGATGGATGGATGGGTGATGGAAGGATGAGTAGAGGATAGATGGATGATAGAGGATGGATTGATGGATGAATCATGGATGAATAGAGGATAGAGACTCTACATGAGTCTCAATAAGTCCCATGAGCCTCAGTTTCCCTATCTGCAAAACGGAGATGGTAACAGTAGTACCTGCTTCGTGAAGTTTAGGTCTTGTAAGATGCTGAGCAAGGGCCTGGCCTAGTAGGTGATAAAGAGTGGAAGCCACCTATATTAGGTTGAATGTTGGTCTTTCTAAAATATGTCCACCTGGAACCTGTGAATGTGGCCTAATTTGGGGGGTTACATTTATTTTTTTTTCCTTTTTGTGGATACCGGGGTCTCACTATATTGCCCAGGCAGGTCTCGAACTCCTGGGCTCAAGCTATCCTCCCGCCTCTGCCTCCCTGAGAGCTGGGACTACAGGCGTGAACCACCGCGCCCAGCCTGAACGTGGCCTATTTTGGAAAAAATCGGTCTTCGCAGATGGAATCAAGTACAAGATCTCAAGATGAGATCATCTTGGATTAACCTGGTGGGCCCTACATTTAATGTCAAGTGTCTTTATGATGGACAGAAGAGAAGACCCACAGAGTAGAATGCCACATGAAGGATGAGGCAGAGACTGGAGTGAGACAAGCCAAGGAAAAGCCAGGAACAGCCAGAGCCACCAGAAGCCAGGACAGAGGCAAGGAACAGATCTCCCTCAGTGCCTCCAGGAGGAACAACCCCTGCCAACATCTTGTCTTTTAAAAAAAAAAAAATTTTTTTTTTTTAAATTTTTAGTAGAGAAGGGGTCTTGCTATGTTGCTCAGGCTGGTCTTGAACTCCTGGCCTCAAACGATCCTCTTGCCTTGGCCTCCCAAAGTGCTGGGATTACAGGCATGAGCCATTATGCCCGGCTCCTGCCGACACCCTGATTTCAGAACCCTGGCCTCCAGAACTGGGAGAGAATAAATTCCTGTTGTTTTAAGGCATCAAGTTTGTGCTAATTTTTTACAGTGGCCTTACACCTCTCTTCTTGCTGAGGAATAAGAAACAGGACTTTCCAACATCAGACATGTGTACCACCAGGGATACACAGGATGGACAATTTAGGTGATTTTATTTTTTATCTTCAAAATACATTAGAAGCAGTATAACCAGGCCAGGCATGGTGGCGCATGAGGATATCTTGAGGCCAGGAGTTCAAGGCTGCAGAACCCAATGTGGTGGGGAAAATCCTGGTGTCCCCTGGTCACTTGGAGCCTCATGAAGCTCCAGCCTGAAGCCTGACCCACCCCCTTCTCCATAGGCCCCTTGATGGAGGGTTTGGAAGTAGCTCTTGGTTTATAAATGGGGTTGGTGTACATTTAGGACTAAGTTGGTTCCTATGAGAGTTCGTCATTTGCACGCCATCGTCTGAATGCTTGCTCTGTGTACCATCTGCTCCATTATTTGCTTAATCATTTTCTTTAAATTTACTTCCTTCTCTTTCCTTACATTTGTTTTAATAGAAAACTTTCTCTATCTTCAGTGACAAATCATCTTCACTTGCCATAAATAGATGGCAATTATAAATATAAATACAAGGAAAACAGTATTACCAAATTCTAGCTAGATGCTTGGGGCTGCCGAAGGTGCTGGGCCTGGAGTCTGGTCTCTGTGGTTAAAGGGGAAACAAGTGCCAAAGTACATTGAGAACACTGGGGACTGGGCATGGTGGCTCATGCCTGTAATCCCAGCACTTTGGGAGGCCAAGGTGGGCTGATTGTTTGAGCCCAGGAGTTCAAGACCAGAGAATACTGGATAACATGGTGAAGCCTTGTCTCTACCCACCCCTCCAAAAATCAAACCAAAACAAAACAAAAAACCCCAGGCCAGGCACGGTGGCTCATGCCTGCAATCCCAGCACTTTGGGAGGCCAAGATGGGTGGATCATCTGAGGTCAGGAGTTTAAGACCAGCCTGGCCAACATGGCGAGACCCAGTATCTACTAAAAATACAAAAAAAATTAGTGGGGCATGGTGGTGGGCGCCTATAATCCCAGCTACCCAGGAGGCTCAGCCAAGAGAATTGCTTGAACCCAGGAGGCAGAGGTTGCAGTGAGCCGAGGTCGTGCCACTGCACTCCAGCCTGGGTGACAATAGCAAGCCTCCATCTCAAACAAAACAAAACAAAAACCCTAAAATCAAAAATTAGCCAGGCGTGGTAGCACATGTCTGTAGTCTCAACGACTTGAGAGGCTGAGCTGGGAGGACTGCTTGAGCCTGCAAGGCAGAGATTGCAGTGAGCTGAGACTGCGCCACCGTACTCCAGCCTAGGTGACAGAGTGGTGTGATCTCGGCTCACTGCAGCTTCGACCTCCTGGGCTCAAGCAATCTTCCTGCCTCAGTCTCCCAAGTAGCTGGGACTACAGTGTGCACCACCACACCCAGTTAATTTTTTGTATTATTTGTAGAGAAGGGATCTTGCCATGTTGCCCAGGTTAGTCTCAAACTCAAGCTCAAGTGATCTGCCTGCCTTGGCTTCTCAAAGTGCTGGAATTACAGGCGTGAGCCACCATGCCCAGCAAAACAATTTAAATGGTCTCATTGTTTTCTTTCACAAGGACAGACAATGATTTAATAAACCCTCTATTAATCAACCTATTTTAGTTTGTTCCAGTTTTTTTCTATTTATTTTTTTTGTAGAGACAGAGTCTCACTGTGTTATCCAGGCTGGTCTCGAACTCCTGGGCTCAAGCAATCCTCTTGCCTCAGTGTCTCCAAATGCTGGGATTACAGGCATGAGCCACTGTGCCCAGCCTGTTCCAGTTTTTTATTATTTAAATAAAACTATACTGAACAGTGTAGTACATCAAGAAAAAAGGATTTGGTAAATTCCTGGCACACAGCAAATACTTAACCATTGTTCATTGTTATTTAAAAGCAAGATTAGAAGCAAAACTGACCCCTGTCCCAAATGAAATGAATCATTCTTGGAGGGCCTATGTCATTCAGACAAGGAGGCTATCAGCACTAGATTCTGATGTGGGACCCTGGCCAAGACCCACATACACCATCCATTTGTCAACTGACCCATACAGCCTAATTTTCCAGACCCCAAGTTATCTTCGGAGGAGCTGCCCCTCCCCTTATGCAGCATTTCAGCAACCTCAGTGCTATTCTGGGGCTCCAAACGGGCGTAGGCGTGGGAAGGAAGGGAAACTTTCCACAGTTCTGTCCTGGTGTTCCTGAAAGAGATTAACCTTCAACACTGAGGCACATCTAACGCAGAAGGAAAATCGTTTCTGGAAACACAGTGTCCCGACCAAGAATTTCTTTCTGAGCTGTCCTGTTCTCAAGACCCAGTGTGTTTCTTGGCCATTGGTTGGATGATTTTGATCAATATCAATTGATCACCAGAGCAACCCCTCCAGGAAAAGCCTGAGTAAATCCACTGCCTCGATCACTCCCCCTCCCCTAAACCCTGCCCACATGTTCCTGATGAGGCCAACATCTCTACCTTCAGCTCCAAGAATCCATTCTTAGGGACCATAATGAAACCACCCTGCGCTTTCCACAACCCTGCCTATGCTGCATAGCTCAGGAATGTGCATATCAACCTAAGCCAACCAATCAGAGTCAATGACACTCCATTCAGGAACTTAAGCCGGGAATCTACTCTGTTCTTTGGACATAAACCCAAAGAATATAAGGGCTGGAACCCAGCTATGTTGCTGTCAACAAACTGCATCCTATAGAGAAACAATGTAGTCGAGAGAGATAGAAGACAAGAAATTAGGTTCTAGAAAAATCTTTTGAACACCTAGATCTCACTGTACCTGAAGCTTGAATTCCTGAACTTTTTTTTTTTTTGAGATGGAGTCTAGCTCCATCTCCCAAGCTGGAGTGGAGTGGTGTAATCTTGGCTCACTGCAACCTCTGCCTTCCGGGTTCAAGCAATCCTCCCACCTCAGCCTCCTGAGTAGCTAGGACTACAAGTGTGCACCACCAGCCCTGGCTAATTTTTTTTTTGTATTTTTAGTAGAGACAGGGTTTCACCAAATTGACCAGGTTGGTCTCGAACTCCTGACCTAAAGTGATCCGCCCACCTTGGCCCCGCAAAGCGCTGAGATTACAGACCTGAACCACTGTGCCTAACCTCCCTGAACTTCTCAACATTCTGAGTTAGTCACTTTCCCTTTGGTTTAAGCCAGCTCGGGTTACTTGCAACCCTAGTTATACAGCCACTTTTCTACAACACAAACAAACCACCTAGAATAAAATTCATTTTCCTCCTTTTTTTTTTTTTTTTTTAATGGAAGGTGGGGAATTCAGAGAGCAGAAATCTGTCCTGACCAGAGAAGAGTTCTTAACAGGTTCCACTGGTATCCAGGCAAGCTACCCTCCAGACTCAAGGTGTGAGGCTTACATAGCTGCTCCTCCTCGCTGAAACCCATGATTGCCATGGCCTCCACGGTTTCCTGGAACATCTCATCATCCTGGGCTGCTGGGATGGGCACAAAGCCATTGGAGAGGAAGGTGTAGTTGTTGAAGCCCTCCAAAAGCAAGTCACCTAGAAGGAGAGGAAGACAGGTCAGGGTCAATAAGACATACTTCTAATTTCAACATGAGACCGAGATCTGGTCAAGGGTCTGGGCCATCATAATTCCTTTCCCTTTATCAAGGCTTGAACCGTTTAAAGCCCTCACGCATCGTCACGTAGACAGCCTCACCAACCACTGCCAGCCTTACACAGCGGTGCAGGTTGTGCACTGCTCCAGTGACTGCAGCTGATATCCAGCCTTGGTTCTGCTTGCTAAGCCACAATCCCTGGCACGAAGTTACATTTACCTGGAGGAAGGGATGCCTTTACCTCAATTGTCTAGAGGCACCCTGCCTTCAGCCTTCAGAGACAAAGCTGTCAGAAGAGTTAGATCAACCTTTACTCTTTTTTTTTTTTTTTTTTTTTTGAGACGGAGTCTCACTCTGTCGTCCAGGCAGGAGTGCAGTGGCGCGATCTCGGCTCACTGCAACCTCCGCCTCCCAGGTTCAAGCGATTCTCCTGCCTCAACCTCCTGAGTAGCTGGGATTACAGGCGCCCGCCACCACGCCCGGCTAAATTTTGTATTTTTAGTAGAGATGGGGTTTCACCATGTTGACCACACTAGACTTGAACTCCTGACCTCAGGTGATCCACCCACCTTGGCCTCTCAAAGTTCTGGGATTACAGACGTGAGCCACCGCACCTGGCCTTATTCATGTATTTATAAAATTTTTATCAAATTCAAACAGGCACATGAGTTTTAAAAATCAATTACTACCAAAGGTTTATAATGAAAAATAGCATTCTCCTGTCACATCCCTTCTCCAACTCTACCTTACTCCATAATACCTGCTTTTATCTCTTTTAGCTGCTTTTTATCTGGCAGTTACCACTATCTCTCTGTACAATAGGCTTGCTATATATACTAGCCTATTATAATGTATATACCATTATGTATTACATATCATAGGCCAAGGGTTCCCCAACCCATAGGCCATAGACCAGTACCGGTCCATGTTAGGAACTGGGCCACACAGCAGGAGGTGAGCAGCAGGTGAGCAAGTGAAGCTTTATCCGCTATTTGCAGCTGCTGCCCATCGCTTGCATCACTGTCTGAGCTCCGCTTCCCATAAGATCAGCAGCAGCATTAGATTCTCATAGGAGCGCAAACCCTATCGTGAGCTGCACATGTGCCCTCCTTATAACACTCTAATGCCTGATAATCTGTCACTGTCCCCCATCACCCCCCGATGGGACTGCAGGAAAACAAGCTCCCAATGATTCTACATTATGGTGACTAGTATAATTATTTCATTGTATATTACAATGTAATAATAAAGTGCACAGTAAATGTAATACACGTGAATCATCCCCACACCATCCCCCCAACCCTGCCCGCCCAGTCTGTGGAAAACTTTTCTTCCAGGAAACCAGTCCTCAGTGCCAAAAGTAACAGGTGCTTTTGGCCTATTGGAAGACCAGAGGCAAAGCACAATCGCTGTAATAGGCGATTTCTGGATATGTCAAGTTTAGATAGTATCTAGTGACTTCCTGCTATGGTAGGCAAAAATGCAGCTTTCTTATACTACCTTTCCTTTCCTCCAGCTATTTTTTTTTTTTTTTTTGAGAGGGAGTTTCACCTTTGTCCAGGTTGGAGTGCAGTGGTGCGATATTGGCTGCTCACTGCAACCTCTGCCTCCCGGATTCAAGCAATTCTCCTGCCTCTCGAGTAGCTGGGATTACAGGCACCCACCACCATGCCCAGGTAATTTGTTGTATTTTTAGTAGAGACGGGGTTTCATCATGTTGGCTAGTCTAGTCTTGAACCCCTGACATCAGGTGATCCACCCGCCTCAGCCTCCCAAAGTGCTGGGATTACAGGTGTGAGCCACCGTGCCCAGCCACCCCCAGCTATTTTTAGTTGAATCAATATATAAGGCTTATATCACAGGTTGGCAAATCTGGTCCCCTGTTGTTTTTGTAAATAAAGTTTTATTGAAACACAGCTGCTCTGATGTCCTTGTTTATTTCTCATGGCTGCTTTCTCACTAGGCAACAGAGTTGAGTAGTTGCAACAGAGGCCATCTGGTCCTTAAAGTCTAAAACGTTTACTACTGACCCTTTAGCAAAAACAGTTTGCCAACTCCCTTTTTATGACATTAATTAGATATTCTGTGTCAAACTGTATCCTATGATTACATTTCCTTTGTTGTTGTTCAGCTTCTCCCCCACCCCCAACTTTATAATTGCCTTTCTTTCTCCTGCACCATTTGCTTTTATTATACCCTCCAATACATCAAGGATCCTCTTCCAGATCAATCTTTAATTAGGATGGATTCGGTTATACTTTTGGAGAGACGTCAGCAAGATATTTTTCTTTCAAAATCAAGGTCTTTTATGGGTCAAGTCACTTGGAAGCTGCTTGATAAACTCGAGGTTAAATTGACTGAAGGCACCAGTTAACTCAAACTTTTGGATTAACTTGAAATGCCTGATTCAAGTCACGAGGATTGAGGTCTTTGCCAAGACTTCATTATCCCGAGTTTGGATGCATTTAGCAATATTTGGTTCTTTCTAAAAGCCTAACATCTTTCCAGTTCTATCATCTAGAATACAAACGGCCCCTGGGAATTTAGTTCTGAGCCCTATACTTGCCCATTTCTGGAAGACCAGAGGCAAAGCACAAAACTGGAACCCAAGGTACCAAACAACCAAACTGTTTTCTTGGGTGCCAAATAAAAGGAAAAGGAATGTCAACATTTTTCCCTGGCCCATTCCACAGGGTCCTGCACTGTAACTGCTAATATACCATGTTTGCTGGTACATAAAAAATCCATTCAGCATTCCCCCTTTACCAAAAATTGCTCCACCTCATAGCCTATGTTCCTGAAAGCCAGCCATTAAGGAAACTTATTTTTATTGTTTGAGACAGAGTCTCACTCTATCGCCTAGGCTGGAGTGCAGTGGTGCAATCTTAGCTCACTGCAAACTCCACCTTCTAGGTTCAAGTGATTCTCCTGCCTCAGCCTCCCAAGTAGCTGGGATGACAGGCGCCAGCCACCACACCTGGCTAATTTTTGTATTTTTGGGGAGACAGGGTTTCACTATCTTGGCCGAGCTGGTCTCAAACTCCTGACCTCAGGTAATCCGCCCGCCTCTGCCTCCGAAAGTGTGGGATTACAGGCATGAGCCACTTTGCCCCACCCTGGAAATTTAAATAATGGATAATGCCACCCCCTAGTAGCTGAGGTCTACAATACACTCCGACACAGCGAAGTTCTGAGCTCACACAGATCCTTTTGGTAACTGTCTTAACCAAAATAACTAACCTTGGGCCACAAAAGAGATGGGAAGCAAAGTCTGTATTGTTCCCATAGAATTTCAGACTCAAAACTTATTACTAACATGTAGACTCTACTATGTACAGATAGTCACTGATCCATTCCTTTTTTAAGCTATGCGATTTGTATATATTTTTAAGAGTTAGTAAACAGCTGCAGGTCCAGAACTCATAACTTCCTACTGGAGTTTGGTATACAGTGTATTATATTTACATAAAAAAACTTTTCCCTACAACAGAGGTCAGCAAACTTCTGCACACTGCCTGTTTTTGTAAATAAAGTTTTATTGTAACACAGTGATGCATCTGCACTCACTGATTTATGTGTTGCCTATGTTCATTGGTTTATGTGCTGCCTGTGCTCATTGGTTTATGTACTGCCTGTGCTCATTGGTTTATGTGTTGCCTGAGCTCACTGGTTTATGTGTTGCCTGAGCTCACTGGTTTATGTGTTGCCTGCACTCATTGGTTTATATATTGCCTGTGGCTGCTCTTGTATTACAATGGCAGAGTTGAATAGCTGTGCCAGAAGCCACCTGGCCTGCAAAGCCTGAAGATTTACTATCTGGCCTTTTACAGAAAAAGTCTTGACCCCTGTTCTACAAAGTCACTGGCAAAACATGTATAATGAAAAATGCTTAGTCCTGCTGCCCCTGCAAATTCCTTATAAAACCAGAATGCATCTTTTATATTTGCAAGTTTTATAAATTGGCAAGTAAGGCAAATGTCTTTCTCCCTTTCCTTGAAGGCGTAGATTGTGTCTAGTTGGACTTGATGCTCTCTGGTCTAATGAGACATGAATCATTAATGATCTAATGTCTAATTGGAGTTGATGGCTACTATGTCACATAGTAGGTGCTCAGTAAATGAGAATGACTGAACACAAGCCACACTCACTCATTGGGAGGAGATGAAGAACTGTTCATATGTCACTCACAGACATGGTCCTTTCTGGCAGGATCTGAGACTGTTTTAATAGCCAATCCCTTAACCCCGGATTCTGATGAAAGGGAAGGCTCAAGCCATCCAATCACATGTCATTGCTAGTCACTTACTTCTCATCTTCTCCTTGGCTCCAGCAATCATGTAGTAAAAGATGTGGAATGTCCTCTCGTCTCTGGCTTGGCGAATTGCCCGTGATTTTTCTAGCAGATCTGGTTTGGAGGGAGTTAGGGATTCTGGGGATACTGCGGGTGTTCCTCTGGTCTTCCACCTCCATCCCTGTCACACCCAATTCACATGGGATGACTTTCCAGTTCTACCCCTGGGATCGGTAATGTCTAACTTTGACCATTGCCCCTATGGACAAATGGAACCGCTGGGTGCTGCCAGCAGACTTCAGATGCAAAAAAAAGGGAGGGGAATAGAGTGAAAAGAAAAAGCATAAAAAGGCTCCAGGAAGAAGGTAATGGTAACGAGATGTTCCCCTAACAGCCATCACCAGCAAATCTTCTTTAAAATGAGCTGTCTTCAGACATGACAGAATACAAATAATGACACCATCTATGATCCTATGATTTATGATTCATTCCTGTGTGAAATGATTGATATAAATTGTCTCACTGAAGCCTCACAAAGTATGCTAGGAAATAAGTGCAACTATTATCGGTGTTTTCAATAAGGGGAAACTGAGGCTCAGAGAAGAGAAGTCCTTTCTCAAGATGATACAGCTAACAAGTGGCAAAGCTGTCTTCCATGCCCTCTGTTCCAAGAGTGGGGTCTGACGGGATGGAGGCGAGAGAGACCGTAAACACGCCACACTAATTAATTTCAGGAGAGCTTCTCCGCGATGCGGGGTGGCAGGAGGGAGAGCAGAGGGGAGGGCAGGTGAGGGTGGCATGGAGATCACAGGGTCCGGGGTGATGGGAGAGGGCAGCTGGGAGGCTGGGCTACTGTACTGGGTGGATTTCCACAGCACTAAGCATGATGGTGCGGGATGATGGGGCTAGATCAGCAGACCTTGTCTTCTTCAAGTCCTAAAGCCAGCTAGCAGTGCCCGGGCTACCACAGCCCATGTCCAATCTGGAAAGCAGTGATTCTCAGACTTTCTCATGGTGTACATGGGTATACACACGCACACATACACACACACACACACACACACACGCACGTATGTTTGAGCCAGAGTCTCGCTCTGTCACCCAGGCTGGAGGGCAGTGTGTGATCTTGGCTCACTGCAACCTCTGCCTCCCGGATCCAAGCAATTCTCCTGCCTCAGCCTCCTGAGTAGCTGGGACTACAGGTGCATGCCACCACGCCTGGATAATTTTTGTATTTTTAGTAGAGACAGGGTTTCACCATATTGGCCAGGTGGTCTCGAACTCCTGACCTCAAGTGGTCTGCCCGCCTCGGCCTCCCAAAGTGCTGGAATTACAGGCGTGAACCACCGTGCCTGGCTGAGATGTGTGTTTCTAAAGAGCTCCCAAGTGATGCTGATGCTGCTGGTTTGGAAACATACTTTGAGAACCACTGATCTAAAAGGAAGGCTGAGGCCAGAAGGACGGGGCTATGCCTGGGGCTCGCTCTAAACACAGGAAATGAATTGCTGAGAGGTGTGTGCAGGGCTGCAGGACAAGAGGGCCCTGGCTCTGGACTTGACCGAAGCCTGACAGCCCTCCTAGCTGCAGGATGGGAATCCTGGCTGGTTTGGGCAGATTAAAGTAGAAACGTAGAAAACATTGAGTTAACGCAATAGCCACCACCTATGAGATGCTCACTTTGGGCCCAGTACCGTACCAAGGGCTGTGCATATTATTATGCATATTATTTCATTTAACCCCTGCACCAGCTCCAGAAACTAGGTGCAATCACCCCCATTTTACCGAGGCAAAACTGAGGCCCAGAGAGCTTCAGTGATTTTCCCAAATCCCCACAGCTTAGACAAGTACAGTGGAGAGGAAGCTACTCCACAACCCACCCTCTTATCCAGGGCACATAACGTGGAAAAATGGGACCACTAGGTGCTGCTAGAGGACCTCAGGTGCAGAAAGAAGCTAAGTCAGGCCCCCAGGTCCTATACATTGCCAAGCACGTGTTCCACAGGAAGCCTGAGCCCTAGGGCCGCCTGCAAAGCTCCTGAGGCTGATCAGTCACTGAACTCTAGACCTGGTTGTTCCCCCACGTCCAGAAATTTCTAACTTGGCTCCACTTCACCGCTCAGGTTCATGAAAGAGATGCTCTACTTGTTCCTTGCGATACCAGCATTCTTCTGGGTAAACTCTGTTTTCATCAATTTCCTACCTAAGAAGTGGAGCCGATCACAGACCAACTCTCTAAGAGGACGACAGGTCCAGAATTTGGCCTCGGACAATGGCTGAATAAGGATGAAGTGAAGATCATACGATAGACACTACGTAGCCAGCCCTTACTCTGCACCTCGCATGGTGCCTAGAGCTTTATATGAGTTCATTCACTCTATTCTCACATTTCTATGAGGCAGGTACCATTCATTATCATCCCCATTTTGCTGATGAGGCACAGAGAGGTGGAGTAACCAGCCCAAGGTCACTCAGCTAAGGGACAGATCATTTGAGCATCACATGCAGCCTAGGCTGCTTGTTTAGGGTTCAAACCAGGGGTCCGGTCCACACATGTATAACCACTGCACCACAATGCCTGCTGTTAAGGGGAGATTTGTTCTGGAAGAAACCTAAGAGGCTGGAAAGATAGAGGTGGCTCTTGGACTCTCCCAGCCTCTGGGCAGGAGATTGGTAGGGGGCAGGGGTACCCATTTGGCCCAGGCTCAGGGAAAGGATACAGGTCTCAATGTTGGCTCCCACGATGTAACCCGTGACGTCGAAGTTGATGCGGATGAATTTGCCCTGCCAACAGGAAAACACAGTTCAGGCTTTGCTGCCCAACTTCAGCCGTTAACCCCATGCTGTGGGCAAGCAGGAGGCAGATGGTACAGAGGATGGGAGGTGGGGCGGGGAGATTCTTGCGAACACTCAGAACCCCACAGGTCAAGTTGTCAGGCGGAACCAACATCTGCTGAGCTGAAACCACCCCAGGCCTGACAGCAACAGAACGTGTAAAACATGTTCACAGATCAATTTCATTCGGCTTTTGCAATGACCGTAGTCCATCATGGCTATCCCTATTTAAAAAAACTTATTTATTTATTAGAGACAAGGTTTTGCTCTGTCAGCGAGGGCTGGAGTGCAGTGGTGCAATCACAGCTCACTGTAACCTTGAACTCCTGGGCTCAAGCAATCCCCTTTTCCCCATGACCTCACCCTCCCAAGCAGCTAGGACTACAGGCATGCACCACCATATCTGGCTAATTTTTAAATTTTTTTTTGTAGAGATAGGATCTCACTGTGTTGTCCAGGTTGGCCTCAGACTGCTGCACTCAAGCAATCCTCCCACCTCAGCCTCCCAAAGTGCTGGGATTACAGGAGTAAACTACCACACCCAGCCCACTATCCCCATTTTAAAGCTGGGAAAACTAAGGCTAAAAGAGATCAAGTGACTTGTCCAACGTGACGTTGCTCCTGAGAGGTAGGGCCCTAAGCAGAAAGAAGGTTTTTCCATATTCAGGGGCTAGAGGGCTCCCTCCCCAGACCCCACCCTGCTCCAAAACATCCACATCATCCAACTATGGATTAAACCTTTTCTGTGGGACAGGTGAGTATGCATTGGCCACACTGCCCAAGCAGGCCCTGTGTAGGATGTCCTTTAGGCAGGAATGGCTCATGTTCCTGGCCCTAGAGGCTCAACAAGTATCTCCAAAGATGGCCCTATCTACCTGCCTCAGCTAAGCCATGAAACCAAGGATGGAACCCAATCCTCCATCTGTTGGCATGAACCCTTTTCCTGTTTCCTCAACAGGTGAGACAGGATTTCATCCTTTTCCCCCATCATGACATAACATGGTGGGAAGTGTTGGCGTGTGTGGACACAATCCCCTAGGCTTGCTCAGTCCTTGACAAAACCTTCAAACTTTCCCCATTGGGAAACATGCAGTAGAGTGATTTGGGATGACCATATCCCAGATGGAGCCAGGGAGAGCCGGCTGGTCACAGGCAAGGCCCAGGCACCTTCTTCACTCTCCTTCCCAAGATGGCAGGGACGCCAGTGAGTGGAGGATGTTTTTAGGGATTTGTCTTGCACGTGCTTCCATTTATGACAGGCTAGAAACATTGCACAGAATTGGAACATGCAAACGCAGTGCTTCTCAGTGGAGGCGGCACATCTGCTATGGAGATTTTGGAAATCGGTGGAAGCCATTATTTGGCTTGTCACATGTTGGGGGGGGGCCGCTGTTGTTAGTGAACAGTGGGGCCAAGGATATTTTGGGAGTCCTGCAATGACCTGGAGAGTCTCTGATGCCAATCCTTGTCTATATCCCTTATGACTCTTCCAATGTCTCACCTGCCACTCATGGAGGTAAAAATCTGTTTGTAATTAGCCAGGCTTAGAACCTAACCTTTATGACTTTAGATTTTTACGCTTTTTTTTTTTTTTTTTTTTTTTTGAGACAAGAGCCTCACTCTGTCGCCCAGGTTGGAGTGCAGTGGTGTGACTTTGGCTCACTGCAACCTCCATCTCCCCGGGTTCAAGGAATTCTCCCACCTCAGCCTCCCGAGTAGCTGGGAATACAGGCATGTGTCACTGCGCCCAGCTAATTTTTGTATTTTTAGTAGAGACAGGGTTTCACCATGTTAGCCAGGCTGGTCTCAAACTCCTGACCTCAGGTGATCTTCCCAACTCAGCCTCCCAAGGTGCTGGGTTTACAGGTGTGAGCCACTCTGTGCCTGGTCTAGATTTTTATGCTTTTAAATGAAAGCATTAACAAGTGTTTAAAATGTTGTTCTAATACAAGAATATCCCATCTGTGTGACTCTAGAGAAGATTGTTCTTTGGTTCAGCGCTTCACTGAGAGTCAGTTGCCATTCTGGAAAATCCCATGCCAACATCATCAGTGCCTGAACTTGACCCTTTTCCTTGTATTTGTAGCTGTCGCCGTGGATAGACCTAAGTGTCTGTCTCTTACTGTGTCTTCTGTTGGTGTGGCCTGGCCCGAGCATTGATATGCTGAAATGCACTTTATTTATTTATTTTTGTAGAGATGGGGTTTCCCCATGTTGCCCAGGCTGGTCTCAAACTCTTGAGCTCAAGTGATCTGCCCGCCTCAGTCTCCCAAAGTACTGGGACTACGGGCATGAGCCACCTCGCCTGGCCTGAAATGCACACTTTCATTATGAATTGTCTTATGTTATTTCTTCTTCATATTCCAGTTAGGGCATTATGCTGATGTGTATTCATCTAATACGTGTAGGAGGTGATACTATCTATGATTCTAATTTCGGGCGAGGAAAGGAGACATTATGTAATTGTTTGTTACTAAAATGGGCCTTGGGGATCACAGGGTCAGGGACCACCATGTGCATTTGCTCAGCAGAGCAGAGCTTTCTGCAAAGAGTCTTTCACAGGGCCCCATCTCAGCGAGCAACAGTTCAGAGACCCCCTTCTCCTGGAATGCAGAGGCAATTTTTCCTTCATCTTTTCTCACTAAAATATCTTTCTGACCCTCCTACGGAGACAACCGCTTCTTTTGCACAATAAAACCATTGTTGTCTACCTATCATCAACCATCCACTTTCAGAGTTCCCCTGCCCTGTTGGGCTCAGGCAAAAACTTTTTGCTTTGGAGCCTGGGGGAGTGTGCATGGGAAGGTAGTACCCCCTGCCTCACTTACTCTCTGTTATTCAGTTGGAAGAACCAGCTTCATGAAGGCTGGAACCATATCTGAACTATTCATCGCAATCCTGTGAGACTCGCTGAGTGCCTGGTATACAGTAGGCACTTAATAAAAACAGCAAATGAGAAAAAAACAAAGAGAATGGTGGTACATGTAAAAGTGCCTACCAGAGTAATTGTACACAGTAGGTACTTACTAAGTATTTCTTGGAGGAGGTGTGTGCCTGGTACACAGTTGGCACTCAATTCATGTTTTGTTACATAAAATGGTATCGGATATAAGGGTCTAGCCCATACCAGGTGCTCAATACCTAATTTTTTAAATTTTATTTTAATAATAGAGATGGGATCTCGCTTTGTTGCCCAGGCTGGTCTAGAACCCCTGGGCTCAAGTGATCCTCCCACCTCAGCCTCCCAAAGTGCTGGGATTACAGGTGTGAGCCACCGCACCAGGCCAATCAATATTTGTTGAGTGAATAGTGAATAAATTAATGAATGAATGAGAGAGTGAGAGGCAGGAGCCCTTGCAAGATTGTGAGATACAGCCCATCTCTCCAGGGTCAGATGCCCCTCCCACCTCTGCACGCAAACACTCTGCAGCCCCAGGCAGGAGATGACACCAAAGCTTTTCTGGAAAATCCATGTGGCTTTGCTACTTACGAATCGTGAGGAGTTGTCGTTCTTCACTGTTTTGGCGTTGCCGAAAGCCTCCAGAATCGGGTTTGCTTGTAGAAGCTGCTTTTCCAGCTCTCCCTAAAATTCATTCACATCTAGTTATTGGAGAAAGCAACCTAGGTCCTGACAGTTCTACCTTGGATGGATGTTGTCACAAAACTCTGCCCTTAACCCACAGGTTCTCTCCTATCTCCTACCTCCTCTTAGACCCTGATGCTAATGTTCAGATTTACAGGAGGATTTCAGAAGAGAAGCAACTGTCTGAGCTCTCTAATAGCTAGGACATCTGCTCCCTAGGAAGGTCACTTTTTTCAAGACCAGGGCCTGCTCATCTGTGCAACATCACTGCCACTCAAAGCCACTGCCTTGCACAATGTCGGTGATGTCATTTACATCATGATGAATGGTGCCCCCCGGAGTTGTGCAGTGCACCACCTGTCCCACTGTACATGGCAGTCGTGCTGCTGTTCATGTTTAACAAGCAGCCTTCTTCAAGTTAAACCACTACAAGCCTCCTTCTAATTATTTTAGTGCAATTTTTTTTAAGTTGCAATTTTTTCTTTCTCAGGACTGGTTTTCTGAAGTCTTCTACAGCAGACAAGTAAGGAATGCACAAAACCCACCAGGAATCCTCTTAGCGGACTGCGGAATAAAGCTTCAAAGCAGGTTGCCTGAGCTCCATTCATTGGGTTAAAGGAAGCTGAGACTGTACACAGCCCACCGGCCCCCTCTGCCGGGATGCCTTTGCACAAACGCGGTCACGTGATTAATCATGGCAGGAAAGGGCCAATGTGGTAAGTTAAGCTGGGAAAGCAAACGAGCTGCTCTTGGCCTAGCCCTAAAACATGGCGGCTGCAGTTGGGCCCCGAGGCCTCCAGGCCCTGGATTCTGGGAGTTTTTCTCCTTGTCCTCCCCTCCTGCTTTCCCTTCCTTATTTTTCCAGGCATCAGGGCTGGGCTGGACAGGAGCCGGGAAAGTGTCTAGAGGGGACAAGGATGGGCATGGCTTCCTCCTCATTCCTCCGCATGCTAGGAAGGCATCAGGGTACCTGGTCTACAGGACAAAGCAGGAAGCTGCTATTTGTTTCTGTTTTGATTTGTCCACACATCCTCCTTTTTGTAGCTCCCAGAGAAAGATGAAGCAAAAGCCTCATCCGCATACAAATCTCAGCTACAAGTGGAATCACCACAGCTGAGACTGGTGGAAATTTACAAGGAGCACCACGGGCATTTCTTTGTTGGTGGGAAGACGACTAAAGGAATCACTTTTGTTCACATAAACTTGGGGTCTCCATGCTCTCTGAAAAAGGCTCCCTTTCTAGAATGGGGATTCTGGCAGGTAAGGTTGAAAAGTCTTGGCAAGAGAGCTTTAAATCGGGGGACCTGGTTCAAACCCTCAATTTTATAGATGATGAAACCATAGCCCCGAGGAGTTAACTGACTCGGCCAAGGTCACACAAAAGCAGATCCCAAATAAGAACTGTAATTCTCCTTCTGATCTGCAACACAGTCACCCAGGGTCTAACTAAGATGGATTGAATGATCTTTTCGGGAGCCAAGGAAGACACCTGTGGGTTTCTTCTAGGCTGGGACCCACACATCAGCCCCCCAAGCTCTGTGTTAGAGATGAGTTTACATATGCACAGGTCCAAGCAGGACCAGGTTATGCGTTGCGTAGCTGGGGCCTTACCGCGCCACCAAAGCTAGTGCATCGCGACCTCCAAGACTGTTTCTGGAGGCTTGAGTCAAGCAACCAGCATGCAAGAGACAGACACGCACTGCACACGCATGCACAGGGACACACTGGTGCACCAGGGACAGGGCTGAGGGAAGACACTTAGGGATGATGGCAGGGAGAGAAGAGGGAGGCATGCCACAGCTGTGCCATCGACTGTCCATCGAGCCAGGGAAGCTTTGGGGCCTGACAGTCCTAAAACACTCAGCCAGATGGGACAGACATCTCTGTCTAGGTTGTTCCAGTCAAGGGTACCAGGAGCGGATGCTTTGAAGGGTGCAGGGGTTCATTCTGAACCGGAGAAATCCATTTCAGGCTGGAGCGCAACCCTGGGGACTCCAATAGGCGTCCCGTGGGTGGTAAATGCACCCCCACACCCTTCCCTGGCATCAGACACCCACAGGATGGTATTTTGGTGCATTTACTGATTTAAGTTGTGAAACTCTAGGGCCTACCCCATTTCTACCACCAGCTACGGGACTCGGTGGGTGCAAGAGGATCATGCAGATCTAAGTTCACTCCGTGCCTCCCCTACACACCAGGAAAACACTCTCAGTTACTCACGTAGGCAAAAGATGGGCCTTGCTGTGGTTGAACAACACAGTATAAAACAAATGTCAGCGTTATTTCCATCACATGGACATCAGGGGCTGGAGAATATATGACTTTGATCCCCCCAAACAGCCTGGAGTCTCCCAGACAGACTGGTCAGCTCCTTTTCCTTGATACTGTTTCTTTTCTCTCTGTTTAGCTGCAGGAATACGATCACAGCTCACTGCAGTCTCAACCTACTGGGCTCAGGCAATCCTCCTGCCTCAGCCTCCCAAGTAGCTAAGACTACAGGCATGCACACCAGGCCCAGCTAATTCTCTTGATTTTTTTTTTTTTTTTTTTTTGGTACAGACAGGGTCTCACTATGTCACCCAGGCTGGTCCTGAACTCCTGGGCTCAGACCATCCTCCCACCTTGGCCTCCCAAAACACAGATTACAGGCATGAGCCCCCATGCTCAGCCATTCCCTCCTTTTTCTAATTTCTTAGAGATCCAGACATTTCAAAGGTTTTCATAATTACTGGGGCCACATTAGGCTCCTTAAAACAGTATCCAGTGAGACAATGTCTGAGATGTGTTTACGCATGCAGCCAAAACAAGCAGCACATAGTAGGCCCTTGATAACGATGAGTTGTTAGAAAGTATTATCTCCTGTGTTTACTCTTTAGGGAAAGGGAAGGCAGTGGAAACTGTGTTTAAACTGCCACACAGCCTCTGGGGCCATTGTTCCCACTCACTATGGCTGGAAACCAACTTGCCAGAGACAATTCTAGGATGCTGAATCTTGAGTTTCCTGCATTTGTTTGGAGAAGGAAAGTTCTCCAAAGCCACGACCAGCGCCCATCCTAGATCTCCAAGGGCCTCCAGACAAGCCGGCCATGGTGGCTGCCCCAGAGTCCCCTCTGAGGACGCAAAGTGACATCTGGAATGGCGAACACTGGAGACACCCCATGCCGTGGTCAGATCTCCATCCTACCATCTTCCCACCCACAAACCTGCAGACGGAGGCACCGGCCAGTCCTAGCGGCCCTACCACGTGCCCCCTCCTGTGGGATAGATGGGGCAGGGCTGACACACGAGGAGGAAGAGAAGGATGGGCCCTAGAGGTGATGACTCTAGAAACCTGCTCTTCTTTTCCTCCCAAGCTCTTAGTCATACCGTGTCATCATCTGTTTATTTGAGGGATTCTTTGACAACTACATGCTCTTCCACAGGTCTGGAAGCTCAGAGAAGAGAATAACAGCATCTCTCAGACTTATCCCCAGGTCCCCACCCCAAGTGGTTCCTGGCATACAGTAGGTGCTCAATCCACAGTTACTGAATGGCATTGCACTGAAGCCCACGGGCCGAGTGATACCAGCATCTCCATCCCAGGGACAGGGGGACACGTGGAGGAATCCGGGAACCCAAAAGGTACCTTAACCCCTGGGACGTTACAGAGATTCATGAAAGGAGTGCTTCTCAATCAAGGGCAACTGTCCCACCCCAGGGAACATCTGACAATGTCTAGAGATATTTTTGGTTGTCACAACTGGAGGGAAGGGGGCTGTCGGCATCTGGCGGGTCGAGGCCAGGGATGTTGTGAAACATTCTACGAGCCACAGGGAAGCCCCTCCAAGGAAGAGTTATCTGGTCCAAAATGACATCAGTGCCACCACTGAGAAGCCCCGACGTGGAGGAAGATCTCGCTATGGAAGGAAAGGGCTTATTCTCATTTCACAAAACGGGCCCCCTTCTGGAGGGATGCTTCTAGCTGAGCCAAGAAATCACCCACACTCAACAGGCCTGCTCGCCAAAAAGACGGTCCCTCTTTGAGTCTTCAGGGGAGGGGTAGTCAGATGGGGCCTGAGTTCTTGCAATGATGTTCTGTTTGTATCTCGGTTGGGCTGCAAGCTGGAGACCGGTTGGCTAAATCATGGCCTCTGATTGGGAACTGCCACTCACCGTGATACTTGTGTCTTTCTTGCCCTTGTGGGAGGAGGCCACCACGGCCAGGTACTGAATGACCTTCTTGGTGTTTTCGGTTTTCCCGGCTCCAGACTCGCCTCTGAAAGACACGGGAACATCATCTATGCACACGTTCCATGGTGACCTTTCCGCAGTTCCATGAGCCAGGCAGGACAATAATGATCATCACCACCATTTCCCAGAGGGTGAAACAGAGGCTCCCAGAGGGGAAGTAACTTGCCCAAGGCCACATCTCTGGTAGTGAGCGGAACTGGGTCCCCAGCCTAGGTCCAATGCCCAATCTATTCCTTCCAAGAGGACATAGAAAAGAATTCAGATACAAAGAGTGAAAAGGTGGGCCGGATGTGGTGGCTCATGCCTGTGATCCCAGCACTTGGGGAGGCTGAGGTGGGAGGATCATTTGAGCCCAGGAGTGTGAGACCAGCTCAGCAACACAGAGAGACACTGCCTCTAGAAAAAGATTTAAAAATTAGCCAGGCATGGTGGCACATGCCTGTAGTCCCAGCTATTTGGGAAGTTGAGGCAGGAGGATCACTCGAGTCCAGGAGTTCAAGACCAGCCTGAGCAACACAGCACAACCCTGACTCTATAAAAAATAAGAAAAATTAACCAGGCTTGGTGGTGCATGCCTGTAGTCCCAGCTACTCAGGAGGCTGAGGTGGGAGGATGGCTTGAGCCCAGGAGTTTGAGGCCACAGTGAGCCATGATCACACCACTGCACTCCAGCCTGGGTGACAGAGCAAGACCTCATCTCTAAAAAAATAGAGTGAACAAGAAAACCTTAGTTTTCTTACATAGGTCCAAACAGGTTTATTTGGAATTATCTACTTTTTTTTTTTTTTTTTTTTGAGATGGAGTCTCACTCTGTCCCCAGGCTGGAGTACAGTGGCACAATTTCAGCTCACTGCAAGCTCCACCTCCCTGGTTCTCCTGCCTCAGCCTCCCAAGTAGCTGGGACTACAGGCACCCACCAGCACACTCGGCTAATTTTTTGTATTTTTAGTAGAGACGGGGTTTCACCATGTTAGCCAGGATGGTCTCGATCTCCTGACCTCGTGATCCGCCTGCAGACATCATTAGCATTGCTAGAAATGGAAAGACCAGGCACAAGGCAGCCTTCAAGAAAGGATGTAAGTGCCTCTGGAGTACCAGGACCTAAAGTTTAAGAAGCTCCCTTATGGAAAGAAAAATTTACCAAAAAACCGGTTATCCCATTGGTCACTGGGCAGATGCAAGCCCCTTTATCCTCTGAGGAATCCCACCCCATGTATCAGGAAGCTGGCTGATGATCTCAGCCAAGTATCTAAGAATAAACCCAGTTGAAGTAATTCACACTAAAGTGTAAATGACTGATATGTTTAGATCAGCACGACATGGTTTGTCGTATCAAAAAAGTATGTCCTCCTGGAATATGAAGGTAGATCTTTTTTTTTTTTTTTTTTACCAAGATGGCTTTCGTGCACTAGCTGCCTGTTTTGGCCACCAGAAATCATCACAATGGAACCGCTCCATCCAGATACTGCCTCTATGTTCCACCACTCCTAGTGAAAGATAAGGACAGTGCCTTGACCAAAACTTCACTTGTTTATCGTCTTCTTCTATTTTTCAGTTTACTTTTGTTTTTTGTGTTTCCTTTCTTTGCCTTATCTCTTTTATTTTCTGAGCTCACTTAATACTCTAAAATATAAGAGAGTTTTTTTTTTAAGTTGAAAAAAGAATTTGTTCACCCCGAGGTCAGCCCAAGGTTCTCTGTGCTGAACCAGTGCCACCAAAGCTAGTACAGTCTCTGCTCTTCTTCCTAATTAGGAAATAAAGAAATTAATTTTCTCTGCCAAAGGCCCATTAATAACTTGGCTCATGGCTTAAAAAAGAAATAGAAGAAAAGAAAAAAGAAAGAGAAAGAAAAAAAAAGTGCCCCAAATTGCTGTGCCTAATCCTACAGGTCCCACTGTCCAGAAATCAAGTGTCTGATGGCCAAGAATGATGAAACATCTTGCGGTGACTTTGTGTGGTCCCTTCCCTTCCTAGAGGCCTTCCTTCCCAATGGCCACATTATTTCACATGGCCTCAGAGGCAGTTTATGAAATGGGGACCATGAAGGCATTACCCCATTTCCCCAGAAGGGGAAACTAAGACCAGAATATATGTGTGTGTGTGTGTGTGTGTGTGTGTGTGTGTGTGTGTGTGTAAAAGAGGAGAACTGGCCAGGTGCAGCAGAGAACTGGCCACGTTTATAATAGCAGCTACTCAGGAGGCTGAGTTGGGAGGATGCCTTGAGGCCAGGAGTTTGAGAGAAGCCTGGGCAACATAGCAAGATCCCATCTCTTAAGACAGAGAAGAATTGGCGTTTGTCATTGGGGGGATATAGGGGGAAGGGTCCCTTTGCTAAATGCTCTACATGAATTATTTCCTTTATCCTCTTCCTGCTTCCATGTTATTATAGAAGGAAGAGTCTTGCCCAGAGTGGGTAAGCAATTTTCCCTAGGTCACACAGCAAAGAAGGGATACAGTCAGAATGGAAAGTCAGGTCTCTGATTCTAATGCAGTCAGAATTCCTTTTACTACATTTCACCAAGTTGTTCCATGACACAGGCCCAACCCTCTAGGGACTTGCTTTCTAAGGCCAGAAGAAGGGCAGGGGAAGGGGAATTGATATTTGTTGAAGGCCTGCACAGTACTAGGCTTTGGGCTCACAGATCTTTTCATTTACTCTACCCAGCAATCTAATGAGAGAGTTATTAATTATCCCCATCACCCATCCGGGGAAACTGAGGCAAAGAGAGGTTTGAAGTAAATTGCTCCAGCCCACAATTGCTCCTGCTTTCACACAGATAGGAAATGGAGGAGAAGCAGGATTTGAACGTAGGTCCACTTGACACCAGGGCCCATGTTCTGCCTCCTACCCTTTTATTTTAACAAATCAGCAAAGAGAAAAGACAGAGTGAAGTCCCAGCCCCACTCCACTGGAATTCTGCCATATATTCCAGGAGGCTTTACTTGCCCCAATCAATGAACCAAGCCACTCAGTCATTCACACCTAAGTATGAATTACTTCAATCAGGCTAACGTCAGAACCTTGCTTGACTTCATTCTAAAGTGAAGGGGTTGGATTCTGATTAAAGCAAGAGAAAGGAGAGAAATTTTTGGATGTAGGAAACCACTTGCGTAGGTGGTCATGAACCTATTCAGATCCAAGACAAGAATCAGGACAGCAGTGTGCACAAACAACATGTGTGGATCACACTCTTCATGCTGACAAACCAGTGCTCCTAGACTGCTGCTGCTCACTTCTCCTTTCCCACAATAGTTCCTTCCTTTCCACCCTGGCCTTGAACCTCTCTCACCTCCTCCCTTTTACAACAAAGACATCACCGGGTGTGGTGGCTCACGCCTGTCATCCCGGTACTTTGGGAGGCTGAGGCGGGTGGATCACTTGAGGTCAGGAGTTCAAGACCAGCCTGGCCAACATGGTGAAACCCTGTCTCTACTAAAAATACAAAAAGTAGCTGGGCATGGTGGTGGGTGCCTGTAGTCCCAGCTACTTGGGGAGCTGAGGCAGGAGAATCCCTTGAACCCAGGAGGCGGAGATTACAGTGAGCTGAGCTCGTGCCACTGCACTCCAGCCTGGGCAATAGAATGAGACTCCATCTCAAAAAACAAACAAACAAACAAACAAACAGACAGACAAAAAAAAAAACAAAGACATCAATGTGCCCTATCCGTGGCTATGGTCTCCCACTTTGCCTGGGATGGGGAGTGGGACATAAACTCTGGGCATCTACCCCTTCCCATGTTGCTGCTGGGCTCCACTGTTTCCAAGTTCTGTTGAGAAAAATAAATTGCCCTGGGAGGTTCTGCCAAAGAAAACATCCCAAGCTCCAGGCTCGTGGGCGTCTGAAGGTTGATGTGCTTAGAGCTGGTTCTAGAAACATTCATAGCTTGGCTTTTCTGACCCCTGACCTCTAGGGGTGAAGATGCCTTCCTGGTCTGAGCACCCTAAACTCCTTTCTTATTTCTTGGGGAATTTGGTACTGAGCTCCCTCTTCCCGGAGAAGGACCAGACTCATGACCACGTTATGGCCTCCTGGCCTTGTAACTACCCCAGTGCCAAGTCCTTTTAATCAGTCCAGCCCCAGCAGCTGGGAAGAACCACCCAATGGCCACTTAATCCCCCAGCCAGGCTGGCTTCATGAGTGTGACCTGTACCGTCTCACAGGGACCACCCTGTGCTTCATACTCTAATGTTGCCATCTGGAAATTCTTCCTAATTCTTTATAAACGCTCTGCATTTTTTTTCTTTTCTTTTTTTTTTTTTTTTTTTGAGACTGACTCTTGCTCTATTGCCCAGGCTGGAGTGCAGTGTGTGATGGCGGCTCACTGCAACCTCTACCTCCCAGGTTCAAGTGATTCTCCTGCCTCAACCTCCCAAGTAGCTGGAACTACAGGTGCCCGCCACTATGCCTGGGTAATTTTTATATTTTTAGTAGAGATGGGATTTCACCATGTTGGCGAGGCTGGCCTCGAACTCCTGACCTCATGTGATCTGCCCGCCTCAGCCTCCCAAAGTGCTGGGATTCCAGGTGTGAGTCACTGCACTCAGCCAGCATTTTCATTTTGCAAAATTCTACAAATTCTGCAGCTGGTCCTGGCTCCCAGGGTCGAATATTGCCAAGTCCATTGCAGCCTGTGGTTTGCCACTGGTAGGAAAGCCAAATTGTCTCTGATGAACCTCACAGCTATTCAGTCCCTGGTCTTTATGTGACTGGCAAAGCACCCTGGCATTTTGTACTGTACAACTCCTACACGTCCTGCAAAACCCCAGGCAGAAGCAACGCCTCTCTCCCCTATAGCATCAATTGGCAGAATAGCATAATGGGCTCCAGGACCAGGTTGCTCAAGTTCAAATCCCTCCTCTGCCAGTTACCTGGGTGACCTTAGGCAAGTCATTTAGCCTCTCCATACCTCAGTTTCTTTACCCCATTATAAAATGGGTATAATAAAAACACTTACCTTGTATGATTTTTTTTTTTTTTTTTTTGAGACAAGATCTCACTCTGTGGCCCAGGCTGGAGTGCAGTGATGCAATCATAGCTCACTGCAGCTGAGAATTCCTAGGCTCAAGTGATACTCCTGCCCCAATCTCCCAGGTAGCTGGGACTACAGGTGCACACCACCACAGCTGGCTGATTTTTAAATTTTCTGTAGAGACAGGGGTCTCGCTATGTTGCTCAAGCTGGTCTCGAACTCCTGGTCTCAAGTGATCTCTAGCCTCAGCCTCCCAAAGTGCTGGGACTACAGGCATGAGCCACCATGCCTGACCTTTTATATGATTCTTATGAGGATTAAATGAGTGAACATTTATATAAAATGCTTAGAACAATGCCTGGTATGCCAAAATGTTAGTTATTATTACTTTTGTTTTTTGAGACAGAGTTTTGCTTCTTGCTCAGGCCGGAGTGCAGTGGCACAATCTTGACTCACTGCAATCTCGAACTCCTGGGTTCAAGTGACCCTCCCACCTCAGCCTCCTGAGTAGCTGGGATGACAGGCATGTGCCACTACACCTAGCTAATTTTTTGATTTTGTGGGGTCTCGCTAAGTTGCCCAGGATAGTCTTGAACTCCAGGCCTCAGGCAATCCTCCTGCCTCGGCCCCCTAAAGTGTTGGGATTACAGGTGTGAGCCACTGTGCCCACCTATTATTACTTTTATAACCACTGCTTCCACAGAAGTTATATATTGTTTGTATAATGATTTTCAGCATTCATCCTATCATTACAATATAAATAATATTCACATTTTCCCACTGTTTAAGCTAGGAGTTAGCAAACTCTTTTTGTAAAAGGTCAGACAGTAAATATTTTAGACTTTGAGGGTCACGCATTCTTTGTCACATCTGCTCAGCTCTCCACTGCAGCACAAAAGCAAATACGTAAACAAGTGGGTGCGGCTGTGTTTCAATAAAACTTTATCTGGAACAGACAGACAAGGGCCTGATTTGACCCACTGGTTAAACTTTGTCCTTCCTTGGCTTGAGTCCCTTAGCACGTTCTCATCCATTTCATTTATTTATTTTATTGTTATATATATTTTTTGAGATGGGGTCTCACTGTGTCACCCAGGCTGAAGTGCAGTGGTGCAGTCTTGGCTCAGTGCCAACTTTCTGCCTCCCAGGCTCAGTGAACCGAGATCCTCCTGCCTCATCCTCCTAAGTAGCTGGGACTACAGGCACATGCCATCACGCTCAGCTAATTTTTGTTTTTGTAGAGAGGGGGTTTGGCCATGTTGGCCAGGCTGGTCTTGAACTCCTGAGCTCAAGCGATCAGCCTGCCTTGGCCTCCCGAAGTGCTAGGATTACAGGCATGAGCCACCATGCCCAGCCTGTCATCCATTTTAGACGAAAGTTTAAACTCCTCCCCAGGGCCTGGAAGCACCCCCTTACCTCTCTCTAATTTTATGTGAAACCACCCTCCTCCTCTTACTTTAGCCCCCTGATCACACAGCTCTATCTCCAGCCAGGCCCATGGCCTCTAATTAAACTGATTATACTGGATGGATTACATGCTAGACAAAATACAACTCAGGCCTAAAAATTACATTTATTCAGCTTTCAGTTTCCTTCCTTTCTTGTCTTCCTTCCCTTCCTTTCCTTCCTTCCTGTCTCTGGGTCTTGCTCTGTTGCCCAGGCTGAGGTGCAGTGGTGCCATCATAGCTCACTTAGCCTCTAACTCCCAAGCTCAAGTGATCCTCCCTCCCCAACCTCCTGAGTAGCTGGGACTACAGGCATGCACCATCCCACCTAGCTAATTTTTAAATTTTTTGTAGTAATGGGGTCTTACTGTGTTCCTCAGTTTGGTCTCAAACTTCTGGCTTCCAGCCACCCTCCCGCCTCGGCCTCTCAAGGCCCTGAGTTTCCAGGCATAAGCCACCACACCCAGCCAATTTTCAGTTTCTTTTCTTTTCTTTTTTTTTTTTTTTTTTTTTTGAGACAGAGTCTCGCTCTGTCACCCAGGCTGGAGTGCACTGGCGTGATCTCAGCTCACTGCAAGCTCCGCCCCCCAGGTTCACGCCATTCTCCTGCCTCAGCCTCCTGAATAGCTGGGACTACAGGCACCCGCCACCATGCCCGGCTAATTTTTTTGTATTTTTTTTAGTAGAGATGGGGTTTCACCGTGTTAGCCAGGATGGTCTCGAACTCCTGACCTCGTGATCCACCCGCCTCGGCCTCCCAAAGTGCTGGGATTACAGGCGTGAGCCACGGTGCGTGGCCAATTTTCAGTTTCTTTTCTTTTCTTTTTTTTTTTTTTTTGAGACAGAGTCTCGCTCTGTCACCCAGGCTGGAGTGCAGTGGTGCGATCTCTGCTAACTGCAAGCCCCGCCCCCCAGGTTCACACCATTCTCCTGCCTCAGCCTCCTGAATAGCTGGGACTACAGGCACCCGCCACCATGCCCAGCTAATTTTTTTGTATTTTTTTAGTAGAGATGGGGTTTCACCGTGTTAGCCAGGATGGTCTCGAACTCCTGACCTCGTGATCCGCCCGCCTCGGCCTCCCAAAGTGCTGGGATTACAGGCCTGAGCCACAGTGCGCGGCCAATTTTCAGTTTCTTAACTGCATAACCAAACAGTTGGCTCCAGCCTGGCTTCTCTTAAGCACCAACTACGCGTAAAAGCTCAGCCCTGCTGTCAACTTGTAGGTCCTTCAAGTCACTTTGGCTGAATTTCACAACAAGCAAAATAAAATTGAATACAGAGACTGAAGATGTTGGTGGTTCTGGGCTGACTGGATGCATTTGCAAATAAAAGTCTGATCGTTTTGGGATTTCCTTCCTAACAATGGCTAAGGCCTCCTTCTCCAGCACTGGCTGTGTGTGGGCAGTGTGCCAAGTCCTTGCTAACGCTGCATTCCAGGAGATGGAGATACACAATAGCCAAGTAAACAAATAATCAAGATAGTTCGTGGTGGAGATATCATTGCTACATCTGGGTGATGTGACTGAGAAGATCGAGGGGAAGGGAGGAGAGGGGAGGCTGTGGATGGGGAAGCCAGGGAGTTGCTGAGCCTTGAAAGTTACAAGAGAGCCCTGTGGGAAGGATGGAGGGAAGGGTGGGCCAGGCAGGGCAAACAGTATGGACAGAGGTCCAAGGGAGGGAAATGCTGGGCCCAGGTATGAGACAGAATGGCTCCCAGCATGGCTGGAGGGCCACAACAGAGGAGGACAGCAGGAAGTGAAGAGGGAAGAGCAGATCACACTCAGTCTTCCAAGTCACAGTAAGGAATCTGAGTTTTATTCTCATGGGTGCAGGAAACCATTTCACGAGGGGAACGGGACTTTAGAACCAGTGTGGGGAGAATCAGAACTGCAGGATGGGCTGGGCGAAGTGGCTCATGCCTGTAATCCCAGCACTTTGGGAGGCTGACTGAGGTGGGTGGATCACCTGAGATCAGGAGTTTGAGACCAGGCTGGCCAACATGGAGAAAACCCATCTCTATTAACAATACAAAAATTAGCTGGGCATGATGGCATAATACTCGGGAAGCTGAGGCAGGAGAATTGCTTGAACCCAGGAGGCGGGGGTTGCAGTGAGCCAAGATCGCACCACTGCACTCCAGCCTGGGCAACAGAGTGAGACTCTGTCTCAACAAAAAAATCAACAACAACAACAAACTGCAGGATGGGCCAGGCTCAGCGGCTCATGCCTGTAATCCCAGCACTTGGGAGGCCGAGGCTCCCCGGGTCACCTGAGGTCAGGAGTTCGAGACCAGCCTGACCAACATGACAAAACCCTGTCTCTACTAAAAATACAAAATTAGCCAGGCATGGTGGTACATGCCTGTTATCCCAGCTACTCGGGAGGCTGAGGCAGGAGAATCACTTGAACCTGGGAGGTGGAGGTTGCTGTGAGCCAAGATCACGCCATTGCACTCTAGCCTGGGCAATGAGAGCAAAACTCCATCTCAAAAACAAACAAACAAACAAACAAACAAACTGCAAGATGGATACTGGATTGCAGGAAGGATTTTTAAAAAATAGTGAGCACTTTCACTACAATAGCAGCTGATCCTTACAAAGTGCTCACCATGGGGCAGTGGCCTGTTTCTCAGTTCTTCACATGTAGTGACTCATTTCATCCTTCCAACAACCCAATGGGGTGCTTATTGTTCCCATTTTACAGATGGGGAAACTGAGGCTCAGAGAAGTGAACTGACTTATTTCCTGGAGCATACAACTAACTAGACGATGATGGGGCCAGAATTCAAACCCAAGGGGTTAGGTTCTGGAATCCACACTTTATGACAGCATGCTAATGAATATTTATTCAATGAATAATGAGTGAATATTCTTATAATGTATATTTATTAAAGGAAGGAAGCAAGCAAGCAATGGGAGCAGGGAGCTTAAGAGACTGCTACAGAGGCCCTGGTGAGAGGTGACGGGACCCTGAACTAGGAAGAGGCGGTGGAGTCAGAGGAATGGACAGAGATGAGAAATATTTCAGCATCATACCGTCCAAGGCAGGAACCGCTATCTAAATTAACTAAAATCTTAAAAATTCAGTTCTGCAATATACTTGCCACTTTTTAAGAGCTCAATTAAGTGAACTTTTAAGTGAACTTTGTGCTCATCACAAAGTTCTTTTGGATAGCACCGTTTTAGATGAAACAGCACCTGCTGATGGCATGGGTGCTGGAAATGAGAGCAGGGTGGCCTCTTCTTCATCTTCACAGCCTCTCCATAAGCTCAGCTCAGAGAGGTCAAGTGACCCGTGCATAGCTACATAGCTAGGAAGCCATCTGAAAGTCCTACTCTTTCCTGCACCTCTCTGTTACCACACTTAATTCATTCACTCAACAGAGGGCAGTTGAGCTACACTATTTTGGTTCCTGGGGAGATGACATGTGGCTCACACATGGGTTTGGCTCCTAGGGGATCAAATGCCTCTGTGGCTAGCTGAAAAACAGCCCCCACAAGAATGTCCATGGCCTATCCTCAGAATCTGTGAATATGTTTGCTTGAGATGAGGAGACTGTCTTGGATCATCTAGGTGGGGCTAATATAACCACAAAGGTACTGGGCCTTATAAGAGAGAGGTAGGGGGACCAGAGAAAGAGATTTGAAGATACCATGCTGCAGGATTTAAAGATGGAGGAAGAGACCATGAGCCAAGGAATGCAGGTGACCCCTAGAAGCCAGAAAACTAGGAAACCAAGTCGGCAGGTTGTTTTAGCATTTATATCCTCATAGCTAGGTAGCATTATATCTCTAGATCCAGACTATTCATTGTCAAACATCAAATGTGTACATCCTACCATGGAATATGAGAATTCAGTTCCCATCTAATCCTCTTCCCTTTCCCCACAGAGCCAAGTCCATCACAGGGAGTTATTCTGGTTAGATAAATACTCCAAACTTGCACAGCTGGGCTCCTTAGTCCAATGTGATTACTTCTCCTTCCATCCCAACTTTTGTTTTTTCCTGGAGTTTATAATTGCCTTTGTTTTATTGTTTCCAGGTTTTCTATCTATATCAACCCCAAACTTATTAATTGTTTCAATCTTCTCTCAATACAGTTCATTGCCATCCTACCATCCATCACCATCTGAAATTCTAATTACTAGTTTTTAATTGTCCTTCCAGATAATTTCATGCAAATAGGAAACATATGCACGTCCATGCAATCCTGCTCTTTTTAAAGACACACACGGTTACATTATGCATATGCTGGTTTGCCCCTGTGTTTTCCACTCAACGGTATTATCTATAAAGAGCGTTCTCTCTCAGCATAAATAGATCAGCCTCACTCTTTGTAGTGGCTACCTGGAAATGCTATATTTTATTTAAATAACCTCTGTTGATTATAGCTTTAGTTGCTTCCAGACCTTCAAATATATATATATATAAATATAAATATATTAAATATAATACATATTATATATTATGTAAATATATATATGCACAGTCTATCCTCATTATTTATATATTCTATATTTTCAAATTCACCGACCTGCTGAAAGTTATTTGTAACCCCAAAATCAATATTCATGGCACTTTTGTAGTCATTTGTGAACATGTGCAGAGTAAGGAAAATTCGATTCCCCCAATGCACACGTTCCCAGCTCAGGTTGAACAGGGGAATGCTCTACCTTCTAGTTTCAACTCTCATACTGTAAACAAGTGTCCTTTCTGTAGTGTATTTAGTGCCACCTTTTTTTGTATTTTTGTGGCTTTTTGTTAGTTATTTTGCAGTTTAAAATGTCCCCTCAGATGTGCTCCCTTCGGCAGCACACATACAAAAATGTCCCCAGCATAGTGCTCAAGTGTTGGCTCATGTTTCCAAGCACAATAAAGTTGTGATACCCATTATGTAATAAATACACATCAGATAAACTTCATCCAGGCATCAGCCACAGAGCTGCTGGCTGTGAGTTCAATGTCAATGAATCAACAATATATATTAATATATGTTACTTGCATATAAATACAATAGTGAAAACTCTCTCAATGATTCTAAAATTGAGTTACTATCTTCTGCCTATGTACCTAGGTCTTCAAAGAAACAGTGATACCAATCACCAAATATGGCACTGATGTGTTTGTGGCTTGATAAATGTGAAATACTAAAGTGACAGTTTAACATCTTCCCTATCAACACAGATGGCTGTTATGCAATTAGATAAGATTCTGCATATAAAATCTTTAGTTCAAGTCCTGGCACAGAGTACATGTTCAATAAATGCTAGTTTTTTAGAAGGAGGAGAGGTATGGAACCAAATGATAGCAGGTGTCATTAAGAGTTTAAGTTTGCCTGCCTCCGCAGAAGACCATATATCACAAATGTTTAGTGAGCATCTACATGGTGCCAGGTATAAAGAGAGGCACTTGGAACCATGAACAAATCAAAGATCTCTGCACTCATGGATCTTTTCTTTCATAGGTTGGATCTCGACTACAGATTAAAAAAAAAAAAAAACAAAAAAAAAACAGAAGAAAAAGCAGTTCCACTTACGTGCATAGAATGGACTGGTCCTCCCGATCTGCAAACAGAAAGAAGAAAAAAGAGCCATGAATTAAAATGAGCTCTGAGCTAAGGGTCTGGACTTGGCTCCTCCCAGGGCCCTCCCATTCTAAAGCTTCTCCATGCTGGCCTCATTGGAAGTGACAACAGGTCAGCTGGGCTCATTGCCCAGGCTACAGGGGCCACGACCAAAGCCAAAAGGGCAGCCCCAAAGTCCCAGAGGCAGCCCCAGAAAGATGCTGGAGCCTGACTGATCCAGGAGTCATTAGCATCCAGCCACATCAGCTCTGGAGGTGTCCCGGGAGGCCCACCCCACCCAGATTAGGTTAGGGACCAAACGCAGATGTTGGATCTATACAGATTGGGGTCCCCCTTAGCCACTTCTCCGCTCTGTGGCCTTGGGCAAATATTCTTAAACTCCATGCCTCAGTTCCTTCATCTGTAATATAGTATTGTGCACATTTGTGTTTTTTTGTAAATCCAGCATCCATTTCCTCTTCTTCCAGAAGCATCCTGTGGTCCTTGAGGTTTCCCCCATCACCCCTACCGTCATGTACAGTCTTAGTGGGACTGCCTCATAAGTACCTTCAACAAAGAGGTAAGAATGTGTTCCAGGCTGCATTGGTCAGACTCTCTGGCCTAAAACTCCAAGCTCAGTCAAGGACAGGGAAGCACAGCAGGTGGACAGAGCCCTGAGGCAGACTTCCTTTCTGCCCCTGGGCCCAAGCAGCCCAGTTTCTGTCATTTACCTAGCCTGATTCCTAGTGTTCCCACTGCAACTGTGAGCTCCTCCATACTCCCCTACAAATCCCTTTCCTCTACTAGATGACAGAGTCAGTCTCTCTTGTTTACCACCAGAGAAACCCAAAAGATACAGAGGTCATCAAAGAACTAGATGTGATTAAGCAGACATTATCCATCACCTTCTACTCTTAAAGAGGCCTCTGAGGTGGAGCCAGGCTCTGAAGACCCATTTCCTTCCCAAAGAGAGATCTGAGAACAGTTACCAATACGTTCAATGGTCACCTAACAATGTAGAAATCCCAGCATCATATCTGCTGGTAGACAATGCCACAGTGGCAAGCATTTCTTAAATCCACTCCCTGGCTTCAGTCCTACTAGTTCAGTGCTCAGCTCTCACAAGCTTCATTTCATCAAAAATCTCCTAGGCTTGGTTTTACATTGTATCTCTAGTACTGGCACATAGATGGTAGGTGCTGAATTATGCTTGTTAGATGGATGGATTGAGGGATGGATGAGTAGATGGATGGGAAGATGAGTGGACGGAAGGAAGGAAGAAAGGAAGGAAGGGTAGATGGGTGAATGGAAGGGTGGGTAGATGGGTAGGTAGATGGATGGGTGGGTGGGTGGATGAATAGACAGATGGACGGGAGGGTGGATAAGCAGATGAGTAGGTGAGTAGGTGGGTGGGTGGATGGGCAGATGGGTGGGAAAATGGATGGATAGATGAGTAGATGGATGGGAGGATGGAAGAAGAGGTGGATGGGCAAGTGAGTGGAAGGAAGGAAGAAAGGAAAGAAGGAAGGAAGAAAGGATGGGTGGATGGAAGAATGGATGGATAGGTAAATGGACGGGAGGATAAATGGATGGGAGGCTGGGTGAATAGGCAGACAGATGGCTGGATGGAAGGATGGATAGATGGACAGGTAGAGAGACAGGAAGACAAATGGATGAGTGGGTGGGTGGGTAGGTGGACGAATAGATGGATGGAAAGAAGGAAGGATGGATGGATAGATAGGAAGAAAGAAAGAAGAAAGGAGGGAAGGGTGTGTAGATGGGTAGATGGGTGGGTATATAGCTGGTTGGACGGATGGTTGGACGGAGGAGGGAAGGATGAGTGAGTGGATGAGAGAGTGGATGGGTGGGTGAATGGGAGGGAGGACAGAGTGTATAGGCCGGTAAATGAGTTGGATGGATGGATGGATGGATGGATGGATGGATGGATGGATGGATGGGAATATGAATGGGAGGATGGATGGGACTGAAGAAGGCAAGGTGAAAGAGATGACTCTTTCTTCCATCTGTAATCTTAAGAGAGAACTGATTGGATGTGGGCACGTTCCTCAGATTCTATGCCCAACTCCAATCAGTTCTCTCTCTCTTCCCTCGGATTATAGATGGATGTTTGGGTGGCCTGGTTGAACGAAATCCTCAAGACAAAAGGCCTAAAGACTAGTCAGCTCTGGGGTTTCAATTCTGGTGTGTTTATATAATGGCACATTTAAAAATAGGCAGGCCGGGCGCAGTGGCTCATGCCTGTAATCTCACCACTTTGGGAGGCCAAGGAGGGTGGATCACTTGAGTTCAGGAGTTCCAGACCAGCCTGGCTAACATGGTGAAACCCCATCTCCACTAAAAATACAAAAATTAGTTGGGTGTCATGGCACACGCTTGTAATCCCAGCTACTCAGAAGGCTGAGGCAGGAAAATTGCTTGAACTCAGGAGGCGGACGTTGCAGTGAGCCGAGATCGTGCCACTGCATGCCAGGCTGGGCAACAGAGCAAGACTCTGTTTCAAAAACAAATAAGATATAAATACATAAATAAAATAGGCAGCCATTGAAAAGAACCAGGCAGAGCTTTGTGGATGGACACAGAAAAATATCCAAAATATATTAAGCTAAAAATAAAAGATGAGGTAGCATAGTGTTATACCTTTTGTGTTTTAAAAAGACAGATATATAGGTAGGATGCAGTGGTTCATGCCTGTAATCTCAACACTTTGGGAGGCTGAGATGGGAGGATCACTTGAGGCCAGGAGTTCCAGACCAGCCTGGACAACATAGCAAGACCCAGTCTCTACAAAAAAAAATTTTTTTTTAATTAGCTATGTGTGATAGACATACCCCTTGTCCCAGCTACTTGGGAGGCTGAGACAGTAGGATCCCTTGAGCCAAGGAGTTCAAGGTTGCAGTGAGCTGTGATTACACCACTGCACTCCAGCCTGGGCAATGGAGTGAGACCCTATCTCTAAAAACAGACCTGGGATGGGTGCGGTGGCTCACACTTGTAATCCCAGCACTTCGGAAGGCTGAGGCGGGCAGATCACTTGAGGTCAGGAGTTCAAGACCAGCCTGGCCAACATGGTGAAACGCTGTCTCTACTAAAAATACAAAAATTAGCTGGGCATGGTAGCATGCACCTGTAATCCAAGGTACTCCGGAGGCTGAGGCAGGAGAATCACTTCAACCCAGGAGGTGGAGGTTGCAGTGAGGTGAGATCATGCCACTACACTCCAGCCTGGGCAACAGAGCGAGACTCCAAAAACAAAACAAAACAAACAAAAAAAACCAACAAACAGGCCTGAGCCTGAAGTATTGAGAAAAGGGACAGGAGGAAGACCTACTTTCACCCATTCTACTTCTATCCTGGTTATGTTTGTGCTATGAACACATACAATCTTTTCCTCATCCCACCAAAAATGGTCAATAGAAAAAGAGTCGGTATTGTTCTTTATGAAACCATCATGACCACAAAGCTAAAAAAAGACAGAAAAGAAAGAGCCACCGCATTAGGATCCCACTAACAGCTCCGATCTCCCGAGCACTCACTGCACTGCAGGCGTATGCTGAACTTCTGTGTTGAAGTGACCCACTGAATTCTCTCAGCAGCTCCTGGGGTGGGCACTGGCATTGCCTCCATTTTACAAATAAGGAGAGTGAGGTTCAGAAGTGAGGCAACTTGCCCAAGGTCACTAGGGTGGGTTGAACTGTGACTCCCAAAAGCTATGTTCACTCAGAACCTCAGACTGCGATGTTATTGACTAACCAATTGATTGAGATGGGGTCTCACTTTGTCGCCCAGGTGGGTGTACAGTGGCGTGATCTCAGCTCACTGCAACCTCAACCTCCCAGGCTCAAGCAATCCTCCCTCTTCGGCCTCCCCTGTAGCTGGGACTATAGGCACATGCCAGCATGCCCGGCTAATTTTTGTATTTTTTGTAGAGATTGGGTCTTGCTATGTTGCCCAGGCTGGTTTCACACTCTTGGGCTCAAGTGACCCACCTGCCTCAGCCTCCCAAAGTGCTGGGATTACAGGCGTGAGCCACTGTATCCCACCTGTGATTTTATTTAGAATAAGGGTCTTGCAGATGTAATTAAGGGAAGGATGTTGAGATGAGGTCATCCTGGCTTGGAGTGAGACCTAAATCAATGGTGTCCCTATTTATAAGAGAAAGGAGGCCGGGCGTGGTGGCTCACACCTGTAATCCCAGCACGTGGGTGGATCACCTGAGGTCAGGAGTTCGAGACCAGCCTGGGCAACATGGTGAAACCCATCTCTACTAAAAATACAAAAAATTAGCCAGGCATGGCGGCAGGCACCTGTAGTCCCAGCTACTCGGGAGGCTAAGGCAGGAGAATCACTTGAACCCAGGAGGTGGAGGTTGCAGTGAGTTGAGATTTTGCCACTGCACTCCAGCCTGGGCAACAGAGCAAGACCCCATCTCAAAGAAAAAAAAAGCAGGAAAAAAGCAATCAAACTTTAATCTCTCCATTATACTCTGGAGACAGACAGATACCCGTGCCTTTAGCTTCCACCCAGGGGGAGAAATTCACTCGAGGACAGAGCAAAATGGGAAACCAGTTTAATTTTTTTTTTTTTTCTGAAATGGAGTCTCGCTCTGTCACCCAGGCTGGAGTGCAGTGGCTCGATCTTGGCTCACTGCAACCTCTGCCTCCTGGTTTCAAGCAATTCTTCCACCTCGGCCCCCCGAGTAGCTGGGACTACAGGTGCGTGCCACCACGCCTGGCTAATTTTTCTATTTTTTGTAGAGACGGGGTTTCACCATGTTGGCCAGGCTGGTCTCGAACTCCTGACCTCAGGTGATCCGCCCGCCTCAGCCTCCCAAAGTACTAAAAAGTGATTTTTTAAAAGAGGGTGAAGGATAGAAGAACCAGGTACCCTGTGATTAGAACCCAGACAGAGAGAACCTCCTGGGACCGGCCCAGACAACCTCCACTATCTTAAGGAAAGATTTTGAGATGGACAGACAGATGGGCTGTGTTGATCCACTACTTCAGGGAGAGAGGCAGGCTTTCCTGGCAGCCTTGTGAATCCTAGGCCCAGAGCAGGAGAGATTTATAGGCTCAGATGCTCACAGGGCCCCCAGGAGAGGGAGCGGGCTCCAGGAGAAGGCCTGGGAGCTGCCAGCGCGGCTCCGAGCTGGGGGCTGCTGGGAGACCTCTGGCCTGACGTTCCCATCAAAAACACACCACTTCCAGGCGTGGGAAGCTTGCAGGGTGCTGGTTACGAGCAGAAGGACTCCATGTGGGTGCTGTCTGCCAACCCGTGTGGAGCACAGGGAACTCTGAGATCCTGGAAATTTTTATCTGATTCCTTCCCCAAGCCTGAGCTTGTGTTGGACTCAAAAGCAGTGTTCTCCACCGTACAAAGCAGTTTCACTCCCTCCTTGCTTTGCACAAGTGATTTCTTCTGCCCAGTGCACCCACCACCACTTCTTCTCTGGCCTAATCCATTCTCTCTCTCTCTCTCTTTTTTCCTTCCATTGAGGTAAAATTTACACTACATAAAAAGAACCATTTTAAAGTGAATAATTCAAGCCAGGTGCGGTGGCTTATGCCTGTAATCCCAGCACTTTGGGAGGCCGACACAGCTGGATCTCCTAAAGTCGGGAGTTTGAGACCAACACGGCAAAACCCCGTCTCTACCAAAAATACAAAAATTAGCTGGGCGCGGTGGTGCACACCTGTAATCCCAGCTACTCAGGAGGCTGAGGCAGGAGAATCGCGTGAACCAGGGAGGTGGAGTTTGCAGTGAGCTGAGATCGCGCCACTGCACTCCAGCCTGGGTGACAGAGGGAGACTCCATCTCAAAAAATAGTAATAAAGATAAAAAAATAACTAAAGTGCATAATTCAGGAGCATTTAGTACATTCACAATGTTACGTAACTACCACCTTTATCTAGTTCTAAAATATTCTGTCACCCCCAAATGAAACCCTCTACCCGTTAAGCAGCCACTCCCCCATAAGCCCTTGCAACCGCCAATTTGCTTTCTGTCTCTATGGTCTTACCTATTCTAGATATTTTTGCATAAATGGAATTATAACATGTGCGGCCTTTCATGTCTGACTTCTTTCACTCAGCATGTGGCTGAAGTTCATCCATGTTGTAGCAGGTCCCAGACTTTATGCCTATTTGTGGCTGAGTCATATCACATTGTACGGATGGATCATATTTTGTTTATCCATTCAACAGTTGACGGACATTTGGGTTATTTCCACCTTTTGGCTATTCTGCATAGTGCTGCTATGAACATTCCTGTACAAGTTTTAGTTTGAGTACCTTTTCAATTCTTCGGGTACATACCCTAATCTGTATCTGAAACATCGTCTTGGGAGTCAACTCTTCTATGATACCTTCTCTAACTCTGCACTTTTCTAGAGCTGAGTTGGAGACCTTTCCACTTGACCTCCTACCTGCAGGATGGCCATGGACCGTGGTGCATGTTGTACACTGCATAACTCTATGGAGAAACTATTTGCATTGGTCATTTATTGTATTGCATTGTGTATTTATTGTAATAATCTTTCAGCAGATGGAGGAAAAGTGCTTTGAGAAAACGGTGCCTTTCTCTAATATAAACATGAGTGTCACATGGCCTAGTGGTTCCCATGGTCCACAGGTTCTCTCCATTTTAGTAATTATCATCATTGTGATCCTTACTTAATAAATGTCTCAAAACATTCTGGCGGAAAAAGGTACAGATGATATGGAATGATAATAGGCCATCTATCCATGATATGGCATTCAGAGTTTTTCTTGTTTTTCTTTTCCATATTGGTAAAAATTATGGACTTTATTCATAATATCCAAAAAATAGAAACAACCAAATGTTCATCAATGGGTAGATGGATAAACAAAATGTGGTCTACCCAGACAGTGGGATAGTATTCAGCCATGAAAAGAAAGGATGTTATGGCCGGCGGCCATGGCTCATGCCTGAAATTCCAGCACTTTGGGAAGCTGAGGCAGGTGGATTGCTTGAGCCCGGGAGTCCGAAACCAGCCTGGGCAACATGGTGAAACCCTATCTCTACAAAAAAAAATGCAAACATTAGCTGGGCATAGTGGCACAATCCCTGTGGTCTCAGCTACTCAAGAGGCTGAGGTGGGACAATGGCTTGAGCCCAGGAGGTGGAGGTTGTAGTAAGCCACGACTGCACCACGGTACTCCAGCTGGGGTGACAGAGACAGACCCTGTCTTAAAAAATATATAAATAGTATGAATCCATGATACAACGTGGATGAACCTTGACAACATTATACTAAGTGAAAGAAGCTAGCCGGCTGGGCACGGTGGCTCACACCTGTAATCCCAGCACTTTGGGAGGCTGAGGTGGGCAGATCACGAGGTCAGGAGTTCAAGACCAGCCTGGCCAATACAGTGAAACCCCGTCTCTACTAAAAATACAAAAATTAGCCAGGTGTGGTGGCACGTGCCTATAGTCCCAGCTACTCGGGAGGCTGAGGCAGGAGAATCACTTGAACCCAGGAGGCAGAGTTTGTGGTGAGCCGAGACCACATCACTGCACTCCAGCCCGGGCGAGTGCAGTGAGACACTCTGTCTCAAAAAAAAAAAAAAAAAAAAAAAAAAAAAAAAAAAAGAAGCCAGCCACAAAAGGTCACATATGATTCCATTTATATGAAATGTCCAGAATAGGCAAATCCATAGAGACAGAAAGTAGATTTGTGAATTCGTGGCTGCCAGGAGCTGCGGGTAGGAATATGGAGTGACAAAAAAATGTGCACAAGATTTCTTTGGGGGATGATAGAAATATAAAATTATATTGCAGCAATGGCTGCATAACCATGTAAATTATGAGTGAATTTAGACAGTTATGCAGACATAGCTGCAATTTTAGGTGTGAACTGTATCCTTAAAATGAATTTATTTAAATTATACCGCATAAACCTTTTTTAAAAATGATGTTCATTTTATACCACCTCTGAATGATTATAAATCTGACTTCTTCCACTTCATGCAGCTCTATTAGGTTTCCAACAATTACAAAATTGTTCATTTTCAATGCTTTTCCCCTGAACCAATGAGCTCCTGAAGGTACAAGGAACAATGCCTGACACACAGTAGGTGCTCAGGAAATGCTTGTTATTTTGAATTGCTCTCTGGCTCAGAGAGGCAACCAAGGTAGAAGCAATGGAAAATGCATATTCACGTGTTCACATATTCATTCAACAAACGAGTCCTGAGCCAGGTACCGAAAGCACAAAAGTCAATAAGATCTGCTTTTTTTTTTCTTTTCTTTTTTAAGAGATGAGGTGTCACTCTGATGCCCAGGCTGAAGTGCAGTAGCACGATCATAGCTAACTGCAGTCTGGAACTCCTGGGCTAACAGATCCTTCCATCTCAGCCTCCTGAGCAGCTGGGACTACAGGTGCATGCCACTACGCCTGGCTAATGGTTTTTTTGTTTTTTGTTTTCATTTTTTTTGTAGAGACAGGGCCTAGTAAGGTAACTTAGTAATATTACCCAGGCTGGTCCCAAACTCCTGGCCTCAAGTGATCCTCCCGCCTTGGCCTCCCAAGTAACTGAAATCACAGGCTCAAGCCAATGCACCGAGCTTCATGACTTGCTTATCCTTGCTTTTGAGAAGTTCATGACCCAGGGTGGGAGTCAGATGGGCAAAGAAATGACCGTAAGAGATGAGCAGTGCTACGATGGATGTGAACCCAAGTGCTATAGACGTCAGGTTTTTTGTTTGTTTGTTTTTTCACACTGACCTGAGCAAGACAGGAAGCCTTCACGGCAGAGGTGACCACTGAACAGCATTAAGAAAAATGTGAAAGAATCTCCTGGGGAGAGGTCGAGGCAGAGCATCCCAAGCAGAGGGCCTGGGACAGAAGCTCCAAAGTGGGCGGGGACACAGTACCGAGCCTCCGTGGAGTCTGGGAAGGCTGGAGCTGGGGGCGGCCGGCCATCATCAGGACCCGCCTGGGGCTGAGCTTCCCAGCCCAGATCCCTGGGGCTCATGTCACCTCACACCCCATCCTTAAACATGCCTCTCTCCCTTCCTCCTCCCCAGACTCCCCACCCAGCCTCGGATGTGTAAGGCCCCAGGCACGTTTCCTGAGAAGATAAAGGGCTTCAGCGGTTCCTCCCCCGCTGTGGGCCTGAGGACTCCCAGGAGGTACCCAGCTCCCCACAGACCAGCTATTTCGGCCCAAGCCCAAACACAAGCTGGTGGATTCTGTCTGGGAAGCCAGAGCACTGTAGGCTGACCATAAAAGGAGAAAACCCAGCGGGGACTGAGCACAGACCCAGGCTCCCTGCGTCTGCCCTTCTTTCTGGTAACAGGCTGCTGGGGGATCCAGTGAGAGGTAATCAAAACCCGTCTCTGCAGGGCCATCAATACCCCTGGGCTAGTAAAGAAGAAAGGTCTCAGCCTCCATTGCCTGCAGAAAAGTGGCTCTCTACCTAATGCCCCGCACGGAGGCAGATGCCAGAGGTTCTGGATCTTCTGTGGTGTGACTGTGAAGGTGGCCACTGCATGGCCCTTGACGGTGGGTCCTCGGCAGCTGACTGCTAATGCCTGTTGAACTTGTCCTGTCCATGCACCGTGTCCCTACACACTGACCGAATCACCCTTGTAACAACTGGAGTAAGCACAGTCATCATCCTCACGGGACAAGTGAGGAAACTGAGGCACAAAGTAATAGCCGGGGCAGAGCTGGGAGGTGAACCCAGCTCCAGAGCCCATGACCTAAGCCATTCTGTAAGTGAGGGCCCTTCTCTTTCTCCAGCCTTCATCTCCCCACTCTACTCTCCCGGCAGAGTTGGTTAGGATGACATGCTGAGTAAGAAGAGATACTTTGAGAGCCTTTGCTGCAACCCAACAGGTGTTTTCCAAACCTACAGGAAGCCCTGGTATTGTAAAAGCAGAACTGGGCTGGGCATAGGAGCTCATGCCTGTAATCCCAGTGCTTTGGGAGGCTGAGGCAGAAGGATTGCTTGAGGCGAGGAGTTTGAGACTCAAAGCGAGACCCCTATCTCTATGAAAAAAAAATTTTTTTTAATTAGCTGTGGACAGAGGTGTGTGCCTGTAGCCCCAGCTATTTGGAAGGCTGAGGCAGGAAAATTGCTTGAGCCTAGGAGTTCGAGGTTACAGGGAGCTATTATTGTGCCACTGCGCTCTAGCTTGGGTGAAAGAGTGAAACTCTGTCTCAAAAAATATATAATAAATAAAAACATGAAAGCAGAACTGGCCAGTGAAGGGGTGTAGGAGACAGGAAAACCAACGCTCTCCCTCTTGGGCCTCCACTCCTACCTCCTACATTCTCCCCCTTCTCTCTGCTCCAGCCCCAGCAGCCTCATAGAACCTATATCAAGTTCCCTAGCCAAGCCTACACTTCACCTTCCAAGGAAGCCTCCCCTGTCCTCCCAAGGTCCCCAGGGCTACACTTCCCCACTCTCTGGACCTCCTCTACTTAGCAGCTACTTGTGGGATGATTCAATTCGTATTTACACATACGCACAGTAGGCTGTGTCTAGGGCAACATCTAATAATCAATATTGTTAGAATGACCGGGCGTGGTGGATCACATCTGTAATTCCAGCACTTTGGGAGACCGAGGCGGGAGGATTGCTTGAGGCCAGGAGTTCGAGACCAGCCTGGGCAACATAATGAGACCTCATCTCTACAAAAAATCAAAAAATTAGCCAGGCGTGATGATCTGTGCCTGTGGTCCCAGCTACTTGGGAGGCTGAGAGGGGAGGATCACTTGAGCCCAGGAGTTGGAGGCTGGAGTGAGCTATGAGTGTGCCACTCCACTCCAGCCTGGGCAACAGGGCAAGGCCTTGTCTCACAAAAAAATGCTGTTGGATAAAGAAAGGAATGGGGAGCCAGACTGCCCAGAGGCTGGGAGGACACCGAGGGAGGTGGCTGACACATGCAATTTAACAAGGAAGGTGCTGGCCAGGCACTGTGGGTCACGCCTATAATCCCAGCACTTTGGGAGGCCGAGGTAGGTGGATTGCTTGGGCTCAGGAGTTCAAGGCCAGCCTGAACAACATAGCAAAACCTCATCTCTACAAAAAATACAAAAATTAGCCAGTTGTACTGGTGCATGCCTGTATGCAGCTACTCTGGAGGCTGAGGTGGGAGGATCACCTGAGCCTGGAGAGGCTGAGGCTCAGGTGAGCCGAGATCACACCACTACACTCCAGCCTGGGCAACAGAGTGAGACTCTGTCTCAAAAAAGCCCAAAACAAACAAGGAAGGTGTTGCCAAGTGTCAGCTGGGGCTTTTCAGGTTCACTCCCTTAAGTATGTCCCTTTTTCAATTTAATATTTACGGTTTTTGTTTTTGTTTTTGTTTTTTTTTGAGACGGAGTTTTGCTCTTGTTGCCCAGGCTGGAGTGCAGTGGGGCAATCTCGGCTCACTGCAACCTCTACCTCCCAGGTTCAAGCGATTCTCCTGCCTCAGCCTCCCGAGTAGCTGGGATTATAGTCGCCCACCACCATGCCTGGCTAATTTTTTGTATTTTTAGTAGAGATGGGGTTTCACTACATTGGCCAGGCTGGTCTCGAACTCCTGACCTCAGATGATCTGCCTGCCTCTGCCTCCCAAAGTGCTGAGATTACAGGTGTGAACCACTGTGCCTGGCCAATATTTACTATTTTATAACAAATAATTCTCCTTTGCTGTCTCCCTTCCCTGTAATGCACCATGGGTACCAAAAATAAAAATAAAATAAAGATAAAAACGTGAACTTTTCATGATTAGTCAGAGCACCAAACAGACACTCCTAGCACCTCTGTAAAGACTGAGCCAGCCAGACAGAGCCATTCATTCCCACACACAGTCCCCCATCATTCCCAACCGGGCCAGACACATAGCTGACAGCCACTGCAAAACCCACAAGAGACAGAGAAGCATTTGGCTGTACCCCTTCCTGGAGATGTGTTTGTAGCAGCACTGCCTCTGCAGAGAAACAGCTGGGAATTACTTCTTGGCTCCACCCTATCACCTCTGCCCCCAGGGCCCGTTTCCTCACCAGGGAAATCGACAAAAATCCAGACCTTTCAAGGGCATGAAGATGATTGAAAGAGACTGGATTCAGAAAGAGCTTAAAATTGTTTTACCCACAGCACATTTAAGAGCTTGGTAATTGCCGTTAATATCATCTTTATCATCATCATCTAAAACAGTGATCTAGGGAAGAGGTTATAGACAGCAGTGATTCTGAATCGGCAGGACAGGATATTCAACCAAAGATATTTAACCCCTTTCTGATTACAAGGTGTCATGGTCTGAATGCTCATGTCTCCCTCAAATTCATATGCTGGAATCCTTACCCCTAAAGTGATGATATTAGGAGGTGGGGCCTTTGGGAGGTGATGAGATCATGGGGGTTCAATCCTCATTGGGGGAGAGACCCAGAGAGCTAGCAGGTCCCTTCCACCATGTGAGACACAGCGAGAAGGCAGCACTAGGCCCTCACCAGATACCAAGCTTGATCTTGGACTTCCCAGCCTCCAGAACCACGAGAAACAAATATCTGTTTAAAAGCCACCCAGTCTATGGTATTTTGATATAGCAGCCTTAACAGGCTAAGACACAAGGCCTATGCTAGTCCCTTAGCCTTCTGGGGGCCTCAGTTTCCTCTTCCGTTATATGGGGACAAGAATACTACACTATCTATACCACGCTACCCAGGAGGGAAGAGTAACATTCTGAGGGCAGCGAAGCTGGGTCCCCAGGTTTGACTCTCAGTTCTGGGGCCAAGTAGGTGTGCTGAGTTTTCCCCATTGATCAAATGGGGAGGCTGCCACCCACCCTGTGTGGTGCTAGTGAGGGCCGAGCAATGTGGGATTGATGGAGCAGTGAACCCAGGTCCTGACCTATTGCAGGGGCCCTGAGGACATCAGTGCCCTTCCTCTCTCTGCCTCTACTGGGGAGCAGCCTCAGGGGAGTTGGGTGAGCAGGAACCATCCCCAGGGGGCTGCCAATCTCAAGCAGAAGGATACAGCCGAGTGTGGGAACTTGCAAAGTGGAGAAAGTCGTTTGGATCACTCCACCCGCAGAGTTGTCTTAAGCTTAAAGAGGAATTAGCCAAGAGCCCCAAGCTGATAAAGGCTGGCTGTTATTTCTTTTTTTAATCCCCTGAGTGTGGCCATTTGTTGCTAATGAGGTGAGGACAAAACATTACTTGTGGCTATCTTGCATAGGGCAAGTGCAGAGGCTCAGAATGGAATCTTATCTGCTTTCCTGCCCCTCCTACACCCCAGGGACCCATGGAGGGGCTCCAAAGTGGTTCTTGTCTGGAGGGCTTTAATGGCGCTTTTCTCCTATTCATCACGTTCATTTATTGAACTTAGCTCCAGCCTCCTAAGCTTTGAGCTGTCAACACTCTGAGATGAAGACAGTAGACAGCCTTCCGTGGGATTGAGGGGGATCCCTGTGGTTGCCCGGTGTCACCGACTGACCAGCAGGGCTCCGGCTTTGGAGTCAGGATAATCCAAGTGTATATTTGGCTCTGACACTTAACAAATCTGCAGCAAGTTCTCCACTCCTCTGAGTCTGTTTTCCCAGCTGTAAAAGGGAGCTAATAATAGCTCTTGCGGCTAGCGTTGGATCACCCAATAAACCTTGTAAGCATATGCTGAGGGCACACCCACACAGGCATGCACGAGAAGGAAGAATGCCATAGTTGCCATTTCATAAGCACCACGAAGATAAACATCATGGGAAAAATAGCAACTTTAGGCTGGGCACGGTGGCTCATACCCATAATCCCAGCACTTTGGGAGGTCAAGGCAGGAGGATCACTTGAGGCCAGGAATGAGAGACCAGCCTGGGCAACACAGTAAGATCTTATCTCTAAAAAAAAAAAAAAAAAAAAAAAAAAAAAAAGTTTTTTCACTAGGCACAGTGGGCTCACACCTGTAATCCCAGCACTTTGAGAAGCCTAGGCAGGTGGATCACTTGAGCTCAGGAGTTCAAGACCAGCCTGGGCAACATGGTGAAATCCCGTCTCCACAAAAAATACAAAAATTAGCCGGGTGTGGTGGTGCATGGCTGCAGTCCCAGCTACTTGGGGAGCTGAGGTGAGAAGATCACTGGAGCCTAGGAGGTCAAGCCTGCAGTGAGCCGTGTTTGTGCCACTGCACTCTAGCCTGGGTGACAAAGTGAGAACCTGTCTCAAAAATAAAAAAGACTGGGCACGGTGGCTCATGCCTGTAATCCCAGCACTTTGGAAGGCCAAGGTGGGTGGATCACCTGAGGTCAGGAGTTCAAGACCAGTCTGGTCAACACGGTGAAACACCATCTCTACTAAAAGTACAAAAATTAGCTGGGCATGGTGGCATGTGCCTGTAATCCCAGCTACTCAGGAGGCTGAGGCAGGAGAATCACTTGAACCCAGGAGGTGGAGGTTGCAGTGAGCTGAGATCGTGCCATTGCACTCCAGCCTGGGTGACAGGGGTGAAACTCTGTCTCAAAACAAACAAACAAAAAACAGTTGTTTTTTTTTAATTAGCTGAGCATGGTGGTACATCTCTGTAGTCTCAGCTACTTGGGAAGCTGAGGCAGGATTGCTGAACCCAGGAGTTTGAGGCTGCAGTGAGTTACAATCGCACCATTACACTCCAGCCTGGGCAACAGAGCAAGACCCTGTCTCTAAAAAAAGCAAAAACAAAAACAATTTTGTCAGCCTTCTTTACTTTATAATTTAATTTTTTTTTATGACATATGCCTGCACCTTAATAGTTTCAGGGCTTAATTTTAAAATTCCTAATCTGGTCCTGTCCACCTTGTAGGTTTGTGGTAAAGATTAACTGAGAATATTTCTGTAAAGCCCTGAGCTTTATAGGAAGCATATAATAAAAATCCATGATTATTATTATCACTTCTTTGTAAAAGAAGGCATGAGAGAATTCCCATGAGAAGATGGTAGGCTGAGTGCATGCATTTAGCTCTCTTCCTTCCTAAACCTTACTAAAATAACTGTAAAAGACTTTCCAAAAATACATGAACCAGTTTAGCCGGGCATGGTGGCTCATGCCTGGAATCCCAGCTCTTAGGAAGGCACAGGCATGAGGAAAGCTGGAGCCCAGGAGTTCAAGACCTGCCTGGAAAATATAACAAGACCCCATTCTCCACACAAAAGAGGGGGGAAAAGGCAAAAAAAAAAAAGTGTAAAAAGGCCGGGCGTGGTGGTTCACGCCTGTAATCCCAGCACTTTGGGAGGCTGAGGTGAGTGGATCACCTGAGGTCAGGAGCTCGAGACGAGCCTGGCCAACCCGTCTCTACTAAAAATACAGAAATTAGCTGGGCATGGTGGCATGCACCTGTAATCCCAGCTACTCAGGAGGCTGAGGCTGCAGAATCGCTTGATCCTGGGAGGTGGAGGCTGCAGTGAGCAGAGATCGTGCACTCCAGCTTGCGCGACAAGAGGGAAACTCCATCCCCCAAAAAAAAACAAACAAACCAAAAAGTGTAAAAATACATGAGGCAGTTTAAAAAGAACTAGAGAGGGGAGAACAGCAAAGCCATCTTGGAAGACAGAAAATGGGATAAGCGTTGAAAAGTACCAAGAAAAAGTCCAGACACCGTGGCTCACGCCTGTAATCCCAGCACTTTGGGAGGCCGAGTTGGGTGGATCACCTAAGGTCGGGAGTTCAAGACCAGCCTGACCAACATGGTTGAACCCCATCTCTATTTAAAATACAAAAATTAGCCGGGTGTGGTGGCGGATGCCTGTAATCCCAGCTACTTGGGAGGCTGAGGCAGGAGAATCACTTGAACCCGGGAGGTGGAGGTTGCAGTGAGCCAAGATCATGCCATTGCACTCCAGCCTGGACAACGAGAGTGAAACTCCATCTCAAAAAAAAAAAAAAAAAAAAAAAAAAAAAAAGGTACCAAGAAAAAAGTCTAGGTGAGCAGTGAGGAAAGGTGGGAAACGACCTAATTTCAACACCGAATTCCCCATTTCTGCCCCAAACCTCAGAAACTGGCAATGCCAGGGGCCTCTGGAAGAAAAGATCAAGGAGGAGACAAAAACATAAGGACTGGGTCAAATATAAGGCACTGTTAGACCCCTCCCATATCTTCTACACTCCCTGAAGCCAAGTGACTGCCCTTCTCACACCCCACAGAAGGTGGTGGGTTTAGTCTCTGGTGAGGGTTAAACAGAGGGTCTCCGTCCTGGGGGGACACCAGGAACCATACTGAAAGAAGGAAGGTATAATGTACAAATTTCACTGCACATTTTGAAACCCTCAGCTTCTTTTCAACTAGACCCTCAAAATGATGCTAGACAAATCTTTAACCTCCAGGCAGAAGATTTTTCTACAAACCTTCTCTGAAGAATCAGATTAGCCCATGAACAAAAGACTGAAAGACGAAACAGAAGTGTCCTAATGGGGTAGCCCAGTGCTTTCATATTATAGCCAAGCACATCAGCAAGCCCATCCTATAAGCACTGAGCTTCCATCAACAATTTGGTATCCTGTGTACTAAAGCATCCAAGATGAATGGATAGCCAAGAATCCCAAGACATCTGAAGAAATCCACTAATATGACAGACAGAAGTTAAAACAATTAGGAAAATATGTATCTTGGAGGAAATAGACTCTGCATTAAATATCCTCTGAGAAACAGGATATTGCAACCACAGAAAAAGAATGTCATATGAAAGAAACATTTAAAAATAAAATAGAATTTTTGGAATTTAATAAAATATATACCAGAAATTTAAAACGCAATGGAAGGGTTAGGGAAAAAAGTTGAGGTAAGTGCCCAGAAAATACCATTAAAAACATTAAAGTGATGAAAATGACAAAAGAAAGAGATTTAAATTATAGGATTGGTCTAGGAATTCCATTATGGAAATAAAAAGACTTCTAAGAAAAAGAAACAGAGAACACAGGGAGAAAGACAGCATCAATGAAATAATTTGCAACATTTCCCAGAATTTGTGGACACACGTTTATAGATTAATTGGGCCACTAAGTGTCCAGGATAACAAATAAAAATGGACTCATAGCAAGTCCCATCATCCTGAATAGGGGTACAAAGACAGTCTAAAAGCTTCTAGAGAAGGAGGAAAAACAAAAACTGGTCATGTACAAAGGATCAAGAATATTCCCAGCCAGGAAGGTGAATATAATCACACACACACACACTCACAAACATACACACATACGAATCAGATTGGGTTTCATCTTCTCAAAACTGAAACTAGAAGGCAACAACACAAATGCCTTAAAAAGCTCAGGCAAAAAAAGTTATTTATAACTTTCTGAAAACAACTTTCTTGCCTGAAATTTTAAACCCAACTAAACTATCCTTTAAGTGTTAGAGAAGCATCAAGCCTCTCAGATATGGAAGTTCTCAATGCCTCAAGATCACGTACATTCTTTCTTGGGAAGCTACTGGACAAAGTGCTTGATTTAAGCAGGAGAGTAAAGCAAGAAAGAGGAAGACATGAAAACTGGGAAACAAGGAATCCACTATGAAAGCACTAAGGGGAATTTCAAGGATGGTGAAAAAGATCCTATATGACAGTTACTAGCTATAGAGAAAGCCAGGGCAGATCAGAAGGCTATAGTAGAGATCACATTCAAGGAGATGATATCAATATGATATCCAATACATGTCTGGACATATTAAAAGGAGATTAACACATTTAGAAAGAGATTTTGGGGCAGAATTGGTGGTTAAATACATGGAAAACAAGATTGGGGAAAAAAAAGGCAATTGCTAACTCCAGGAAAAAGAAAAGTCATACAGAAAGAAGAAAAATAGTCACAAAGCAGTGCAAAGCTCAGCTTTGAATAACATCTACATAATCATAATAATGTAAACTCTAGATAGCATTACATAGTCATAATAATGGAAACTCTGAACACTGAGTTTGTCAAAACTAAGATAAAATTATACTGGGACTCTGATATGAGGCATGTGTGTTGGAACGAGGAAATAGGGGCAAATCCAGAGGGTGAATGAGCTAAATTTCATCTTTCATGGAGGAAAGTCAATAGATGATACCTAAAATTGAAAACAAAATTAAGATAGCAGCACAATGATCAAGTGTTGTTTTCAGAGATATGGTGGTAAATACCAAAAAAAAAAAAAATCAATTAAAGGAGTTGAGAAGTAGCAGAGGATGGCTATTTTTCTTAATAAGCCTTCAAAAATTACTTGACTCTAAGCCGTCTGCATGAATACTTTTAACAAAAATAAAAACCAATTTTTTAAAAAAGGGAACAAGGAATTCCTACATGCACTGATATGTAACATCCTCTGGCAAAATATAGGACTGTATATATATGGAATGCTAGTATTTGTAGGGAAATCTTAGGGAAGAAAATAGATACCTATTTGCTTATACTTGCAAAAATATCTCTAGGAGAAAACCTCATACACTAGAAACCATAATTGTCTCTTGGGAGGGAAGCTAAGGGTCTAATGCACAAGGGTTGAAGGGAGAAGTTCACCTTTTGAATTTGTATGTAACATCTTTCCAAAAACAAACCACGGCCGGGCGCAGTGGCTCATGCCTGTAATCTCAGCACTTTGGGAGGTTGAGGCGGGCAGATCACCTGAGGTCAGGAGTTTGAAACCAGCCTGGCCAACATGGCAAAACCCCATCTCTACTAAAAATACAAAAATTAGCCAGGCATGGTGGTGTGTGCCTGTAGTCCCAGCTACTCAGGAGGCTGAGGCACAAGAATTGCTTGAACCCAGGAGACAGAGGTTGCAGTGAGCAGAAATCATACCACTGAGCTGAGATCGTGCTGCTGCACTCCAGCCTGGGTGGCAGGGCGAGACTCTGCCTCAAAAAAAAAGGGGGGGAGAATTTAAAAAATAAACATGACATAATTTATGCATATGCAGATATAAGATACATATTTTAAATATCAGCTTCTCTTCCCATACCCTCAAGGGGCTTGGCTTCCACTTGGGAGGGTGCCATGTTGTGAAGTATCTCTTAGAAAGTCCCTCCCATTTTCCCAACTCCTGTGAGGCAGCAAAGGGCTGAGCTCTGGCTCTGAGCTCCCTGCCACAGTATACTAGTCAACCCCTCTAAACCAGCTCCTGCCACACTCATCATACCCATTCTCACCCCTACATTTATGCTTTTATTATTCTTGGCTAGAAAGCCATCCCTGCCCCCTTCTCTCACCTTAGCAAACCATTCTTCGAGGCTTATAAAGCCCCACCTCTCTCAAATAACCCACCCCATCCATCCTGACCCTGGTAGGTTCTTTTCTATAAATAACTCTAATAATTCATTGATTCAACAAATACTGAGCAGCTACTATGTGCCAGGCACCAGAAAATGTGCTGGAGATACAATGATGCACATGCAAGAAGGATGGAGTTTATAGGTCCTCAGGAACTTACTGTCTATGTGACACAACTGCAATGCTTCATCTTATATTCAGTGCATGTGTGTTACCCATCCCTCCTCAATCCCGCCTTTTCACACCCCATCTTTTCCATGAAGAACTCAAGGAAGAAGCCACATGTGCTAGCTTTCTCTCTCCACCTTCATGGTAAGCTTAGTGTGGATCGCAGCCCAGTGACTTAACAGAATGAGATCGTGCCATTTATCAATGGAGTCAACACACTGGGCCTACGTGTTTCTTCACAAAAACCAATTTCCTACTTGGGAATGGAGAAAAAATTAAGCAGGTGAACGGAATTCTTCCCAAGCTTAAATTTTTCTCCATTATTTTTGACATTCTTTTTATTTTTTATTTATTTATTTATTTTGAGATGGAGTCTCGCTTTGTTGCCCAGGCTAGAGTGCAGTGGCGTGATCTCGGCTCACTGCAAGCTCCGCCTCTTGGGTTCACACCATTCTCCTGCCTCAGCACCCCCTGAGTAGCTGGGACTACAGGCGCCTGCCACTGTGCCTGGCTAGTTTTTTTTGTATTTTTAGTAGAGACGGAGATTCACCACGTTAGCCAGGATGGTCTCGATCTCCTGATCTCATGATCCCCCCACCTTGGCCTCCCAAAGTGCTGGGATTACAGGCGTTAGCCACCGTGCCCGATTCTTTTTATTTTTGGAGTCCGCCATCAATGATTTGCCAGAAAGCACCAGGTCATGCCAAAATAGACGAGGGCATAGCAGGTGTTGGTTAACATTTAAATTAAGTAAAGAGTTTATCTTTTATGGATGTGCATATTCACGGTTTTCATTTTCTTTCTTTCTTTCGTGACAGGGTCTTACTCTGTTGCCAAGGCTGGAGTACCATAGCACGATCATAGCACACTGCATTCTTGAAGTCCTGGGCTCAAGCCATCCTCCTGCCTCAGCCTCCAGAGTAGCTAGGACTACAGACTCACGCACTGTGGCCAGCTAATTATTTTTTTGTAGAGACAAGAGCTCACTATGTTGGCCAGGCTGGTCTCTAACTCCTGGCCTCAAGTGATCCTCCTGCCTTGGCCTCCCAAAGTGCTAGGACTGAAGACATGCTGCTGTGCTCAATCATGATAGTCATTTCCTATTGGAGCTTACTATGTGTCAAGTGAGCATTTCTAAGTAGTTTCAAGAGAGCTGACTATGCAATTTTGTGTTAAAACCTAGAGACCATGAGGAATCAAATATATGAACACAGGGTGTCCTTGTCAATTACAACATTGCCTCACAGTTAAGAGGTGGTCTAGCGCAGGCATCTCAAACCACCGACTGGTACTGCACAGCAGGAGGTGAGTAGTGGGCTTCATCTGTATTTACAGCCACTCCCTATCACTCCAATTACTGCCTGAGCTCTGCTTCCTCTCAGATCAGAGGCGGCATTAGACTCTTATAGAACCACCAACCCTACTGTGAACTGCACATAAGAGGGATCCAGGCTGTGTGCTCCTTATGAGAATCTAATGCCTGATGATCTGTCACTGTCTCCCATCACCCCCAGATGGGACCGTCTAGTTGCAGGAAAACAAGCTCAGGGCTCCCACTGATTCTACATGATGGTGAGTTGTATAATGATTTCATTATATATGACAATGTAATCATAGAAATAAAGTGCACAATAAATGTAATGCGCTCGAATCATCCCGAACCATCTCTCCCCTGCGGTCCATGGAAAAACTGACTTCTATGAAACTGGTCCCTGGTGTCAAAAAGGTTGGGGACTGCTGGTCTAGGAAAGCAAAAGTCCCCACAACACAAAAGTATTCTTCAATGACTACAAGAGCGATCAAACTCCACCGAAACCTCCTTCTCCGACGATTCAGTGGCTTCACCTTGCCAATTATTGGGTATCAATAGCCACCATCATGATATGAACACAAAACAAAGTGGCAGTTCTGGAAAACAAGGTGCAGTGACTGGCAAAGTCAGTGGCCTTGGAAAGGCCAAAAAAAAGATTCAGGGGCCAAGTGTGGTGGTGCACACCTGTAATCCCACCACTTTGGGAGGCCGAGGTGGGAGGATCACCTGAGGCCAGGAGTTCAAGACCAGTCTGACCAACATGGTAAAGCCCCATCTCTACTAAAAATACAAAATTAGCCTGGTGTGATGGTGCATGCCTGTAATCCCAGCACTATGGGAGGCTGAGGCGGGCAGATCACAATGTCAGGAGATCGAGACCATCCTGGGTAACATGGTGAAACCCCATCTCTACTAAAAATACAAAATTAGCCGGGTGTGGTGGCACATGCCTATAATCCCAGTTACTTGGGAGGCTGAGGCAGTAGAATCGCTTGAACCCAGGAGGTGGAGGTTGCAGTGAGCTGAGATCACACCATTGCACTCCAACCTGGGCACCAAGAGGGAAACTCCATCCGGAAAAAAAAAAAAAAAAAGAAAGAAAGAAAGACAAAAGAAAGAAAAAGATTCAGGGCAATTCACAGCTGAATGAACGCTAAGACCACAGGGGCTTTGAGAGACTTAAACACTAAAGAAGTAAAAGAAGCCCTTAGGAAAACTGGTGACCCATCAAATAAATCTGTAAGAATGATCCTTTTTAGCTCGGGCTGCAGAAGTCAAGCATGACATGAAGATGTCGTTTTATGCTCACATGATTTCATCCCTCAGCCCAGAAAAAGTTACAGAAAAAAACCCCACACCCACTCTTAATTCATTTTATACTGAATCTACAAATTAGCACCTACTTGTAATTAAAATAAAATTCTTATTACATGTAAGCTGAAATTAACCTATTTTTATAATTTGCAATGTTGGTTTTCTTTTCTTTTCTTTTGAGACAAGGTCTGGCTCTCTCACCCAGGCTGGAATGCAGTGGCGTGATCTCGGCTCACTGCAACCTCCACTTCCTGGTCTCAAGCGATCCTCCCACCTCAGCCTCCCAAGAAGTGGGACTACAGGTATGTGCTACCACACCAAAGTAATTTTTGTATTTTTTGTAGAGACAGGGTTTCGCCATATTGCCCAGGCTGGTCTCGAACTCATGACCTCGAGCAATCCACCCATCTGGGCTTCCCAAAGTGCCAGGATTACAGGCGTGAGCCACTGTGCCTGGCCTGCAATGTCATTTTTCAAGCTCAGTCAAATATTTTGCCCACTCTCTTTCCCTCCTCCACACACATACTATCTACAGTGAAACTTTGGTCTCTGTTTTAAGTGATCTTTTTCTGGAACGAATTATCTTCAGATAGTAAAAATTTCCTTCATTTCATGCCATTTAGTTCAGTTAGTGTAATGAAAGGTCACGTAACAAAATGTTAATGGTGATGAGTTTTGGATGATAGAATCATAGGTGCCAGCAAGTTCTCTTTTACTTAAATATATGTTTAAGTTTTTCTAGAATGAATATACAATATTAAAGACTTTTTCAAGTTACAAATAAATTTTTTCAGAGCACTGTAGAAATGCTTACCCATCTGTCGCTCCCCCTCCTTCTCCTTTGCTAACAGAATTTTCTTTCTTTTTGGTATTTAGATTAAAATGTGCTTAGTGGGACCTCAGCTCCAGAAAAGAACCAGGAATTGCTGGGTATGGTGGCTTATGCCTGTAATCCCAGCACTTTGGGAGGCCGAGGCGGGTGGATCATGAGGTCAGGAGATCGAGACCATCCTGGCTAACAAGGTGAAACCCCGTCTCTACTAAAAATACAAAAAATTAGCCGGGCGCGGTGGCGGGCGCCTGTAGTCCCAGCTACTCGGGAGGCTGAGGCAGGAGAATGGCGTGAACCCGGGAAGCGGAGCTTGCAGTGAGCCGAGATTGCGCCACTGCAGTCCGCAGTCCGGCCTGGGCGACAGAGCGAGACTCCGTCTCAAAAAAAAAAAAAAGACAGATACCTGACTCCAGGAGCCATCACTTTACAACCTGAGATTACAGCTCCAAGATTGCCTTTGCAAGGCTCCACCTGCTGGTCTTTGGAGGTAATGGCAGGCCCTGCCTAGAAGGGCCAAGATTCTGGTCCTACCTGTGGAGTCTGGCTCACTGTCAGAAAGTTGGGGCACTTATACCTGAGTCCCTCTATCTTGGGGGCGGGGTCGTGGCATCTCTCAGGCACACCTGGATTCCGGCCTCAAGAACTTCCAGAATTGGGCTCCTCTCAACTCCCAACTCAGATCCCTGGGTTCCCACCTGTTGGTGCCCTTTCAGAGGGGGTGTGAGTTTTCGAGTTTCTTGTACTCTTCGCCTGACCTGGTACACTTGTTTGCATTAACTGCCTAGTCCCTCTGTTTGACTTGGGGGTGGCTATTTCAGGGGCTCCAAAGTGTTCTAAATAGAAGGTGAGAAGGCCTGGGTGCAGTGGCTCATGCCTATAATCCCAGAACTTTGGGAGGCCAAAGTGGGAGGATCGCCTGAGGCCAAGAGTTTGAGACCAACCAGTATAGCAAGATCCTGTCACTTCCAAAAACAAAACAAAACAAAACAAAAACAAAACAAAAAAACCCACCTTTTTAAAATTAGCTTGACATGACAGTCCACACCTATAGTCCCAGCTACTTGGGAGGCTGAGGCAGGAGAATTGCTTGAGCCCAGGAGGCGGAGGTTGCAGGGAGCCGAGATGGCACCACTGCACTTCAGCCTGGGCGAGAAAGTGAGACCCTGTCTCAAAAATAATAAAACAATAGTAAAAATAATAACGTATAAACATGAAAGTAATAGGCACAAGTCTTAAGTTTGGAAAAACCAGCATTAACAATCTTCACAAGAAGCTACAAGATAGAGACTATCACCCCTTTTGACAAATGAGGAAACTGAGGCTGAAGAGGAAAAGATATTTACCCACAGTCCCACAGGGGTTGAGGGACAGGTAGGTGTCAACACAGACCACAATGGCTCAGCCCCAGGGCTGTTCCCCACCCTCTTTCCATCCTTTGCAGACAGCTGGCCCGACGGGGACCTTGGGCAGCGAGCCCCGGAGCTGGAGCTGGAGCGGGCCCATGCCCGTATTTGCCCAAGCTCTTGGCTCTCCCTCACCCTCCCAGGCTGCAAACACAGATGTTCCTTTTGCTTTTTCCCTTTTTCAGCCACAGTAACTCCTGGTCCCTCGCAGTGCCTGCCAAACTCCACATTCCTGGCAAGAACTGCAGACAAGCAGGACAGGAGGGGCTCCCTGGAGCTGGCCCCGTGCAGCCCTGAGTTCACTCACCTTGAAGCATGCTCCGGTAGGCCGTGTCTGCGATGGCGTAGATGTGAGGCGGCATCTCGTGCCTCTTCTTGCCCTTGTACATGTCGACGATCTTCTCCGAGTAGATGGGCAGGTGTTTATAGGGGTTGACCACCACGCAGAAGAGGCCAGAGTACGTCTGCAGACAGAGAACCCAGCTTACTTCCAGACCTCCTCCAGGGTAGACAGATTGCACAGAAGCACTCAATATTCTCATGTTAGAGATGGGGAAACTGGAGCTTGGAGTCTTAGTGGAAACCCTGGGCCTCACTGATATTCCAGGTACGTGGGAAGAGGAGAAAGGGCGAGAGTGGGTTTCCAAGCTGCCTATGTTTTATTTTGCAACTGTGGGGGGTTTTGTGTTTGTTTTGAGATGGGGTCTCACTCTGTCACCTAGGCTGGAGTGCGGTGGTGTGAACGTGACTCACTGAAACCTTGACCTTTCTGGACTCAGGTGATCCTCCTACCTCAGCCTCCTGAGTAGCCAGGACTACAGGCGGGCGCCACCAGGCCTGGCTGATGTTTATATTTTCTGTAGAGACATGGGTTTCACTGTGTTGCTCAGGCTGGTCTCAAATTCCTGGGCTCAAGCAATTCTCTCATTTCAGCCTCCCAAAGCACTGGGATTATAGTTGTGAGCCATTGCACCTGGCCAAACTGTGGAGTTTTGAAGAGCTCTGGGTTCAAATCTCAGCTCCACTCCTCCGACCTGCCACTTTACCTCCCCGGACCTCACTGGCTTAAATAACAGCCACCGTTCATTGAGCACTTACTATGTGTTGGGCACCGAACTAAGCACTACGCAGGATCTTTTTTGGATGCTGACAATCATATTAAATGCTCATCATTTAACAGGTGGCACAGAAAATGAACAGTGTGCTTAAGATATTAACTCAGGAACATTTAATAAAGAAAGTGTTTACAGATATGTGTGCAGAATTAAAGAAACCCAACCAGTGACGGGAGCAGTTAAGTCTGAAGAGCAAGAACAGAAGAGAATGTTGTTTACTTTTTTTTTTTTTTGAGACAGGGTCTTGCTCTGTCGCCCAGGCTGCAGTGTAGTGGGGTGATCTTGGCTCACTACAACCTTGAGTTTCTGGGCTTAAGTGATCCTCTCGCCTCAGCCTCCCAAGTAGGTGGTACCACAGGTGTGCACAACCATGCCCAGGTAATTTTTATTTTGTTTTTTGTAGAGACAGGGTTTCACCATATTGCCCAGGCTGGTCTCGAACTCCTGAGCTGAGGTGATGCGCCAGTCTCAGCCTCCCAAAGTGCTGGGATTACAGGTGGGAACCACCGCACTCAGCCAGAGAGGGAATGTCGTTAACTGAACATTGGAGGCATAGAAAGCCACACACCCCTAAAAAGGGGCTGTCCAGAGGGATCCGCAGTCATACAGAAACACAGCTGCCAAAACTGTGGTCCAGGAGGGAGGGAGGAAAAGGTAATAATCCTCCAAGCTCTCTCTCCTCCCACCACCCTCTGATCTCTTTCTGGGACCTCCCAATGTCCATATCTAAGAAGAAACCCCAGTGACTCAGTCTCTAGAAGATGGCAGAGGCATCTCCTCGTGGCATCTTCACAACTACTCAGTAACAGTGATTTCCCCACCGCCTGTTTGACAGGAGGGCAAAGTGAGGCATGGTGAGGTTGTCACCAGGTTACACAGCTGGAGGGAAGTTGGGAACTAGAACTCCTGTTTACCCCACAGCGCCTGCTCCTGATCATTAATACCTTCCCCATCTGCAAAACAGAGACCAACACTGACATGAGCTCTCCAATGTGGATGAAGCTTGAAAATATGCCTAGTGAAAGAAGCCAGGCACGAAAAGTCACGTACTCTATCATCTCATTTATGTGAAGTGTCTAGAGTAGGCAAAGCCATGGAGACAGAAAACAGACTTGTGGTTCCCAGAGGCTGGAAAGAGGTGGGAAATGAGGAGGAACTGCTCATGGGTATAAGGTTTCCTTTTGAGGCTATAAAAATGCTCTGGGGCCAAGTGTAGTGGCTCATGCCTGTAATCCCAGCACTTTGGGAGGCCAAGGTGGGAGGATTGCTTCAGGCTAAGTGTTTGAGACCAGCTCAGGCAACAACAGCCGGACCCCCTCTCTACAAAAAAAAAAAAAAAAAAAAAATAGCTGGCCATGGTGGTGATCACCTGTAGTCCCAGCTACTTGGGAGGCTGAGTCAGGAGGATTGCTTGATCCCAGGAGCTCAAGGTAATAGTGAGCTATGATTGTACCATTGCACTCTAGCCCCTGGGTGACAGAGCAAGACCCTGTCTTGAAATTGATAGCTGTACAACATTGTGAATGCACTTAATGGCACTGTTTTCTTTAAAATGTTTAAAATGGTAAATTTTATGTCATATGCACTTTACCATTTAAAAAATAGCAGTCCTCTCCTACTGGGTGAATAGGAGCATCTGAAAATAATCAGATCAGGGACGGAGGAGTCAAGGCACAAGGCGAGTCCCGCCATGCTGTACGTGGTAAGGCACTATTGTCATGATTTTTCCTTACTGGATACTAGATTTTCCCATGGTTGAGGTCACAGTTCAGGAGACAGGCTCCAACCCGTCTCACAGGAACTGCTTTCCCCAAACGATAAACATCAGTACTGCCCAAGACTCTGATGGCCATAAAGCGTATCCTCTTCCCTGCAAGTGACTTAGGGAGAACCACAGATCCATCTCTCAGTTACAGCTAGGGTGAACCAAGCAACAGAGGGTTAAGTGACTTGACCGAGGTCACCAAAGAAGATCCTGGCAGCACCAAGCCCAGCCTGGCCCGCCCCCAGGTATGAGCATGGTCCATTATGCTATCCAGCCTAGGCCCATCCAACAGAAACAGAAACTACTGATCGTTCGTTCATTCATTCATTCATTCATTCATTCATTCATTCATTCTGTACGTCCCAGATGCCATGCAAAAGGTGCTGGGACTACATTAGAACATTAAAAAAACACAGGATCCCAGCCCTCAAGGGCCTTTTAGTCAAGGGCTGGAGCCAATTAGAGAGTGGGAAAGTCTGGCTGGGTGTGGTGGCTCACAACTGTAATCCCAGCACTTTGGGAGGTCAAGGCAGGAAGATTGCTTGAGCCCAGAAGTCTGAGACCAGCTTGGGCAGCACAGTGAGACCCCCATCTCTATAAGAAATTTAAAAATTAGCTGGGCATGGTGGCATTCACCTGTAGTCCCAGCCACTTGGGAGGCTGAGGTGGGAGGTTTGCTTAAGCCTGGGAGGTTGAGGTTGCAGTAAGCCGTGATTGTGCCATGCACTCCAGCCTGTGTGACACGGTGAGACCTTGTCTCAAAAAAGAAAAAGAAAGAAAAAGAGAGAGTGGGAAGGTCCTTCCAGGGCTCAGTCCACTCAGGGACAATGGTATGTAATGTCTGGGGGTGCTGCAGAGGAATATTCTTTGAAGGTACAGGATTGTTGGGCGCAGTGGTTCACACCTATGATCCCAGTACTTTGGGAGACCAAGGAGGGCAGATTGCTCACACTCAGGAGTTCAAGACCAACCTAGGCAACACAGTGAGACCCTGTTTCTACCAAAAATACAAAAAATTAGCAGGGCATGGTGGCACATGCCTGTAGTCCCAGCTACTCGGCAGGCTGAGGCAGGAGAATCACTTGAACCTGGGAGGTGGAGGGAGGTTGTAGTGAGCCAAGGTGGTGCCATTGCACTCCAGCCTGGGTGACAGAGGGAGAACCCATCTCAAAAAAAAAAAAAAAAAAAAAAAAAAGGAAACAGGATTGATGGAGACGGAGGTTCTCACCATCCCCTAAAAGGAGAATGAATGAGTCAACATATGCCTGTCTAAATAGCCATCAACCATTTACTGAGCACCTACTATATACCACATCTGTGTCAGAGGCTGGAGATAAAGAAATCAATGATAGCTCCTGCCCTTAAAGAACTTAAATCAGAGGGGGAGACAAGTACATTAAAACACGTCGTAAGAACAGAGAATGATAGGAACAAGGAAGGGAAGGCCCTAACCCACATTGGGGGTGGTCAGGGAAACCTCCAGGTGGGGAGGTATTCCCTGCACTGAGTCTTAAAGGACAACAAGGTGTTAACCAGCTCAAGACAAAGCAGGGACATGGGCAGAAAAACAGGACACGGGGTCCGTGGGGGTGAACTATAAGCAGCTTGGTATAAGCGGCTCCATCGGACCGAAATGGAGAAGCAAAGCAAGGGTTAGAGGTAAGCGGGGCCCAGGAGCAACATCCAGCCTGGTGGGGCTGGGAGTGGGGGGCTGCCTGCCTGGACACCCCTCTTCCCCATTCCATCACCCAGGACCCTCCCACCCATCCTGCAAACACCAGCTGCAAGTGCCTTGAGTCCGGGGAACCCCCTTTCTCCTCTTCAGTCCCAGCACAGGCCTTGGTATAGAATAGGTGCTAACTAAATGCTTGCTAAATGCATGCCAGGGGAATAAATTAATGATACAGCTTCCTGGGAGCAGGGACAGCCTGACTTCACCTCCGTGACCTGGGGGCCTTGCACGGCGGCAGTAGGTACTCAGTGGACTACACTGAGCCAGGCCAGGGGCTATTTCCTGTTCAATCAGTGTCCCCTGTCCCCAGGACAAGCCTCCCAAAGAGAAGAGCCCAGTCTGTGGTCACCTGAACAAAGGTCAATCAAGCCCCACCCTCCTTCAGGCCTCGACTCCATCTCCAGCTCCTCTGGGGCCATGTCCACTGCCACGCCCCTTTTGAATGTAGGTATCATTTACAGCCCAACCTGTCCTCACTCAAGCCCTTGACCTGGAGGCAGTAAAGGGCAGTGGCTAAGGGCTCAGAACTGGGTATGGGGTACTTGAATTTGAACCTTCACTTTGCTACTTCTTCGCTGTGTGACCCTGGGCAAGTCCCTTAACCTCTCTGAGTCTCACTTATCCTCATCTACAAAACAGGGAGGCATACGAACAAGCCCTTCATAGATGTGCTGCGAGATAATGCTCGAAAAGCATTTAGCATGGCGGCTGGTATGTAGTAGGTGCTCAATCAATGTTATTTAGTGACTCTTACTATGCTCCCTTCATTTCACGAGAGGGAAGTCTTGCCACCTTAGAGCCTTCAATATGCTGTTCTCTCCACTTGGAACACTTTTCCCCTCATCTTCCCACAGCTGGTTCCCTCTCCTCTTTTAGAGCTCTGCCTAAATGTTACCTCCTGGACTGTGACCCACACACTACTGTATCTCCTGCACCCCGCACAGTGCCAGGGACAGGGTAGACACTCAGTCAGCTGTAATCCCAGCACTTCGGGTGGCCAAGGAGGTCAGATCACTTGAGGTCAGGAGTTCGAGACCAGCCTGGCCAACATGGCAAAACCCCGTCTCTACTAAAAATACAAAAATTAGCCAGGCATGATGGCAGGCGCCTGTAATCCCAGCTAGTCGGGAGGCCGAGGTAGGAGAATCACTTGAACCCAGGAGGTGGAGGTTATAGTGAGCTGAGATCATGGTGCTGCACTCCAGCCTGGGCAACAGAGTGAGACTCTAAAAAAAAAAAAAAAAGAAGGAAGGAAGGAAGGAAAGTAAGAAAGAAAGGAAGAAAGAGAGATGAGAGATAGAGAAAAGAAAAGAATAAAAGGAATTTTTAAAAAGAAGGAAGAGGCCGGGCATGGTGGCTCACACCTTTAATGCCAGCACTTTGGGAAATCGAGGAGGTCAGATCACTTGAGGTCAGGAGTTTGAGAACAGCCTGGCTAACATGGCAAAACCCCGTCTTTACTAAAAATACAAAAATTAGCTGGGTGTGGTGGCGCATGCCTGTAATCCCAGCTACTCAGGAGTCTGAGGCAGGAGAGTCACCTGAACCAAGGAGGCAGAGGTTATGTGAGCCGAGATCATGCCACCACACTCCAGCCTGGGTGACAAAGTGAGACTGTCTCAAAGAAAAAAAAAAAAAGAATAAAATGAATTTTTAAAAAGAAGGAAGGACCACACTGCCTTTTCAACTCCATCACTAGCTTCTGAAAGAGGAATATGACTTCCATCCTCTTTGTTTGGGACATCTCTCCCAGTGCCGTGCACACAACAAGCACTTAATCCATACTTCCAGGTAGATCTGAATCTCTGCTGAGTTCTGTAAAAGCTTTCTAAGCAAGCCAGGGTATGACGATGGAGTGAAGGTAAGACTGGTGCAGGCAGCCGCACATCTCACGGCAGGGTCGTGGGGCTTCAGCATCGGGCTCTTCCTCCCACATTATTCAGCCACTTCTCCTTCACCTCGACCCAGCCCAACCATAGTTGGCTGTGTTTCTGCCTCTCTGGCCCCACGAGCCCCTCTCCAGCTGGTTAAATTCAGAGGTTTCAACATCCCAGCCTCCTGTGTCCCAGCCGGCATCTCATGGGCCCTGTGCCACCAGCAAGTCCCAGCTGCAGGCCCAGGATTTCCCTCTTGTGACCGTATTAGGAAGCAGCTCCAGTTTTTCTCTGACGCTTTATATGGTCAGCCACAGAGCCCTGAGCAGGGGGTGCTCCCGGGGCCTGCAGCAGAAATGAGGAACAGGGAGGGAAGGGAGGGAAGTGGAAGGAACACTGGCTTTCAGACACACAGGGATGGCCGGGCGCAGTGGCTCACACCTGTAATCCCGGCACTTTGGGAGGCCAAGGTGGGTGGATCACCTGAGGTCAAGAGTTCGAGACCAGCCCGGCCAACACAGTGAAACCTCATCTCTACTAAAAATACAAAAATTAGCAAGGTGTGGTGGCGCGTGCCTGTAATCCCAGCTACTCGGGAAGCTGAGGCAGGAGAACTGCTTGAACTCAGGTGGCAGAGGTTGCAGTGAGCTGAGATTGTGCCACTCCACTCCAGCCTGGGTGATACAGCGAGACTTGGTCTCAAAAAAAAAAAGACACACAGGCCTGGGCAGAGTGTTGGCTTTGCCTTATCACCTGCCTGACTTGTGCATACAGACCTACCCCTGAGCTTCCTCAGTAAAGTGATGGATAATCACGGCTTCTTTATGAAGCTGCAGTGCAATATCACGGCTTTCTAAATACCCAACCTAGAGACAGACGTGGTCCACCAAGCACGTGCTTTTGCTGCAGCCTTGCTTTTAAGAGCAAAAAGACTAGAAACAACCTAAATACCTGTCAATAGCAGACAGGCTTAATCATTATGGTTCATCCCTATAGCAGAAGACTGTGCAGTGGCCCTCTCTCTACTACCATGGATGAATGGCCAAAATACACAGTTAGATGCAAAGATTGAGACGCACAACAGCCGGGGCCTGTGCTGCCATTTTGGAGGGGTGCAGGAGGGGCTCTCTATGTGGCTGCATGTGTATAAAACATCACTGGAGGCTGGATGGAGCAGCTCACACCTGTAATTGTAGCACTTTGGGAGGCTGAGGTGGGTGGATCACTTGAGGTCAGGAGTTCAAGACCAGCCTGGCTAACATGGCAAAAACCCATCTTTACAAAAAATACAAAAATTATCTGGGTGTGGTGATGCACACCTGTAATCCCAGCTACTCAGGAGGCTGGGGCGGGATGATCGCTTGAATCCAGAAGGCATAGGTTGCAGGAGCCGAGATCGCACCATTGCACTCCAGCCTGGGTGACAGAGTGAGACTTTATCACAAAAAAAGCAATAGGCTGGGCACAGTGGCTTAAGCCTGTAATCCCAGCACCTTGGCAGGCCGAGGCAGGTGGATCACCTGAGGTCAGGAGATCGAGACCAGCCTGGCCAACATGGCAAAACCCCCTCTCTACTAAAAATACAAAAATCAGCTGGGTGTGGTAGTACACGCCTGTAGTCTCAGCTACTTGGGAGGCTGAGGGAGGAGAATTGCTTGAACCTGGGAGGGGGCTGTTGCAGTGAGCCAAGATCATGCCACTTCACTCCAGTCTGGGTGAGAGAGTGAGACTCCATCTCGAAAAATAATATAAATAAATAAATAACATGACTGGAGGGCTACATATGTAACCAGCAACCACAGTGTCTCTAAGAAGGGGAACTGGAAGGGCGAGAAATAGGAACGAAGGGGGAAGTTCTATATTCCCTTATACACTATTTTATTTCATATTTGCATGTCTTACCTATTCAAAAACATATTTGAAGTCTGACTAGATAGTTATGAACAGACAGAAAAAACTATAAGGTAGGGTTAAGTGGAAAAAAAATCATACTGCAAAACATACAAGGAGTGACTTTTTCTTATGTTTGGGGTGTGTGTGTGTGTGTGTGTGTGTGTGTGTGTGTACATACATGAACCTGTGAATCATGTTTGCCTCCAGGGAAGAGGGCTGCTTTTTGTGATACATACTTATTTTTAAATATTCTCCTGAGGTCTTTGCATAGATTATCCTTGTATTACTGGAGGAGGTTCTTTGAAGCAATAATGACTTGAAAGATCAGAAGGCTGGGTGCAGTGGCTCATGCCTGTAATCCCAGCACGTTGGGAGGCGGAGGTGGGAGGATCATCTGAGTTCAGGAGTTCAAGACCAACCTGGCCAACATGGTGAAACCACTTCTCTACTAAAAATACAAAAATTAGCTGGGCGTGGTGGCATGTGCCTGTAATCCCAGCTACTGGGAGGCTGAGGCACAAGAATCGCTTGAACTCAGGAAATGGAGGTTGCAGTGAGCCAGGATCACACCACTGCTCTCCAGCCTGCGTGACAGAGCGAGACTCCATGTTAAAAAAAAAAAAAGATCAGAAGGGCTAATGCTTGGGGCTTGACAAAGGGCAGCTTCCAGTTACAGTGTCTTTCTACCCTCTAGGGACCAGTGCAGTGGCTGGCACCCAGGAGGCCTCTGTTCACAATCTGCTTGTTCCTTGTGTCCCCGGGTGGACACTGCTTCCAGAGTAGGCTAAGATTGCTGGGCCAGGTCTCTAAGGCGGAAAAATTGTCACCTGCTAAAGTTTGGAAGGAGGGCTTCTCCTGACCCCCTGGGCATTCCAGAAGCAGAACCAGAACTGGAAAAATGTCCTTTGGGGTTCATGGTTCAGGGACTTGGGCTTGGAGTTCCAATGAGCAGGGGGGCCCATCCACCTTGGCTCTGGATCATGATTTTCCCAACCCCAGAGGTTTGGTATAGGGTGGAGGGTCCCACTGTCTACAGAGACAAAGCAGGTAAGGCATGAGTGAAGCAGGGCGTGTGTGAGTGAACAAAAGAGGTGCCACGGTCAATGGTTACCATGGCCTGGGAGACGACAGGGAGTGGTGAGGTCTGCGGAAAAGCAGAGCAAAAAGCCCATCTCACAGGGACTGCTACTCGCACTCTGCATTCTGCAGTGTCAGGTCCTCTGCTTTTTCGAGCAATGCCAGAAACAGATTTCTTTTTTTGATATATTAAGTTAACTCAATTTAAAAACAAAAATCACTCCTCTGTGTTAGCAGGTTGTAATCATTAGTCTAGCACCTAGTTAGGTGCTCAAGGAATCATAATAAAAGGTTCAATTCCTTCTTGCTCTGCACTTAAAGCTTGTCTACCTCAAAGCTAACAAGGCCTCTGGCACTGTCCCCTCCTGCTCCAGCCCACGACCATCACCTCCTGCTCTAAGCCTATTACCCCAAGAGCCCTTTGCTACTAATCATAGGTAGTCACCCTGGCCCTGGACTCACACAGACCTTGTCTGAATCCCAGCTCTGCCCACCTTCCAGTGGTGGGACTAAGCACATCTGAGCTTCAGCAACCTCATCTTTTTTTTTTTTTTTTTTTTTTTTTTTTTTTTTTTTTGAGATGTAGTCTCACTCTGTCACCCAGGCTGGAGTGCAGTGGCACAATATCATGCCTGTAATCCTAACACTTTGGGAGGCCGAAGTGGTGAAGATTGCTTGAGCTCAGGAGTTCGAGATCTGTTTGGGCAATACGGTGTGACCCCACCTCTACCAAAAACACAAAAAAATTAGCTGGGCATCGTGCTACATGCCTGTAGTCCCAGCTACTAAGGAGACTGAGATAGGATCCCTTGAGTTCCAGGAGGCAGAGGTTGCAGTGAGCTGAGATCATGCCACTGTACTCCAGCCTGGGCAACAGAGTAAGACCCCATCTCAAAAGAAAGAAAAAGAAAAAAGAAGAAAGAAAAAAGAAGACAGAAAGACAGAGAAAGAAAGGAAGAAAGAGAGAGGGAGGGAGGGAGGGAGGAAGGAAGGAAGGAAGGAAGGAAGGGAGGAACGAACTAACTAACTCGAGGCAGACGAACTCAGCCAAAAGACAGCATTCAGAAGACCAAGGGACCCTTAGGACCAGGCGTCAAAGCCATGCTCCCCGCCAGGTATGCCACAAACGGTCTTCAGCAGTTTAGGTAGACTGCTGGACATTGCTGAGCCCAGAACCTGCATCTCTAAGATTAGGAGGAAAGCTCCTCTGGCTTCTATAGACTCTTCTAGATCCAAGAGCACAAGAGGTCTGCCAGAACCTTCTCAAGGGCACATCGTTTGAGGCGAGCCTTGCAGAACGGAGGAGAAAGTTTATCTTCATCACAGAGGGCAAAGTCATGCATGCCAGACCACGGACCTGGTATCACCTCACTACCCGCCTATTAACAAGACTCATGCATGCTGCTATTATGGGCTGGGAGAGTAAGTTACTGTGCTCCCCCACCCCAACCCCTTTCCTTCTTTATCTTCTCCGTCATGGACGACGGTTTCTATTAAGCAATTAAACTGACCAGAAAGGAACAAGAGAAGAGCGGGACCATCATCACAAGGCTGAAAGGATTTTAATCTAATCTGTCCAGAGAAGCATAGCAGGAATTTGAAGCTTTGATTCATTTATTTTTAATCTGCTGTCAGAAGATATTTTGGGTCTCAGGACCTTCATATGCCCTTTTTTTTTCTGATTTCTATTTGAGGACAGCAGGTGAGATGAATACACAGGCCTGTCCTGAAACTCCCTAGATGGTGATGATACGTCTTAGATGAAAGACCTGGGCCCCAAAGAGTCCAATTTTCCCTCTAGCTCCCTACAGACGGGCCTCTTTAGAAATATCCAACATACTGGCTGGGCGTGGTGGTTCAGGCCTGTGATCCTAGCACTTTGGGAGGCCGAGGCAAGTGGATCACCTGAGGTCAGGAGTTGGAGACCAGCCTAGCCAACATGGTGAAACCCGTCTCTACTAAAAATACAAAAATCAGCCAGGCATGGTGGCACATCCCTGCAATCCCAGCTACTCGGGAGGCTGAAGCAGGAGAATCACTTCAACCCGGGAGGTGGAGGTTGCAATGAGCCAAGATCGCTCCACTTCACTCCAGCCTGAGCAACAAAAGTGAAATTCCATCTCAAAAAAAAAAAAAAGAAGAAAGAAAGAAAAAGAAAATGTCCACCATACAAACAGCCCCAGATCAATAATTTTTCCATACAAACAGTGCCACAGACAAGAGACTTCCCCTACTTAAGAAAGTAAAGATACATTTTGCAACACTGCACCTCAGCTTCCTTCCCTAAAAGGGGCAAACATTTTTAACTCAGGGGATGCTGTGTTAAATAAAATACAATGTGTCAATGTACAGCACTTGGATTGGAGGACATATTTAATAGTTACGGCCAGGCACAGTGGCTCACACCCGTAATCCCAGCGCCGTGAAAAGTCAAGGCAGGAGATGGCTTGAGGCCAGGAGTTTGAGACCAGCCTGGGCAATATAGTGAGATCCCAGTCTCTACAGAAGTTTTTTTTTTTTTTTTTAATTAGCCAGGTGTGGTGGTGCACACCTGTGGTCCACAGCTACTCAGGAGGCTGAGGTGAGAGGATCGTTTGAATCCAGGACTTGGAAGCTGTACTGAGCTACGATAGAACCACTGCACTCCAGCCTCAAAGACAGAGTAAGCCCCCATCTCAAAAAAAAAAAAAAAAGTTATGAGTTGCTAAGTTGCTCACTCTTACCATTTGGCTCTTTAAAAAGCCACTCTAACTCCTTCTGAAATATCTATAAGAACAGTGGAAAAATGGCCTATCCCCATGACAGATTCTATACTACCCCTTACAAGGGGTATCTTTGGGGCTTCCTGAGATATATTACACAAGTCAACACTGAGCATTTCCAAATGGAAAAAAGAGCAAGTCACTAAACTGTGTGCCCAATAGGCTTTTAAATATGTAAACAGATACCATGCTCACAAAGAGACAAAGAATGCACCGCATCTCTGGTTAAGGACTAATTTTTCTGTTTTGTGTTCACTATGCTTTCTGAACTCTCCAAGTGTTCCATAGTGAACGTGTCTTAGTTTCCTAATTAGGAAAAAAATGTGCAGGACATTTTTAGAGATGACAAGGGGCTTTTTGTAATTTTCATTTGGCAAAATGTACAGACCAGAACCAAAGAGACACAAGGATGCCAAGTGATGGAAGAAGAACATCTTACTAGTAAAATCAAAAGTGATCATGACCACAGCAAAAACCAATCTAGTAACACTTAACATTTTCAGTGCCTGCACTTAACATGTAGCAGGAAGTGTATTAAGTGCTTTCTATTTAGAGTAACCCACTCCATGAAGCTGGTACTATTTTTTTTTTTTTTTTTTTTTGAAACAGACAAGGTCTTGCTCTGTCACCCAGGCTAGAGTGCAGTGGCACAATCATAGCTCACTGCAGCCTTGAACTCCTGGGCTCAAGTGATCCTCCTGCCTCAGCCTCCCTGAGTAGCTGGGATTATGAGTACGCACCACTGCACCTGGCTAATTTATTTTTGCAGAGATGGGGTCTCGTTGTGTTGCCCAGGCTGGTCTCAAACTCCTGGGCTCAAGTGAGCCACCTGCCTCAGTTTCTCAAAGTGCTGGGATTACAGGCATGAGCCACTATGCCCGGCTCCCAAGAGGCTGGCACTATTCTTGCATCCATTTTACAGAAAAGGAAACAAAGCTTCAGAGGCATGAGGTAACCTGCTCGAGGGTGAGCAAGGCCTTTCAGAGAGAAGACATAGACATAGGCCGGGTTGGGTGACCTCTGCACATCAGTCTGGCGACCCGTGCCCCACAACATCACACTCCAAGCCCCAATCATCTAGTCCAAGCAGTCCAACAGAACTTTCTATGATAATGGGAACATTCTGCACTTATGCTACCCAGTACACCAGCCACTAGCCACAGGTGGCTATTGACTACTTGACCTAGGGCCAACACAACAAAAGAAATAAATTTGTTATTTTTTATTGTCTTTTACTTATGTATTTATTTAGAGATGAAGTTTTGCTCTTATTGCCCAAGCTGGAGTACAATAACGCGATTTTGGCTCACTGCAACCTCCATCTCCCAGGTTCAAGCGATTCTCCTGCCTCGGCCTCCCAAGTAGCTGGGATTACAGGCGCACACCATCATGCCCAGCTAATTTTTGTATTTTTAGTAGAGACGGGGTTTTACCATGTTGGCCAGGCTTGTCTAGAACTCCTGACCTCAGGTGATCCACCCACCTTGGCCTCCCAAAGTGCTGGGATTACAGGTGTGAGCCCACGCACCCAGCTAATAAATTTTTTAATGTTTCTTTTTTTTTTTTTTTTTTTTTTGAGATGGAGTTTCGCTCTTATTGCCCAGGCTGGAGTGCAACGGCACCATCTCGGCTCACTGCAACCTCTGCCTCCCGGGTTCAAGCAATTCTCCTGCCTCAGCCTCTCAAGTAGCTGGGATTACAGATGTGCACTACCATGCCTGGCTAATTTTGGCATTTTTAGTAGAGACAGGGTTTCATCACGTTGGCCAGGCTGGTCTCAAACTCCTGACCTCAAGTGATCTACCCGCCTTGGCCTCCCAGCGTGCTGGGATTACAGGCATGAGTCGCCAAACCTGGTCTAATGTTTCTTTTAATTAATTTAAATCTAAATTTAGTTAGCCACGAGTGGCCAGTGGCTACCATATTGTGCCATCTCTAGTCCACTCTGTTCTGCAAGTCTACCTAAAATAGTCCTACGACCAACCTGAACATTCCCCTCTGTGACAAGGAAGGCCTCCCTAAAACCTAGCCACATCCTCATGTCTCCTACCCACCTGGCTGCCAAGACAAACCAGCCTTTCCAAAGTGGTTATGAGCTCTTCTTTACTTTCAAGAGGAAGGAAGGACAGAGAACGATGCCAATGAAATCTGTTGAGAGTTTATCATACGTCTTGGCACTTGGCACATGTGATGACATGGGATTGTCACACCTCCTGTCTGTAATGAGGGTGATTATTCCCATTTTACGGATAGGAAAACCAAGGCTTCGAGAGAGGAAATAACCTCTTCAAGGGCTGAGATGTGAACCCACCTTGGAATGATTCCACCTCATCTTGCAATCTCCCTCGATCAAACCTTCAGCCTCCCATTTCCTTTTTTTTTTTTTTTGAGACAGAGTCTTATTCTGTCACCCAGGCTGGAGTGCAGTGGTACAGTCTTGGCTCACTGCACCTCCACCTCCTGGATTCAAGCAATTCCTCTGCCCCAGCCTCCCCAGTAGCTGGGATTACAGATGCGCACCACCACCCTTGGCTACTTTTTGTATTTTTAGTAGAGACGGCATTTCATCATGTTGGCCAGCGTGGTCTCGAACTTCTGACCTCAGGTGATCTGCCCACCTCGGCCTCCCAAAGTGCTGGGAGTACAGGCATGAGCCACTGTGCCCAGCCCTCCCAACACATTTCTAATGCCTACTTTCCTTATGAGGCCAGGAGTAGGTACCTGGCTGCCTGCAATACTCACATATATTAGCCCTGAGAAGTACCGCTCCCTCAGGTTGTGTAGCACGGAGGCTTCGTTGAGGCACGTCAGCTCCGCCATGTCCTCCACCTTGGAGAACTTGGGTGGGTTCATCTTCTGGATGTCATCTTTCCCAACCGTGACCTTCTTGCCATTCTCCACCAGCTCCACAACCACCTCATCCCCCTTCTCCTCCTTAATGCTGGCTGCCTCGAAGCCCTGCTTCTCCGAGGGGACCCAGACGAGTCTCTTGGCGGCCCAGTCAGCCTGGGCCACTGGGCTGTTGATGAAGTTTTTGTCCACAAAGAGGAACTTCTCATCGTCACTGAGTTGGCCCTTCTGCGCCATGGTGCCTTGTTGGTCCCCTGTGGAATAAGGTAACAGGGTCAGAATCAGACCACAACCAAGCCCGGAAGACAGACCAACCACTCACCTTGCCCTGTCTAGGAACTCGGTCTGCAGAGACATCCCACCAAGTACAAAGACCTGCAGTATTGTGTATGTGGTCAAAGAACAGAGACCACCCAAAGGCCCTTCAGAAAGGGATGTGTGTCATCGCCTAAAATACCAAAAGTCAGACAACCCAAATGTCCACCAACATACAGCTGGATACATAAGCCATGCTATTTCCACACTGTGAAATACTACCCAGTGCTCAGGAGGCAGGAAGTAGGGCTGGACAAGGTGGCTCACACCTGTAAACCCAACACTGTGGGAGGCCGAGGTGGGCAAATCACTTGAGGCCAGGAGTTCAAGACCAGCCTGGCCAACATGGTGAAACCCCGTCTCTACTGAAAATACAAAAATTAGCCAGGTGTGATGGTGTGCACCTGTAATCCCAGCCACTTGGGAGGCTCAGGCAGAATTGCTCAAACCCAGGAGGCAGAGGTTGCAGTGAGCCAAGATAGTGCCACTGCACTCCAGCCTGGGTGACAGAGCCAGACTCCATCTCAAAAAAAAAAAAAAAAAAAGAAGAAGAAGCCGGAAGTAAGTGTACACGTGCTAATATGGGAAGATGGTCAAGTCTAACTGTGCGCTGCAAAATAAGAGTCCTCATACGATTAAACATAGAATTACCCAGATTCCTTGAGCCCAGGAGTTGGAGACCAGCCTAAGCAACATGGCAAAACCTTGTCTCTACAAAAAATACAAAAAATTAGCCAGGCATGGTAGCGCACACCTGTAGTCTCAGCTACTTGGGAGGCTGAGGTGGGAGAATCACCTGAGCCTGGGAGGTCAAGATTGCAGTGAGCCAAGATCAAGCCACTGCACTCCAGCCTGGGTGACAGAGTGAGACTCTGCCTTAAAAACAAACAAACAACCCAAGGTATATAACTGGAAACTCAGTAAAAGGAAAGAAATTATGCAATAAAATAAATGAGTCTCAAAAGCATCATGCTCAGTGAAACAAATCAGAAAGGCCACACGCTCTATTACTCCTTCAATACGAAAAACTATTAGGCTGGTGCAAACGTAAGTGTGGTTATTGAGATAGAAGGTAATGGCGGCCGGGCGCGGTGGCTCACGCCTGTAATCTCAGCACCTTGGGAGGCTGAGGTGAGTGGATCACCTGAGGTCAGGAGTTCAAGACCAGCCTGGGCAACATGGTGAGACCCCTGTCTCTACTAAAAATACAAATATTAATGGAGTGTGGTGGCACACACCTGTAGTCCCAGCTACTCAGGAGGCTGAGGCAAGAGGATTGCTTGAACCCAGGAGGCGGAGGTTGCAGTGAGCTGAGATCGCGCCACTGCACTCCAGCCTCGGCGACAGAGCGAGACTCTGTCTCGAAAAAAAAAAAAAGTAATGGCAAAATAGAAAAGGCATATCTATGGTGACAGGCAATCAAGAGTTGCCAGAGGAGGCCATGCACGGTGGCTCACACCTGTAATCCCAGCACTTTGGGAGGCCAAGGCAGGGGGGATCACTTGAGGTCAGGAGTTTGAAACCAGCCTGCCCAATGTGGTAAAACCCCATCTCTACTAAAAATACAAAAATTAGCCGGGCATGGTGGTGCACACCTGTAATCCCAGTTACTCAAAAAGCTGAGGCAGGAGAATCACTTGAACCTGGGAGGCAGAGGCTGCAGTGAGCCGAGACTGCACCATTGCACTCCAGCCTGAGTGACAGAGTGAGACGCTGTCTCAAAAAAATTAAAAAAAAGAGTTGCCAGTGGCAAGGAAAGGAATGGATTAGTAAGAGGCACAGAAGAGGTACATAAGAGGTAAGAGGCACCACCTTTCGGGGTGATAAAAGTATTCCCTGTGGTCATGGTGGTGCTTACAAGACTGTATACATTTGTCAAAACTCATTAAGAATGTTCTATCCACTATAGGATGAGTAAAGTGAACAATAAAATATTACATCGTTTCCAAGAGCTAGAAGAAGGACATTGAATGTTCCCAACACAAAGAGATGATAAATGTCATTATATAGGAAGTAGCAAAATAAAAGTAATGGCAAATGCTTGAGATGATGGATATGCTAATTATCCTGATCTTATCTCCCCACACATTATATGTATTAATATCAAAACATTACTAAGAGCTGGACTCAGTGGCTCACACCTGTAATCCCAGCACTGTGGGAAGCTGAGACAGGAGGATCCCTTGAGGCCAGGAGTTCAAGACCAACCTGGGCAACATAAGAAGCCCCTGTCTCTGTAAAAAAATTAAAAATTAGCCTGGCACGGTGGTGCATGCCTACGGTTCCAGCTACTCAGGAGGCTAAGACGGGAAGATGGCTAGAGCCCAGGAGGTCAAGGCTGCAGTGAGTTGTAATCATGCCACTGCACTCCAGCCTGGGCCACAGAGCGAGACCCTGTCTCAAAACCATCCAACCAAACAACTAAAAAAATCATTATGGACCCCATGAACATGTATGATTATTTGTCAATTAAGAAATAAATTTTTTAAGTTGAAAAAACTCACTCAAGCTGTACACTTAAAAAAACTTGAATTTGTTTTAAATCGGTGAGTTTTACTTTATATAGATTATACCTCAATAAAGCTGATTAAAATATTTGTCATAAAGTATTTGTCTTCATTTTATATGTTTGTGTGTACATTTCTAAAAGTCTAGAAAACTGCATACCAAAATATTATACTAGGGTTCTATCTGGTCAAATACGAGACAGTGTGAATATCAATAAGAAAAATAATTATATGTCCATCACCCTAACACCCCAAAAAGGGTGGAAAGACAAATATATTTAAATGCATTTGTTCAAAATGATTTTTGTTGTTGTTGTTTGAGATGGAGTCTTGCTCTGTTGTCTATGCTGGAGGGCAGTGGTGCAATCTTGGCTCACTGCAACCTCTGCCTCTGGGTTCAAGCGATTCTCCTGCCTTAGCTTCCCGAGTAACTAGGATTACAGGCGTGCACCATCACACCCAGCTAATTTTTGTATTTTTAGTAGAGACGGGGCTTCGCCAAGTTGGCCAGGCTGGTCTCAAACTCCTGACCTCAAGTGATCCACCAGCCTCGGGCTCTCAAAGTGAAGGGATTACAGGCATGAGCCACTGTGCCCAGCCCCAAATGCATTATTTTTTAAATGGGTACAGAAAGTGGGGTGGAAATGTGAAAATCTTGATTCTGCGTTTTCTATACAAATTGTTCCTTAGGGTAACTAAATTAAGAAGGGGAAGTCTCTCTTGATGGAAGATTAGGTCATTAAATGTCCTGTCTACATGGGAAGCCCATGGATGGTAGATTCACGTTATCTGTCGTTATCCAGATGTGTTTATGAGGAGAGGGACAGAGACAACACACTCTATAGGCCTGTCCGGCCCCCCGTTCCTGACTCTCTGACCATAGCTGCAGGGGCTGTCCTGGAAACACTGGCTTACAGCCCCTTCTACCTCTTGCTGCTGGGCTCCAAAGAACTGAGTTGCTGGCTAAGTGAGGACATATGGCCACCAGGATCTATGCGTGGTTGACATCCCTCCTTCAGCAGGGAATTCACAACTCCTTTGAATTCACTGATAATCCCCACGCTTGGGCCCCAAATCCCACAGCGACAGAATAAAGACCCATGTCCCACTCCTGGATCCCTAGAGCTGAGCAGCCAACTCCTGAAACCCAACCTTTTGGGTGATGCAGATTTTGCAAGACAGAATGGGAGTGGCAGATATTCCAATACCTATTTTTTTCCTTTCAGGGCTGAAAATAATAATTAAAAAACTAATTTTAAGAACCTGCTGCTGGGTGCAGTGGCTCATGCCTGTAATCCCAGCACTTTGGGAGGCCAAGGCCGGTGGAACACCTGAGGTCAGGAGTTCGAGACCAGCCTGGCCAACATGTGAAACCCCATCTCTACTAAAAATACGAAAAGTTGCTGGGCGTGGTAGCATGCGCCTACAATCCCAGCTACTCGGGAGGCTGAGGCAGGAGAATCACTTGAACCCGGGAGGTGGAGGTTGCAGTGAGCCAAGATTGTGCCTCTCACCGCACTCCAGCCTGGGCAGTAAGAGCGAAACTCAGTCTCAAAAAAACGAAAAACAAACCTGGAAGTTGATTTGCTCAGAGATTTTCTGCTGGGAGACCTGATATCGTAGCTGATGAAAAAAAAGTGGCGGCTAGGTGCGGTGGCTCACACCTGTAATCCTAGCACTTTGTTGGGGCTGAGGTAGGAGGATTGCTTGAGGTCCGGAGTTCAAGACCAGCTGGCCAACGTGGCGAAACCTGATCTCTACTAAAAACACAAAAATATTAGCTGGGCTTGGTGGCAGGCACCTGTAATCCTAGCTACTCGGGAGGCTGAGGCACGAGAATTGCTTGAACCCAGGAAGCAGAGGTTGCAGTGAGCTGAGATGGTGCCACTGCACTCTGGCCCAGGCAACAGAGCAAGACTTCATCCAAAAAAAAAAAAAAAAAAAAAAAAAAAAGGGCAGAGAAATGAGGAAATCCCATCTAAATCTGAATAATCACTTCAGATATCCAGAAAGAGAAATAAAGATCTGGTAGACAACATGTATTGTCCTAAGTTTAACAATCCTCCTTTCTGCATTTTAAAATTGTTATTGAATTTGGCTTAGCTCATAGTAAGACCAACAGTGTCCTGCCCCTGACTCCAGTTACCCTATCTTAAAAAAGACTCCCTTCTACATGGAAGAATTCCAGCGAATACATGCAGAACAATAAAACTAGGATGTAACTGTTTATAAAGCTAATAGTGGGTCTCAAGCTGGGCACGGTGGTTCACACCTGTAATCCCAGCACTTTGAGAGGCCCAGGTGGGCGGACCACCTGAGGTCAAGAGTTTGAGGCCAGCCTGGTCAACATGGGAAAACCCTGTCTCTACTAAAAAATACAAAAATTAGCTGGGCATAGTGGCATGTGCCTGTAATTCCAGCTACTCAGGAGGCTGAGGCAGGAGAATTACTTGAACTCCAAAGGTGGAGGTTGCAATGAGCCGAGATCATGCCACTGTACTCCAGCCTGGACAACAGAGCAAGACTTTGCCAAGGAAGGAAGGAAGGAAAGAAAGAAGAAAGGAAGGAAGAGGCCGGGCACAGTGGCTCACACCTGTAATCCCAGCACTTTGGGAGGCTGAGGCGGGCAGATCACGAAGTCAAGAGATCGAGACCATCCTGGCTAACACGGCAAAACCCTGTCTCTACTAAAAAAAAAAAAAAAAATTAGCCGGGCGTGGTGGCGGCCGCGTGTAGTCCCAGCTACTCTGGAGGCTGAGGCAGGAGAATGGTGTGAACCTGGGAGGCGGAGCTTGCAGTGAGTGGGTGAGTGGAGATGCGCCGCTGCACTCCAGCCTGGACGACAGAGTGAGACTCCGTCTCAAAAAAAAAAAAAGAAAGAAAGGAAGAAAGAAAGGGTCTTGGCAAGTTGGCAAGTTCTACCAGTAATTGCTAAAACCATTAGGCCAATGGGGCTCACATTTCCTGGTGCATTAGCTTCTGAGTCAGTAGGACTGGGATGGGGCCCAAGAATATGCATTCCTAACCAGCTTCCGGGTGATGATGATGATGCTGGTCTAGGGTCCCCACCACAAGACTGACTATATCAGATGAAGAGCTCTTGTGGAATTTTTAAGGGATGGGTCCGCCTGCCATCACCTAAATCTACTAATTAACCCTAACATCACAAAAAGAGAGAGCTGACTAGACATTATAAACATTACATGCCTGCAGATGGGCCACTACAGGAAGTGCCGTTACCACTAATGACATATTCTTGCTCAAAAGAAAAGGGGATGGAGATGGGGGATGAAGGTGATGAAGCCTCCAGATCTGACGCCTGTCTATGGAAAATGCAAGGCACAGGAGAGCATGCTAAACAATGCAGTAAACTCCCAAAGGTGAGAGACTATGCTCTGTCGCCCAGCTAGAGTGCAATGGCGGGATCTTGGCTCACTGCAACCTCCACCTCCTAGGTTCAAGTGATTCTCCTGCCTCAGCCTCCCGAGGAGCTAGGATTACAGGTGCATGCCACCACGCCTGGCTGATTTTTGTATTTTTAGTAGAGACGGGGTTTCACCATATTGTCCAGGCTGGTCTCAAACTCCTGACCTCAGGTGATCTACCGGCCTTGGCCTCTCAAAGTGCTGACATTACAGGTGTGAGCCACCACGCTCGGCCAGTACTCTCTTTCTTTAACAAATAAAATACAAACAAAAAGGAGGGGAACCCATAGATTAAAAAATAATTGAAAGAAAAGAGGCTGGCAGTAGCCCACATGTATAATCCCATATTTTGGGAGGCCAAGGCAGGAGGATTGCTTGAGCCCAGGAGTTCGAGACCAGACTGGGCATTATAGCAAGACCCCATCCCTTAAAAAAAATATCAGCCAGGCATGATGATGCGTGCTTGTAGTCCCAGCTACTAGGAGGCTGAGGCAGGAGGGTTGCTTGAGCCCAGGAGTTTGAGGCTGCAGTGAGCTATGATTACATCACTGCACTCCAGCCTGGGTGTCAGGGTGAGACCCTGTCTCAAAAAAGAGAAAGCCACAGAGAACGAGAACATTTCATAAATATAGGGCATTTTCATTAGCCTAAAAGATCTTTCTGAGCCTAAATAAAGTACAAGTTCATTGGTGCTGGCAACATTTGATTGGTTGCCTCCTCTTGAGAGGTAAGATAACCTGTAGTCATGTAAAGACACCCAGACTTTGCAATCAGATGCTAATTCAAACGTGACTCTGCCACTGCAGAATGCGTGCTTCTGGGTGACTTACGTAGATCTGAGACTCAGATTTACTGTATATTAATACTGGGGACCTAACGGGTGCCCTGCAGAGCTGCCATGAAGTTTAGATGAAACTCTCTACACCAAGCTTGTCTAACCTGCAGCCCACAGGCTGCATGGGGCCCAGGACGGCTTTGAATGTGGCCCGATACAAATTCATAAACTTTCTTAAAACAGTATGATATTTTTTCGCGATTTTTTTTTTTTTTTTTAGCTCATCAGCTATCATTAGTGCTAGTGTATTTTACGTGTGGCCCAAGACAATTCTTCTTTTTCTGGGGTGGCCCAGGGAAGCCAAAAGATAGGACACCCCTGATCTACACCAAGTACCTTCTGTTTCTATACCCTTTCTCACTTCCGGTGACTCTAAGCCACTTCGCTCATTCCTAACCAATAGCATTTACTACTGTTGGATGTTTTAATTATGTTTATTTCTGGACAGCCATAGTCACAGAAGTGGCTTGATACGACGCGTCTTCTTTTAATAGTATAACCAAGGTTAGTTTAAACAGGCAGCAAAATAGGAAATGCGGCAAAATATTCAATCATTCCCTGATAATCTCTTGTTTCTTAAGGTGTCGCAGCAGATCGTGTGTGTGTGTGTGAGAGAGAGAGAGAGAAAAAGAAGGAGAGAGAGAGAGAGAAACTGGAGGATGCGTAAGAGAAATGGGAGGGTGTGAAGATGAAGTAAGATTGATCACAAGTAGGCCGAGTGTGATGGCTCATGCCTATAATCCCAGAACTTTGGGAGGCTGAGGTGGGAGGATAACTTGAGGTCAGGAGTTTGAGACCAGCTTGGCCAACATTGTGAAACCCTGTCTCTACTAAAAATACAAAAATTAAAAATTAGCCAGGATTGGTGGTACGTGCCTGTAGCCCCAGCTACTTGGGAGGCTGAGTCAGGAGAATCACTTGAACCCGGGAGGTGGAGGTTGCCGTAAGCCGACATCATACCACTACACTCCAGCCTTGGCGACAGAGTCAGCCTCCATCTCAAAAAAAAAGAAGTGTCAGAGCTGGGACCCAAACCTGGGTCTCATTCTGGAGTCTATTTGGTTCTGCCTTTCACATAAGGTGGGTGGGCTTGTCAGATGCCCATAAAGGAATCAATCCTGTAAGGCACCTGGCACAGTACCTGACACATTACAAACACCCAAAATAGGACTCGAATCAGGTGAAGTAAACTACAGCTCCACACCACAAAAAAGGACATCTCACAACACATCCTTGAGCAAAAGAAGGTGGTCACAAAAAGCACAGGTTCTGTGACTATTGAACTGAGGTCCAAAACCAGGCAGAATTAATCTACGGTGATAGAACTCAGATAAGGAATGAATGAGTCTCCGGTGTGCAATGATTGCAAGGACAGAACGTGAGGGGGGCTTGTGAGGGTTGACCTCTAGATCTTCATCTGAATGCCAGCCCTATGAGTGTTCACTTTCTGAAAATTCATCAAACTGTTGGGCCAGGTGACATGGCTCACGCCTGTAATCCCAGCACTTTGAGAAGCCAAGATGGGAGGACCACTTGAGCCCAGGAGTTTGAGACCAGCCTGGCCAACACAGCAAGACCCATCTCTAAGAAAAAATGTTTTTTAATTACCTGTGTGGAAGACTGAGGTAGGAGGATAACCTGAGCCCAGGAGGCTGAGACCGGCCTGGTCAACATGGTGAAACCTTGTCTCTAGCAAACATACAAAAATTAACCGGTTGTGATAGTGTGCACCTGCAGTCCCAGCTACTCAGGAGGCTGAGGTGGGAGGATCACTTAAGCTCAGGAGGTCGGGGATGCAGTGAGCCATGATCATGCCACTGCACTGCAGCCTGGGTGACAGAGTGAGACCCCCATCTATAAAAAATATATCCTCTTGAAAATTCATCAAGCTGCACACTTTTTTGCACATCAAGCGTACTTTTTTGGTTGTAAAGTACACTTCATTTTCCTTCCCTCTTATCTTTAATTGTGGTAAAATACAGCTAACATTCACCACCTCGGCCACTTAAACACAGTTCAGTAGCATTAAGTATATTGATATTCTTGTGCAATAATGAAGAGTTTGTGCAGATGGTAGCCAATTACATCCCAAGAGGGCTAGGAGAGTGTTTCATTTGTTCTAAGCACTATGACAAGTAAAGTGGACTTCTTTTTTTTTTTTTTTTTTTTCTGAGACAGGGTCTTGCTCTGTCGCCCAGGCTGGAGTGCAGTGGCATGACCTCAGCTCACGGCAACCTCCGCCTCCCAGGCTCAAGTGATCCTCCCACCCCAGCCTCCCAAATAGTTGGGACCACAGGCACCTGCCACCATGCCCAGCTATTTTCCTGTATTCTTTGTAGAGACGGGGTTTCACCATGTTGTCCAGGCTGAGGTCTTGAACTCCTGACCTCAAGTGATCTGCCTGCCTCGGTCTCCCAAAGTGCTGGGATTACAGGCATGAGCCGCTGTGCCCAGCCCTAAGTGGGCTCTTCCTAATTGCCATGTGGATGAGTTGCCTTAAAAGTCAGAAAAAATAGCAAAAGCTACAACAGAAAAATAAAAGGACACGCACGCCTCCATTGCCTGGGACCCTGTCTAACCTCAGACTTAAAAACACAAACAAGATCAAGTGCAAAGATTCAGTCTCTGTACAAAAAAGGAGAGCTTGGAGCAGGCTGGATTCCCTCTGGCTTTGATGTCTCTGACAGTTACGACGTGCAAAATCTGCTTTGGTCAAAAGACAGCAAGATGGGGGATGAGAAGCTTCGACTCATGCTAGAATGGTGTTTTCCATAGCATGCCCCTTGGAACCCTAATTCCCTGAAATATCTGGGCTGGGGTGGAGCTGCGGAGGTTGAGAAGCTCTTCAAACAGTGGCGCAGTCAAGGTCAAATCCATCTGGAAGGTGCTACATATTCCCCTTTCCCTCATTGAGACACAAAACACACAACAGGACACTTGAGTCTCTGGCAGATCCGGAAACCTGAAAGCTGTTTTGCTCCTACGAGCCTTGGGTCCCCAAAACAACATTTAGCCACAGATTTGCCAAATGTTTTGAGAATGTTTTCCTAAAAATTTGCCAAATTTTTGAGAAAATTCAGTGAGCCTGACAAATTAATAATACTAATACTAGTAATAATAGTTGCTAAGTCTTTTTTTTTTTTTTTTTTTTTTGACACAGAGTCTCGCTCTGTTACCCAGGCTGGAGTGCAGTGACGCAATCTCAGCTCACTGCAACCTCCACGTTTCTGGGTTCAAGTGATTCTCGTGCCTCAGCCTCCCAAGTAGCTGGGACTACAGGCATGCGCTACCATGCCTGGCTAATTTTTGTATTTTTAGTAGAGATGAGGTTTCACCATATTGGCCAGGCTGGTCTTGAACTCCAGGCCTCAAGCAATCCTCCCACCTTGGCCCCCCAAAGTGCTGGGATTACAGGCGTGAGCCACCGCAGCTGGCCACAAACTCTGCACTGTGACTCTTGGGCTGCGTCATTCTGTGTCGTGAGGGGAGCTCTTCCGTGCATTGTGGGATGTTCCGCAGCATCCCTGGTCTCTGCCCACCTGATGCCAGTAGCACCCCTTCCTCCACTCATGACAATCAAAAATGTCTCCAGACACTGCTAGATGTCCCCTGGGGTGGCAAAACTGCTTCCAGTTGAGAACCACAGCTTTAGAATAAAAACAAGGGCTGTCTTGGGAAAGGCAGTTAAAGCTGAGAGCAGCTCTCACTTAGTCAAACTCAACTCGGAATACCAACTGCAGAAGATCAGACGGGGGCAAGGTGAACACACTGGACCAGAGACGGACCGCCAGTTGGCCCAACCCCAGGGACACTCTTCATCTACCTTGATGCACCTTCCCAACCCTCCCTCCTCCACCATCGCTCATGTTTAAGGTCCTGCATCAGCTCCAAGGGCTGAAAGGACATCTCTGAAATTACTACCCAGAACTGCTGACCACGAAGTACAGTTCACTCATCAAGAGCTGCTCTCAATGTTTTTGGTTGGGGGAAGGGTCTCACTATATGCCCAGGGTGGAGTGCAGTGGTGCAATCATAGCTTACTGCAGGCTCAAACTCATGGGCTCAAGGGATCCTCCCACCTCAGGTGTGGGCCACTATGCCCGGCTTATTTTTTGTAGAGATGGGGGTCTTGCTATTTTGCCTAGGCTGGTCTCAAACTCCTGATCTCAAATGATCCTCCTGCCTTGGCTTCCCAAAGCTCTAGGATGACAGGCGTGAGTCACCTCGTCCAACTTTCTCGAATGTTTGGATGAAAACAAATGACTCTGTCACCTTTGGCATTAGCGATGTTTGACACATCTGAGTGTGTCAGCCTTGTTTACAGTCCTGTCCTGACCAACAACTGCTTCATTCTTTTTTTTTGAGACAGGGTCTGGCTCTGTTGCCCAGGCTAGAGTGAAGTGGCGCGATCTCTGCTTTCTGCAAACTCTGCCTCCCAGGCTCAAGCCATTCTCCCACCTCAGCCTCCCAAGTAGCTGGGATCACAGGCACGCACCAGAACACCCAGCTAATTTTTTAATTCTTGCATTTTTTTGTAGAGACAGGGGTCTCACTTTGTGGCCCAGGCTGGTCTCAAACTCCTGAGCTCAAGCGATCTGCCTGCCTCAGCCTCCCAAAGTGCTAGGATTACAAGCATGAGCCACCGCGCCCAGGCTGCTTCATTTTTTGAGCACAAACAAGCTAATCATTAGCCTCTGGAAGACCTTAGGATGTCAAGTAACGAGTCTCAGCTTTGCCCCAAACCTGCTGGGTGACTCTGGACAAGTCACTTGCCCTCTCTGGGCCTTGTATTTTTCATTTAGGGAAAATAAATCAATGGTAGGCTGGCCCAGCTCTACCATTTTATGGGACCCGTCTGTGACTCCCAGTCAAAGGGCTGAAACTGGACCAACTGAGAATGTCAGGTTGCTTTAGTTTGTTTTACCATCAGTTTCATTTTTCCCAGAAGAACTCAGGGGCAAAAGATCTTGCCCTCTCTGCTTCAGCATTAATAAAAAGTAAATTAGGCCGGGCATGGTGGCTGATGCCTGTAATCCCAGTACTTCGGGAGGCCGAGGCAGGCGGATAACCTGAGGTCAGTAGTTCAAGACCAGCCTGGCCAACATGGTGAAACCCCGTCTCTACTAAAAATACAAAAAATAGCCAGGTGTGGTGGTGGGCGCCTGTAATACCAGCTACTCAGGAGGCTGAGGAAGGAGAATCGCTTGAACCCAGGAGGTGGAGGGTGCAGTGAGCTGAGATCCCATCACTGCACTCCAGCCTGGGCGACAAGAGCAAAACTCTGTCTTGAAAATAAATAAATAAATAGTAAATTAAATATCCCAGAGCCCAGAGAGTATAGGATTTGCACATCACCTCACCTGGTCAACAGCTTCCCTCAGGATTTTACTGCCAAGCCATTGGCTAAAGATTTTGGACCAGAGACAAAAACCCAAATGTTTTTGGAGATCAGGTAAGTAATACAGAGTGACCCAGACCAGATGTTAGAGTATTGCTTATATTCTAAATACCATGCAGGGTTCAGCACTGTGGCTCACGTCTGTAATCCCAACACTGGGAGGCCAAGGCAGGCAGTTCGCTTGAGCTTAGGAGTTTGACACCAGCCTGCGCAACATGGTGAAACCCCATCTCTACAGAAAATACAAAAATTAGCCAGGCATGGCAGCACATGCCGGTAGTCCCAGCTACTCGGGAGGCTGAGGTGGGAAGATCGCTTGAGCCTGGGAGGTAGAGGTTGCAGTGAGCCAAGATCATGCCACTGCACTCTAGCCTGGGTGACAGAGTGAGACTCCATCTCAAAAAGAAAAAAAAGAAAAAAGAAAAATTGCTCATATTCTAAATGTCATAAAGGGCTGGATACAGTGGTTCACACCTGTAATCCAAGAACTATGGGAGGCCAAGCCAAGAGGATTGCTTGAATTAGGAGCTCTAGACTAGCCTGGGCAGCACAGTGAGATCCCATCTCTATTTCAAATAAACGAATGAATGAATGCCACACAGGCAAAACAGAAGTTCTCTGAACCTGATCTGCAACACAATTCGCCAGCTGGAAGGACCTCTGCAGTGGAAATCCTCGCTCAAGGCCTGGTCCAGGTGTAGGGAGGCATCAAATGTGTCGCAGGGAGAGGCACTGGGCACTCTAAATGCACCTGCTTGGCAGGTCCCCAGTAGTACCAAAAAGGCAGTTTAGATCTATTATTCATAACAGCCACTGTATTTATTGGGCCCCTTGTATTCATCAGGTATCAGGCCAGACAGCTTCCTATATAGACCATCTCACTGTCTCCTAAGCGCTCTGTAAGGTGGCATCACCTGCTATTGCTATTTTCCTGCTAAGATGACCGAGGTCCTGGAAGGTAAATGCAAGACCCCCACTTGTAAAATTTGGAGTCAGGAGTACAATCCAGAATCTAATCCTAGTTTTCTGCTAAGAGTAAATGGACACCCGATTAATTCTTAGCAGAAAGTCCCTTTCTTGCCCCTGACCCTACTCCACCATTTCTACCCTCCCCTCACCATTCACATCCCCCCACCTCCCAAGGGCTTGTTCCCAAGAAAGCCCTACTTCACTTTTACAGGAAAAAAAGTGAATGGTGAACCTGTCACATTCTTATTGCCTTGTGACATCTGCCTAATCATCTGAATACCAATGGTTTCAAGTAACTCCAGAAAGAAGTTCTCTTAATGCATAACACTATTTTTTCCTCCCAACCAAGAGAACTTGGTTGGCAAGAGTTACGGTAGCCCCTGTGAAGGATGCTTCTGGAAGCGAGCAAGAACTGATTATTTCTGGCCCTAAAAGCCCCACTGTGTTTTATATTTTACAATTCTGGCATACCACAGCTTAAAATAAATGTATAGTCTCCTATGTCAGGGGTCCCCAACCCTTGTGCTGCAGTATCAGTCAATGGCCTGTTAGGAACCAGGCCACATAGCAGGAGGGGACGGTGGGTGAGTGACCATCACTGCCTAAGCTCCGCCTCCTGTCAGATAAGCAGCATTAGATTTTCACAGAAGCACAAACCCTATTGCCAACTCCACCTGCAAGGGATCTAGGTTGTACGTTCCTTATGAGAATCTAACCAATGCCTGATGATGAGGTGGGACAGTTTCATCCCAAAACCATCCTCCCCACTCCACCCTGGAAAATATTGTCTTCCACGAAACCAGTCTCTGGTGCCAAGAGGATGGGGACTGCTGTCATATGTGACTGCAACAAGTTGCAATTTGCAATGCCTTTTTTTTTTTTTTTTTGAGACCGAGTCTCACTCTTTGCCCAGGCTGGAGTGCAGTGGTGTGATCTCGGCTCAATGCAACCTCTGCCTCTGAGGCTCAAGCGATTCTCGTGCCTCAGCCTCCCGAGTAGCTGGGATTACAGGTGCCCACGACCATGCCCAGATAATTTTTGTATTTTTAGTAGAGATAGGGTTTAGCAGAGACCATGTTGGCCAGGCTGGTCTTGAACTCCTGACCTCAGGTGACCCACCTGCTGCGGCCTCCCAAAGTGCTGGGATTACAGGCGTGAGCCACTGCACCTGGTCTGCAATGTCTTTAGCCAGTCATTTGCAATATCTATTAATTTTAGATACGCATGCCCTTTAACTCAGCAAGCGCATTTCTGGGAATTTATCCTACAGATAAATTCATATAATTAGACAAAAAGTCCAAGGATGAAAGAGTGGCATTATCTATTATTCCCATTTTCCTGCTAAGCCTATCGGGGTCTTGAAAGGTAAATGCAAGGCCCTCCCTTGCAAAAGTTGGGGAACCAGGATTAGAATCCCGATCTGTTTGAAGCCTAATTTACTCAGAGATGGCATTAGCGATGTTTGACACATCTGAATATGTCAGCCCTATTCACAGTCCTGTCCTAACAACTCACTGCTTCATCCCTTGAGCACAAACAAGCTATTCATTAGCCTGTGGAAGATCCTTAGGTCTTCGAGTTACAAGTCTCAGCTCTGCCCAAAACTCGCTGGGTGATGCTAGGCAAGTCACTTGCCCTCTCTGGGCCTTGTATTTTTCAGCCTGGTACAGTAAAGTTCTATGCCCCTCACCTTTTTTTTGAGACAGAGTCTCACTCTGTTGCCCAGGCTAGAGAACAGTGATGCAATCAGGGCCCACGGCAGCCTTGAACTCCTGGGCTCAAGCAATCCTCCTGCCTCACTCAACCTCCTGAATAACTAGGACTACAGATGCATGCCACCATGCCCAGCTCATTTTAAAAATTTTTTTGTAGAGATGGTGCCTCGCTATGTTGCCCACTCTGGTCTCAAACTCCTGACTTCAAGCCATCCCCCCACCTCAGCCTCCCAAATTGCTGGGATTACAGGTATGACCTGCCATACCTGGCCTCTATGGCCCTTTCCTAGCAACTTTGATGAGGTTGTTCCTCCTTAGCCCCTGAAACCCTGATACAAGTCACAGATGTCCGACCTCCCCTTTCAGCCACTGTGAGCAGCTTCTTCCTCTGTCCTTGGATCACATACAAGGTTTCTTTCAAATTCTTGCCTGCCTTTCTCTAAATTCAGTCTTTCCTCCATTGTGTGGCCAGGGTTAAAAGTTGAAAGGTCAGGAGTGGAAGGAGAAGACCTAGAGAGCAAAAAGGCCATCCCTTAAAGTATGCCATCAAGACCCTAAATAAGCCAGGCGCGGTGGCTCACGCCTGTAATCTGAGCACTTTGGGAGACCAAGCCAGGCGAATCACTTGAGGTCAGCGGTTCGAGACCAGCCTGGCCAATATGGTGAAACCCCATCTCTACTAAAAATACAAAAAATTAGCCAGGCATGGTGGTGGGCGCCTATAAACCCAGCTACTCTCTACTCAGGAGGCTGAGGCTGGAGAAGTGCCTGAACCTAGGAGGCGGAGGTTGCAGTGAGCCAAGATCGCACCACTGCACTCCAGCCTGGGCGACAGAGCAAGACTCTGTCTCAAAAACAAACAAACAAAACCCTAAACAAATGTAATTGGAATTTGTAACATTCCCAATCCAGGTAAGGAATGGTAGCTTAATATATTAAAGATTCTAATCACCACTTTCAGCCCAAATAGAAACGAGGTTTATGAGATCAAAGGGAAGAAAATTAAGAGAAGCTTCTCCTTTAACGGCCACATAGTTTAGGCTTCCCGGTTCTGCCAAAGATGAGCCATGCCATACTGAGCAAACATCTTGAACTCTCTGGTTGTGTTTGCTATAAATAACCATCACTGAAGCTTACCAGGGGCCAGGCACTGTGCTAAACCCTTCATACACATTAGCTCATCAAATCCTCCCATGAGGGTAATCTGTGAAACTCTGGAGTTAGAAAGACCTAGATTTGTAGAATCTTCTTTTCCTTACTGGTTAGCTGAGCTATCTTAAGCAAGTTATTCAGACTCCATATGTGTAAAATAAAGCCAGTTAGAATAACAGTATCTACTCTAAAGGGTTGTTATGAAGACGTAAGATAATGTCCACAAAGCGTTTAGCATCTCGCCAGGCAAAAGTGCCCAAAAAACATGAGTTATTCTCATTAGCCCCATTTCCCGGATGAGAAAGTGAGGTTTGGGGAGGTGCGGGAGATGATTTTTAAATTTGCTTATGGCCTTCTATGATTCTACTGGATTGAATATTGAACTTGGTTTTCAAGAAAAATCTACTATATATCTGCTCTTGGAATTACACGCTTGTGCCTAACGTGGAAGACCCACCTGTTTGGATTCAAGACCTGTGGAAAGGAGACAATTCCCTCCCACCCCCCACCCAAAAAAATCAAACCTCTGAATAAGAGGGGGTAGGAAAAAAGAATCCCACTTTCCTCCCAAATCTCTTCTCCTTAGGGTTTCTCCACTAGTTCTTCAATGGGTGAGGGACATGGTAGACAAATCCCCAGGGCCAGGACCAACCGGGCTGCGGTGCAAGGCTGGGTAACTGACGAGGGGGCCGGGGATGGCCTCATGGAAAACGCTTCCATAAATGGGCATGTTTGCCTCAATCTCTGCCCTCCCACGGAAAAGTAATGATAACAAATCCATAACAGATACCTTGTACGGAATAACACATCTATTTCGGACATGATAATAAAAAAACATGGTGTTTACAAGGCAAGCCTGGCGGCTTCTCGGAAAAGACCCAGCTAGTTCACGTTCTGGACTCTCGGCATGGCAGCCCACCTAGGGTCACTGGTTTCAGCTAGGTCACCCCCTCAATCAGGGGACAAACAGTGCCTTTTATTTTAAATGTGCAAAAAGTCAGTTTATGTTTTCTTCAAAGGACACGGTGATAAACATTTACTTTGTTGGAAGCATTTAGTCCCACCAGAAACCTGACCCCAACAAGTTTGTGTCCATGGTAAAGAAGAAAGATAGTGGGGTCAAGGGTATGAACTTGGACTCAAACTGACCCGGGAATGGGTTCTACCACTTGCTGGCTGTGTGACACTTTACCTCTCTGAGCCTCAGCTGCCTTGTATACTAAACAGGCATCATAAAGCCTTTCTTATGAAGTTGTTGCAAAGATTAAATGAGATAAATTAAGTTAAATGTTGCAACAGCATGTGGCACTGAAGTGTTCCATCAACGGTAGCTATCTCAAAGGGAAAACATCAATTTCCTTCAAACAAAATTCTCTATCTTATTTCACACCCTGCCACCTAATGACTTTCAGTTCAGCGTCAAGTTCCGTCTCTGAACAATTCTAAAATAGTATCGTTGAGTAAATCAAAGAAACAAAAAACTATGCAAAGCAGTTTATTAATAGCCTGCATTCTTTTTGCCAAACCCCGGACGGACAGTTCACCATTTAATCTCTCAGTTCTTCATACTGCAACTAAACACTCCCACCTTGGGTTTCTAAATATTTTCTTTTACTTCTTGACAAGCATGGCTTTGGATGGTACCTTTTCTCAAGTGGCAAAATCCCTACCAGACCCTGTGCTGGAAGAAAACTTACAACAGGCAGTAGCCACACTTTCTCTCGTTTTACCCATTTGGTTGGGCACGAGAGTGGCATTGACACAGGTGGCTCTGCGGGAAATTCTAGTGTAATCTTACCTAACGCACCTGCAGATCGTGGAAGCAAATGGAGACTTTGGAGCCCACCTGGGTATCTGGGGGCCCTTTGGGGTCAACCTGGGTGAGTTGTTTTTTTTTTTTTTAATTTGGAGAAGAGGAAAAAGTGGGCTGTAACAAACTAGATCACAACCAGCCTTATCTCCCAGGGGTTCTCAACATAGAAGAACCTCCCCTAAACTGATTAAAAAAAAAAAACAACAACACTCCTTTCTGCTAAGCCTATGCCCATGTGTTTTTAACTGATTTAATGCATTATCAACACAACTGTGCAATACGGTCAAATCCACAAGGAGCCTCACTTTGCCCTTCTGTGTGATAGCAAGTGACTTTTCAGTGAAGTTCAGCTGTAAATTTTTTGGTGCCTAGAATAAAAGTGAGATGCCTTGATTGTCTGCACCGGACCTCTGAGATTTCCAAGGGAGCATATCTCCTGGATTAGCCTCTTAACAAGAATCACTCGGGACTAATTTTTTTTTTTTTAAGGCAGTTTTTCTGGGGATTCTAGAGTTGGGAAATGGAGTTGGGTCCAGGCATTGATATCGTTAATAAGCACCCCCAAAATGGTACTTCTCACTGGCAATCTTAAGAAATGCTGTTTGGGGAAAGTCTAGGATAATCTAAGACGATAAGGCAGAGAGAGATCCAAATCACAACTCTGCCCCCACCATGGCCCTTACGAGGTTGACAACAGGGACCCCTAAGTGCACCCCAGCCCCTATAGAATACCCTATAGGACTTTTAACACCCCCCTGCCCTGCAATCTGCCCCCAGAATGACAACTACTACTTACAGATCTCCAACTGGGGGGACTAGTGGAGAGGAAACTGGATGGCGAGCTCGGATCTGACGCACCTCCCAGGCCGGAGCGTCCAAATCTCCCTGCGCGTCCTCGGACGCCTCTCTTTATAGACCCGGAGCTGCCCGCGGCTGGGAAAGGGGAGGAGGCCGAAGGGGTGGAGTTGGGGAGGGTCCCTCGCGGCCCCCTCGCCGCGCCCCCTGCAGGGCGCACCCCCGGCGGGAGCGCAAGGAGCTGGGGCGCTCGGGACAAGGGTGCACGGAACAGGTGCGCACCGCACAAGGGCGCACGGAACAGGTGCGCACAGGGACGGGAGTCTCAGCCCCGGCCCCAGGCGGTCGCAGACGCTCCGGATCCCTAGAGAAAGGGGGTCGAGCAGGCAGTGTCTGTGCGGGATGCTTGAGAACGTCTTCCCTGAGTCGGTTCCGGCCGCAAAGGCTTTAACCTCTTCCTCCCCGTGTCGGGGCTGTGGTGGATCTGACTTGACATCTCCCACCCCACTTCCCATTTTATTGGCATCGCACTGTCTGGAAAGAGGGCCGGCTGTGCAGCGTGAAGGGTAGGGAAAGGGGATTTCTTGAACTTTGCAAAGTGCAAGACAGGAGGCCCCCACCCTTGCTGGGAACCGTGCAGGAAGGGGAAGTTTTTACTTTTCCCAACTTGCCATCTCCACCTCCACCCACATCACCACGACCAAAATACAAATAAAAATTAAAAATAAGCCCACTGTGATTATTTCAGCTGTCCCCCTCCCCTGTGCGCCACTCGCCAGCTGCGTGACCTTGGGCAAGTCACTTCACTTCTCTGAGACTTGGTGTCCATAGCTACAAAATGGGGGAAGGCGGTGGCGGTGATAATTACGTTATTTACAAGATGCAAGTGTCAAGATCCAAGGAGAAAGTGGGTGTGCCCCCAGAGTCTGCGAGTTCCCTTCAACAACTTCCCTTCCCCAAGGATTCCTCGCCTAAAATTGCATTCCCTGTCTCTCTCCATCACAGGCTCTCTCGCTCTGTCTCTGCCACTGTCTCTGCATGTCTGTCACTCTGATCATTGCTGTCTCTCGCTCTATCTTTTGTCTCTGTCCCTCTCGCTTCTCTAGATCTGTCGATGTATCTGTCTCTCCCTCCTGTCTCACTTTGTCTCTGGTCTCTGTGTCTCTTGCTCTCCATCTCTCCCGCGTGTCTCACTCCTATCTCTGCGCTTTCTCTCTCTCTCTTCCCCAGGCTCTCCGTCTTCTCCCCGTCCCTCCCTCCCCGCTCCTGTCCACGCACGCACACACAGGCCATAAAAGGAAGTCGAGGCGGTGGGCTGGCCCCGCGCCAGGCCGGGGACCCGCGGGCAGCCCGGGCGCTCCGCTCCCCGCGCGGCACCAGCTCCTCCGAGGTTCCCGGGCCGGGCCGGGCCGGGCCGGTCCCCCTCCCCGGGAGCGGCGGGAGCGGCGGGCGGGAGACAACCCAAAAAGGGCAGGCGCGGACTCCTTCCTGCAGGAATTCCCAGCGCCGCATACCAGCTCTGGGCTGCCGGCTCCCCCTGACTAAATATGGTGCCGAGTGGCCTTCCTGCTCCCCGGCGTCGGGGGAGGGGGCCCTTCACGCAGCCACCGGCCGCCGTTGCCCCGCGGGGCTAGATGGGGACCCCTCTGCTTGGGGAAGGCCCGGAAGGGGGCAGCCCCCAGTCCCACGTGGGTTTCTGCTGCTTCAGGCTAGAGGATTTGGAGAGAGGGTTAAAGTTGGGCAGACCCCTCCTGGGTTCTGTACTTGACGCAGGCCCTTAGTCTACAACCACTCCTCTTGCAACCAGGTGGAGGGGCTGGGGGCCGGGGGTGCGGGGGGTGGCTTTATTAATACCCCCATTTTGCAGGTGAGAAAATTGAGTCCCTGCAGGGGTAAAGGGATTTGACCAAGCTCTCACTGGGACAGTCATTGATTGGTGCTGGCACTGGAACCTTTCTGATGACACCATTCACTTCCAGAGAGGAGACATTAAAGGGAAATGCCCAGGCAAACTGGCCTTGAGGCCCAGGGCGTGTATCTGAGAGTAGATGTCTGGCTTTGAATCTGCCAGTGCTGCTTTCTACCTATATGACCATGGGCAAGTAACTTTGCCTCTCCATGCCTCAATTTCCCTACCTGTAAGATGGGAAGAACATCAGCTACTTCCTGGCCTTTTTGTAAGCAGTCCTTGAGATGATCCATGTAAAATGAACATGGTGCACCGCTTCATGTGAGCTGCTGTTACTCGCAACAAACATGAAACCAACTAGAGTTGCACCAGGCCTCCGGGATATAAAGAGAGGCCTCTTCCCCTGCAGGCTCCCAGGCCCATCTGGAGAGCTCTGCATCTCAGACCCTTTTGGGTCCTTCTTCATCCTTCCAACATCAAGCTTACCTGGTTTTCACCCTGGAAACTCCTGAGCCTGGCCCTCACCCTGCAATGGGCCTAGATCAGAGAGTCAAGAACAGCCTGCATTTAGCTGGCTGGGGAAGTGAGGGGTAAAGCTCTGCGGAAAATGATGAATGAGCTGCTCCGCACAGGCTTTTAACATCTACGCTGTAAAAGGAGTGGAAATCGTCCCTGCATCAGCACAGAAATGATGTGGAGCAGAGAAGTAACGGAAGGGGGAAAATTGAAGTCAATCATCCGCTTCCCATCCTGGAAAGGGAAGGCCATCGGAATCTAGCTTGCTGGCCTCGAAGTAAAAACTGGCATTAATACTAGAGGCATGAACACTGTATTTCCAAAGGGTTCCATTCGATTCTTTAAATAACTTGTTGGTAACTTTTAAAAGAGAATAATTATAATGTGATTAACAACTGGAGACTGTAACACTCAATTTTACTTCATTCTCTCACCTACCCCTTATATAACAACCCTTTATTAAAAATTAAAGTAGGCAGCCGGGCACGGTGGCTCTTGCCTGTAATCCCAGCACTTTGGGAGGCCAAAGTAGGCGGATCACTTGAAGTCAGAAGTTCAAGACCAGCCTAGCCAACATGGTGAAACCCCCATTTCTACTAAAAATATAAAAATTAGCTGGGCATGGTGGTGCACACCTGTGGTCCCAGCTACTTGGGAGGCTGAGGCAGGATAATTGCTTGAACCCAGGAGGCAGAGGTTGCAGTGAGCTGAGATTGTGTCACTGCACTCCAGCCTGGGAGCCTGGATGACAGAGCAAGACTCCAACTCAAAAAAAAAAAAAAAAAGCAAAACTAAAGTGGCCAAGGCCAGGCATGGTGGCTCACAACTGTAATCCTAGCACTTTGGGAGGCCAAAGCAGGAGGATTGCTTGAGCTCAGGAGTTTGAGACCAGCCTGGGCAACATAGCAAGACCCTGTCTCTACAAAAAATAAAAAGTTAGCCATGTGTGGTGGTGGGTACCTGTAATCCCAGCTCCTTGGGAGGCTGAGGTGGGAAGATCACTTGAGCCTGGGAGGCAGAGGTTGCAGTGAGCTGAGACTCTGTCACTGTACTCCAGCCTGGGTGGCAGAGTGAGACCCTGTCTTGAAAAAAAAAATTTTTTTTAAGTAGCCAGCCTGGGCAACATGGTGAGATGCAATCTCAATAAATAAATAAATAATAAATAGCAGCTGGGCGTAGTGTAGCCTGAAGTTCCAGCTACTAGGGAGGCTGAGGTAGGAGGATCTCTTGAGCTTGGAAGGTTGAGACTACAGTGAACTATGATTGCACCACTGCACTCTAGCCTGGGCGACAGAGCAAGATGTTGTCTCTAAAAAATAAGGTACATACTTTAATTCCCTCCCTACCCCCATTTTATTGTTGAGAATCTAGGTTTGGAGGGGTTAAATAACACAGCAGTGGTGGAACAGGAATTCCAACCCCAGTCTTTCTGACACAGGCCATAGTAGACAGCAGTCTGAGGTTTTAAACCCAGATCTCTTAAGCACCAACCAAGCACCTTTGGGATTGTCAGTAAACCTCTCTGAGCGCATTTTCTCAAGGAAAAACAAAGATGATCAGATTCTTTGCCTCAAGTACCTTTCTGATTGTTAAATATGACAGCACATGTGAAGGCCTTTATGAACCATCTCCGACCTCTCTAGTACCCTCTGGAAGCAGGCAGGGACAGTATGTTCACTTAAGAGTCATTCAATAGATATGTGTCCAATGCATGAAGTTCCGATGTTTGAATCTTCAGAAGTGCATTGTTATCATTCGATCAGATGCCTCTGTTTCATTTCTCATGGCTCAAAAGGTCAGTTCTTTTAAGATGGAGGAGGCAATAGTCTCTTTTTAAAATGTCACTTTGACTGAGTGCTGTCAAGTAATTTTCCTTGGCATATCTTTTTCTGTGACCGGCTGTTTAATGGGAGTTTCCACGAATCCATGAAACAAGACAGCCAAGGGGAAATTTCTCTCTTATAGTCTTTTTTTGCTGTTGGCTTAAAAAAGCCCCAAAGTGGCTGGGCATGCCTGTAATCCTAGCACTTTGAGAGGCTGCAGCGGAAGGATCGCTTGAGCCCAGGAGTTCAAGAACAGCCTAGGTAACATAGCAAGATCCCTGTCTCTACAAAATAATAATAATAATAATAATAATAATAATAATAATAATAATAATAATTAGTCGAGCACAGCAGTGTGTGCCTGTAGTCCCAACTAGAGAGTGAAGTAGGAGGATTGTTTGAGCCCCAGAGTTTGAGGCTGCAGTGAACTGTGATCGTACCAGTGCACTCCAGCCTGGGCAACAGAGCAAGACCCTGTCTCAAAAAAACAAAACAAAACAAAACCATGAAGTGTGATCCCCTCCAATTTTTAGTAACATCGAAGATTGGGTCTGAGCATGGCTTACTCCTGCATGTGCCTCAAGATTTAATATTTTTTGGCCGGGCACAGTGGCTCACACCTGTAATCCCAGCACTTTGGGAGGCCAAGGTGGAGGGAACACTTGAGGTCAGGAGTTCGAGACCAGCCTGGCCAACATGGTAAAACCCTATCACTACTAAAAATACAAAAACTAGTCGGGTGTGGTTGTGCACGCCTGTAGTCCCAGCTACTTGGGAGGCTGAGACAGGAGAATCCCTTGAACCTGGGAGGTGGAGGTTGCAGTGAGCCAAGATCACACCATTGCACTCTAGCCTAGGCTAGAGAGAGAGGCTCCATCTCAAAAAAAAAAAAAAGAAGATTTAATAATTTTAAAGTGTTATCAGCCTTGATCTACTTGACTCATATAGAGTCAGGTAGATCTGGCCCAAGATCTGTGAATAAAGGAACATCGTTCCTGACCACAAGCAGGGCCATGCTCCAACTCTTGCACAAAAGCACTTTTGTTTCACTCATGGTGGCCCCCATGATGGACCTCACACTTCTCCCGATACTAGACTGCATTGCATAGTAACCTGCAATGCTCTTTCCTTCATCATCAGTTTCCAATTCTGATGTCACGATTTGGTTCATGACATTCCTGATAGATTCTCTATGTCTATCAGGAAGGGTCCTAAAACTCTCAATAAAAGTAGTTCTACAGTTTTTTAAAAATGAAACACACAGGGCACGGTTGCTCACGCCTGTAATCCCAGCACTTTGGGAGGCTGAGGCAGGTGGATCTCCTGAGGTCAGGAGTTCGAGACCAGCCTGGCCAACATGGTGAAACCCCATCTGTACTAAAAGCACAAAAATTAGCCAGGCATGGTGGCGGGCGCCTGTAATCCCAGCTACTCAGGAGGCTGAGGTGGGAGAATCGCTTGAACCTGAGAGGCAGAGGTTGCAGTGAGCCAAGATCATGCCATTGCACTCTAGCCTGGGCGACAAAAGTGAAACTCCGTCTCAATAAAAAAACAAAAACAAACAAACAAACAGAAACAAAAACAAACACGCTCTTACCATATAATCCAGAAAATTCTTCTTAGGATTTGCCCAAAAGAGTTGAAAACTTCTGTCCATACAAAACCCTGCACGCACATGAAGTTTATAACAGCTTTACTCACTATCGCCAAAACTTGGAAGCAGCCAAGATGTCCCTCAGTAGGTGAATGGATACATAACAATGGAATATTATTCAGTGCTAAAAACAAATGAGCTATCAAGGCATGAAAAGACGAAGGAAAATTACAGCTGGGCATTGTGGCTCATGCCTGTAATCCCAGCACTTTGGGAGGTCAAGGCAGATGGATCAGCTGAGGTCAGGAGTTCGAGTTCAGCCTGGCCAACATGGTGAAACCCTGTCTCTGCTAAAAATACAAAAATTAACCAGGTGTGATGGTGGACACCTGTAATCTGAGCTACTCAGGAGGCTGAAGCAGGAGAATCGCTTGAATCAGGGAGATGGAGTTTGCTGTGAGCCGAGATCGTACCACTGCACTCCAGCCTGGGTGACAGAGCGAGACTCTGTCTAAAAAAAAAAAAAGGCAGGAAGAAAACTTAAATGCTTGTTACTAAATGAAAGATGCTAATCTGAAAAGGCCACGTACTGTACGATTCCAACTATACAACATTCTGGAAGAGACAGGAATAGGTGGAGTAGAGAAGATTTTCTAGGGCAGTGACACTCCTCTGCATGATACTAAAATGGTGAATACATGTCACTAGACATCTGTCCAAAACCATGGAATGTGCAGGCAGTCCCCAACTTATAATGGTTAAACTTAACGATTTTTCAACTTTATGAAGGTGGGAAAATGGTGCATTCAGTGAAACCGTACTTTGAATACCGACAAAACCATGTTTTTTCACTTTCAATACAGTATTCAATAAATTACATGAGATGGTCAACACTTTATTATAAAATAGGATTTGTGTTTGATAATTTTGCCCAATGGTAGGCTAATCTAAGTGACCTGAACATGTTAAGTAGGCTAGGCTAAGCTAAGATGCTCGGTAGGTGAGGTGTATTAAATACATTTTGGGCTGGGCATGGTGGCTCACATCTGTAATCCCAGTACTTTGTGAGGCTAAGATGGGCAGATCACTTGGATTCAGGAGTTCGAGACCAGCCTGGGCAACATAGTGAGATCCTGTCTCTACAAAAAATACAAAAATTCACCAGGTGTGGTGGCATGTGCCTATAGTCCCAGCTATTCAGGAGACTGAGGCAAAGGACCACTTGAGCCTTGGAGGCGGAGGTTGCAGTGAGCCCAGATCGCACAACTGCACTGCAGCCTGGGTGCTAGAGTGAGACCCTATCCAATAAATAAATAAATGCATTTTGACTTATTTTCAACTTGTGATAGTTTTGAGATGTAATCCCATGAGTCAAAGAGCATCTGTACAATACCAAGAGTGAACCCTAATGTAACTATGGACTTTTTGTGATAATAATGTGTCAAAATAGATCCACCCATTGGAATACATGTGCCACTCGATGCCGGATCTTGACAGTGGGAGAAGCTAGACATGCATGGGTGCAGGGGGCAGTCAGGAGCTCTGTGCTTCCAGTCCATTTAGCCATGAACCTAAAACTGCTCTAAAAAACGAGTCTACTTTTATAAAAGTAGTTTTGTTTTGTTTTTTTTTTCCAGAGAATAGTCTCACTCTGTCGCCCAGGCTGGAGTGCAATGGCGTGATCTCAGCGCACTGCAACCTCCGCCTCCTGGGTTCAAGCGATTCTCCTGCCTCAGCCTCCCCAGTAGCTGGGATTACAGGCACATGCCACCACGCCTGGCTAATTTTGTATTTTTTGTAGAAATAGGGTTTTGCGATGTTTGCCAGGCTGCTCTCGAACTCCTGACCTCAGGTGATACGCCCGCCTTGGCCTCCCAAAGTGCCGGGATTACAGGCGTGAGCCACCATGCCCAGCCTAAAGGTAGCTTTTTTTTTTTTATTTTTTATTTTTTGAGACGGAATTTCACTCGTTGCCCAGGCTGGAGTGCGATGGCTCGATCTTAGCTCACTGCAACCCCCACCTCCACAGTTCAAGTGATTCTCCTGTCTCAGCCTCCTGAGTAACTGGGATTACAGGCGCATGCCACCGCGCCTAATTTTTTAATTTTTAGTAGAGATGGGGTTTCATCATATTGGTCAGGCTGGTCTCAAACTCCTGACCTCAGGTGATCCACCCGCTTCGGCCTCCCAAAGTGCTGGGATTACAGGCCTGAGTCACCAAGCCTGGCCAGCAGTTTTATTTCACTTTTATTTTAATAAGATTCCTGAACACCACACAATCCTCGAATCGTGGTTGTTACCAAAAAATCAAGTACCAAGTGGCCGGGAAGCATTGTCCCAAATGCCTTTAAAGGCATATTCTCACAAATGTTCATCTTTCATGTACACTTGGCTTTAAAAGAACACATCAAATTTTACATCAACATAAAGGTATGTGAGTGATACACAAATGTGTTCTTGCACATCATTATAAGGCTATTAGTTTGTTCTGTGCAAGCATATACACTAAGCTTAAATTTATCTTCTTCAAAAGCCACCTCTGCTCCTGCTATGAGGTTTTAGATCACCCAAGTTGTACATTTCCTAAATCCCTCTTCAGTTCCCATTCCCATCCTGTTTTTGTGTAAATCCAAGTTTTCTCCTAAAACTTCTGGAGCATCTCTAGAAGATAAGTTCTCCCGACAATTCCAAGAAACCCACGAGTAAGGTACTTAAATATAACACATTTATGAGAAGGGTTGGCTTGTCCTCTGTGCTTTTCCTTCCTTCCTATAAACATGTGCAGACGGCAGGAAAGTACCCCCGCCTCCACCCCTCAACAGCGAAGCTTCTGAAGATCCCGACGGAAGGCATGGCAGCCATCTCCAATCATTCTTCTGTTTTTGATGTGTGGCTTTTGATGAGAGAACAGTGATATGAACACCCTTTGCACCAAAGTGACTTGCTTATTTTTTTTATTAAATGATACATTGAAAGTATAAAAAGTTGCCGCAGTACAAACAAATTACAGAATAATGCATATAAAAGCGCTATGGACTACACGTGACAATTCTGCTTAACTTCCATCTTGATGATTTTATATCAGTATCCAAAATTATATACTCCAGCATTTTTTCCGAATATAGTCTTACATGATTGCAATTCCTGAGGTAAACTAAGTGTCCACTGCCAACATCCTTGGACGAAAACCAAGTCCCCCGGGAGAATTCAGATATTTATATTCACACATACAATACAACGGAATTCATCAATGTAATCAGATATTGCAGATTTAAAAATGGAAAATGGACTCTTGCAATACTTCTGCATCCATATATAATTTTACCAGCAGGGCCTCCCAAAATGTTGTGTAAGTATAGTTTAAATGGATTTCATTAATAAGTTTCTGCATTTAGATAAAAATTCTTGGCTAATCTGTAAGAAGTGAACACTGACTAGCATTGCCAAACAGAAAATCAAAAGTTTCAACAATTTGCAAAGCAGCACAGAATTGACACCCTAAAGAGGATGCCAATTTTGCTAACTACAGCTCTTACCACTCTTCTCCATGGAAAACCTTTAAGCTAAATGTTGTCAGTGTTTAGGTGTGCAGGCAAAATTTAATTCTGAATATACCATCGAACTTTTGCCAATCAGGAGCTGTCTATCATCATAGTCAGTTGTTTTCAATGAAATGAGCCTGTGGACACTACATTAAAAATACTTCTTTAATAAATATCGAAGTAGCGTATTAGAGATAGCACATACTATTTTTCTATCCCAAGAATAAAAATTGATGTTTGGTAAGAGTTTCGGAGCCCAAACAAGTAGGGGGCTGGCCCTCTTCTGGCTCATCTGTGATTGCACAACCGAGGGCCACACGGAGATTAAACAATGCCATCTTTGAAAAATCCCTTTCTGGTATTTCTCCCAAAGCCTGTCTCTTCATGCTTACTTCACATTCTTTATCTAATAAAATAAACTCTTTGTTTTATTTACAGCAAAATTATTACAGCAAATTTACTTCTCCTCTACCTTTTAATTAAATCTTCCAGTAAGCCAAAGTCTAAGGAAAGAAAAAGTACATTGTTGCCTATTGAAAAGGTAATACAAAGCCCTTTCATTTCCTTACAAACTTTAAGGGCCTTTATAATACTTCCTAAATGGCTGGGCTCAGTGGCTCACACCTGTAATCCCAGCGCTTTGGGAGGCTGGGGCACACAGATCACCTGAGGTCAGGAGTTCAAGACCAGCCTGGCCAGCATGGTGAAACCCCATCTCTACTAAAAATACAAAAACTACTCCGGTGTGGTGGCACAGGCCTGTTTTCCCAGCTACTTGGGAGGCTGAGGCAGGAGAATCACTTGAATCCGGGAGGCAGAGATTGCAGTGAGCCGAGATCGTGCCACTGCACTCCAGTCTGGGTGACAGAGCGAGACTCCATCTCAAAAAAACAAAAAATACTTCGTAAAAACAATACTTTTTTTTTCAAGTCAAATCCAATAAGCTAGATGACAAGAGTTAGCTTTTATTCACAAATGTAGTTAAACATGAGGGGTGTTTTGTAGAAACTCCAATTTCTACAAACATTAGTGGTGCATTTTGGTAACATTGGGACAATAAATAAGTTATTTAATTAATAATACAATTTTAAGACAAAAGATACCCCAAACAAAGCATTATCTGTTGACTGCCTGAGAAACATGAAGATCTTCAATGTTAGTACTTTTCTGTTCCTCCTTTCTTAGGTGGTCATCTGAAATGCACAGAAACCAATGTTAATACTTATCCCAAGTCAAAACACACAGATAGGTAGACATAGCTACAAATATCTTAGGATGTTACATATTTAATATTCTATGAGTACTTTAGATGGTTTAGGACAATGAAAAAAACCCATTATTTTTTAAACACTATTGAAGAAATCAGAGGCCAAGCGTGGTGGCTCACGCCTGTAATCCCAGTACTTTGGGAGGCCGAGGTGGGTGGATCACCTGAGGTCAAGAGTTATAGACTAGTCTGGCCAACATGGTGAAACCCCGTGTCTCCTCAAAATACAAAAATTACCCGGGCGTGGTGGCAGGCGCCTGTAATCCCAGCTACTCGGGAGGCTGAGGCAGGAGAATTGCTTGAACCTGGGAGGCAGAAGTTGCAGTGAGCCAAGATCGTGCCATTTCACTCCAGCCTGGGCAACAAGAGTGAAACTCGGTCTCAAAAAAAAAAAAAAAAAAAAGAAAGAAATCAGAAATGTCTGGCATTAGGGACTCTAATTATTCAAAAGAGTTTCTTGACTTTTTTTTTGAGTAGAGTACAACCTGCAGTAAACCCATGCATAAGTAGTTACAAACCTCTCTCTTACATGTAAGGAATGAAATTTGCAAGAAAGGACAAGGTGTTCAATCAGCATTTTGAGGGTTGCCAAAGCTCTTCAATTACAACACAATGAAAACCACTTCAAATAGATCACCTGAGGTCAGGAGATAGAGACCCTGTCTCTACTAAAAATATAAAAATTAGCCAGGCGTGGTGGCGGGCACCTACAATCCCAGCTACTTGGGAGGCTGAGGGCAGGAGAATCGCTTGAACTCAGAAGTGGAGGTTGCAGTGAGCCGAGATCGTGCCACTGCACTCCAGCCTGGGCGACAGAGCAAGACTCTTGTCTCGAGAAGAAAAAAAAAGAACCTAGAGACTTAATATCCTAATGCAACAAAAATGTAATGCAAAAACTAGATTCTTGAGAATATATGAACCCCAAACACTTTCTACAACTGATAAAACATCTTTCTTGCAACAACTTTGATAATAGGAAAAAATATATACATAAATTTAGATAAGCTGCTAGAAAATGCAATTTTATCACTGGGTTTTCTAATTCTACAATGTGATTATACACACGCTTTATTAGTTCTCAGCTGCTTATTCTCAGTGCCAATACTACTTTAAGGGTCTGGAAAACAGATGGAAATCTCTCTCCCTTTATTTTAGGTAACTTTGCTGGACAGAAAAAAAATTAACAATTTCCTCAGAAGGTAACAATTTTAGGTCTTCTAGAAAAGTGTTATAAAAAATGAAGTCTACTATGCTTGATAGATGTGCAATAAAGTTAAGCTGATGACTGTCCCTATTATAAAAATCTGGTCTTTCATTTACAATAAAAATCTTCGCCAGGAATGTAGTCCCAGCTGTAGTCCCAGCTACTTGGGAGGCTGAGGTGGGAGGATCACCTGGGCCTGTGAGGTCAAGGCTGCAGAGAGCCATGATTGTGTCACTGCACTCCAGCCTGGGAGACAGAGTGAGACCCTATCTCTTAAAAACAAAAAAAAAAAGAAAAAAAATGTGTGTGTGTGTATATATATATAAAGTTGAATAGCAAAAACTACTTTGCCTTCAAGATTACAAGCACTAACAGCAGCAGTACAAATGCACTGGCTGTCATTTCAAAGGTGGGTGTGCCTACATAAACCCTCTTCATTTTTTTTCAGCACTGAAAACTTGGATGAGAGAAGCACTTTTTCATCTTGGCATGCTTTGGACTTACTTCTTTCTTTCCTTTTTTTTTTTTTTTTTTGAGACAGAGTCTCGCTCTGTCGCCCAGGCTGGAGTGTAGTGGCGCAATCTCGGCTCACTGCAACCTCCACCTCCTGGGTTCAAGCGATTTTCCTGCCTCGGCCTCCCGAGTAGCTGGGACTACAGGCGTACACCACCACGTCCAGCTAATTTTTGTATTTTCAGTAGAGACAGGGTTTCACCATGTTGGCTAGGCTGGTCTCGAACTCCTGACCTCAAGTGATCTGCCCACCTAGGCCTCCCAAGGTGCTGGGATTACAGGGGTGAGCTGCCGTGGCCTGGCCTGAACTTATTTTCAAGTAAAAGCCAATTTAGTTTCAGGGTTTGATATTTCTGTTGAATGAGCTTCTGTGGAGACAAGGTGCTGTGATGTAGAATAAGGATTTTAGTATCTTCATAACCTTTTCAATGCTGTCAAATAAGAGTTACGGAGACAGTAAGCTAGAGTTGAGGAAGTAAATGGAAAGCTTAAGTGTGTTACTGAAACATGATGCAGTTCTGGCTGACAACTTTCAAGGCACTACACAAAGAGGTTGTGTCAATAAAATTTTTGATGACCAAGAAAATAATTTGCAAAATCACTGTTCTTCCCCGATTCATTCAGCAGTCATCCTCATTTCTGAGCTGTCTGCAGAGCTTTCCACAGAACAGGCACCCAAGGTGGCTTTACTGACTTGAACTCGATTCTGATGTTCCTGGCACTTTAGTGGTGTACAGGTCGTGTGTCTAGGTGTCTCTTTCCCTCCCTCCCTCCATAAATACCTTTCTCTCTATGGTGTATGCGTAATCTACCGCTTTCATCTCAGAAGAACAGAAATTGGTTAGGAAATAGTGTTCCTTATAACTTTCTTACTAGTCATGAGCCGTGAGTATTAACAAGGCTGATTATGAAACTTACAAACCAGAAAGTTATTTCTCAAGCGGTTATTTTTCTTTATGGGACTGATAGTATCAATGACTTGGGGTTGCTGTGTTAAGAAGTGTTAAGGTGTACAATATCCACTGGTGACAACTGAACTCAGAAACTCATATTGTCATATATTCTTGGTAAGTGTATAGACTGATAAAGCCTTTTTGGAGGGGAATTAGACAATATCTACTACATTTTTAAATATGCATATCCTTTGAACCAACAACTCTACTTTAGGCATCCACACAAGAGAAACGTGTAGACAAAGATACAATGTTACATCACAATACTGTAATGTGTGGACAAAGATACAATGTTACATCACAATACCGTAAAAGCAAAATATTTAAAACTAAATAAGAGTGATTATAAGGTGGGAGAGTAGCCTGGGCAACAGGACAAGACCCTGACTGCAAAAAATTAAAAAATAAGCGAGGTGCAGTGGTGCACCCCTATAGTCCCGGCTACTTGGGATGCTGATGTGGAAAGACTGATCCCAGGAGTTTGAGGCTACAGTGAGCTATGATTGTGCCACTGCACTCCAACCTGGATGACAGAGTAAGACCTCATCTCTAAAATTAAAAAAAGGATGATTGTAATAATACTCTGGAATATGAAACAAAGTTAAAAACGAGATCTACACGTATCAACAAGTAAAAAAAAGCAAATTGCAGGATAACGTGCACCATAACAATGTATATATATTTAAATACACAGAAATGAGTCCCGAAGGGGCTGGGCATGGCCAGATGCAGTGGCTCACACCTGTAATCCCAGCACTTTGGGAGGCCAAGGGGGGTGGATTGCCTGAGGTCATGAGTTGGAGACCAGCCTGGCCAACACAGTGAACCTCATCTCTACTAAAAATACAAAAATTAGGCGGGTGTGGTAGCACATGCCTGCAGCCCCAGCTACTTGGGAGGCAGGAGAATCACTTGAACCTGGGAGGCGGAGGTTGCAGTGAGGTGAGATTGTGCCATTGCACTCCAGCCTGGGTGACAGAGTGACAGTCCATCTAAAATTTAAATAATAATAATAAAATAAAATAAAATAAATAAAATAAAATAGAAATGAGTCCCAAAGAATACCCTGCAAACTGCTAACAGGGACACCTTCTATAAAAAGGGAGAAGAATTGAGGAGTTAGGGAGAGGCAAGAAGGAAGAAAGGAAAGTTAAAGGGAACTTTTTACTATTTAAAAAATTTAGAGATTTACTCATGTACTTGCACTATTAATGTTTTATTTTGCTCGTTAAGTACTTGCCAATTAGTAGGCAGTAATGTCAGTTCCTTACCAATCCCTAAAAAGAGAATTTGGAAAACTTCTCCATAATCTATATGTGGAAAGGTATACGGGAACAGCAATCAAATGTGCTGATTCTGCTACTAATTATCTGCTACAGGTCTTAGTTGAGTTACTTAACCTCTTAGTATTGGAACCTTCTTAAAGTTTTCTCAACTATGAAATAAGTAGATGGGAATGACTTATTTTCCAACGTTCCATCCAGTTCAGCATTCTAATATATATAGAAAGATATCTCCTAGTGCAGTCAGAAACCACCTCCAAAATAGGTTATCCTGATTCACTGTTTACTTTCAGACCTCAAGAGACACCAAGCATCTAACACGGTCACTACTGGTCATAGCAGTTTAGGAAACTACAAAGGCAATCCACATTTTAGGCGTTTCCTAAAAGTTTCCTAAAAGTTCGTGTCAACATTCAAGATTTACATTTGTTCTGATAATTGGCAGCCTAAACCCCACCTTTAACTGTCCTTAAAAATTGACCAGCTCTTGGTTGGGCGCGGTGGCTCAAGCCTGTAATCCCAGCACTTTGGGAGGCCAAGGTGGGCGGATCATGAGGTCAGGAGATCAAGACCATCCTGGCTAACACAGGGAAACCCTGTCTCCACTAAAGATACAAAAAATTAGCCGAGTGTGGTGATGGGCGCCTGTAGTCCCAGCTACTTGGGAGGCTGAGGCAGGGGAATGGCATGAACCCAGGAGGCAGAGCTTACAGTGAGACGAGATCACACCACTACACTCTAGCCTGGGCGACAGAGCGAGACTCTGTCTCAAAAAAAAAAAAAAATTGATCAGCTCTCTACCACAACTGAAAACACTGAGCTATAACCCACTCAATTCAAATGGTGAAAATGGGATCCCATTGCTGGGATAATCAAAATAAGTCAGGGCCAGGTACAGGCTCGTGCCTGTAACCCCCACACTCTGAGAGGCTGAGGTGGGAAATCACTTAAGACCGAGTTCAAGACCAGCCTAGTGAACACGGTTGAGACTTCCATGTCCACAAAAATTAAAAAATTAGCTGGGTGTGGTGCCTGAAGTCCTAGCTACTTGGGAAGCTGAGGCAAGAAGGTGAGAGGATTGCTTGAGCCCGGCAGTTCAAGGTTACGGTGAGCTATAATAGCACCACTGCACTCTAGTCAGGCGACAGAGTGACTAGAAAAAATACATAAAAATTTATGTATTTTTATGTCTCAAAAAAATACATAAAAATTTATGTATTTTTATGTCTCAAAAAAATACATAAAAATTTAAAAGCTACCAAAAGCTCATTTAAAAAACAGGCAATCTGAAAGAAATGTGGGCGATTCTCCTAACAATCTGTAACTTGTAGGTAACTTCCACTGTAACATAAACAGTATCCTAAAAATGCAAATGACTTCTCTATCTGTATTTAGCAATCTTACCTTTTATTTTGCAGTCATGGAGAGGAAAAAAAATAATCACTTGATAAAAAGCTATTTATTCAGTATACCAAGGATCTAAGCTGCTCCAAATACTTACAATTTACATGAAAATTGGAGTTTTCAGTATTTTTTTGTTTTTTTTTAAATTTAATTAATATAATTTTTTAATTAAAAAAATAGAGATGGGGTTTCACCATGTCACTTAGGCTAGTCTCAAACTCCTGGCCTCAAGCGATCCACCTGCCTCGGCCTCCCAAACTGCTGGGATTACAGGCATGAGCCATTGTGCCTAGCCCAGAGTTTTAAATACTTCTATAAAGAAATTACATCTAAGAATTCTGCCCAGTTATGCCTCCCACCCTTCCCTGTCCAAGATTCTTTACAAAAAGCATTCTGTTTCTTGGAGTAACATAGGCTAGACATATTAGATATAAGCAGAATTAAACTATGACTCAAAAGCTCAGTAAAGACTCCAAAAGAAAAATATATAGGAAGAAAACATATTTGCTGACAGCTAAATGATGAATCTTGGAAAACTCATACCCATTGGCTTTCTTCTACTAGGTTGTCTGCCAAGACTTGGGTCTGAAGGCTGAAGTGAAGGCCCTTTCAGAAATGCATTCTGGATGCCATCCTTAGTTCCACGCAAGAAATGGGCTAAAATCCCATATAAAAGAGGTCTATAGCAGGAAGAAAACAAAACAAAACCAAAAGCTAATAAATCTGCATAAACGGGAAAAGCTTAAAACATTTATTCTTTAAAAGGTAACCTCTGACATCAAAAAGACCAAGTGATTCACTAGACTTTAAAAAGCGGCATGATTATCCAAAATGCAAATTGTTCATACTTTTAAATTTAAGAGTACCACTTAATTTCATGACAATTTTAAAACCCAGAGAAAACATGTTAACAACTTAAACCTCATCTACACTGAAATATCATTTCTATCAATCCACAGGAATCTCTTTTAAACTCCAAAGTCCAGTAGAGTATTTCCCAATACCTAACCCCATCTAATACACAACAGGTATTCAATAAACACCTCTTGATTAATAAGTCCTTGCCCTGAAAAAGTCTTAGGTCCTGAGAGCCAGGTGACCTGAGTTCAAATTCTGGCTTTGCCATTTGCTAGCTGTGGGACTCTGTGTAAGATTCTTAACCTCTCCAGCCTCATAAATGTTTCTTCCTTTATAAATTAGGATAAGCACCGTCCCTCCCTTATAGGGCTGTTATGCACTAAATGAGTTAATAAATGTCAAGTGTTTTTTACTGTGCCTGGCACATATGAAATGGTATATAAATGTTAGCTCCTGTGTAGCTAACATTTATTTAGATTAATATTTACATTACCTATTATTTTAAAATCTTCTTTATAGTTTACAGAACGTATACCTCTTCTCATCTAATCCTCATCGTGTAATGTCAAGATCATCAACTGCAATTTATAAAGGAGAAAACCACAGCCAGGAGATTTGCTAGAGATTCCCCCAGATAGTAAACAAAGTTTACACTTGAACCCCAAATCCCATATTGTTTTCCTTACAGTGTGCTGCCTGGGAATTTATATTAGTACTCTTGCATCAAGGAAAGCTGCTCTGCTGACAATCAAGAGTGGTACAATGGAAATGTTTTCCTTTGTTTCCAATCTCAAATTTGAAAACACAATTAAAAGGATTTAATCTTTATTTTTAATTTTTGTGGGTACATAGTAGGTGTATATATTTGTGGGGAGGATTTATTTTTTGAGATATGTATCTATTTACTAGCTGGTATAATGGTTTACAGTACGACGCTCCCTTCCAAAGATGGAATCTCATTGCCCTCTGAGTGTGAGCTGAACTCACTTCTAACTGGCACAAAGCTGACTTCAGAGGCCACGTGGTAATGGCCCTGCAGCTTCCTCCTTGCTTTCTCTCTTGGATTGCTGCCTTTGGGAGAAGTCAGATGCCTCAGGACACTTCAGCAGCCCTGGAAAGTTACATGCAGTAAGGAATTGAGGCCGCCTGTCAATATCATTATGAGTTTGGAAGCAGATAGTTCAGCCACATTCAAGGCTTCCGACTACAACCCTGGCTGGCATCTTGACTCCAACCTCAAGGGGGAGCCTGAGCTAGACTTACGTGACTAAGCCAATCCCAAATCCCCGAATATTCCACAAATAATCTATGTTGTTGTTCTAAGCTACCAAATTCTGGAATAATATCACACTAATTTTTCCATGCCACAGGGAAACCAGGAAAGTAAGTTTCTTTATTTAATAAGATGCCGCAACTCTTATGAAAGCGTCACCTAGTAATATAAAACAGGTCTCTTTGTTTACTTTAATCTTCCCCAAAGTGTTAACTGGTTCAAGATGATTTTTAAATGTTAAAAGTTTTATTTTTTAAATAAATATTCAAAAAAATGTACTTGTGATTAAAATTTTGGGTTGGACATGGGGGCTCAGGCCTGTAATCCCAGGACTTTGGGGGGCCAGCCTGGCCTCAAACAGGAGTTTGAGACAGCCTGAACAACATAGCGAGTCCCCTAGCTCTACAGCAATTTTATTTTAAATTAGCCACAGAAGGTAATATGCACCTGTGGTCCCAGCTACTTGGGAGGCTGAGGTGAGAGGATCGCTTGAGTGCAGAAGGGAGAGGCAACTTGCAAATTCATGGATTAAGGTTTATCTTTTAAAATAAGTTTCAAAAAGATAAAGAAAAGTGCGGCCTCACAATAACTTGCCTGTAATTCTGAAATGCAAAATTCTGAAAACTGGATTCTCTTCATATATCTGGCAAAAAATCATCAGATGGCAAGGGTTGACCTAACAAGGCTATTAACAAGGCTATTACAGACTTTATCTTACTTTGTGTGAAAACATTAATGTGCTGGGTGTGGTGGCTCAAGCCTGTAATCCCAGCACTTTGGGAGGCCAAGGCAGGAGGATCACCTGAGGTCGGGAGTTCAAGACCAGCCTGACCAACATGGAGAAACCCCGTATCTACTAAAAATACAAAATTAGCCGGGTGTGGTGGCATGCTCCTGTAATCCCAGCTACTCAGGAGGCTGAGGCAGAAGAGTCACTTGAACCCAAGAGGCAGAGGTTGCAGTGAGCTGAGATCATGTCATTGCACTCAAAAAAAAAAAAAAAGAGAAAGAAAATATTAATGTGATTGTGGAATACTACTTTAGGACTCCCTGGCACATACATGTAGTATTTGGTAGATGTACCATATTACTTTTTTTTTTTTTTTAAAGAATTGAAGTCTTGGGCCGATGGCTCACACCTGTAATCCTAGCACTTTGGGAGGCCGAGGCAGGAGGATCATGAGGTCAGGAGATCGAGACCATCCTGGCTAACACGGTGAAACCGTCTCTACTAAAAATACAAAAAATTAGCCAGGCGTGGTGGCATGCGTCTATAGTCCCAGCTACTTGGGAGGCTGAGGCAGGAGAATCGCTTGAACCTGGGAGGCGGCAGTTGCCGTGAGCCGAGATCACGCCACTGCACTCCAGCCTGGACGACAGAGTGAGACTCTGTCTCGAAAAAAAAAAAAAGAACTCTCGCTGTGTGGCCCACACTGGAGTGCAGCAGCAAGATCATGGCTCACTGCAGCCTCAATCTCCTGGATTTAAGTAATCTTCTTGCCTCACCCTCCTAAGTAGCTAGGACTACAGGCATGTCATTTTAAAACCCGACAGCATTTGGATTTTCAAACATGTATCTGGCCTCAGTGGTTTCAGATGCAGCACTGCAGATCTGTAAGTAAATAATATGAGTAATATGTGACTATGGCAAACTCTGTGAATGCCAATCACTGAAGTGTGAGAAACAAGGGCTTAAAGAAGTTACCTAACTTTTAAAAAATAAAGCCGTTTTAGCAACTTTTTTTTTTGCTTCCTCATCCTCTCTCAAACTTACTTTTTTTTTTTTTTTTGGAAACGGAGTCTCGCTTCTGTCGCCCAGGCTGAGTGCAGTGGCACGATCTCGGCTCACTGCAAGCTCCACCTCCCCGTTTGACGCCCATTTTCCTGCCTCGGCCTCCCAAGTAGCTGGGACTACAGGCATCCGCCACCTTGCCCGGCTAATTTTTTGTATGTTTAGCAGAGACGGGGTTTCACCGTGTTAGCCAGGATGGTCTCCATTTCCTAACCTCGTGATCTGCCCGCCTCGGCCTCCCAAAGTGCTGAGATTACAGGCGTGAGCCAATGCGCCCGGCCTTCTTTTTTAAAAAAATATCAAACATTTCACGAATTTGCGTGTCATCCCTTTGCCGGGGCCATGCTAATCTCTGTACCGCTCCAATTTTAGTTTATGTGCTGTTAAAGTGAGCACAAACTTCTTAATACTTTCATCTGAAGTAGGTATCTCAAAAGCTACCAAGAAGCCAGTAATAGTCATTGCTTATTTCCATCAACTGCTAAATGTAAAATGATGTCTTGTATTAAATGATGTAATAACTCACTGCTCATCCTAAGTCACGCTTAGATTCCCCCAATTATTTTTCCCACTGTTCTCAATTATACAATTTTTATACTTTTCAAAACACTTGTTACCAGGTGCAGTGGCTCATGCCTGTAATCCCAACACTTTGGAAGGCCAAGGTAGGTGGATAACTTGAGCTGAGGAATTGGAGACCAGCCTGGCTAACATGGTAAAACACCATTTCTAAAAAAAATACAAAAATTGGCCAGGCATGATGGTGCATGCCAGCGTATGCCTGTAATTCCAGCTACATGGGAGGCTGAGGTGGGAGAATCGCTTGAGCCCAGGAGTTCGAGGCTGCAGTGAGCCATGATCAAGCCGCTGCACTCTAGAGACCTGGGCAACAGAGTGAAACCCTGCCTTGAAAAAACAAACAAAAAAACCTCACAGCACTTTGGGAGGTGGAGGTGGGCAGATCACTTGAGGCCAGGAGTTCGAGACCGGCCTGGCCAACATGGTGAAACCCCATCTCTACAAAAAAATATGAAAAAAAATTAGCTGGGCATGGTGGTGCACACCTGTAATCCCAGCTACTCAGGAGGCTGAGGCAGAATCAGTTGAACCCAGGAGGAGATTGCGGTGAGCTGAGATGGGGCCACTGCACTCCAGCATGGGCGACAGAGCGAGACCCTATCTCACAAAAAGGAAAAAAGAAAAAAAAAAGAAACAAGGGAAGATGAGAGGAAGAGAAAGAGGAAAATGCCATAAAGGAGTTACTATCTGAACAGGGCCAACAGAAAGGAAAGATGCTCCAATAGAAGTTAAGATGCTCCAATAGAAGAGGGAGAAAGGTGATGTAGGGCTTCTAGGATAAGGGAATGGTTTACAAGGCAAAGCAGCATAAAGTTGCAAAGTGTCTTCCAGGCATAATCAGAAATCAGGTGTGAGCAGATAGAACAACAGACGGGTAGAAAGAGGTGTAAAGTGCTACGCTAAGCAACAGGGACTTCACTATACACACAATGACAAAGGTAGTATATGATCCTGGAACATTAATTTTACACAAGGATTTGTGGGAGAGTTAGATTTAACTGGAATGTCATTTAAAACATTTATATAGTAAAGCAAACAACTTTCAGAACTTTTTTTTTTTTTTTTGAGACAGGGTCTGATTCTGTCACCTAGGCTAGAGTGCAGTGGTGTGATCTTGGCTCACTGCAACCTCCGCTGCCCAGGTTAAAGCGATTCTCATGCCTGAGCCTCCCTAGCAGCTGGGACTACAGGCACACGCCACCATGCCTTGCTAATCTTTTTGTTATTTTTAGTAGAGATGGGGTTTCGCCATGTTGACCAGGCTGGTCTCAAACTCCTGACCTCAGGTGATCCACTTGCCTCAGCCTCTGAAGTGCTGGGACTACAGGCATGAGCCACCACGTCTGGCTAGAGATGGGGTTTCCCCATGTTGTCCAGGCTAGTCTTGAACTCCTGAGCTCAAGTGATCCTTCCACTTCAGCCTTCCAAAGTGCTGGCATTACAGGCACGAGATACCTCACTTGGCCTTAAGAACTTTTAGGATGAGAAAACGTAAGGCTTCAAAGAAAGTTCTAGATTTAAAAAAAGGCTGCTTTAAGCTATGTTCTCAGGTCTCCTATGTACTTTTTTTTTTTTTTTTGGCTATACAGGGACTCTCCAGAAAAAGTTTAAGAAACACTGAAATAGAAAAAAACTAAGAAAACTAGAAAGTGGTCATCCTCCTTTTCAAGAGCATAGTTGGTGAGAGGAGGTACACAGAGGGCAAAGGACAGAGTAATAGTAACGAAAGCAGTGGGCTGATTCAGTAATCTTGGTAGAAAAAGGTATTCGAGCAGAAGCTTGGGGTTGGAAGTTCATAGTTTTTGTTTTTGTTTTTGTTTTTGTTTTAGGAGAGGAGAGATCTGAGTACATTCCTAAGTTGGAGTGAAGGAAGAGTTAAATATGAAGAAAACAACTGACAAGGCAAAGTCTCAGAGGCCAGGCATGGAGGGCTCACACCTGCAACCCTAGCACTTTGGGAGGCCAAGGCAGGAAGATCACTTGAGGTCAGGAGTTCGAGACCAGCCTGGGCAAAAAAGCGAGGCCTTGCCTCTACAAAAATAATTTGAAAATACAAATAAAAGTTGAAATTATAAATTAAAAAACAAACAAAGCCTTAGAAGGACAAAGGATCAAGAAGTCAAAAGGAGCTAACTCCAGAAAGAAGATGCTGAGTCACTCTGAAGCCATGTAATTGTAGCTTCAGCAAACACAGATCTCATCTGACTTATTCACTGCTGCACACCCTGGATTTAGGACAATGCTTGACACACACTAGATCTGAATAAATACTTGAATTAAAATGAAGTAAAACCACCATGGTGCAATTATGACTCAATACAATATGTGGAAACTTCTTTAAAAAAATGTCTTACATTGTATTATCCTTTGATTCTTCAAATGCATTTAGTTCATGGATGAGAAACTGTCTGTCCAACGGAACTACAGGTTGACCAGATTCTGGGAGAAATAAATTCATGAGAACACTCAGTCTATTAAACTAAAAAGCAAATAAGATTTTGAAAAGAATCACATTTACCAGACATACACTTTTTAGATTTTGGAAGAATGATGACAACACACACCAAGACAGATCAAATTGCCTGTGATTTTATGACTTTCAAAATATCTCTTTTGTTAAATGCATGTCTTAATACAGTTTAACATAAATTCACTTTTTAAATTCCCCAGTGTTTGGTTGGAAAAATACCATTTCTATATCCAAATTATAATACTAAATTTTGGAAGTCTGTTTATCAATAACTTATTTTTGAAAAGAATATCCACTTGGTGACAATACTTATAAATAAAAATTAAAGTTAACCTGAAGTGTGGGGCAGCTGGAACTTTCACACTTTGCTGGTGGGAAAGCACAATGGTACAGGCACTTTGGAAAACAGTTGAGCAGTTTTCTTATAAAGGTGAGCGTGCACTTAACCACACAACCCAGCAATCTCACTCTTAGCTTTCTACCCAAGATTAATGAAAACTTATGTTCTCACAAAAACCTGTATGTAAATGTTTATGGCAGCTTGATTCCTAACTGCTAAAACTAGAAACAACTCAATGCCCATCAACTGGTCATAGATGAGCAAACTAGCACAGCCACACAATAGAACAGTGTTCAAAGGAAAAACAAACATGGCTGAATCTTGAATGTATTACACTAAGTGAAAAAAGGCAGACTCAAAAGGCTACATCATGTACGGTTCCATCTACAGCAAGGGTCCCCAACCCCCGAGCCACAGATTAGAAACTGGGCCACACAGCAGGAGGTGAGGAGTGGGCAAGCAAGTGAGGGAAGCTTGATCTGTGTTTACAGCTGCTGCCCATCACTAGCATCACTGCCTGAGCTCAGCCTCCTGTTGGCAGAATTAGATTCTCATAGAAGCGTGAACCCTATTGTGAACTGCACATGCGAGGGATCTGGGCTGTGCACTCCTTATGAGAATCTAAGGCCTGATGATCTCTCACTGCCTCCCATCACCCCCAGATGGGACCATCTAGTTGCAGGAAAACAGGCTTAGGGCTCCCACTGATTCTACATTATGGTGAGTTATAATTATTTCATTATATATTACAACACAATCATAGAAATAAAATGCACAATAAATGGAGTATGCTTGAATCATCCCGAACCATCCTCCCAGGTCCATGGAAAAATTGTCTTCCATGAAACCAGTCCCTGGTGCCAAAAAGGCTGGTGATATCTTGATTGTGATCTGGTAGTAATTACACAACTGCAGGCATTTGACTAAAGTACAGAACTGTACAGTTTAAAAGGTAAATTTTATTGTATGTAAATTATATCCCAGTTTTTTAAAAAAAGCCAAACCATTTAATATGAAAACTTGACTACTGTCACTATATTTCATTCTAGTGAATCCCAAGTCCCCACTATTTTCATAATTTCTTCTTTTCTGGGTGTAACTGGTATCATACAGCCATCTATAACAAACAAAGGAAAGCAGAGATGCTGATATCAAAGATCCTTAAACCATAAAAATCATGAGTCTTTATGTAGTTCAGACGTATGTTTAATATTAAATAAAGGATCTGTAACGAAAAATTCTAACTTCACAAAGAATTCATTCTCTCTTGCAAAATCTACTTCCTGGCCTCGCTTCTTTGCTGAGGCATGAAGTAGTCAAAGCAGAGATGGAACCTGAAACGAGGGAATCCGATGACACACATTCAGGGTGCCTCAGACCAACCCCCAGCTGCATCCCCCACCCCACCAAGTCCAGGGGTAACCAGGATTCTGACTTATTTATATCCATCCAGTCTCTCCTCACTTTTTTGAAAGAAGACATTTAAAAGTCAGCAGAAGATATTAAAAATATTCTCACCACTCAATAACTGTTACACTTGAAGAGCAAATTTATTTCTCAAGAAATAAAATTCAACAGATAAAGGGAATTTATCTTTATCTCCCCACCCCCAACCCCCAATATCATTCTCTGCCTCCTATCACTAGGATGAGTTTGGAGTTTCCCGCTGCTAGAGTCTGGATATTTGTCTCCGCCCAAATCTCATGTTGCAACGCACTCCCCAGTGTTGGAAGTGGGACCTGGCGGGAGTTGTTTGGGTCATGGGGGTGGATCCCTCATGGCCTGGTGCTGTCCTTACCACAGTGAGTGGGTTCTCATGAGAACAGGTCATTTATAAGTGTGTGGCACTAACCTTCCCCACCCTTGGCCCCTGCCTTCACCATGTAACGTGCTTGCTGCAGTGAGCAAAAGCTCCCTGAGGCCTCCCAGAAGCTAAGCAGATGCCAGTGCCATGCTTGTACAGTCTGCAGAACCGTGAGCCAAGTAAACCTCTTTTCTTCAACCGGGTGCGGTGGCTCACGCCTGTAATCCCAACATTTTGGGAGGCCGAGGAGGGCGGATCACGAGGTCAGGAGACTGAGACCATCCTGGCTAACGGTGAAACCCTGTCTCTACTAAAAATACAAAAAATTAGCTGGGCATGGCCTGTAGTCCCAGCTACTTGGGAGGCTGAGGCAGGAGAATCACTTGAACCCAGGAGGTAGACGTTGCAGTGAGCCGAGATCAATCCACACTCCAGCCTGGGTGACAGAGCAAGACTCTGTCTCAAAACAAACAAACAAACAAACAAACATACAAAAAAACCTCTTCTCTTCATAAATTACCCAGTCTCAGGTGTTTATTTATAGCAATCCAAAAACAACCTAATATACCAGCCTAGTCCTTTATAAATACCATGCTTTTAGATACATACATTTGTAAATGTACCTAAGCACTACATAGTAGTAATATTTCAAAGTTTTATCTCCATTATATCTATCTATCTATCTATCTATCTATCTATCTATCTATCTATCTATCTAGATACACACACACACACACACAAATAGACATATATCTACATATCTATATATAGACAGGGACAGTTTTTTTTCTTTTAAGAGACAGGAGTTGGACCAGCCTGTCCAATATAGTGAAACCCCGTCTCTACTAAAAAATACAAAAATTCGCCGGGCCTGGCAGCACACACCTGTAGTTCCAGGTACTCGGGAGGCTGAGGCAGGAGAACTGCTTGAACCCAGGAGGCGGAGGATGCAGTGAGCTGAGATCACAATAGAGTGAGACTCCGTCTCAAAAAAAAAGAAAGAAAAAAAAGACAGGGGTTGGGTGCAGTGGCTCATGCCTGTAATCCCAGCATTTGGGGAGTGTGAGATAGGTGGATCACCTGAGCCCAGGAGTTCAATACCAGGCTGGGCAACATAGTGAGAGCTCATCTCTATAAATAATAAAAAAATTTAGCTGGGCATGGAGGCATGCACCTGTGGTCCCAGCTACTCAGGAGACTGACGCAGGAAGACTGCTTGAGCCCAGGAGGTGAAAGTTGCAATAAGCCATGATCGCACCACTGCAGTCCAGCCTTTGCAACAGAGTGAGATTCTGTCTCTGGAAAAAGAAAAAAGAGACAGGGTCTCTCTCTGTTGCCCAGACTGGAGTGCAGTGATGCGATCATGGCTCACTAAAGCCCAGAGCACATGGGCTCACATGATCACCCCCTCCCCGACCCCTGCTCAGCCTCAGCTAGGACAACAGACACGTGCCACCATGCATGGCTAATTTTAAAAACTCTTTTCCAGAGATGGGGTCTCCCTGTGTTGCCCAGGCTGGTCGCGAACTCCTGGGCTCAAGTAATCTTGCCTCGGCCTCCCAAAGCACTGAGATTACAGGTGTGAGCCACCTACCCAGCCTATTTTTTAACAAATAATATACTTAATCAGCGTATATTTTTAAAGCTTAATACACAGGAAAAAACTGGTGGCAAACAGGACAAAACGTCAACAATTGTTTATTCTCGGTTACAGGAATTATAGATGATTTTTCCAAGTATATGCCTAGTTTAAGTGATTATTTAGTTATGTATTTTCTCTTGTAAGAATCTGTTTAAGCTACAGAAAGAACCCATGTGATTTTTGTGTCCCAGTCACCCAGATGGCACTATCTGGTAAGGGAATTAGATTTCTAGGATAAACAGTTTCTGAGAATTGGGGAAAGGGGAGAAACAGATTTTATGTGATAAATAATAACCACTTACCTGCTATGAGGACAGATGCTGTATACTTATATTTGTTGAATTCTAAATACTCTCGAATTAATTCATTAATTAGAAGGTTTTCATGAGACAATGATGGTCGGGGTTCACGGTCATCATCTAGGGCATTGAAAACTTCAGCTCGGATCCTTGCTTTTAAATGCCCTAATACCCCCTTTTTTTCCAAGGTGTCCTTTAAAACTGTTCGATATAAAATATTAAGGCTTCAGTTACAGAGTAAATTTGTCATTCTTAGGCATACTTTGAAAAGAAATGTTGAAAAGGTAAATGGTACAAAAACAGCTCTCAAGCAGCTCTTAATCTAAACATTGTGACAAATTATTAAACAATTACACTACCACCAGCCATGTTTATACTAAAACATATAGTTCTCATGTTGCAGTGATTTAGTCTTAATATATTTGAGCAAATTCAAGTTTATTCCTACATCATCAGCACTGTCAGGGGCTGTAGTCTAATACATATTCTTTTTTATTTTATTTATTATTTTTTTTGAGACACAGTCTCGCTCTTTCACCCAGGCTGGAGTGCAGTGGCACGATCTCAGCTCACTGCAACCTCTGCCTCCCAGGTTCAAGCAATTCTCCTGCCTCAGCCTCCAGGGTAGTTGGGACTACAGGCACGTGCCACCACGCCCAACTATTTCTTTTTTGTATTTTTAGTAGAGACGGGGTTTCACTGTGTTGGCCAGGATGGTCTCAATCTCCTGACCTCGTGATCCACCCACCTCAGCCTCCCAAAGTGTTGGGATTACAGGTGTCAGCCACCGTGCCCGGCCAATACATAATTCTTTAGTGAGGGGAAAAGGCGGGGGATAGGATTATAGTTGCTTACTGAGACCTGAACTTAAGCCCCAGTCTCTCATATATTTTCAAGAGTGTCTGCCACTGCACACAGGTTCTGCTTGTCACTAACAACCTCTGGTCTAGAAAGATGATTAAAGAAAACAACTACATTCCATAAAAGAAGTCTGTTGGGTTACTGTGTAAAAACCTTGATGGCAGGGCATGGTGGCTCATGCCTGTAACCCAGCACTTTGGGAGGCTCAGGCGGGCGGATCACGAGATCAGCAAATTGAGACCATCTTGGCTAACAAGGTGAAATCCCCCTCTCTACTAAAAAAATACAAAAAATTAGCCGGGTGTGGTGGCACGCACCTGTAGTCCCAGCAACTTGGGAGGCTGAGGCACAAGAATTACTTGAACCTGGGAGGTGGAGGGTGCAGTGAGCTGAGGTGGTGCCACTGCACTCTAGCCTGGGCGAAAGAGTGAGACTCTGTTTAAAACAACCAACCAACCAACCAACCAAAAAAAAAAACACAAACCTTTGATAATCCACAACGCTTTAGGGAGTGAAAAGGTGTTGGGTTTTTCATTGTTGTTATTTTGAAACAATCTCGCTCTGTCGCCAGGTTGGAGTGCAGTGGCACGATCTCGGCTCACTGCAATCTCCAGGCTCCCTGGTTCAAGCAATTCTCCTGCCTCAGCCTCCCAAATAGCTGGGATTACAGGTGTGCGATACCACGACTGGCTAATTTTTGTATTTTTAGTAGAGACAGGGTTTCACTATGTTGGCCAGGATGGTCTCCATCTCCTGACCTCGTGATCCACCCGCCTCAGCCTCCCAAAGTACTGGGATTACAGGCATGAGCCACTGCGCCCACTGGCCTCGTTGTTTTAAAGACAACTATGAGTTAATTCCTTAGAACAGTAGGATTCTGAAATTTTAAGCCTAGTTAGAAATCTACCACGTGACTGTATCAATGCCATCTTAAGGAGTCAGGGATGTGTATGCAGAATGGAAATCTAACTTACTGATTAGCCAGAGTCACCATGACAAAGCAGTTATGATCATGGGATTTGGCTGTACATACTTAGTATAGATAATGGGGATCTTAGGACTGAATTGGCACCATCCCTTGTAGTGATCTGCAACTTTTATTTTCAAACAGTTCCTACTGGCTAAATGACAACTTCAGAGAATGAACACATCTCATCCACAGAGTCAAGAACAGAGCAAGAGCTCAGTAGGTGTCACCTAGAAGGATTATAATACATTGCTGTACACTACTGGGAAATCAATGTAGTTTAACACTGTTCTGCACCCTGCCAAAGGCACCAAGTAAGTACATCACAATAACAAAAATCCATAAAGAGAGCCCAGGAGCTTATCCAAGTCAGTATGGACATAAGATCTTTCTAAGCTTCAATAAATAACGTCAACAATAACCCTGGATCATATGACTAAAGAGATAGAATCTTCACTGACTTTTGACCTTTCTTTCCCCTCATTTTTAAAGCATCCCTTCAACCTTCTTGCAGATAGGTTAAGTACAGTTATCACCAGATCAGAGTTTGTAACAGGTCCATAAAAGGAAGGTACAGCCTTATTGTACTCTTAGAATCATAACTGAACCCCTATTCTCTAATTCCATCTTTGGAAATTGGATGGAGAGATTTTGTCACTGGCAAGGATCCTGTCCCAATTACTCTGTATTGCACACAGGACAGCCTCAAACTGGACAGAGAAACGAGAATTAGTGACAGTGGAATGAGGAAAGCTAGCATGTCTCATCAGCACCTCAGTGGTGGATTACCAACCCATGCCTCAGTTGCCTTCTCTAAAATAATGAGCTCTACCTCTCAGAGATAGAACCAAGTAAGAAGGAAAAACGTGATCGTGCTTAAAAAAGGTAAATGCCCATAAAATGTAAGGTAACTGGCTGGCAAACAAGTTTTCACCGGGTTTCTTTTGGAGGTCCATAGCATTTTACCTTTCCCTCTATTATGCTTAGAACACTGCGCCATCAAAACTTCTTCGGAAAGGTCTTAACCTCGCTTATATTTCAAGAGTACCTTTTTTATTTTATTTTTTAATTTGTTTTTTTTTTTGAGACAAGGTCTCATTTTGTTGCCCAGGCTGGAGTGCAGTGGCACCACTGTAGCTCATTGTCACCTCTATCTCCTGGGCTCAAGCTATCTTCCTGTTTCAGCCTGTGGGGTAGCTGGAACTACCACAGGCCACTATGCCCGGCTCTTTTTTTTAATTTTTATTTTTTAAATAAAGATGGGGTCTCACCATGTTGGCCAGGCTGGTCTTAAACTTCTGGGCTCAAGCGATCCTCCCAAAGTGTTAGGATTACAGGCATGAGCCACTGTGCTTGGCCCATTCCAAGTGTACCTTTAAATCCTCTGAAAATGTATGCAATATTACATGTGATGTGTATTTCCCTGGGAACAGCATCTGTAGACTCGTGAAGTCTGTTCTTGTGGACAGATGCATGCCTGTTCTGTTTTATGATTGTTCACCAGCCCTGTCCCCAAATACACACTTTTATACACGTCTCCTCCCTAAAATATCTAAGAATTACTAGTTTAAACCCTGGGTTCCCTGCAAAGTGGAACTGGTTTTATTTTTTGGACAGCAATCTTGCTCAGTGATTAAGACCTGGCGCTCCAGTGCGTCACAACTAGGTTCCCATGCTGTGTCTCTTTCCAGTGAAATCACTTTGAGCTATTTCACTTCTCAGTACCTCGTTTCCCAGTCTATGAAATGGGCATAGGGTTGTTACAATCAGGTAACACACAGGCTGAGTTGAGTAGTGCCTGACACATGAGGCTCAATGATAACTATTATTACTATTACTTGTCTGGACATTTGCTTCAAAGTAAACAGCGTACAAATGTCATTAATGACTCAAACATAACTAGCTTAGAGTATCTTTTCCTGAAAAGACAGGAGAATGGCCAGGCCAGCAAACTTTTTGCCTCTAGTTTCTTCTGATGAAAAAGGGGCCAGGCGCTCACACCTGTAATCCCAGCACTTTGAGGGGGCCAAGGCAGGAGGATAGCTTGAGACCAGGAGTTCGACAGTAAGACCCCGTGTCTACAAAAAATACAAAAATTAGCCGGGCGTAGTGAAGAGCCCCTGTATTCCCACCTGCTCTGGAAGCTGAGGTGGGAGGATAGCTGGAGTCCCGGAGTTCGAAGCTGCAGTGAGCTGTGATCGCGCTACTGCACTCCAGCCTGGGCGACAGAGAGACCCTCTCTTTAAAAAAAAAAAAAAAAAGCAAGGAGGGGAGGGCTACTTAACAGGTTGTTGTAAGGACCCAACGAGACAACCAAGCAAATTGTTTAGGGCAGTGCCTAACCCAATAGGGGTTGTGGGAATTGTAGTCATCAGCCCTGAGTGCCAAGCCTGGTCCAAGTCCTCCAGCCCCCGGCAGGGTCCAAGAAGATGAGCCAGGGGCCCAAGATGCAGGCCTGTAGGCCTCTTAGATGCCTGAAGATTACGCAACTCCTCCTTTAGCTCCAAACTGGCTTAAAACTCGCCAGTGGGCAACCTCTTCCCCATAAGAGCTCCCCGCGCACGGGCCAAGACAGCAGCCAGACGCTCCCCGCAGGCCCTCACACCGAAGAATGACGCCTGTAAAAGCCAACCCATGTGTTCCGCGCGCTCTCCTCCCATCCCATCCTTTCCACAAGATGAAGGCCCGACGCTTCCCATGTGGAGGCCTCCCTGCTCGCACTCACCAGCCTTCAACTCTGCCACAGTCGCCATTTTTCAACGGCCGCCAGGGCCGCACCGCGGCCCTGCGCACGCGCAGCTCCGCCCCACTCACCCTGCGGCGTGGTCTGTAGCCAATAGGCGCACAGCTCTCGCCCCGCCCACTTCCGCCCCTCTCAGTTTATGAGCTCTGCGGTTGAGTGGGTAGTGAATGTCGACCAGAGACTCCACCAATCAGCGAGCGCTCTCGGAAGGCCCAGTTGAGTGAGACGGCAGGGAGGGCGGGGACTGAGGCAGTGGAGAGCCCTGTGGGGTGCTGCTGGCACCTTAGTGCTTAACTTTAGCCAGCTGAGTTTTTCATTGTCTCTGCAGCCTCAAGTACCAACTGCTAGTAGTTACCACCTATTAACCCTGCGGTTCTCAAACTTGAGCATGAATCCTCATCACCTCCAAGACTTGTTTAAACGGATTGTTTGCTAGTCCTCCCCATAGAGTTTCTGATTCTGTAAATCTGGGGTGAGGCCCTAGGATTTGCATTTCTATCGAGTTCCCAGGTGGTACTGGTACTGCTGGTCGGTCTGGAGATCACACCTCGAGAACCACTGTATTAAGCACTTACTGTGACGCCTTAGCGCATTATTTCCTTATGATCACGCCGTTTTTACAATGAAGGAAACAGAGTCCTCCATCGCTGAAGAGACTTAACCAAGGTCACCAGCCTGTCCTCTTCCACTCGCACTTACACAGTGCATGTAAGGAGTCCAGGAGCTTTTTATGGAACTAACTAATGAAGGAATAAGCTCCAACATCCCATGGAAGTAAAGGAAAAGGAACAGGGGAATAATGTACCCTAAACTGAGTGTGAGGTTGCATGATTCCAGTTGTAATGCCGGTGAGATCCAAACACTTGGCTAAATAATAAACATCGATTAGACGTACACCTAAGAGTGGCCGGGCGCGGTGGCTCACGCCTGTAATCCCAGCACTTTGGGAGGCCGAGGCGGGCGGATCCCGAGGTCAGGAGATCGAGACCATCCTGGCTAACACGGTGAAACCCTGTCTCTACTAAAAATACAAAAAATTAGCCGGGCGTGCTGGCGGGCGCCTGTACTCCCAGCTACTCGGGAGGCTGAGGCAGGAGAATGGCGTGAACCCGGGAGGTGGAGCTTGCAGTGAGCCGAGATGGCACCACTGCACTCCAGCCTGGGCGACAGAGTGAGACTCCGTCTCAAAAAAAAAAAAAAAAAAGTACACCTAAGAGCTGCCAGGGCACGGTGGTTTACGCCTGGAATCCCAGCACTTTGGGAGACTGAGGTAAGGAGTTCGAGAACAGCCTGGCCAGCCTGGTGAAACCCCCTCTGTACTAAAAAAAAAGTACAAAAATTAGCCGGGCGTGGTAGCAGGAGCCTGTAATCCCAGCTACTTGGGAGGCTGAGGCACAAGAATCGCTTGAACCTGGGAGGCAGAGGTTGCAGTGAGATGAGATCGCGCTACTGCACTCCAACCTGGACGACAGAGCGAGACACCGCCTCAAAAAAAAAAAAAAAAAAAAACCACCTAAGAGCAAGGAAACCTCTTTCCGAGGAACTTCCAGCATACTTTTGGTTCCATGCCTATTGTTTTTAAAACTGATACATTGGCCAGGTGCGGTGGCTCATCCCTGTAATCCCAGCACTTTGGGAGGACGAGGAGGGAGGATTGCTTAAGCTCGGGAGTTTGAGATCAGCCTGGGCAATGCAAGACCCCATCTCTCCAAAATAAATACAAAAAATTAGCCGGGCATGGTGGTGCATGCCTGTAGTCCCAGTTACTCCAGAGGCCGAGGATAGAGGATTGCTTGAGCTCAGGAGTTCTAGACCAAGCTGGGCAACATGAGACGCATTTCTACAAAAAAAAAAAAAAATTAGCCAGATATGATGGTGCATGCCAGCTACTCGAGAGGCTGAGGAGAGAGGATCACTTGAGCCTGGACGGCTGATTGTACCACTGCACTCCACTCTGGGCGACAGAGTGAGTCCCTTTCTCAAAAAAAAAAAAAAAAAAAAAAAAAAAAGAAAAGAAAAAGAGAGAAAGAAAAATTGATATATCACAATTATGGGGAGGGACGTGATATTTTGATACACATATACAATGTGTAATTATCAAGTCAAGGCAATTGGGATAAACATCACCTCAAACATTCTTTGTGTTGGAAGCATTACAAGTATTCTAGCTATTTTGAAATATACAATCAATAATTGTTAACTATTTTTTTTAAAGGGAGGGGGAACAGCCTGGGCAGCATAGGGAGAACCTGTCTTTAAAAACGAGCAAACAAGGCCGGGTGCGGTGGTTCACGCTTGTAATCCCAGCACTTTGGGAGGCCTGAGGCAGGCAGATCACAAGGTCAGGAATTCGAGACCAGCCTGGCCAACACAGTGAAACCCCATCTCTACTAAAAATACAAAAATTAGCCGGGCGTGGTGGCAGAGGCCTGTAATCCCAGCTATTCGGGAGGCTGAGGCAGGAAAATTGCTTGAACCCAGGAGGCAGAGGTTGCAGTGAGCCAGGGGTGCAGAGGTTGCACTCCAGCCTGGGGAACAGAGTAAGACTCCGACTCAAAACAAAACAAAACAAAACAAAAGAGCAAACAGCCAGGCACGGTGGCTCACGCTTGTAATCCCAGCACTTTGGGAGGCCGAGGAGGGCAGATCACCTGAGGTCAGGAGTTTGAGACCAGCCTGGCCGACATGGTGAAACCCCATTTCTACCAAAAATACAAAAATTAGCTGGGCATGGTGGCAGGCATCTGTAATCCCAGCTACTCGGGAGGCTGAGGCAGGAGAATCGTTTGAACCTGGGAGGTGGAGGTTGCAGTGAGCCGAGATCACGCCGCTGTGCTCCAGCCTGGGCGACAAGAGTGAAACTCCGTGTCAAAAAAAACCAAAACGAACAAACAAACAAAAAAACCGAGCAAACAAAACAAAAAATTAGCCTGGCATGTGTCCCTGTAGTCCGAGCTACTCGGGAGGCTGAGGCAGGAGGATTGCTTGAGCCTAGGAGGTGGAGGCTACAGTGAGCCATGACCATAACACTGCATTTCTAGCCTGGTGACAAGGGGAGATGCCTTTTCTTTCCCTTCCTTCCTTCCTTCCTTCCTTCTTTCCTTCCTTCCTTTCCTCCCTCCTCTCTCTCTCCTTCCTTCCTTCCTCCCCGCCCTTTCCCTTTCCTTCCTTCCTTCCCTCCCTCCCTCCCTCTTTCTCTCTTTCTCTTTCTTTCTTTCTTTCTTTTCTTTCTTTCTTTCTCTCTCTCTTTCCTCTTTCTCTCTTACTTTTTCTTGAGACTTAAAAAAAAAGGGGGGCCAGGCAGAGTATCTTGACCTAGAGTCTAGGATAATGCTCTTTAAACTGCTGGTTAACCAAATAGTAGGTTTTGAAATCTATTTATTAGTAGATCCCCATGAGTACATTTTCAGTGAAATGGAATGTAACAAATAGAAAACATAGAAGTATGGTTTTCTAGAACTTTCCTTTCAGGTACACATGTGTGTTCTGGTACCTGTTGTATTTCTTAAAGTGATCAGCCATCAGAAAAGTTTGAAAGTGATTGTAACCTAGAGGAATCTCTTCCTATTCCAAACTGGATTAATTTTTGACTGGATTAATTTTTGATTATGGGACACATATCTGTTCTGTAACCTTGAAAAGGTCCTATCTTGTTTCTCTACTCTGTAAAACCACAGTGACTGAATACCTGGCCAGCATTTCAAGAGATTTTTGGGGATTAACTAAATTCCATAGGTGGTATTTTTAAGTCCCTCAGAAAAAGCACTCCTGTGGTGTTATGATATAGGTATTGATTTTCATCTCCACGATTCCTGGCATCTAACTCCCATTCACCTCATTATAATGTTGAGGCACTTTAGGCCTCAGGAAACAGAATCTCCCTCTCTGATCTTCTCCTGTCCACCTCTGACCTGCCCCAAGCAGGACTCTAATCTGACTGTGGGTCAAAAGACCCTCATTCCAGAAAGGGTTCTGCCTGCTACCCTCAAGGAAGAAATGCTGCACAGAGAGCCCAAGAAAAGTCTGAGCAGACAGGCTTTGCTGGGTTTAGATCAGGCACTTTCTGTCCAATCAGATTTCTTTCTTTTTTTTTTTTTTTTTTGAGACGGAGTCTTGCTCTGTCGCCCAGGCTGGAGTGCAGTGGTACAGTCTCCGTTCACTGCAACCTCTCCCTCCTGGGTTCAAGCGATTCTCCTGTCTCAACCACCCAAGTAGCTGGGATTACAGGTGTGCACCACCATGCCTGGCTAATTTTTTTTTTTTTCCAGACAGAGTTCCGCTCTTGTTGCCCAGGTTGGAGTGCAATGGCACGATCTCGGTTCACCTCAACCTCTGCTTCCCGGGCTCAAGCAATTCTCCTGCCTCAGCCTCCCAAGTAGCTGGGATTACAGGCATGTACAACCACACCTGGCTAATTTTGTATTTTTAGTAGAGATGGGGTTTCTCCATGTTAGTCAGGCTGGTGTCGAACTCCCGACCTCAGGTGATCCGCCCACCTCGGCCTCCCAAAGTGCTGGGATTACAGGCGTGAGCCACCACGTCTGGCCTGTCCAATCACATTTCTACACGGTGTTCAATCACACCTATGTAATAAAGTGTCCCATAAAAACCCAAGAGAACTGGGTTGGGAGAACTTCTGGATAGCAGAACACGTGGAGGTTGTTGAAGGGTGTTGCATTCAGGGAAAGCATGGAAGCTCCACACCCCTTCCCCTATACTTTGCCCTATGTGTCACTTCATCTGTATAAACAAAATTAAGTGTTTCCCTGAATTCTTTGAGCCACTCCAGCAAATTAATGGAACCCAAAATGGGGGTTGTGGAAGCTCCAACTTGAAGGCGGTCCATCAGAAGTTTCAGAGGCCCAAACTTGCGACTGGTGTCTGAAGGAAGGCAGTCTTGGGGACTGAGCTATCACCCTGTGGGAAATGACACTATTTTCAGGTCGAAGATGTCAGATTTAAACTGAAGGACACCCAGCTGGCGTCAGCTGCAGAACTGATTGTTTGCTGGCCAGGCGCAATGGCTGAAGTCTGTAATCCCAGCATTTTGGGAGGCAGAGGTGGGTGGATCACTTGAGGTCAAGAGTTCCACACTAGCCTGGTGACATGGTGAAACCTTGTCTCCACTAAAAATACAAAAAATAGCTGGGTGTGGTGGCATGCACCTGTAATCCCAGCTACTCAAGAGGCTGAGCCAGGAGAATCGCTTGAACCTGGGAAGCAGAGGTTGCAGTGAGCAGAGATCATGCTATGGGTGACAGAGTGAGGCTAAACCTAAAAAAAAAGATTGTATGCTTGCTGGTGGGGGGATTTCCCCACACATTTCTGGGGTCCACAGAAGTATTCTGTGTTGATTATTGGTGTGTTGATGTGTGAGCAGAGAAAAAACACGGTTTGAGAAAGTTTATATCCAAAAAACTCCTGAATATGTTGATGAGGAACTCGGAGAGAGAGGCAAATAATAATGTGATTGACCGATTGGCAGTGGTAATCATACAGTAGCTAACATTCATTATACTCTCTGTATGGCAAGGACTGCTCTAAAAGCTTTACATTAAGTATTCACCAACAACCCTATGAGATGGATACTTACATGCAATTGTCTCAAGTAAAATTGTATTTAAAAACATACTGGCCAGGTGTGGTGGCTCATGGCTGTCATCCCAGCACTTTGGGAGGCTGAGACAGGCGGATTGCTTGAGGCCAGGAGGAGTTCAAGACGAGCTTGGTCAACATAGTGAAACCCTGTCTCTACTAAAAATACAAAAAATTATTTGGGTGTGGTGGCACACACCTGTAATCCCAGCTACTTGGGAGGCTGTGGCATGAGAATCACTTGAACCCGGGAGGCAGAGGTTTCAGTGAGCTGAGAATGCGCCACTGCACTCCAACCTGGGCGACAGAGAAAGACTCTGTCTCACAAACAAACAAAAAACATGTACTAATGACCAGGCACAGCAGTTCATGCCTGTAATCCCAGCACTTTGAGAGGCTGAAGCGAGAGGATCAGTTGAAGCCAGGAGTTTGAGACCAGCCAAGCCAACAAATCAAGAACCCATGTCTTTAAAAAAAAAAAAAGTAGCTGGGCATGGTGGCACATGCCTGTATTCCTAGCTGCTCAGGAGGCTGAGGCAGGTGGATTGCTTGAGTCCAGGAGTTCAAGGCTGTAGTGAGCTATGACTGTACCAGTGGACTCCAGCCTGGGCAGCAGAGCAAGACCCCATCTCTGAAAAAATAAATACCTTTATACATACATTAAAAACATGCACTGACATTGAGTAACACTGAATTGCTGGGGATATGTCGAAACAGGCACTGCCATACATAGTTGGTAGGTAGGCAATCAACACCACCATCCAGAAGGCAGTTTGTCAATATCTCATCAGATTTTCACACCCTTTGACTCATCAAATCTACTTCTAAGAATGTATCTTACAGATATAATCACACCTACTTACAAAGGATATAAGTATAAGAATATTCATTCACTGTTGATAGTAGAAAAAACTATGCACACCTTTCAGAAAGGCTAAAATAAAGACTACTGACAATACTGTTGGCAAACACACATGTACTACTGGTGGGAAGACAAAGTGGTATAGTCACTTTGGAAAGCAGTTTGGCAATTGCTTATTAAGTCATAGGTACACTTGGCCCAGTAATCCCAAAACTAAGTGTTTGCCCAAGTGAAGTAAAAACTTGTAGGCCGGGCGCGGTGGCTCACGTCTGTAATCCCAGCACTTTGGGGGGCCAAGGCGCATGGATCATTTGAGGTCAGGAGTTTGAGATCAGCCTGAGCAACATGGTGAAACCCCGTCTCTACTAAAAATATAAAAATTAGCCAGGCATGATGGAGCATGCCTATAATCCCAGCTACCCAGGAAAATTAGCCAGGTGTGGTGGAGGGTGCCTGTAATCCCAGCTACCCAGGAGGCTGAGGCAGGAGAATCACTTGAACCCGGGCAGCAGAGGTTGCAGTGAGCCGAGATCGTTTCACTGCACTCCAGCCTGGGCAACAAGAGCTAAAGTCCACCTCACACACACAAAAAAAAGAACTTGTAGCCAGGCACAGTGGCTTATGCCTATAATCCCCACAGTTTATGAGGCCAAAGCGGGATGAACGCTTGAATCTAGAAGTTTGAGACCGGCCTGGGCAACATGGTGAAACCCCATCTCTACAAAAAAAAAAAAATTACAAAAATTAGACAGGCGTGTAGGAGTGAACATGTAGTCCCAGCTACTCCAGAGGCTAAGGTGAGAAGACCTGCAGAGCCTGGGAGGTCCAGGTTGCAGTGAGTCGTGATCACACCACTGCACTCCAGTCTGGGCAACATAGTGAAACTGTGTTTCAAAAAAATAAAAAATGTTCTCTGGTGAGGACTCGGTGATTGAGGGTCAGTGTTCGATGGAGACTTACTTTTTTTTTTCTTTTTGAGACAGTCTCTGTTGCCCAGGCTGGAATGCAATAGCACCATCATAGCTCACTACAGCCTCGACCTCCAGGCTCAACTGATCCTTCAGCCTCCCGAGTAGCTGGGACCACAGGCACGTGCCGCCACGCCCAGCTATTTTTATTTTTTGTAGAGATGGGGTCTCACCATGTTGCTCAAGCTGATCTCAAATTCTTGGGCTCAAGCAATCCTCCTGCCTCGAACTCCCAAAGGCCTGGGGTTGCAGGCATAAAACACCACACCCAGCCTTACTTTTGTCCATAGACTTATTTTAATTTATTAATTAATTTATTTATTTGAGACTGAGTCTTGCTCTATTGCCCAGGCTGGAGTGCAGTGGCACGATCTGGGCTCACTGCAACCTCCGCCTCCCAGGTTCAAGCAATTCTAGTGCCTCAGCCTCCCGAGCAGCTGGGATTACAGGTGCACACCATCATGCCTGGCTAATTTTTGTATTTTTAGTAGAGACAGGGTTTCACCATGTTGGCCAGGCTGGTTTCGAACTCCTGACCTCAAGTGATCCTCCTGTCTCGGCCTCCCAAAGTGCTGGGATTACAGGTGTGAGCCACCGTGCCCAGCCTAATTTTAACTTTTAACTATGTACATGCATTACTGTGCACAACCAGCTGTGGGCAAGTACAGCCCAATAGCCCCTCCTCTTCACTGTCTTGAGTATCTCTTGCTCGTTGTTGAGGGCCCGTCTAGCGCCATGCCCCATAGGCTGCCTATAGGAGTCCTTTTGACCCTTCAGGCACCCACACAATTGTGGAAATGTGGCTGGACCAACAAATAGTGGGAGTGAGTGGTAATCCATGTGTGACATGCGAGAGGTGCACATTTTTTTCTCTCTCTCTTTTTTTTTTCCATAGAAATATAAAATGTTTGTAGAAATGTAAAATCTTTTGTTTTTCTTTTTTTTTATTTTTCCAGACAGGGGTTAACTCTGTCACCCAAGTTGGGCTGCAGTGGTGCAGTCACAGCTCACTGCAGCCTCAACATCCCAGTCTAAGGGATCCTCCCACCTCAGCCTCCTGAGTAGCTGGGACTACAGGTGTGTGTCATCACACCTGGCTACTTCTTTTATTTTCTGTAGAAGCAGAGTCTCGCTATGTTGCCCAGGCTAGTCTTAAACTCCTGGTCTCAAACAAATTCTCCCACCTCAGCCTCCCAAAGTGCTGGGATTACAGGCATGAGGCACTATGCCCAGCCTGTAATCTTATTAGCACACAGCCATGCCCCCCACTTTTTTTTTTTTTATTTTTGAGAGAGGTTCTCACTCTCACCCAGGCTGGAGTGCAGTGGCATGATAAGGGGTCACTGCAGCTTCAACCTCCCCTGGCTCAGGCAATCCTCCCATCTCATCCTCCCAAGTAGCTGGGACTACTTGTGCATGCCACCATGCCCAGCTAATTTTTTGTATTTTTTGTAGAGATAGGGTTTCGCCATGTTGCTCAGACTGGTCTTGAACTCCTAGATTCAAGCATTCTGCCCACCTCAGCCTCCCAAAGTGCTGGGATTAATTACAGGCGTGAGCCACCGCATCTGGCCGCCTGCCTGTTTCTTAATGCATTGTCTATGGGCGCTTTTACACGGCAACAGAGGAATTGAGAAGCTGCAACAGAACTCACTTAAAATATTTTACCCGGCACTTGAAGAAAACATTTGTCCACTCTTGAATTCTTTTTCATACTTTTTCTAGGCCACAGGTATATTATTAACAGATTAACCATTATTTTTTTTTTCAGCTATAGCCAATAATAATAAAAAAGAGCAACTCACATTGATGGTGCCCTTATTGTGTGTGTGTCGTTTCATGGCATCCTGAAGACAGCTGAGAGACAGATGTGATCATGCCTGTTTTACAGATGGAAACTGAGGTTTGGAGGGTTGAAGTTGCTTCTGAGTAAATGGCTGAGTCAGTGCAACTTGACCCCAGTTCTGCTCCACTCACCCAACGTTGCTCAGCCGTTTTCGGTTGTTTCAGTTTCACTGCAGACACTTCTCTGTTCTCCCCCTGCCCTCCTTCTCTCCCCCAAACTCTCTCTCTTCCTTCTCCTCCTTTCTCTTCTTCTGCTCCCCAATCCCCCTCCTCCTCTTTCATCTTCTTCCTCCTCCTCCTTCCTCCTCCCAGCCCTCCTCCTCCTCCTCAACCTCCTCCCCTTCTATCTCCTCCCCCTCCTCCTCTTTCTTCTCCCTCGCCCTCCTCTCTTCTTTTCTCTCCCCCAACCCCCTCTCTACTGGGCCTTTGCATGTGCCCATCCCCCAGCCTGGAAACTTCCTCCTGTTCTGGTTAATTTCTGCTCATTCTCCAGGTCTCAGTCTACCTTTTTGTTGTCGTTGTTGTTGTTGTTGAGACGGAGTCTCGTTCTGTTGCCCAGGCTGGAGTGCAGTGGTGCGATCTCGGCTCACCGCAAGCCCCGCCTCCCAGGTTCACGCCATTCTCCTGCCTCAGCCTCCCGAGTAGCTGGGACTACAGGTGTGCGCCACTGCACCTGGCTAATTTTTCGTATTTTTAGTAGAGATGCGGTTTCACCATGTTGGCCAGGCTGGTCTCAAACTCCTGGGCTCAAGCGATCCACTTGCCTCAGCCTCCCAAAGTGCTGGGATTACAGGCATGAGCCACCGTGCCTGGTCTCCAGGTCTGTTTAAATGTCATTTCTTCCTAAAGCTTTCCTGGCTAATTCGATTCTTCTTCTCAAATGTATCTTGGGGGGTGAAAGGTCTGAGAAGAGGGAGGGGCATAGAGATAAAGGAAGCTTCCAACAGAGGTGCATCACCAATGCCCTTCTCCCAGGTCCGAGGTCATACCCCTGGCTCGAGGGGAGGCGGCTTCCGATGCCTGGTCCATGCTGGGGTATCAAGTTCCAGCCCTCTCACCCCAGTTTGGGACAATTCTGTAGGACCGCCTCACTGGCAGAGCTTGCTGAGGGAGTAAGCTGAGGCCTTTGTAGGCCACAAGGTTGAGACCAGCCTGAGCATCATAGTAGGGCCTTGTTTCTATGAAAACATTTTTTTAAAAAATGAAACTTCCCACATGACAATTTTTTTTTTTGAGACGGAGTCTCACTCTGTCACCCAGGCTGGAGTGCAATGGTGCGATCTCAGCTCACTGCCACTTCCGCCTCCCAGGTTCAAGTGATTCTCATCTCAGCCTCTCAAGTAGCTGAGATTACAGGTGCCCACCACCACACCTGGCTAATTTTTATATATTTTAGTAGAGATGGGGTCTCGCCATGTTGGCCAGGCTGGTCTTGAACTCCTGACTTCAAGTGATCCGCTCATCTCTGCCTCCCAAAGTGCTGGGATTACAGCCATGAGCCACAGCGCCCGGCTTCCCCATGACAATTTTAAACATGAGAACTATGTATATGCCACAGTCTGGAACTTGGGATCTCAAATAATCTTGGATTCCTTGTTCTCAGTCCCCATACAGAAGGGAGGAGGGCTGGCCTTTGGACTCCCCCAAATCTGGGTTCGAATCCCAGCTCCACCACTGCAAGTCTGGTTGCTCTGGACCAGTTACTTAACGTTCTCTAAATGTCAGTTACATCCGTGAGATAAGCTACCTCGCGGGACTTCATTCAGTCCTTCTTCAAATATCTGTAGAATATTTGTAGGCTGAGGCCTTTGCTGGGACCGTGGAGAAGCCCAACTTCCTCCTCCCTTTCCCCCACTTCCTAGGCTTTGATCCAGCCCTGGAGCCTTGATCGAATTGATCTCTCTTTCAAGTCTTCCAGGGAGGCTGTGACTCAATCCTAGAAACCAGGGGCAGGTCCAGGCTGCCTGTGGTCTACTTGCTCCACTTCCTCAGGTGCTCAAGGGTGACTCATCACTCAGTAAGTTCAGAGCAGAGGGCGTTCTCCTCAATGTGTGCCAGGAGCACAGCAGGAATGTAGGCACCCTCAGAGCTCCCCAGAATTCCCTAACCCTGGACCACACTGTGGCATTGCAGCCTATGTGGGGCTGAGGCTCTGTTTCACATTGGGTGCCCAATGGACTGCTTTACAGGACAGATGCCTTGTTATCCTGCTCTGCTCCGGTAGAACAAATATTTGTAGAAGGACCGAATGAAGTCCTGCAAGGTAGCTCATCTCACAGACGAAACTGATGTTTAGAGAACATTAAATAACTGGCCCAGAGCAACCAGACTTAAAGTGGTGGAGCTGGGATTCAAACCCAGATTTGGGGGAGTCCAAAGGCCAGCCCTCCTCCCTTCTGTATGGGGACTGAGAACACGGAATCCATGACCATTTGAGATCCCAAGTTCCAGACTGTGGCATGTACATAGTTCTCATGATTAAAATTGTCACGTGAGAAGTTTCATTAAAATTTTTTTTTTTTTTTTTTTTTTTTGTAGAGACAAGGTCTCACTATGTTGTCCAGGCTGGTCTCAAGCTCCTGACCTCAAGCGATCCTCCTGCCTCAGCCTACCAAATTGTTGGGATTGTAGGTGTGAACCACTGCACTCTGCCCAGAGGTTTCAAAGTGAACTTTTTTTCTTTAATCAAGATGGGGTCTCACTATGTTGCCCAGACTGGTCTCAAACTCCTGAGCTCAAGCGATCCTCCCGCCTTGGCATCCCAAATTGCTGGGCTTACAGGCATGAGCCACTGCACCTGGCCTCAAAGTGGAATGTTTTTAGTGGGGGGAAGGTGCTGGATATTACTGTCAGTCCTTTAGAGGAAGTAAAATAAATCCTACAGGTACATTGACATTCTCAGGTCACTTTCAGAGGGATGAGCAATAAATTCATTCAATGCCTTCTTTACTAAAAGCATTAGAGATAAAGAAATTCTGGAAGTAAATCTTGCTGAAATGCATTTTGTCAGGGGAACTCAGTTGAACAAAAACTAAAGGTTGAGTTCAGAAAAGGTAAATGTCTTTTACCAAGATTTAGTTCTTTTCTTCCAGGTAGATATGCCTTTTCTTAGGATCTGGAGTGAGAGGCTGTTGGAAAATAAGGGTTGGGGAAAGCCACAGATGGAATTTTACAAATTGGAGACAGCTACTTAATAGAAACGGCATCTCATCAGACAAGTCAAGGCAACTGTTGAAAATATGACATGTCTCTCTATCAGCCATTCATGGCCCAGGACACTATGGCAACCAAATCCAAACTGCTGGTTCAAAGAGATTAGTCTGAATCCCAAAAGAATCCTAATTCTCTCCTGATTTATTAAGGAAGAAAACAACAACCGCCTTTATTTGCAATATTATTGCATTGCATGCAATCCTAGGAAAAGGTGTGGCTGTTATTTTTGAAGAAGTACTCACCCTATACTAGATACAGTATGAAACATTATTCATGCGTCATTGCATTTATTTCTCACGTGATCTCAAGAGGTAGATGCTACTGTCATCCTGATTTTAAGATGAAGAAAGCAAGCCTTAGGGAGTTAAAGGGAACTGCCCAAGGTCAAACAGCTGGAAAGAGACTTGGCCAGACGCAAAAACAGTCTGATGCCCGGTTCAAGGTCCTTTAGTTTCATCTGTCCAGTAAGTAGACAGAGTATTTGATACTTGGGCTGGACTAGACAAATCTATGATGTGTAATTGTTCTGTGAACTCACAGATCCTAGCGTGAAGAGTTTTTTGTTTTGTTTTGTTTTGGTTTTTTTAGATGCAGTTTCGCTCTTCTTGCCTACGCTGGAGTGCAATGGCGTGATCTTGGCTCACTGCAACCTCCACCTTCCGGGTACAAGTGATTCTCCTGCCTCAGCCTCCTGAGTAGCTGGGACTACAGGCACCCACCACCACGCCCGGCTAATTTTTTGTATTTTTAGTAGAGATGGGGTTTCACTATGTTGGCCAGGCTGGTCTCAAACTCCTGACCTCAAGTGATCCACCCGCCTCAGCCTCTCAAATTGCTGGGATTACAGGCGTGAGCCACTGTGCCCGGCCTTTTTTTTTTTTTTTTTTTAGATAGGGTCTTGCTCTGTCGCCCAGGCTAGAGTGCAGTGGTACAATCATAGCTCACTGTAGCCTTGAATTCCTGGGCTCAAGCGATTCTCCCACCTCAACCTCCCTGAGTGGCTGGGACTACAGGTGCGTACCATTACAACACCTGGCTAATTTTTTTTTATTTTTTAATATTTTGTAGAGACAAATTCTTGTTATGTTACCCAAGGTGGTATTGAACTCCTGGCCTCAAGTGATCCTCCCACCTTGTCCTCCCAAAGTTCTGAGATTACAGGTGTGAGCCACTGTGCTTAACCAAGTGAAGACTTTTTTGGCTAGCTCAACCCTGTAATTCCAGCACTTTGGGAGGCCGAGGTGGGTGGATCACCTGAGGTCAGGAGTTCAACACCAGCACGGCCAACATGGCAAAACCCTGTCTCTACTAAAAATACAAAAATTAGCTGGGCATGGTGGTGGGCGCCTGTAGTCCGAGCTACTCAGGAGGCTGAGGCAGGAGAATTGCTGGAACCTGGGAGGCGGAGGCTGCAGTGAGCCGAGATCACACCACTGCACTCCAGTCTGGACGACAGAGCAAGACTCTGTCTCAAAAAAAACCCCAAAAACAAAAAACAAAAATCAAAACAAACAAAAAGCCCAAAGGAGGACTTTTTCATGCTGATAAAGAATGTAGGATAAACCTGATACCCTCTCCAAAATCTCTTCCAATTTTCCTAACCTCTGTACCAATGAGGACTTCCTTTCCTTTCTGACTTTCGATCAATGTAACAAAAATAAAATTGAAGCAGAGAAGGGTTAAGTATGTTGCTCAAGGTCTTGCAGGTGATTTGGGTTAGAGCCAATCTTGAACTCAGCCAGGTGAGGTGGCACCTGGTTCCATGACTGGACCCTCCCTGCTGCCCTGGTTTGCGAGAAGATTCTTACACACATGTCCCTGATCTCCTTGAAGCTTTGATTTTCCACCTAGAGCCCCACTGCAGCATCCTGGTTATCTGCGCAAGCTCTGTTGTTACACTGAACTGGATGGTGAATCCTGGGTACCTGTGTGGCCTTGGGCAAAAAAAAAAAAAAAAAAAAAAGCACCTCTCTGAGCTTCCATTTCTTTCATTCTTTCTTTCCCTTTCCCCTCTCCTCCCCTCCCCTCCCCTCCCCTTCTCTCTCTCTCTCTCTCTCTCTCTCTCTCTCTTTCTTTGTTGGAGTCTCCGTCTGTTGTGCAGGCTGGAGTGCAGTGGCGCAATCTTGGCTTGCTACAACCTCTGCCTCCTGGCTTCAAGCAATTCTCCTGCCTTGGCCCCCCTGACGAGCTGGGATTACAGGCATGCACCACCATGCCAGCTAATGTTTGTATTTTTGTAGAGATGGGGTTTTGCCATGTTGGCCAGGCTGGTCTCAAACTTCTGACCTCAAGTATTACGCCCATTTTGGCCTCCCAAAGTGCTGGGATTACAGGTGTGAGCCACCACACACGTTCTTGGGCCTCCATTTCTACAGCTATTAAAAGGAGGCCATAATAGTACCTAACTCCTGGGATATTATCGTGGCTAAAATGAGCTAATGGGCCAGGTGCGGTGGCTCACATCTGTAATCCCAGTACTTTCGGAGGCCGAGGCGGGTGGATTACCTGAGGTCAGGAGTTCGAGATCAGCCTGGCCAACATGGCGAAAGCCCGTCTCTACTAAAAATACAAAAATTAGCCAGGTGTGGTGGCTTGCACCTGTAGTCCCAGCTACTCGGGAGTCTGGGGCAAGAGAATCGCTTGAACCCAGGAGGTGGAGGTTGCAGTGAGCTGAGATTGTGCCACTGCACTCCAGCCTGAGTGACAGAGCTAGACTCCATCTCAAAAACTAATAATAATAATAATAATAATAATAATAATAATAATAATAATATCATAATAAGATGGGCCTGGCGCGGTGGCTCACGCCTGTAATCCCAGCACTTTACTCTACTAAATCTCTACTAAAAATACAAAAATTAGCCAGGTGTGGTGGCGGGTGCCTGTAATCCCAGCTACTTGGGAGGCTGAGGCAGGAGAATCACTTGAACCTGGGAGGCGGAGGTTGAAGTGAGCCAAGATGGCGCCATTGCACTCCAGCCTGGGAAACAGGAGTGAAACTCTGTCTCAAAAAAATTAAATAAATAAATAAGTAAATAAATAAATAAAATGAACTAATGCATGAAGAGCACTTAGTTAAATTAAATAAATAAATAAAATTTTTAAAAAATAAAATTAATTAAATAATAAATAAATAAATAAAATGAACTAATGCATGCAACAACTTAGCACAGTGCCTAGGACATAATAGGCACTCGATAAGTGGGCTGGGCGTAGTGGCTCATGCCTGTAATCTGAGCACTCTGGGAGGCTGAGGCGGGCAGATCACCTGAGCTCAGGAGTTCAAGACCACCCTGGGCAACATGGCGAAACCCCATCTGTACAAAAATTACAAAAATTAGCTGACCATGGTGATACCCACCTGCAGTTCCAGCTACTTGGGAGGCTGAGGTGGGAGGATCACTTGAGCCCGGGAGACTAAGGTTGCTGTGAGCCCAGATCATGCCACTACACTCCAGCCTGGTGGACAAAGCTAGACCCTGTCACACACACACACACACACAAAAGTGGCTATTTCCTCACCATTCCCCCCTTGGCAGGTCACAGCCCAGTCCACTCCACTCCTCCATGGTCTCCATTCTTGTCGCCTCGACACCAGATGGCCTGGATTAGGTGTGTAAGAACATATTTATGCTCCAGTTTTCTCTTGTCAAATTCCTCATCCTTCCTCTCCCCTTCCCAGATGTTCTCCATTCTCCGCAAATCCTCTACCTCACCTCCATCTTCCACCTGCTCTTTGGTCACTCTGTCTCCTACTCAACTAGGAAGACCCTAGGAACCCTCCACTTGGACCCTAAATCTCTTTGCATTTTAACCTTTCATTCATGAATTCATTCATTCGAAAGATATTATTGAGCATCTACTATGTACCAGGCACTAAGGATACTAGAGTAAATATAATAAACAGGATCCTGGCTGGGTGAGGTGGCTCATGCCTGTAATCTCAGCACTTTCGGAGGTAAAGGTGGGTGGATCGCTTGAGGTCAGGAGTTCGAGACCAGCCTGGCCAACATGACAAAACCCGTCTCTAGTAACAATACAAAAATTATCTGGGCATGGTGGTGGCACATGCCTGTAATCCTAGCAACTTGGGAGGCTGAGGCAGGAGAATCGCTTGAACCCAGGAAGTGGAGGTTGCAGTGAGCTGAGATCACACCACTGCACTCTAGCCTGTGCAACAGAGCAAGACTTTGTCTCAAAAAAGTAAACACGGTCTCTACTCACATAGAGCTCACTGGCCAAGAGAAAGGGCAGCAATTCATCAAATATTTAATTACAAACTCAGATAAATACTATAATGAAAAATGCAGAGATTCTGAGACAGTCAGGGGCCATAACCTAGCCTAGGTTGGTGGTTATGGAAGGCTTCCATATCAGCATGTGTTTCTTTCTTTCTTTTTCTTTTTTCTTTTCTTTTCTTTTTTTCTTTTTCTTTTTTTTTTTTGAGATGGCGTCTTGCTCTGTTGCCCAGGTTGGAGTGCAGTGGCACCGTCTCATCTCACTGCAACTTCCACCTCCCAGGTTCAAGCAATTCTCATGCCTCAGCCTCCCAAGTAGCTGGGGTTACAGGCTTGTGCCAACACACCTGGCTAATTTTTGTATTTTTAGTGGAGTGCAGTGGAACCATCTCGGCTCACTGCAACTTCTGCCTCCCAGGTTCAAGCGATTCTCATGCCTCGGCCTCCCAAGCAGCTGGGATTACAGGCGTGTGCCACCACACCTGGCTAATTTTTGTGTTTTTAGTAGAGATGAGGTTTCACAAAGTTAGCCAGGTTGGACAGCACGAGTTTCTATGCAACACACTGTCCTAAAACTTAGTGGCTTAAAACAACAACAATCATTGATTTCACCCCCAAATCTGCAATTTGGGCAGGATGTGGCCTGGACAGCAAGTCTGTGTTCCACATGCCATGCTCAACATGGGGCAGCTTGACAGGGGCTGGAGGACCCACTTTTTTTTGGTTGTCTCTGAGATATAATTTACATGCCATAAATTTCACCATGTGAAACCATACAATTCAATGCTTTTTAGTATATTCACAGGATTGTACAACTATTGCTATCTAATTCCACGATATTTCCTTTTCCCTAAAAAGAAATCCTATACTTATCTGGATGTGGTGGCGCACACCTGTGGTCCCAGCTACTCGGGAGGCTGAGACAGGGGGATCAATTGAGCCCAAGAGTTCCAGGCTGCAGTGAGCTATGATCGCACCATTGCACTCCAGCCTGGGTGACAGAATGAGACCCTGTTTCTAAACAACAATGACAAGAACAACAACAACAGAATATATACCATTAGCAGTCTCTTCTATTCCCTCTTCCCCTAGTCCCTGGAAACACTCATCTATCTTCTGTCTTTATAGATCTGTCTGTTCTAGACACTTCAAATGGAATATACACTACGTGGCCTATTGTGTCTGGCTTCTGTCACTGAGTACAATGTTATCAAGATTCTGGAAGACCCACTTTGTGGATGGCTCAGTCACATGGCTGGCAATTTGGTATTTGCTGTCAGGTGGGAACTCAGCCAGGGCTGTGGGCAGGGATCCCATTTCTTCTCTATGGGGGCCCCCTCCACGGGCTGCTTGAGCTTCCTTATGGCATGGTGGTTGGGTTCCAAGATGGAGCATCCTAACAGAGCCAAGTGGGAGCTTTTCATATCTTTTTTTTTTTTTTCAATTGAGACAAAGTCTCACTGTCACCCAGGCTGGTGTGCAGTGGCATGATCTTGGCTCACTGCCACCTCCACTTCCTGGGTTCAAGTGATTCTTGTGCCTCAGCCTCCTAAGTAGCTGGGACTACAAGTGAGCGCCACCACGCCCAGCTAATTATTGTATTTTTAGTAGAGGCTAGGTTTGCCATGTTGGCCAGGCTGGCATATTTATTAAAAAAAAAAAAGAGAGAGAGAGAGAGACAGGGTCTTGCTTGTTGCCCTTGGCAGGTCACAGCCCAGTCCACTCCACTCCTCCATGGTCTTGAACTCCTAGTCTCAAATGATCCTCCTGCCTCATCCTTCCAAAGTGCTGAGATTACAGATGTGAGCCACGATGTCCGGCCAGCTTTTCACCTTTTATGACCAGTTTCAGAAGTCACACCATGTCACTTCCACAGTAGCCTCAAGCTCGTCTGGATTCAAGGGAAGGGAACACAGACCACCCTTCACAACAGGAGTGTCAAAGTCACCTTGTTTGCGTTTTAACTTTTCATTAATGCATTCATTCATTCAAAAGATATTATTGGCCAGGTGCAGTGGCTCAAACCTATAATCACAGCACCTTGGGAGGCTGAGGCGGATGGATCACCTGAGGTCTGGAGTTAGAGACCAGCCTGGCCAACATGGTGAAACCCCGTCTCTACTAAAAATACAAAAATTAGCTGGGTGTAGTGGCATGCGCCTGTAATCCCAGCTACTTGGGAGGCTGAGGCAGGAAAATCGCTTGAACCCGGGAAGTGGAGGTTGCAGTGAGCCGAGATTGCGTCATTGCATTCCAGCCTGGGTGACAAGAGTGAAAATCCATCTCAAAAAAAAAAAAAAAAAAAAAAAAGTCACACCATGTCAGTTCCACAGTAGCCTCAAGCTCATCTGGATTCAACGGAAGGGAACACAGGCCACCCTTCTCAATAAGAGTGTAAGATCACTTTGTTTACATTTTAACCTTTTATTCATGCATGCGTTCATTCAAAAGATATTATTGAGCATCTACTCATGAATGAATAATTGTGGCCACTTTTGGAAAATACAAGTGCTACAGCTTCCCTGAGAAGATGATGTTGGGGCTGACAGCTGAAGGATAAGCAGGTGTTACTTAGGCACAGGTATGGAAGAGCATTCAAAAAACACAGAACAACGTGTTCAAAAGACCCGGGGGAACAATTAGCACACTGGAGGAACTTAAGGCGGCCTTGAGTGGCAGAGGCAGAGAGAAAGGCACTTGTCTGTTGTGTGCTTTCCATGACTGCTGTTTCCACTCAGCCTTCATTGTCCATTTTTTCAGAAACAGTACCCTAAATTCCCTTTGGGGAACCATTGACTCACCCGCCCTCAGCCCTCTCAGTGGGGCTGGCTGCAGGGGTGGGTGTTAAGACCCAGGTCTAGCCATTCAAGACAGTTCACCCAGCCTCGCCAGTCTCACTGATTGGTTCGGGTGTGGTCATGTGACACTCAGAAGGGCCAATGAGGCTCAAACCCAAGACATCTGCTGCAGCTATTGGACAAGACAGAGTGTATTGCCTTGGGGTTGCTAGGTAGGATAGAGGCAGGAGTGGTTGGGTGTCACCTTTGCCTCTGCCAGAGAATAACCTGTTGAAATGACACCAACAAAGAGAAAGTAGAACGAAGTGACACAGACCATTGAGCTCCTGGACTATGACCAAAGCCAGCTCTGCCACTGGACATTTTAGATTCATGGGCCAATACATGATGGTTTAGGCTAATTTGAATTTCTGTCACCTGGAATCAAGAGTACTGTTTAAAGGCACCATCGGTGGGCGCAGTGGCTCATGCCTGTAATCCCAGCACTTTGGGAGGCCGAGGCGGGTGGATCACCCGAGGTCAGGAGTTTGAGACCACCTTGGCCAAAATGGCGAAACTCCATCTCTACTAAAAATACAGAAAATAGCCGGGCATGGTGGCACGTGCCTGTAATCCCAGCAACTAGAGGGTCTGAGGCAGGAGGATGGCTTGAACCTGGGAGGCAGAGGTTGCAGTGAGCCATGATTGTGCCACTGCACTCCAGCCTGGGCAACAGAGTGAGACTCCATCTCAAAAAACAAACAAACAAACAAATAAATAAATAAAGACACTATGGTTAGGATTTTTCTCTTCCTGTCCCTAACTACACATTCTCCATTCCTGGTTCTTACGTACCACTTCAGAAGCCTCCAGCACTTCATCTGGCCTCTCTTCCTTCTCTCTCTCTTTCATTTCTTATTTTTTTTGAGACAGAGTCTCGATCTGTCACCCAGGCTGGAGCGCAGTGGCGCAATCTTGGCTCACTGCAACCTCCACCTCCAAGGCTCAAGTGATCCTCCAGCCTCAGCCTCCTGAGTAGCTGGGATTACAGGCACACACCACCACTCCAAGCTAACTTTTTGTATTTTTAGTAGAGACTGGTTTTTGCCATGTTGCCCAGGCTGGTCCCAAACTTCTGGCCCCAAACTTCTGGCAGATCAAGTGATCCACCTACCTCGGCCTCCCAAAGTGCTGGGATTACAGGTGTGAGCCACTGCATCTAGCCTTCTCTCTTTTTTTTGTGATCAATAAATGTTTGTTTATTGCATCTTGGTCTGAATGTCATATTAAATTTGGGGTTCCAAAAAACTCTAGAAAACATTTATGAGAACTTGGGAGGTGGAGGTTGCAGTGAGCCGAGATCGCGCCACTGCACTCCAGCCTGGGTGACAGATTGACACTTCGTCTCGCCAAAAAAAACAAACAAACAAAAAAAAAAAACAAAAAAAGAAAAAAAGAACTAAATGTCCCTGAATATAAAATGGTAGGTAAGAACAGTAATTGGCTTGTCGATCAATGATGAATCAAACAGAAAATGCGTGACAGATTATGGGGAAGTTTAAAATGTCCAAATATTATGTCCCAGAAGAATTTGTCTAGATAATAGATCTTCCTCAGTCCCTTTCAGGGGATGGATGGATAGTGGACATACTTGGGCAGGTTTATTCAGGGTAAGCTGGAGGAATGTGTCAAATAGGTAGCTACCTATCTGATTTACTTTCATCCTATTTTTTCTGCTCTTAAAACAAAATAACCTCCTATTGGTTAAACTTTTTTTTTTTTTTGGTTGCAAATCAAACTCTCTTACTGGTTTTAAAATATCAATTTCTTTTCTTTTTCTGTTTCTTTTTTTTTTTGAGGCGGAGTCTCACTCTGTGACCCAGGCTGGAGTGCAATGGCATGGTCTTGGCTCACTGCCACCTCCGCCTCCCGGGTTCAAGCGATTCTCCTGCTTCAGGCTCCTGAGTAGCTGGGACTAGAGGCATGTGCCACCACACCTAGCTAATTTTTGTATTTTTAGTAGAGACAGGGTTTCATCATGTTGGCCAGGCTGGTCTCGAACTTCTGATCTTGTGATCTGCCCGCCTTGGCCTCCCAAAGTGCTGGGATTACAGGCGTGAGCCACCGTGCCTATCCTATTTTTTTTCTTTTTCTTTTTCTTTTTTTAAGATGAAGTCACTCTCTGTTGCACAGGCTGGAGTGCAGTAGCACGATCTTGGCTCACTGCATCTTTTGCCTCCTGGGTTCAAGCGATTCTCAGCCTCCTGAGTAGCTAGGACTATAGGCGCGCGCCACCACGCCTGGCTAATTTTTGTATTTTTTTACAGAGGGGGTTTCACTATGTTGGCCAGGCTGGTCTCGAACTCCTGACCTGAAGTGATCCACCCACCTTGGCCTCCCAAAGCGCTGGGACTACAGGCATGAGTCACCACGCCTGGCCAAAAAAAAGATTAATCTTAAACATAACCAGAAGTCTAGATGTTTGACAGGTTTATTTATTTATTGAGACAAGGTCTAGCTCTGTTGCCCAGGCTGGAGTGCAGTGGCGTGATCTCTTGGGTCACTGCAACCTCCACCTGTGGGTTCAAGACACCCTCCCATCTCAGCCTCCTGAGTAGCTGGGACTACCTGCCTGGCTAAGTTTTGTATTTTTAGTAGAGACCAGGTTTCACCATGTTGCCCAGGCTGGTCTTGAACTCCTGGCCTCAAGTGATCCAGCACCTGGCCTCCTAAAGTTCTGGGATTACAGGCGTTGGCCACCATGCCTGGTCAGTTTGGCAGGTTTAAGGGTTGACTTATGCCTGTGACTGTGGCTATCTTTCTTTATATTCTCATGGCTTACCCCAGGCTGGCCACTTGTAATATATGGTCATCTTAACCAAATTAGAAAAAGGTATTCCAGTTGATGTGGTGGCTCACGCCTGTAGTCCCAGCACTTTGGGAGACCAAGGTGGGTAGGTCTCTTGAGCCCAGGAGTTTGAGATCAGCCTGGGCAACATAACAAGACCTCGTCTCTACAAAAAATACAAAAATTAGCTGGGCATGATTGTGCATGCCTGTAGTCACAGCTACTCGAGAGGCTGAGGTGGAGCCCAGAAGGCAGAGGTTGTAGTGAGCCAAGATGGGACCACTGCACCCCAGCCTGGGCAACAGAGCCAACCTGTCTTAAAAAACAAAAAACAAAAAACCTGACATGGGACTTTGAATATTCTAGTATTGAATGAATGAGGAATAAAGAGATGGATGGGTGGATGGATGGACGGACAGATGAATGAATTGATAGATGGATGAGTTGAATGGGTGATGGAAGGATGGATGGATGGACAGGTGGATGAATGGATGGATGGGTGGTGGATGAATGGATGGACAACTGAATGAATGAATGAATGAATAGATTGACAAGTGGATGGGTGATGGGTGGAAGGATAGATGGTCAGATGGATGGGCCATGGACGGATGAACGGACAGATGGATGAGAGAGAGAGAGAGATTCCTCTGGGCAGCAGACAATTTCCTTAAAAACAAACAAACAAAATCTCCTTTTTCGGGAAGATACAACCACACATACGGGCTGAATGTCAGCCCCCAATCATCTACTCGGCACTTCCATAGCACAGGGCACAATTTTGGGCAAGTGCTCATTTCGTGAGGACCACAGACAGGCACCATTTTTTTAAGGGTTGGTGGGATGATCACCACTGTTTGAGGCCTTATATTCAAGGATTACAATGTTCAGAGGAGAAAATAGAACGACTTCCAGGATCTCTGCCAGAGCGCCAGGAAGAACTTCCTCGGAAACATTTAACAAAACTCTCCTCGTATCTCATTGGCCTGATTTGAGTTACATTTCCTTTCTTTTCTTTCTTTTTTCTTTTTCTTTCTTTCTTTCTTTCTTTCTTTCTTTCTTTCTTTCTTTCTTTCTTTCTTTCTTTCTTTCCTTCCTTCCTTCCTTCCTTCCTTCCTTCTTTCTTTCTTTCTCTCTCTCTCTCTCTTTTTTTCTTTCCTTCCTTCTTTTTTTTTTTCTTTTTTTTGAGACATGGTCCAGCTTTGTCGTTCAGGCTGGAGTGCAGTGGCACGATCTTGGCTCACTGCAACCTCCGCCTCTGGGTTCAAGCAATTCTCCCCGCCTCAGCCTCCTAAGTAGCTGGGATTACAGGCACCCATCACCACGCCTGGCTGATTTTTGTATTTTTTAGTAGAGATGGGGTTTTACCATTTTGGCCAGGCTGGTCTTGAACCCCCGACCTTAGGCGATCCGCCTACCTCGGCCTCCGAAAGTGTTGGGATTACAGGTGTGAGCCACCGCGCCCGGCCTTCTTTCTTTTTTTGAGGTAAGATTCACAAAACATTTTTAAAATCACCCTTTGGGGCCAGGCATGGTGGTGTGTGCCTGTAGTTCCAGCCACTAGGGAGGCTGAGGCAGGAGGATCACTTGGGCCCAGGAGCCTGAAGTGCGCTATGATCACTCCACTGTACTTCAGCGTGGGTGACAGAGTGATACCCTGTCTCAAAAAAAAAAAAAAAATCACCATTTAAAGTGAATAGTTCACTGTTTTTTGTCACATTCACAATGTTCCACAGCTATCATCACTATCTAGAACATTTTTACCACAGCAAAACAAAAGAAAAAAACAAAAAGCAAAACAAAAAACAAAAAACCATAACCATTAAGCAAACATTCTCCATTCCGCCCCTCCTCCTAGGCCCTGAGAACCACAATCTACTTCCTGTCTCTCCGGCTTTGCTTATTCCGTGTGTTTCATCCCATATAAATATATTCATAAAATATGTGGTCTTTTGTGTCTGTGTCTGTTTCCTTCCTCTCCCTTTCTTTCTTTCTTTCTTTCTTTCTTTCTTTCTTTCTTTCTTTCTTTCTTCCTTTTTCTTTCTTTCTTTCCACTTTCTTTCTTTCTTCCTTTCTTTTTCTTTTTCTTTCCTCTTTTCTTTCATATCATGGCTCACTACAGCCTTGACCTCCCAGGTTGAAGAGATCCTGCCACCTCAGCCTCCCAAGTAGCTGGGACTACAGGTGTGCACCAGCACCCCTGGCTAATTTTTGTATTTTTTTGTAGAAACGTGCTGTTGCCATGGTGCCTGGGCTGGTCTGGAACTCCTGAGCTCAAGCAATCTGCCCAACTCGGCCTCCCAAAGTGCTAGGATTACCGGTATGAGCCACTGCGCCTGACTGGGGTTCTTTTTTGTAGCATGATGTTTTCAAGGTTCATGCCAGTTGTAGCATGCATCAGTATTTTCTTCCTTTTCATGTCTGAATGATATTCCACTGCATAGATAAACTAAATATTATTTATCCAGTCGTTAATTGATGGGCATTTGATTTGTTTCCACTTTATGGACCGTTACGAATAGTGCTGCTATGAGCATTTGTGTGCCAGTTAATGTTTGAACACCTGTATACTAGTATACACCCAGGCATTAAATTGCTGGGTCATATTGTAATTCTATGTTCAACTTTTTGAGGAACTGCCAAACTGTTTTCCATAGAGGCTGTACCATTTTACATTCCTAGCAGCAATGTACAAGGCTTCCAGTTTCTCCATATCCCCATCAGGCTTGTAATTTTCCTTTTTTTTTTTTTTTTTTTTTTTTGACACAGAGTCTCACTCTGTCGCCCAGGCTGGAGTGCAGGGGCGTGATCTCGGCTCATTGCAACCTCTGCCCCCTGGGTTCAAGCGATTCTCCTGCCTCAGCCTCCTGAGTAGCTGGGATTACAGGGGCCTGCCACTGTGCCTGGATGATTTTTTTGTATTTGTAGTAGAGATGGGGTTTCACCATCTTGGCCAGGCTTGTCTTGAACTCCTGACCTCGTGAGCCATGGCGCCTGGCTGTAATTTTCCATTTTTAAAAATTATAACCATTCTATTGTGTGTGAAGTGGCATCTCTTTGTGGTTTTTATTTGCATTTCCCTAATAACGAATGATGTTGAGCATCTGTTCACGTGCTTGTTGGCCATTTGTAGATCTTCTTTGGAGAAATGTCTTCAAATCCGGGGCCCATTTTTAAAAACTGGGTGCTTTGCTTTTTTTGTTGTTGAGTTGTAAAGTTCTTTACATATTCCAGACAGTAGAGCCTTATCAAATATGTGATTTGCAAATATTTTCTCTCATTCTGTGAACTGCCTTTTCTGTCCTTCGATACTGTTCTTTGATGCATAAAAGGTTTTAATTTTGATGAAGTCTAGTTTCTCAACCTTTGCTGTTGTCACTTGTGTTTTTGGTGTCATATTTAAGAAACCATTGCCAAGCCAAAGATAATGAAGATTTCCCTCTGGGCTCTCTTTTAAGTATTTTATAGTTTTAACTTTTATAATTTAGATGTTAATATTATGGCGTGAGTTCAAAGTCCAATTTCATTCTTTTGCATGTGGATATCTCATGGTCCCAGGGTCATTTGTTGAAGAGACTGTTCTATTAAATTATGTCTTTTAGGCTGGGCACGGTGGCTCATGCCTGTAATCCTAGCACTTTGGGAGGCCAAGGTGGGTGGATCACCAGAAGTCAGGAGTTCAAGACCAGCCTGGCCAACATGGCGAGACCCTGTCTCTACTAAAAGTGTAAAAATTAGCCAGGCATGGTGGTGTGCACCTGTAGTTCCAGCTACTTGGGAGGCCGAGACAGGAGAATTGCTTGAACCCGGGAGGTGGAGGTTGCGTGTGCCGAGATTATGCCACTGCACTCCAGCCTGGATGACAGAACAAGACTCCATCTCAAAAAAAAGAAAAAAAATATATGCCTTTTTCAGCAATTTGGATGGAGCTGGAGGCCATTAATCTAAGTGAAGTAACTCAGGAATGGAAAACCAAATATTGTATGTCCTCACTTATAAGTAGGAGCTAAGCTATGAGTACCCAAAGGCATACAGAGTGATATAAAGGACTTTGGAGTCTCAGAAGGGGGAGGATGAGAGGAGGGTATGGATGAAGACTACATGTTGGGTACATGTGTAACTACTTGGGTGATGATGGGTGCATTAAAATCTCAAAATTTACCACTATATAATTCATCTATGTAACCAAAACCCACTTGTACCCCAAAATCTATTGAAATTTTTAAAAAAAGAGAGAGAGGGAAACTGTTCTTTCGCCTATTGAATGGCCGTGGCACGCTTGTCAAAAGCCGATTCACTGGCTGGGCATGGTGGCTCACACCTGTAATCCCAGCACTTTGAGAGGCCAAGGTGGGTGGATCACCTGAGGTCAGGAGTTCAAGATCAGACTGGCCAACAGGGTGAAAGCCCGTCTGTACTAAAAATACAAAACTTAGCCAGGCGTGGTGGTGGGTGCCTGTAGTCCCAGCTACTCGAGAGGCTGAAGCAGGAGAATTGCTTGAATCCAGGAAGTGGAGGTTACAGTGAGTCAAGAATTCGACACTGCACTCCAGCCTGGGTGACAGAGCAAGACTCCATCTCGAAAACAAACAAACGAACAAACAACAACAAAAAGCCAACTGACCACACTGGGTGCAGTGGGTCACGACTGTAATCCCAGCACTTTGGGAGGTCAAGGTGAGAGGATTGCTTGAGCCCAGGAGTTTGAGACCAGCCTCAGCAATATGGCGAGACTTCATTTGTACTAAAAACAAAAAACATTAGCCAGGTGTGGTGGCACGTGCCTATACTCCCAGCTACTAGCTATGTGGGAGGCTGAGGTGGGAGGATTGCTTGAGCCCAGGAGGTAGTGGTTACAATGAACTGTGATTGCGCCACTGCACTCCAGCCAGGGCAACAGAGAAAATGCTGTCTCAAAAGAAAAAATCAATTGACTATAGATGTATGGGTCATTTCCAGACTTTCAATTCTATTCCACTAATCTATATGCCTATCCTCATACCAGTATCACACCTTTTGATTATTGTGGCTTTGTAGTAAATTCTGAAATCACCAAGTGTGAGTCTTCCAACTCTGCTCATTTTTCAAGATTGGCTCTTGGGTGCAATACCATGTGAATATTAGGTTTGAATTTTCCAGGTCTGCAAACAAGGACGTTGGGATTTTCATAGGGATTATATCAAGTCCATAGATCACTTTGGGATAGTATTATCATCTTAACAATATTAAGTCTTCTAATTCATAAACACGTGTATTAGTCTGTTTTCATGCTGCTGATAAAGACATACCCAAGGCTGGGGAGTTTACAAAAGAAATCGGTTTAATGGTCTTACAGTTCCATGTGGCTAGGGAGGCCTCACAATCATGGTGGAAGGCGAAAGGCATTTTCTACATGGCGGTGGCAAGCGAGAGAATGAGAGCCAAGTGAAACGGGTTTCTCCTTATAAAACCATCAGATCTTGTCAGACTTATTCACTACCACAAGAACAGTACGGGAAAAACTGCCCCCATGATTCAATTATCTCCCCCTGGGTCCCTTCCACAACACGTGGGAATCATGGGAGTACAATTCAAGATGAGATTTGGGTGGGGACAAAGAGCCAAACCATATCAACATGTGACGTCGTCTTTCTATTTATTTAGGTCTTCGTATTTGCTTTCAGCCACGTTTTGTAGTTTTCAGGGCACTAGTGTTACTCCTACTTGGTTAAATTTATTTATTTTTATTCTATTGGAAGTGAAATTGTTTTCTTAATTTTACTTTCTGATTGTTTATTGCTAGTTTATGGAAATGTGGCTGATGTTTGTGCGTTGATCTTCTTTTTTTTTTTTTTTTTTTTGAGATGGAGTCTTGCTCTGTCACCCAGGCTGGAGTGCAGTGGCATGCTCTTGGCTCACAGCAACCTCTACCTCCTGGGTTCAAGTGATTCTCCTGCCTCAGCCTCCCAAGTACCTGGAACTACAGGTGCCCTCACCACGCCCAGCTAATTTTTGTATTTTTTACTAGAGACAGGCTTTCACCATGTTGGCCAGGCTGGTCTAGAACTCATGACCTCAAGTGATCCACCCACCTCGGCCTCCCAAGGTGCTGGGATTACAGGCATGAGCAACCACGCCCAGCTGCAAACTACCTTTTCAATGACAGTTGTCTCCTAATTTGTTGGCCTCAGCATAGGTAGATAATAATAAAACCTACATTTTAAAACATTAAAGGGCAATGTTCAGCCAGGCACAGTGGCTCACGCCTGTAATTTCAGCACTTTGGGAAGCTGAGGTGGACAGATCACCTGAGGTGAGGAGTTCGAGACCAGCCTGGCCAAAATGGTGAAACCCTGTGTCTACTAAAAATACAAAAATTACCTGGGCATGGTGGCCGACACCTGTAGTCCCAGCTACTTGGGAGGCTGAGGCAGGAGAATTGCTTGAACCCAGGAGGCAGAGGCCACAGTGAGCCGAGATCGTGCCACTGCATTCTAGCTTGGGTGACAGAGAGAGAAGCGGTCTCCAAAAATAAATAAATAAAAATAGATGAGTCACTTCCAAGATGGCCAAATAGGAGCAGCTCCGGTCTGTAGCTCCCAGCGAGATCAACACAGAAGACAGGTGATTTCTGCATTTCCAACTGAGGTACCTGGTTCATCTCACTGGGACTGGTTGGACAGTGGGTGCAGCCCACAGAGGTGAGCTGAAGCAGGGCAGGGTGTCGCCTTTCCCAGGAAGTGCAAGGGTTCAGGGGATTTCCCTTTCCTAGGCAAGGGAAGCCGTGACAGACTGCACCTGGAGGAACGGTACACTTCCATCCAAATACTGTGCTTTTCCCACGGTCTTAGCAACTGGCAGACCAGGAGATTCTCTCCCGTTCCTGGCTCGGCAGGTCGCACGCCCACAGAGCCTTGGTCACTGCTAGCGAAGCAGTCCAAGATCAACCTGTGATGCTGCAGCCTGGTCAGCAACTATCATCAGACTGAACAGGCAATCTACAGATTGGGAGAAAACTTTTGCAATCTGCCCATTTGACAAAGGGCTAGTATTCAGAATCTACAAAGAACTTAAACAAATTTACAAGAAAAAAACAAACAACCCCATCAAAAAGTGGGCAAAGGATATGAACAGACACTTCTCAAAAGAAGACATTTATGCAGCCAACAGACACATGAAAAAATGCTCATCATCACTGGTCATCAGAGAAATGCAAATCAAAACCACAATGAGATACCATCTCACGCCAGTTCGAACGGTGATCATTAAAAAGTGAGGAAACGACAGATGCTGGAGAGGGTGTGGAGAAATAGGAATGCTTTTACACTGTTGGTGGGAGTGTAAATTAGTTCAACCATTCTGCTTAATAGCCACACACTGTGTGGCTATTCCTCAAGGATCTAGAACCAGAAATACCATTTGACCCAGCAATCCCTTCACTGGGTATATACCCAAAGGATTATAAATCATGCTACTATAAAGACACATACACACATATGTTTATTGTGCCACTATTCACAATAGCAAAGACTTGGAGCCACCCAAATGTCCATTAATGATAGACTGGATTAAGAGAATGTGGCACATCTACACCACGGAATACTATGCAGCCATAAAAAAGGATGAGTTCATGTCCTTTGCAAGGACATGGATGCAGCTGGAAACCGTCATTCTTAGCAAACTATCACAAGGTCAGAAAACCAACCACCACATGTTTCACTCATAGGTGGGAATTGAACAATGAAAACACATGGACACAGGGCAGGGAACTTCACATATTGGGGCCTGTTGGGGGTAGTGGGGGCGGGGAGGGAGAGCATTAGGACAAATACCTAATGTAAATGTCGAGTTGATGGGTGCAGCAAACCAACATAGCACATGTATACCTATGTTACAAACCTGCACGTCGTGCAACGTCGTGCAAATGTATTGTAGAAGTTAAAGTATAATAAAAAAAGAAAAAAAATCCATTCATATATCAATAAAAAATAGATCAATCAATCAATAAAACATTAAAGTGCAATGTCGACAAGAGGTGGTAAAAGCAGGCATCCTTGTGTTGTTCCTGGTCTTTGTGGGGAAATCTTTAAATTTGTAAGCCTTTCACTGTTGCATATGGTGTAAGTCTCTTCCTTTCTTTCTTTCTCCTTCCTTCCTTCTTTCCTTCCTTCCTTCCTTCCTTCTTTCTCTCTTCCTTCTTTTTCTTTCTTTCTATAAATAGAAACAGCAGGCCGGGCACGCTGGCTCAGCCTGTAATCCCAGCACTTTGGGAGGCCGAGGCAGGCGGATCACGAGGTCAGGAGATAGAGACCATCCTGGTTAACACAGTGAAACTCCATCTCTACTAAAATACAAAAAAAAAATTAGCCGGGCGTGGTGGTGGGCGCCTGTAGTCCCAGATACTCGGGAGGCTGAGGCAGGAGAATGGCCTGAACCCAGGAGGTGGAGCTTGCAGTGAGACGAGATCATGCCACCGCACTCCAGCCTGAGCGACAGAGCGAGACTCCGTCTCAAAAAATAAATAAATAAAAATAAATAAATAAATAGAGCCAGCGTCTCACTATGTTGCCCAGGCTGGTCTCAAACTTCTAGGCTCAAGCAATCTTCCCAAAGTACTGGGGTTACAGGAGTGAGTCACCTTGCCTGGCCTGGTGTAAGTTTTTTATATATGCCCTTTATCCTGTTGAAGAAGTTCTCTTCTGGTCTTTATTATTTCAGTATTCTTTGTTGTTGTTGTTGTTGTTTTGTTTTGTTTTGTTTTAAATCCTGAAAAGGTGTTGGGTTTTGTCAAAGGCTGTTTTCTACATTATCCCTTAATTCTATTAATGTTGTGAATAACATTTATTTATTTATTTATTTATTTATTTACTTATTTTGAGATGGAGACTCACTCAGTCTCCCAGGCTGGAGTGCAGTGGCATGATCTCGGCTCACTGCAACCTCCATCTCCTGGGTTCAAGCAATTTTCCTACCTCAGCCTCCCTAACACCTGGCATTACAGGCGTGTGTCACCACGCCCAGCTAATTTATTTTTATTTTTTGTATTTTTAGTAGAGACGGGGTTTCACCGTGTTGGCCAGGCTGATCTTGAACTCTTTACCTCAAATGGTCCACCTGCCTCGGTCTGCCAAAAGTGCTGGGAATACAGGCGTGCACTACCGTGCCTGGCTGAGTTTTTTCTTTTTTGAGACAGGGTCTCACTTTGTCACCCAGGGTGGGGTGCAGTGGCACAAACATGGTTCACCGCAGCCTCAACCTCCCCAGCTCAAGTGATTCTCTCACCTCAGCATGCCAAGTAGCTGGGACTACAGTTGTGAGCCACTGCGCCCTGCCCTGATTTTCTTATAATGAATCACCCTTACATTCTTGGGATAAGTCTCATCTGTTAACACATATGTATAATATGTTTCTATGCTGCTGGATTTGATTTGCTAGTATTTTCTTTAGGATTTCTGCATCTATATTTATAAGGGACATTGGTCTATAGTTTCCTTTTCCTGTAATGTCATTGTGTGGCTTTGGTATCAGGGTAATGCTGGCCTCATAGAGTGGGTCAGAAATGTTGCCTCCTCTTCTAGTTTTGGGAAGATTTTAATAAGAATTGGCCTTAATTATTCAAATACCTGGTAGAATTCACCAATGGAGCCATCGGGTCCTGAGCTTTTCCTTACGGAACTTTAAAAAATTGTTACCAATTCCATCTCTTTCCTTGTTATAGATCTATTCCGACTTCCTAGTTTTTCTTGGGTTAGTCTTGGTAATTTGTGTGTTTCTAGAAATTTGTACATTTCTTCCAGGTGTATTCAATTAATTGACATGTCATTGTTTATAGTATTCTCTTATAATCTTTTATTTTTGTAAGGGTTGTAGTAATCTTTGGTTCCTGATTTTAGTGGTTTGGGCCATCTCCATTCTTCTTCTGGGGGCATCAGTATTTCCAAAAGTTTAGCAATTTTGCTGATTTGTTAAAGAACCAGTTTTTGGTTTTGTTGACTCTATTGCTTTTATAGAATACTATATTTTATTTATCTTCACTGTAATTTTTATTGTTTTTTTGCTGCTGCTTGCTTTCGGCATAGTTTGATCTTTTTCTAATCCCATAAGGTGGAAGAATGTATTATTTATTTGAGATCTGTCTTTCTTTTTTTGCTTGAGACAAGGTCTTGCTCTGTTGTCCAAGCTGGAGTGTAGTGGTGCAATCATGGCTCACTGCAGCCTCAAACTCCTGGGCTCAAGTGATCCTCCTGCCTCAGCCTCCCAAGTAGCTGAGATCACAGGCATGTGCCACGATGCCTGGCTAGATTTTTTATTTGTATTTTTCATACAGATAGGGTCTCGCTATATTACTGAGGCTGGTCTCAAACTCCTGGCCTCAAGTGTTCATTTTTTTTTTTTTTTTTTTGAGATGGAGTTTCACTCTTGTTGCCTAGGCTGGAGTGCAATGGCACGATCTCAGCTCACCACAACCTTCGCCTCATGGGTTCGAGTGATCCACCTGCCTCAGCCTCCTAGGTAGCAAGGACTACAGGCATGTGCCACCATGCCCAGCTAATTTTGTCTTTTTAGTGGAGATGGGGTTTCTCCATGTTGGTCAGGCTGGTCTTGAACTCCTGACCTCAGGTGATCCACCCGCCTCAGCCTCCCAAAGTGCTGGGATTACAGGCGTGAGCCACTGCGCCCACCCTCTTTCATTTTTGATGTAGGTGACTACAGCTATAAATTTCCCTCTGAGCATTGTCTTTGCTGCATCTCATAAGTTTTGGTAAGTTGTACTGCTTTTTCATTCATCTCAAAATATTTAAAAATTTTTTTATGATGTCTTATTTTACTCATTGTTTATGTTAATTTCTACATAATCGTATATTTGTGAATCTAAAAATTTTCTTTCTCTTGTTGATTTCTAGTTTTATTCTGTTGTGGTTGAAGAAATTACTTTTTTTTTTTTTTTTTGGCAGGGTCTCACTCTGTCGCCCAGGCTGGAGTGCAATGGCCTGATCTCAGCTCACTGCAACCTCCGCCTCCCGGGTTCAAGCAATTCTCCTGCCTCAGTCTCCCAAGTAGCTGGGATTATAGGCACCCGCCACCACACCCAGCTACTTTTTGTATTTTTAATAGATATGCGGTTTCACCATGTTGGCCAGGCTGGTCTCAAACTCCTGACCTCAGGTGATCCGCCTGCCTCGGCCTCCCAAAGTGCTGGGATTACAGGTGTGAGCCACCGCACCCGGCCAAAAGTACTTTGTATGATTTCAACTTTTTTTTTTTTTTTTTTTTTTTTGAGACAGGGTCTCTCTCTGTCGCTCAGTCTGGAGTACAGTGGCGTGATCTCAGCTCACTGCAACCTCCACCTCCTGGGTTCAAGCAATCCTCCTGCCTCAGCCTCCTGAGTAGCTGGAATTACAGGTGCCCACAACCATGCCCAGCAAATTATTGTACTTTTAGTAGAGATGGGGTTTCACTGTGTTGGCCAGGGTGGTCTCGAACTCCCGACCTCAAGGGACCCACCTGCCTTGGCCTCCCAAAGTGTTGGGATTACAGGCGTGAGCCACCGCGCCCAGCCGATAACTCAAAAATTTTCAAGAGGCAAAGACTTATTTTTTAACAGATGTGAGACTCAGTGTTTTAAACAAGACCCAATAAAGACAGTATGAGGCTAACTGAATCTGTCCCTCCTGCAAAGAAACATTTTTTTACTGTTTTTTAATATTACATGAAAATTTTGTTTAAAAAACTAAATTTTACCTTTGTATGTAAAATTGTTCCTTTAGTAGTTTTAATTACATATATTATAATGTTAACTCTTAGGCAGTCTCCGCCTCTCGGGTTCAAGCAATTCTCTTGCCTCAGCCTCCCGAGTACCTCAGACTACAGGTGTGCACCACCATGCATGCCCAGCTAATTTCTGTATTTTTAGTAGAGACAGGGTTTCGCCATGTTGGCCAGGCTGGTCTCAAACTGCTGACATCAGGTGATCTGTCCGCCTTGGCCTCCCAAAGTGCTGGGATTACAGGCGTGAGCCACTGCATCCAGCCATTACTGACTTTTATTTTTAATGAAAAACTAAGGAGGTAGGCAATTTTAATTATGTACCAGGTACAGAGTCTAGGACAGTAATAATATATGTCAATAATATATGATGCTTTTTAGGATAGGCAGGGGACATGGTTAATTCTACACATCCCCAGGCCTTATCTACAATCTAAGGGCTTTAAAATAGACAAGTCCAACAATTATTTAAAATATTATAGAAGGGCCAGGCATGGTGCCTCATGCTTATAATTCTAGCACTTTGGGAGCAGAGGCTGGTGGACGCCTTGAACCTAGGAGTTAGAGACCAGCCTGGCCAACATGGTAAAACTCGATCTCCACTAAAAATACACAAGTGAGCTAGACATGGTGGTACGTGCTTATAGTCCCAACTACTTGGAAGGCTGAGGTGGAAGGATCACCTGAGCCCAGGGAGGTTGAGGCTGCAGTGAGCATGCCACTGTACTCCAGCCTGGGCAACAGAGTGAGTCCCAGTCTAAGAAAAAAATTTATAAAAGTAGTTTAGGACCTGAAAGGTCTTAGTAAAGACAATACCAGACTTGTCTAATTTACACCAAATGTTCACATTCTGAAGATGTTTTTATTTTACTAATAATTGAAAAACTGTCTTTATTTACTAAAGATTATTAAAGTCATGTGAACTAAAAGATACTTAAAGTTTTTATTTTTTGATGAAATATTCAATTTAAGTGGTTAAGTCAACTGATTAGAGCTTTTAAAAATATATTTCAGTAGTGAAATATTATATATTCATGGCACATATAAACATAGACATAACAGACAGAAGTAGATCTTATAGACTTGTAAGACTTTCTGTCAATTTTAAAATTTTTATTAATTAATTAATTTATTAGAGACAAGGTCTCACTCTGTCACCCAGACTGGAATGCAATGGTATAATCATAGCTCACTGTAGCCTCAAATTCCTGGGCTTAACTGATCCTCTCGCTTCAGCCTCCTGAGTTGCTGGGACTACAGGCATGCACCACCATGCCCAGATAATTTTAAAAATTTTTTATAGAGATGGTGTCTCACTTTGTTGCCCAGGCAGGACTTGAACTCCTGGCCTCAAGTGATCCTCATACCTCAGCCTCCCAAAGTGTTGGAATTACAGGCTTAAGCCACCACATCTGGCTGGTTTTAATTATTAAACAATAACAAAAAAATTCATTTTCTAAAAAAAAGAGTACTGTGGCCTCTATACAAAAATAAAGAAAAACAATTTAGCATAGTGAAAACAAGATAGAGTCAATAATATTAAATTTGTATTTTTGAGACAGAGTCTCACTCTGTTGCCCAGGCTTGAGTGCAGTGGCTTGATCTCAGCTCACTGCAGCCTCTGCCCCCCTGGTTCAAGCAATTCTAGTGCCTCAGCCTCCGGAGTAGCTGGGACTACAGGCTTGCACCAACATGCTTGGCTTATTTTTCTATTTTTAGTAGAGACAGGGTTTCACCATGTTGGCCAGGTTGGTCTTGAACCCCTGACCTCAAGTGATCTGCCCGCCTCAGCCTCCCAAAGTGTTGAGATTACAGGCGTGAGCCACCGCGCCCAGTCAATTATGTTAAATTACCCTTATTACTATGATTTTTATAAAAGTGGTTTCAAGCATATAAAGAATGTTTGTTATTACTATTATGTATTATTTTCTTTATCATGATACTTCAGTCAAAAGGAACTGCTTAGGACAGCTTGAATATGTCCCATAGTTACAGCCTGCAAGCCTTTTTCTTTGCTGTGCCATGTGCCTAAGACACCATCCTTCGTTTGTGTGTGTCAAAACCCCACCAGTCTGTCCTCTTAATCCCAACACCAATGTCCTGGGTGCCAATAAAGGCTTTCCTCACCTCCAAATTGAGATTTTATTGACCTCTCTTGGGGTGCTTATACTGGCTTTGGGTTGAAATCTATTTTTTCTCCTCTCCCTTGAAGAAGCACGTCTCTTTGCTTAAGGGAACGTAGAAGCCACAGCAGATCCTAGCAGATATCTGTTACCCTGAAGAAGAGGTCAGGGCCCAGGCACGGTGGCTCATGCCTGTAATCCCAGCATTTGGGGAGGTCGAGGTGGGCGGATCGCTTGAGCCCAGGAGTTCGAGCCCAGCTTGGGCAATATGGCAAGACACCGCCCCCCGACTCTACAAAAAATACAAAAATTAGCCAGGCGTGGTGGTGAGTGCCTGTAGTACCAGCTACTTGAAAGGCTGAGTTGGGAGAATCAGCTGAGCCCAGGAAGTTGAAGCTGCAGTGAGCCGTGATCGCACCACTGCACTCCAGCCTGTGCAACGTGGCAAAACCAGAGTGGGGCCTTGTCTCATTTTAAAAAGTAATAAGAGACCGAGCACGGGAACTCAGGCCTGTAATCCCAGCACTTTGGGAGGCTGAGGCGGCCAGATCACTTGAGGCCAGAGAGTTGGAGACCAGCCTGGCCAACATGGGAAAACCCTGTCTCTACTAAAGATACAGAAATTAGCCGGGTGTGGTGGCAGGCACCTGTAATTGCAGCTACTGGGAGGCTGAGGCAGGAGAATCGCTTGAATCTGGGAGGCGGAGGTTGCAATGAGCAGAGATCGAGTCACTGCACTCCAGCCTGGGCCGCAGAGCAAGACCCTGTCTCAAAAATAAATAAATAAATAAATAATTTAATAAATAAGAAGAAAGGGTCAGGGCCATTTTTAAAAGGCACTAGATAAGGCCTGGTTGCAATCAGGGAGTGCGGGCAACTGATTTCTTTGAAGCCTCCTCTTGTTCTGTTTCCGTGACATTGACAGGGACCAGCTCCCATGGTTCAGGAGCTGCTGAGGGTTAACATCCTGTCCCAGGAGGGATCTGACCACACCAATGGCTTTATCGTTGCCTAATTGGGGAGGCCCTGTGGGGGATGTTTCAAGGACTGAGAGTGCAGAGGAGCCTCCCGCATGCAGTTACGCTGATGGAAACACAATGGGTGGATTGCCACAGGGGCCCGCAGGCTCGCTGGCAAACAGAGCGCACAGGTGGAAACCTTCCCCGCTGACCAGATACTTTGTTTCCTTTCTGGGGAGGCAGATAAAACAGTTACCATAACCCAAACCCTGCCCACTCTTCATTTGCAAACTGCAATGCTCTTAGACATCTTCCTTAGGTAAGCGCTTTGAGAGCTCCTGTTCATTTCAGGACTAAAATGAACAATAATAGCGACCGTCCTTCAGAGCCTGCTGGATGCCAGGCACCTCACAAGTGTCTCCCAGTGCTGGGTGCAGTGATTCACACCTGTAATCCCAGCACTTTGGGAGGCTGAGGTGGGTGGATCGCTTGAGCTCAGGAGATCAAGACCAGCCTGGGCAATATAGTGAGAACTCTGCCTCTAAAACAAAGAAAAAGGAAAAAGTAACTCCTGGTGAATTTCCACCTTAGAACAAGAGTGGGAGGTGTCCTATTCATGATCTTTAATGCTTTGCTCAAATATCACCTTCTCTGTGAGGCCTACCCTGACCACTCTGCTTAAAATTGCAACCCTCCACCACCTCCACCCCGCATCGCAAGTTCTCGTCACAGCCTTTCTCACCTGCTACCCACTCCATGATTTACTTATTAAGTATGTTTGTTAGGCCGTGTGCAGTGGCTCATGCCTATAATCCCAGCACTTTGGGAGGCTGAAGCAGGTGGATTACCTGAGGTCAGGAGTTCAATACCAGCCTGGCCAACGTGGCGAAACCCCATCTTTACAAAAATACAAAAAAGTTAGCCAGGTGTGGTGGTGCGTGCCTGTAGCCCAGCTACTCGGGAGGCTGAGGCAGGGGATTTGCTTGAACCTGGGAGGGAAGGTTGTAGTGAGCTGAGATTGCACCATCGTACTCCAGCCTGGGCGGTAGAGCAAGACTCTGTTTCAAAAAAAAAAAAGTATTGCTAAGTCAAAAAGTATAAACAGTCTAATTTTTTTTTTTTGAGACAAAGTCTCGCTCTGTTGCCCAGGCTAGAATGCAATGGCACGGTTTCGGCTCATTGCAACCTCTGCCTCCTGGGTTCAAGCGATTCTCCTGCCTCAGCCTCCCGAGTAGCTGGGATTACAGGCATATACCACCATGCCCAGCTAACTTTTTGTATTTTTAGTATAGATAGGGTTTCACCATATTGGCCAGGCTGGTCTCGAACTTCTGACCTCGTGATCCGCCCGCCTTGGCCTCCCAAATTGCTGGGACTACAGGCAAGAACCACCGTGCCCTGCCTGAAGAGTCGAAATTTTTTTTTTTTTAAACAGTTTCACTCTGTCGCCCAGGCTGGAATGCAATGGCACATTCTCAGCCCACTACAACCTCCGCCTCCCAGGTTGTAGCCATTCTCCTGCCTCAAGCCTCCCAAGTAGCTGGGATTATAGGCACCCACCACTATGCCTGGCTACATTTTGTAGTTTTTTTTTTTTTCTTTTTGAGACGGAGTTTTGCTCTTGCTTCCCAGGCTGTAGTGCAATGGCGCCATCTCTGCTCACCACAACCTCCGCTTCCCAGATTCAGGTAATCCTCCTGCCTCAGCCTCCCGAATAGCTGGGATTACAGGTATGCGCCACCACGCCCAGCTAATTTTGTGTTTTTAGTAGAGATGGGGTTTCTCCATGTTGGTCAGGCTGAACAACCGACCTCAGGTGATCTGCCCGCCTCAGCCTCCCAAAGTGCTGGAATTACAGGTGTGAGCCACCACGCCTGGGTCTACTTTTTGTAGTTTTTAGTAGAGACAGAGTTTCACCATGTTGGTCAGGCTGGTCTCGAACTCCTGACCTTAGTCGATCTGCCCGCCTCAGCCTCCCAAAGTACTGGGATCACAGGCGTGAGCCACTGCGCCCGGCCCAAATAGTCTAAATTTTAATAAATACTGCCAAATAACACTTTCAAAAGAGTATCCATTCATACTCCCACCAATGGTACATAAAAAGTCTCAATAACAATTGGTAAAATTGGTTTGGTGGGGAATTCAACTCTACACTGCTGAGCTGCTGCTATTTGCAACCATAGAATCTTTTTTTTTTTTTTCTTCTGAGACAGAGTCTCGCTTTGTCACCGAGACTGGAGTGCAATGGCGCTATCAAGGCTCACTGCAACCCTTGCTTCCCGGCTTTAAGTGATCCTCCTGCCTCAGCTTCCCGACTAGCTGGGATTACAGGAGTACGCCACCATGCCCAGCTAATTTTGTATTTTTAGTAGAGACAGGGTTTCACCATGTTGGCCAGGATGGTCTCGAATTCCCGACCTCAGGTGATCTGCCCGCCTTGGCTTCCCAAAGTGCTGGGATTACAGGCGTGAGCCACCGTGCTGGGCCCTGCAAACATAGAATCTTAGAGTTGAAAGGGACATAAAAATCCATCGAATTCTTGTCCAACTCCCCTCCCAAGGCAGCAATCCCCTGCAATACAGCCTTGTTTACAACGCTGTTGTCTGTGACTGGGGTCAAACTCCACATCTTTGATCTTAAGAATAAACCACCACTGACAGTGGGCTTATCACATCCAGTAAGTTTGTTATATCACTGGGCCAAAATCTACTTTCCTGGTGGGGCCCGGTGGCTCACGCCTGTGATCCCAGGACTTTGGGAGGCTGAGTAGGGTGGATCACCTAAGGTCAGGAGCCAGAGACCAGCCTGGCCAACATTGCGAAACCCCATCTCTACTATAAATACAAAAACTAGCTGGGTGTGGTAGTGCATGCCTGTAGTCCCAGCTACTCGGAAGGCTGAGGCAGGAGAATCACTTGAACCCAGGAGGCGGAGGTTGCAGTGAGTGGCGATCACTGCACTGCACTCCAGTCTGGGTAACAGAGCGAGACACACACACACGCACACGCACACGCACACGCGCGCGCGCACACACACACACACACCCTACCTTTCCTGCAACACACCCCACCTATCCTAGCTCAGCTCTGGGAAGTAACACAAAAGAGCTAATCCTTTTCCACATGACAGCCCTTAAAATATTTGAAGACTGTATCACATTTCCCCAGAGCCTTCTTTTTGTGGGGTACAACTTCCCAGTTGTGACCAAACACGTCCCTTCCATAGGAAAGTGCTGACTGGAGTCTCTTCAGCTGAGTGGCCCAGCATAAGAGCTTTAGAGTCACTAGGCTTGGGTTCAAGGCCATGTTCCCACCCCTTCCAGCCACCTGACCTGGGCTAAATCACTTCTCAGACTAGTTTCCTCCCTTGGATAAACTGCATAGCAATAATACCCATGTCATAGGGTTGCTGGTTTGGCCACATTATGATTTTTTTTCTTTTTGAGACAGAGTTTTGCTCTTATTGCCCAGGCTGGAGTACAGTGGCACAGTCTTGGTTCACTACAACCTCCGCCTCCTGGGTTCAACTGATTTTTCCTGCTTCAGCCTCCCGAGTAGCTGGGATTACAGGCACCTGCCACCATGCCCAGCTAATTTTTTGTATTTTTAGTAGAGTCGGGGTTTCACCATGTTGGCCAGGCTGGTCTCGAACTCCTGACCTCAGGTGGTCCACCCGCCTTGGTCTCCCAAAGTGCTGGGATTACAAGTGTGCGCCACTGCTGGCCTTTTTTTTTTTTTTTTTTTTTTTTTTTTTTGAGACAGAGTCTTACTCTGTCACCCAGGCTGAAGTGCAGTGGCATGATCTCGGCTCACTGCAACCTCCGCTTCCCAGGTTCAGGTGATTCTCTTGCCTCAGCCTCCTGGTAGCTAGGACTACAGACACCCGGCACCACACTCAGTCACATGGATTTTTTTGGTGGGTTCCTTCCTCCATAAGAAAAAAAGTGTTTTAAATCATATTTTATGACTGTGTTAGTATAAGGATGAATATAACAAGGCCTGGTGCAGTGGCTCATGCCTGAAATCCCAGCACTTTGGGAGGCCAAAGTGGGAGAATTACTTCATCCCAAGAGTTCAAGAACAGCCTGGGCAACATGGCAAGACCCTTTCTCTACAAAAAATAAAAAATATAAAAATTAGCCGGAAGTGGTGGCATGTACCTGTGGTCCCAGCTCCTCGGGAGGCTGAGGTGGGAAGACTGCCTGAGCCCAGGGGGTCAAGGCTGCAGTGAGCCATGATTGTGCCACTGCACTCCAGCCTGGGCGCCAGAGCTCCTGCTCAAAAATACCAAAAACTAAAAACTAAAAATAATATATATATGTAATAAAGGCAGGGTTATGTTTATTTTTTCTTCTGATTTTAAAAGAAGTAAAACATTTTCATGGGGCCCTAAAAGTATTGTGGGCCTTAGGCATCATGCCTTCTGTAAGTTCATAGGCCCTGGCTGCTGGAAGGAGTAAAAAAGAAAAAACATGCCAAATATGTAAAGTGCTTAGCGCAGCACTGGGCCTGGCTCTTTGTAACTTAATAAATGGTGATCAAAAATTAAAAAGTGCAATGCAGGCCGGGTGCAGTGGCTCACGCTTGTAATCCCAGCACTTTGGGAGGCCAGGTGTGCGGATCACGAGGTCAGGGGTTTGAGACCAGCCTGGCCAACATGGTGAAACCCTGTCTGTACTAAAAAACACAAAATTAACCAGGCATGGTGGCACACACCTGTAATCCCAGCTACTTGGAAGGCTGAGGCAGGAGAATTGCTTGAACCTGGGAGGTGGAGGTTGCGGTGAGTCGAGATCACACCATTGCATTCCAGCCTGGGCAACAAGAGTGAAACTCCGTCTCAAAAAAAAAAAAAAAAAAAGTTGGGGGTGTAGTGCAGAGAACAGAGTGTAACCCTGGAGAACTCTGCAGAGCTTTCCTTTTTTTTTTTTTTTTTTGAGACGGAGTCTCGCTCTGTCGCCTAGGCTAGCACAATCTCGACTCACTGAAACCTCTGCCTCCCGGGTTCAAGTGATTCTCCTGCCTCACCCTCCTGAGTAGCGGGGATTACAGGTGCATGCCACCATGCCCGGCTAATTTTTTGTATTTTTAGTAGAGACATGGTTTCACCATATTGGCCAGGCTGCTCTTGAACTCCTGACCTCAGTTGATCTGCCCACCTTGACCTCCCAAAATGGTGGGATTACAGGCATGGGCCACCACACCTGGCCTGCAGAACTTTCTTTATTGGCATGCATTGGGACTTGCAGACTCAGCTTCAGCTGAATGTAAGGAACAGTTCCTGGGTCCATGTTTTCTCACTGTGTTCACAGAGTCTTGCAAGAGATTCTGCAAAAAGACACACAGTCTATGGCATTTATCTTGAGACGAGAGAAAGTATACATTTAAGGACATGTGCGTGAAGAATTCTGGAAGGATAAAGAAGATATTAATTTATAGCCATTACCTATTGAGAAGGAAGGATTGGGAATATTGTGAATAGGTCCAGGAGTGGGAGAGAGACTTTCCACTGTATGCCTACTGATAGTTTTGATGTGTAAACAATGATAATAGAGTGCTGATTCAAAAATGTTAATAATTTTTTTTTTTTTTTTTTTTGTGATGGAGTCTCACTCTATCACCCATGCTGGAGTGCAGTGGCGCAATCTCAGCTCACTTCAACATCTGCCTCCCGGGTTCAAGCGGTTCTCCTGCCTCCACCTCCTGAGTAGCTGGAATAACACTTGTGCACCACCACACCCAGCTAATTTTTGTATTTTTAGTAGAGACAGGGTTTCGCCACGTTGGCCAGGCTGGTCTCGAACTCCTGACCTCCGGTGATCTGCCAGCCTCGGCCTCCCAAAGTGCTGGGATTACAGGCTTGAGCCACTGCACCTGGCTCAAAAATCTTAGTAATTTTTTTGACTGTCCTAAATTGTTTATTAGGTATGAGTTTTACAAACTTTACTTATATTAGTGGTAACAGTGGAGATTGAGAGTATTGCGCCTTCTCCAAGCTGCCCGGCAAGAACCACCAATAGTGTGGTGGAACTTACGGCCCTTTCCAAGGCCATGGCTCTTTTGGCCTGCACATGCCAGCCCACGCATCTCCTTGTGCTTGTGGACTGGTTTGGTGATCCACTGGGTGTCAGGATTTCTTCCAATAGCTTTATGGAATGGATCAATGAGGATAACCTCAAAAAATTTGTGTGTGGAATCTTCACCCATCCAGTAAGAATTCAGGACTCTTAGAGCCCCACAGTGGCGTCCAACTCACTCCTCTGCAATCAACTGTAGGCTTCAGTTAATACCATGATGGACAGGCTTGCCGTAAGTTGCACCCTTAGGAACTGAGCATTTTCGGCCATCACGGAGAATACGAATCCCGTAGATAACATAACCTTGCTTGATCTTGTAGCCCAGTTGGTGCACTTTATCGGGCCGGGTGGGGCGGGGAGCCCTGTGGAGAGCAGAGAGCTGGCGGTACTGCCAGCAGCGGACCCTCAGAAGAAAGCTCATGACATCAGACTGCTTCTTCCTCCACAGCTCGTGGATGTACTTGTATGCACCCATCTTGGCTTACCTGATTGCTGCCGCCAGACAGAAGGGCCAAAAATCTTAATAATTTTTATTTTGAAAAATATATGCATGTGGTTAGAAAAAACTTCAAACAGTTCAAAAGGGTGAAAAGCAACTCTCCCTCTTGTACCCAGGGAGTACCTGGTAAGATATAACATCTCATACAGGACTTACAGAACCTCTATAAAAACTATTAAAAAATTTTGTTGAGAGACAGTAAAGAAGACCTAAATAAATGGAGAGATATACATGTTCATTGATTGGAAGAGCCTAGATTTGAAGGCGCCAACTCTTGTATTGATTCATAGATCAAATTTAATCCCAATGAAAAGCTCAGCCTTTTTTTTTTTTTTTTTTTTTTTGCAGAACTTGACAATCTGATTCCAAAACTGATAGGGGAATAAAAGGGAGTCAAACTACCCAAGACACTCTTGGGAGGAAAAAACAAAACCAAAAATGAACTGTGGGCTGGGCGCAGTGGCTCACGCCTGTAATCCCAACACTTTGGGAGGCCGAGGCAGGTGGATCATCTGAGATCAGGAGTTTGAGACCAGCCTGGCCAACATGGTGAAACCCCGTCTCTAATAAAAATACAAAAATTAGCTGGGCATGGTGGTGGGTGCCTGTAGTCCCAGCTACTTGGGAGGCTGAGGGAAGAGAATCGCTTGAACCCAGGAGGCAATGGTTGCAGTGAGTCGAGATTGTGCCACTGCACTCCAGCCTGGCAACAGAGCGAGACTCCATCTCAAAGAAAAAAAAAAGCTAGACATCAAGTTAGGGAGAGGAAGACAAACCAGAACCCACATTCCTTTTTGACGCTGTTGTTTACTTTTCCATTATAGCCATTCTAGCACAATTAGAGTAATATCTTATTGTGGTCTGTTGAAATACTTTAGAGGAAGTTACACAGATCATGATAGATTACTTTAAATGCCATGCCATATATCTCTAAAAATACACGTTTATGTATTGGAAGACTCAATATTGTTAAGATGGCGATACTACTCCAAAGTGATCTATAGACTTGATGTAATCTCTATGAAAATCCCAATGTCCTTGTTTGCAGACCTGGAAAATTCAAACCTAAAATTCACATGGTATCGCACCCAACAGCCAATCTTGAAAAATGAGCAGAGTTGGAAGACTCACACTTGGTGACTTCAGAATTTACTACAAAGCAACAATAATCGAAAAGTTTGGTATTGGTAGGAAGATAGGCATATAGATTAGTGGAATAGAATCGAGAGTCTGGAAATAACCCATACATCTATGGTCAATTGTTTTGTTTTGTTTTGTTTTTTTGACAGAGTCTCACCCTGTCACCCAGGCTGGAGTGCAAAATTATCACACCTGTAAGTTCCGAAATTTTTTCTCTTATTATTTCATCTACAGCTTTTTTTCCTGTGTTTTGTCAGTTTTATTTTTCTGAAATGCTTATTATTTAGATGTGGGATCTTTTTGTGTGACCTTCTAATGTTCTCCATTTTCTCTGATCTCTGCAAGATTTCAGCAATTTCTTTCTTCTTCCCTTTTCTTTTTTTACTTCTTGCTTTCTTAATTTCTGAGAGCTCCTTTTTGTTCCCTGAATGTTTCTTTTAAAAGATATACTGGTCGGGTGCAGTGGCTTACACCCGTAATACCAGCACTTTGGGAAGCCAATAGGAGGATCGTTTGAAGCCAGGAATTTCAGAGAAGAATTCTGCAATCTCCTCATTGAAGGTTGTGGTAGTCATACCTGACCCTGTGAATAATTCTAACCAAGGCTGGGCATGGTAGCTTATGCCTGTAACCCCAGCACTTTGGGATGCTGAGGCAGGTGGATCACCTGAAGTCAGGAGTTTGAGACCAGCCTGGCCAACATGGCGAAACCCCATTTCTACTAAAAATACAAAAATTAGCTGGGCATGGCAGTGCATGCCTGTAATCCCAGCTACTTGGGAGGCTGAGGGAGGAGAATCGCTTGAACCCGGAGCTGAGATCATGCCATTGCACCCCAGACTGGGCAACAAAAGTGAAATTCCATCTCAAAAAGAAAATAAAATAAAAATAAAAAAATTCTAACCAATGAGGTATGATTGAAAATGACACACGTCTTTGCCAATCATACTTCATTGGTTAGAATTATTATTATTATTTGAGACAGAGTCTCACTCTGTTGCCCAGGCTGGAGTGCAGTGTTATGATCTCGGCTCACTGCAGCCTCTGCCTCCCTGGATCAAGAGATTCTTCTGTCTCAGCCTCCCAAGTAGCTGGGATTACAGGCATGCACCATCATGCCCAGTTAATTTTTTATACTTTTAGTAGAAATGGGGCTTCACTATGTTGGCCAGGCTTGTCTTGGACTCCTCACCTCAGGTTATCCACCTGCCTTGGCCTCCCAAAGTGCTGGGATTACAGGCGTGAGCCAACATGCCTGGCCTGGTTAGAATTATTCAGAGAATAATTGAACAATTATTCTGTGAACAACCTGTAAACGAACAACCTGAAAATTAAACTAAGGAAAGAAAATTAAGACAATCCACTTGCAATAGCACCAAAAACAATAAAAATACTTGGTAATAAATTTAACAAAAGATGTTCAAAATTTGTACACTGAAAGCCATGAAACATTGCTGAAAGACATTAAGGAAGACCTAAACAAATAGAAAAACATCCCATGTGCATGGATTAGAAGACTCAATATTGTTAAGATGTCAATACTACCCAAAGCAATCAACAGATTTAATGCAATTTCATTGGTCTTTTCTGCAGAAGTGGAAAGGCTGATTCTCAAATTCACATGGAATTGTAAAAGACTCCAAACAGCCACAACATTCTTGAAAAAAAGAAGAACAAAGTTGGAGGGCTCATATTTCTTGATTTTAAAGCTTACTACAAAGCTACAGTAATCAAAACAGTGTGGTATTAGCTTAAGAACAGACATATAAACCAATGAAATAGAATTGAGAGTCCACAAATAAACCTATACAATTATGGTCAATTGATTTTTGACAGGTGTGCTAAGACAATTCAATGGGAGAAAGAATAGCCTTTTAAAAAAATTGTCCTAGGACCACTGGATAAACATGTACAAAAGGATGAAGTTGGACCCTAACCTTGCAATTACCTTAAAAATTATTATAAATATAAGAACTAAAACTATAAAACTCTCAGAAGAAAACACAAGGATGAATTTTCATGATCTTGGACTTGGCAATTAATTCTTAGATATGACACCAAAAGTACAAGCCAAAAAAGAAAAATAGACAAATTAGACTTCATCAAATTAAAAACTTTTGTGCATTGAAGGATATTATTAAGAAAGTAAAAAGACAATGTACAGAATGGGAGAAAATATGTGCACACCATGTATCTGATAAAAGTCTATGTTTTAATGTAATTAAAACATGAACAAAGTTAATTTGTGCGGCAGCAATAAAAAAGGGAAACAAATATGAACAAAGGACTTGAATAGACATTCCTAGAAGATACGTAAATCACCAACAGGCACATAAAAAGATGTTCAACATCATTAGTCTTTAGAGAAACACAGACAAAAACCACAGTGAGGTCTCAATTCACACACACTAGGACAGCTACAATTTTTTTTTAAAGTGTGTGTATTGGGGGGTGCAGCTGGGAACAGTGACTCATGCCAGCACTCTGGGATGCCAAGGCAGGAGGATCACTTAAGTCCGGGAGTTTGAGACCAGCCTGGGCGACATAGCAAGACTGCCATCTCTCCAAAAAATTAAAAAATTAGCTGGGAGTGGTGGCACACCCCTGTGGTTCTAGCTACTTGGGAAACTGAGTCGGGAGGATTGAACCCAGGAGTTTGAGGTTGTAGTGAGCTATGATCATGCCACTGCATTCTAGCCAGAGCAATAGGGTGAGATCCTATCTCTAAATTACATAAATAAATAAATAAGTAAATATGCAGAAAATAACAAATGCTGACAGGAATGTGGAGATATTGGAACACTCATGCATTGCTGGTGGAAATGCAAAATGGTTCAGCTGCTGAGAAAAACTGTTTAATGATTCGTCAAAAAGTTAAACACAGAATTACCATATATCTCAGCAATTCTACTCCTAGAATATTCACAAAATAAATGAAAACATGCACTCACATAGATGCACATACACACATGTCGACAGAGGCACTATTCACCGCGCCGGACCCAAAACATGTATTTTCTTAGGAACACCAGATAGCACTTCAGTGCTATGCTTGGGGGCCATTTCAAACAGCAAAATCAATAATAAATACCACAGAAATGTGAAACCTATGGCACACAAATGCTGCAAAAAGGACATTTGTGGCCTGGCGCAGTGGCTCACGCCTGTAATCTCAGCACATTGGGAGGCCGAGGTGGGTGGATCACCTGAGGTCAAGAGTTCAAGACCAGCCTGACCAATATGGTGAAACCCCGTCGCTACAAAAAATACAAAAAATAGCTGGGCGTGGTGGTGGGCACGTGTAATCCCAGCCACTCGGGAGGCTGAGACAGGAGGATTGCTCAAACCCAGGAGGCAGAGGTTGCAGTGAGCTGAGATCGAGCCACTGCACTCCAACCTGGAAGACAGAGTGAGACTCCATCTCAAAAAAAGAAAAAAAAAAAAAGGACATTTACAATAGGACAGCTGAAACAAGAAGTCAGGGTGTGGCCTCATTCAACCTCAGATAGGAACATGTGTGTTGAGCAACTCAAATTTTCTTCTTTTTTATTTGAGACGCAGCCTTGCTTTGTCACCCAGGCCCAGGCTGTCCCAGGCCCAGGCAGTGACGTGATCTCGGCTCACTGCAACCTCTGCCTCCTGGGTTCAAGTGATTCTCCTGCTTCGGCCTCTTGAGTAGCTGGGATTACAGGCACCCACCACTATGCCCAACTAATTTTTGTATTTTTAGTAGAGACTGGGTTTCGCCATGTTGGCCAGGCTGGTCTCGAACTCCTGATCTCAAGTGATCCGCCAGCCTCAGCCTCCCAAAGTGCTGGGGTTACAGGCGTGAGCCACCGCACCCAACCCTTTTTTATTTTTATTTTCATTTTTTTGAGACAGGGTTTTGCTCTGTCACCCAGACTGGAGTGCAGTGATGCCATTGTGGCTCACTGCAGCGTCAACTTCCCAGGCTCAAGTGATCCTCCCAGCTTCCAAAGTAGCTGGGACCAAAGGTGTGCACCACCACAGCTGGCTAATTTTTTTTGTCTATTTTTGGTAGAGACGGGGTTTTGCCATGTTGCTCAGGCTGGTCTCCAACTGCTGAGCTCAAGTAATCCACCCACCTCAGCCTCTCAAAGTGCTGGCATTCCAGGTGTGAGCCATCACGACCAGCCAGGGATCTCACCATTCTTAAGTGCCTCTCATTGAATTCTCCTGTTGATAGTTGCATTGATTTCTCACTCCTTCTTCTACTCTGTCTCTTGCTACATCTGGACCCTCTCTCATTCATTTTCTCAAAGACATTCATCTAGAATGTCTAATTTTTGTGGTTGGGATCAATACAGTTCACTTGCTTTATGGGGTGGGAGGAGTGTAACTTTTCTTTAAACTGAATTCTAAGCAGTTTTCAGTTTTAACTCACTACAGTCTCCATGCTATATTCTGAATGTTTATATCCCCCAAAATTCATATGTTGAAATCCTAACCCCTAAGGTGATGGTATTAGGAGGTGAGCCTTTGAGAGATGATTAGGTCTTGACAGTGGAGTTCTCATGACTGGGATTAGTGCCCTTATAAAAGGGACCCCAGGCTGGATGTGGTGGCTCACGCTTGTAATGGTTCAGCTACCAAGGCCCCCAAAGTGTTGAGATCGCTTGAGCCCAGTGGTTTGAGACCAGCCTGGGCAACATAGTGAGACGACATCTCCACTTAAAATTGAAATAATAATAAATAAATAAAAAGGACCCCAGAGAGATCCCCTGCCACTTATCATAGGAAGGCACAGTGAAAAGACAGCTATCTAGAAAAGCAGGTCCTCTCCAGACACTTGAATCTACCAGCATTTTGATCTTGGACTTCGGTACCATGTTACAACAGCCATACATTGTGCTACTGATATTCCATATATAATTGACATTTTCAGGGTTTTTTGTTTTGTTTTTTGTTTTTTTGTTTTTTTTTTTTTTGAGACAAAGGCTCGCTCTGTCGCCCAGGCTGGAGTGCAGTGGCACGATCTTGGCTCACTGCAACCTCCGCCTCCCGGGTTCAAGTGATTATCCTGCCTCAGCCTGTTGAGTAGCTGGGACTACAGGCATGCACCACCACGCGCAGCTAATTTTTGTATTTTTAGTAGAGATGGGGTTTTGCCATTTTGGCCAGGCTGGTCTCGAATGCCTGACCTCAAGTGATCTGCCCACCTTGGCCTCCCAAAGTGTTGGGATTACAAGAGTGAGCCACCACTGCACCTGGTCTCTTTTCTATTCGTTTTGTTTTTTGTTTAAATAAAGACAGGGGTCTCCTTATGTTGCCCAGGCTGGTCTGGAACTCCTGACCTCAAGTGATCTGCCTCCCTCACCCTCCCAACGTGCTGGGATTACAGGCATGAGGCACTGAAACTGGCAGAATTTGAAGGTGAGGATTTGGGCTTGGCAGGGAAAGTCCACGCAGAGCAGAGCTATGAGGAAGACTGAAGCCCAAGCCCAAGGTCTCTCATGACAGTTAGGCCATTTTTGGTAAAAGATCTGAAAGTCTGAATTTGGGGATCCTGTAAATAAAACGTTCATGGGTAGGGCTGAATCCAGGATGCAAATGAAGCCATCATGAGTCTGTTTTTCTCCCTTTCTTGACTTCTGCTTGCCGTTTGTTGGCCCCAGCCTCAGGCTTCATGTAGCAGGGACACGATGGATGTCATTCAGGTACCTGGGTCCCCTCAGACTTCCAGTGAGAGGAGTCAGAAGCAAGACTCTCTTTCCCCATATTCTTTTTTTTTTTTTAAAGACGAAGTCTCACTCTGTTGCCCCAGGCTGGAGTGCATTGACACCATCTGGGCTCGCTGCAACCTCTGCCTCCTGGGTTCAAGCGATTCTCATGCCTCAGCCTCCCGAGTAGCTGGGATTACAGGCATGCGCTAGCACGTCCGGCTAATTTTTGTATTTTTAATAGAGACGGGGTTTCATCATGTTGGCCAGGCTGGTCTGGAGCTCCTGACCTCAGGTGATCTGCTCGCCTTGGCCTCCCAAAGTGCTGGGATTACAGGCGTGAGCCACCGCACCTGGCTTCTTTCCCCAGATTCTTAGCCCAAATTACATTGTGACTCTTGGGCTGTGACTAGGTCACATGATCTCTTTGAACCAATCACTGTGTCCAGATGAATGCAATGCACTCATTGTCTAAGGCTGGGAACACATTTTGGGCACAGGGAATGGCCTTTCAAAACTGTACATCAAATCATGTCCCTTTCCAGTCTGAGGTCCTATCCAGCAATGATTCTCAACCAGGTCGAGTTTGCCCTCCCAGGGGACATTTGGCAACGTAGGGAGGCATTTTTGGTTGTCACAACGTCAGGGTGTGTGTGCAGGTACATTCCTGGCATTTGGTGGGTAGGGGCCAGGAATGAGGCTAAAACATCCTGCAATGGGTCAGGTATGTTGGCTCAAACCTGTAATTCCGGAGCTTTGGGAAGCCGCGGCAGGAGGATTGCTTGAGCCCAGGAGTTTGACACCAGCCTGGGCAAAATGACAAAACACCATATCTACAAAGAAAAATACAAAAATTAGCTAGGCATGGTGGCACGTGCCTGTGGTCCCAGCTACTAGGAAGGTTGAGGCAAGAAGATCCCTTGATCCCAGGAGTATGAGGCTGTCGTGAGCTCTGATCATGCCATGCCACTCCAGCCTGGGTGACAGAGGGAAACCCTGTCTCAAAGAAACAAACAAACAAACAGGCCAAGCATGGTGGCTCACACCTGTAATCGCAGCACTTTGGGAGCCTGAGGCAGGCAGATCGCTTGAGCCAGGAGGATTGCTTGAGCCCAGGAGTTCGAGGCTGCAGTGAGCTATGATCACACCACTGCACTCTGCACTCCAGCATGAACAACAGAGCAAGACCTTCTCCAGAAAAAAATAAAACCCCTCAAAACCAGACAAAGATATCTGCAAAGATAACAGGAAATAATATTTCTCCCAAGGACACTGCAGCTGTCAAGTGCCATGGTGACTTCCTACTGTGAACCACTGCTTTCTGACTTGCTGAGAAACTTTGTTCCAGGAAATCATAGATAATTTGCAGTTTGAAAATATATCAGTGCAGGCCGGGTGCAGTGGCTCACGCCTGTAATCCCAGCACTTTGGGAGGCCAAGGCAGGTGGATCACCTGAGGTCAGGAGTTCGAGACCAGCCTGACCAACATGGTGAAACCCCCGTCTCTACTAAAAACACTTAAGTTAGCCAGGCATGGTGGCGGGTGCCTGTAATTGCAGCTACTTGGGAGGCTGAGGCAGAACTGCTTGACCCTGGGAGGTAGAGGTTGCAGTGAACTGAGATCGTGCCATTGTACTTCAGTCTGGGCGACAAGACCAAAACTCTGTCTCAAAAAAAAAAAAAAAAAAAAAAAAGAAAAGAAAAAAGAAAAGAAAAGAAAATATGTCAGTACAAATGAAATTTTTTCTTCTTGCTTGGAGGATCTGGGCAGTTGGATACCCAGGCACAGCAATTCAGATAAGGGTTCCCTGAACAAAGTGGTCCACATTTACTAAACTTTAGAAGTTAATTTTTGCCTTTGTTTGGTGAAGCAACCCACAGCTGCTCAGTTGCTCTGGTGTCCCTCTCCCTCCTTTTTTTTTTTTTTTTTTTTTTGAGACAGGGTCTCACTCTGTTGCCCAGGCTGCAGTGCAGTGGTGCAATCACAGCTCAGTAGAACCTCTACCTCCTGGGCTCAAGCAATCCTCCCACCTCAGCCTCCCGAGTAGCTGGGAATACAGGCATGTACCACCATGCTTGGCTAATTTTTGTATTGTTTGTGGAGATGGGGTTTTGCCATGTTGCCCCAGCTGGTCTTGAACTCCTAGCTTCAAGTGATCCCCCAGCCTCGGCCTCCCAAAGTGCTGGGATTATAGGCGTGAGCCACCATCCAGCCTTTCCTTGTTTTCAATAAATGAATAAACCTGACTTTCTCACTAAAGGTTAGTCCCTGGTGGCCAGGCTGGTCTCGAACTCCTGGGCTCAAGCAATCCTCCCACCTCGGCCTCTCAAAGTGCTGGGATTATATGTGTGAGCCATCACGCTCAGCCTCATTTATGTATTTGTTATGGCTGCCTTTGCACTCCCATGATAGATGTGAGAAATGGTGGCAGAGACTGCAGGGCCTGCAAAGCCTAAAAAATTTACAATCTGGCTCTTTACAGAAAAACTTTGCTGACCCCTGGTCTAAATGTTCTGAGTACATAAGTGAGCAAAACATAGCTAAATCCCTCCATCATGGAGCTGAAATTCTAGTGGGAAAAAGAAAAGGATTTACATACTTACAAGACACCATAAATACATCTAGTATATGACTTGTATATAACTTAGGGTAATTAAATGGTAAGAAAAGAAGTGGCCGGGCATGGTGGCTCACACCTGTAATCCCAGCACTTTGGGGGGCCGAGGTGGGCGGGTCACCTGAGGCCAGGAGTTCAAGACCAGCCTGGCCAACATGGCAAAACCCTATCTCTACTAAAAATACAAAAATTAGCTGGGCGTGGTGGTGCCAACCCGTAATCCCAGCTGCTCGGGAAGCTAAGGTGGGAGGAAGCACCATGCCCGGCCTGCTTCCACTTTTTGGCTACTGTGAATAATGCTGTTGTGAACATGGGTGTACAAATATCTGTTCAAACCCCTGCTTTCACTACTTCTTTTTTTTTTTTTTTGAGACGGAGTTTCACTCTTGATGCCCAGGCTGGAGTGCAATGGTGCAATCTTGGCTCACCACAACCTCTGCCTCCTGGGTTCAAGCGATTCTCCTGCCTCAGCCTCCTGAGTATCTGGGATTACAGGCACGCGCCACTGTGCCCGGCTAATTTTATATTTTTAGTAGAGAGAGGATTTCTCCTTGTTGGTCAGGTTGGTCTCGAACTCATGACTTCAGGTAATGCACCTGCTTCGGGATCCCAAAGTGCTGGGATTACAGACGTGAGCCACTGCGCCCGGCCTCTCTTATTTTGGTTATATACCTAGAAGTAGAATTGTTGTATTTTTTTCCAGCAGGATTTTATACCAAGGACAAAGGGAGGCCATGGGAAGCTGCATGCAGGGTGCTTTACTAGGTCCCCTGGGGCTGCTGTGAGGCATTCTGATTGTAGTGGGGAAAGAAAGGAAGTGGGGAGACCAAGGAGGAGGTAGGTACAGAAGTTCAGGTCACAGGTAGCAGCAGCTTCAAGGTCCCAATCTGGGCCAGGCGCTCACGCCTGTAATCCTAGCACTTTGGGAGGCCAAGGCGGGCGGATCACTTGAGGTCAGGAGTTCAAGACCAGCCTGGCCAACATGGTGAAACCCCGTCTCTACCAAAAATACAAAAATTGGCTGGGCGTGGTGGTGTGTGCCTGTAGTCCCAGCTACTTAAGAGACTGAGGCAGGAGAATCGCTTGAACCTGGGAGATGCAGGTTGCGGCGAGCCAAGATCCTGCCACTGCACTCCAGCCTGGGCGACAGAGCGAGACTCTATCTTAAAAAAAAATAAAAATAAAATTAAAAAAATGCTCTCAGTCTGGCAGGGGAGGCCATATGGAGCAAATAAATAAATGAATGATTACAAATAGTGAAAAGTACTCCTAAATAAATGAACAAGAACAGAGTGCTGTGATTACAGGAAATAAAAAGAGGAACTCTGGCATTCTCTGTGCTACCTATCAGTTTAGTGATGCTTGAAATCCAAAATTCAAATCTTGCATTTTAATCATGAATCACTTTGCTGCCAGTTGAGTGGGTTTGATGCAGGGCCGAGTCTGTTGGTCTAAGGGTTTGTTACATTGTGAGAGCCCCTAATGGGGAGGAAGGGGCTTAGAAATAAGGCAAAGGGGGTGGTTTGAGCCTGTGGCTGAAAGAGTTGCACAGAGAGGCTTGGTGGTTAGGAGCAGAGCTGAGCCTTATCTCTGCCACATCCCAGCTGCTGGATCTGCAACAAATTACTTCTTCCCTCTAAACCCAGTTTCCGCTTTTGGAAAATGGTAGACTAATTGGTTTGGTCTATAATTACTTCCTTCTTTGTTTTGGTCACTCCTGTGTCTACAGCACCTAATACAGTATCCGGCACACAGGAGACTCGCAATAAATTTCTTTCTTGCTTTTCTTTCTTTCCTTGTCTTTCCCTCCTTCCCTCCCTCCCTTCTTTCTTTCTCGCTGTCTGTCTTTCTCGCTCTTTCTCTTTCTTTCTTTCTCTCTCTCTCTTTTCTTTCTTTCTCTCTCTCTCTTTCTTTCCTTTCTTGATGGAGTCTCACTCTGTCTCTGAGACTGGAGTGCAGTGGCGCCATCTCGGCTCACCTCAACCTCTGCCTCCTGGGTTCAAGTGATTCTCCTGCCTCCACCTCCTGAGTAGCTTGGATTACAGGCATGCGCCACCATGCCTGGCTAATTTTTGTATTTTTAGTAGAGACGGTGTTTCACCATATTGGTCAGGCTGGTCTTGAACTCCTGACCTCAGGTGATCCACCCGCTTCGGCCTCCCAGAGTGTTGGGATTACAGGCGTGAGCCACCGTGCCCGACTCTCGTTTATTTATTTTCTATTTTAAAAATTTTAATTGAGGCTGCGCACAGTGGCTCATGCCTGTAATCCCAGCGCTTTGGGAGGCTAAGGCAGGAGGGTCGCCTGCGGCCAGGAGTTCAAGACCAACTTGGGTAACGTAGTGAGATCCCATTTTACATAAATATTGCAAAAAATGTTAGTCAGGCGTGGTGGTGTCCCCCATAGTCACAGCTACTTGGGGGGCTAAGGCAGGAAGATTGCTTGAGTCCAAGAGTTTGAGGCTACAGTGAGCACCCACTGCTCTCTAGCCTGAAGAACAGAGCAAGAGCAAGATCATAGCTCAAAAAAATTTTTTTAATTGAGTTTAACTTTCATAGAGCAAAGTACAGCAACTTTAAATGTCCTCTTGATGAAGTTTTTTTTTTTTTTTTGAGACGGAGTCTCACTCTGTTGCCCAGGCTGGAGTGCCGTGGCACGATCTCGGCTCACTGCAATCTCTGCCTCCTGGGTTCAAGTGATTCTCCTGCTGCAGCCTCCAGAGTAGCTGGCATTACAGGCATGCACCAGGACACCTAATTTATGTATTTTTAGTAGAGATGCGGGTCTGCCATGTTGGCCAGGCTGGTCTTGAACTCCTGACCTCAAGTGATCCACCCACCTTGGCTTCCCAAAGTGATGGGTGGGATTACAGGCATGAGCCACTGCACCTAGCCAAGCTCAATGAATTTTAAAATATAAATGTGTGTGTACGTGTGTGTGTGTGTGTGTGTGTGTGTGTATATATATATATATATATATATATGTTTAAAACCACATAACTACCACCAAATCAAGTTATAGAACATTTACATCTCCCTAGGACATTTCTTCCTATCTTGACTTTGATCAACATATGTTGTTGTTATTATTATTATTATTATTATTATTATTATTATTATTATTCAGAGACAGGGTCTACCTCTGTTGCCCAGGCTGGAGTGCAGTGTTGCAATCGTACACAATTCACCGCAGTCTGGAACTCTGGGGCTCAAGCAATTCTCCTATCTCAGTTTCCTGAGTAGCTAGGACCACAGGTGTGTGCCAATATGCCCAGCTAATCTTTAAAATTGTTTTGTTGAGGCAGGCATGGTGGCTCACGCCTGTAACCCCAGCACTTTGGGAGGCCGAGGCAGGTGGATCACAAGGTCAGGAGTTTGAGACCAGCCTGGCCAACATGGTGAAACGCCGTCTCTACTAAAGATACAAAAAAATTAGCCAGGCACCGTGGCACGCACCTGTAATCCCAGCTACTTGGGAAACTGGGGCAGGAGAATCACTTGAACCCGGAAGGCAGAGGTTGCAGTGAGCTGAGATCATGCCTCCGCACTCCAACCTGGGCCAAAGGGAGAGAGTCTGTCTCAAAAAATAAAAAAAAAAAAGAAATTTGTTTTGTAGAAATGAGGTCTCACTATGTTGCCCAGGCTGGTCTCAAACTTCTGGCCTGATGAGCAATCCGCCTGCCTGGGCCTCCCAGATTGCTGGTATTACAGACATGAGCCACAGTGCCTGGCTCTTGAATAATGTATATTAGTTTTGCCTATTGTTGAACATCGTGTAAATGAGATCATGGCAAATATGCTCTTTTGTGTCTGCCTTGTTTTGCTCCTTGTTGTGTTTTGTGGGATTCATACATATTGTTGCTATTATGAACATTTTTTGTAGATGTGTTTTGGTGGATGTAAGCTCACCTTTCTTTTGGAGGCGAGTGGAATTTCTGTGTCACTATGTAATTGTATGTTTCACTTTAGCACGAATTATTAGTTTTCTTTCTTTTTTGGAGATGGAGTCTCACTCTGTCACCTAGGCTGGAGTGAAGTGGTGCGATCTTGGCTCAGAGCAACCTGTGCCTCCTGGGTTCAAGTGAGTGTTGTGCCTCAGCTCCCCAAGTAGCTGAGACTATAGGCATGTGCCACAACGCCCAGCTAATTTTATTTTATTTTATTTTACTTTTGAGACAGAGTCTCACTCTGTCGCCCAGGCTGGAGCGCGGTGGCGCGATCTTAGCTCACTGCAACCTGCGCCTCCCAGGTTCAAGCAGTTCTCCTGCCTTAGCCTCCCGAGTAGCTCGGATTACAGGCATGTGCCACCATGCCTGGCTAATTTTTTTGTATTGTTAATAGAGATGGGGTTTCCTCATGTCAGCCAGGCTGGTCTTGAACTCCTGAGCTCAGGCAATCCACCCACCTTGGCCCACCTTTTTGTATTTTTTGTAGAGATGGGGTTTCACCATGTTGCTCAGGCTGGTCTCAATCTCCTGAGCTCAAGAGATCCACCTGCCTCGGCCACCCAAAGTGCTGGGATTACAGGCATGAGCCACTGCACCCAGCCAAATTGTTAGTTTTCCAAAGTAGTTAAGCCAATTTATATACCTCCCAACAGAGCGTGCCTTTTCCAGTTAATCCACGTCTTTGTCTGCACTCGTAATTTTCAGTCTTTGTTTCCAGTCACTCTGGTGGGTGTATGATGGTATTTCACTGGGGTTTTATTTGCATTTCCCTGATGACTAATGAAGTTGAGCATGTTTTCATGTGCTTGCTCAATAAATATTTGTTGAAAGGATGAATAAAGAGTGAATGAATAAAACATGGAAAGAAATCCAACTCTGTCTTGTGCCCTGCCTAAAACCCACCAGTGGTTCCCACTGCCCCTCCTTTGGCCGACGGGTACCTGCCTGCCCTGGCTCCTTCTGACCCCACCTGCTCCGGATGGATTTCTTTTGCTTCTTCTCTGGGTTCCTGCCATCCAGGCTGTCTTCAGTTTCCTCCAAGGACCCTCCCTGCTTCATAACTTTGCTATAAACTGTTTTCTTCTGCCCAGAACACAACCCAGGCCCAAGGAACCCAGACGCGTTCCTTGTATCTCAGTTTGAAAGCCTCTTCCTCCAGGAAGCCTTCTCTGACTTCCACCCCCCAGCAAGGGTGGTATAAATTGCTAACTTAGGCCCACTTTTGCCCACTTTTTTTGTTTGTGTTTTTGAGATGGAGTCACACTTTGTCGTCCAGGCTGGAGTGCAGTGGGGCCATCTCAGCTCACTGCAACCTCCATCTCCTGGGTTCAAGTGATTCTCCTGCCTTAGCTTCCTGAATAGCTGGGATTACAGGCACCCACCACCATGTCCAGCTAATTTTTGTATTTTTACATTTATTTATTTATTTATTTGAGATAGAGTATTGCTTTGTCGCCCAGGCTGGAGTGCAGTGGCATGATCTTGGCTTACTGCAACCTCCGCCTCCCAGGTTCAAGTGATTCTCCTGCCTCAGCCTCCCGAGTAGCTGAGCCTGCAGGTGCCTGCCACCACACCCAGCTAATTTTTGTATTTTTAGTAGAGATGGGGTTTTACCATCGGTCAGACTGGTCTCGAACTCCTGACCTTAAGTGATCTGCCTGCCTTGGCCTCCCAAAGTGCTGGGATTACAGGCGTGAGCCACCATGCCCGGCCACCACTTTTTTTTTCTAGCTGTGACCATAGTTGTACATATCTCCCCTTCCCTGGCTTTTTTTTTTGTTTTTTTTTTCCTGAGACAGGATCTCGCTGTGTTACCCAGGCTGCAGTGCAGCGGTGCAATCATAGCTCACTGTAGCCTTGAACTCCTGGGCCAAATGAGCCTCCCACCTCGGCCTCCCAAAGCACTGAGATTACATGCGTGAGTCACTACTTCTGGCCTGTAAATACCCTTTCAAAAATATAATATTTGATTAACATCTGCCATCTTACCATAAGAAACACTTAAAAAAATCCCAATCCAAAAAAATTCCAATCCTTTAAGCTATATAAGAGTAGCAATTTTATCTTGTTCCTAGCAAGACATCTGGCATATAGTAAATGCTCAATAAATATTTGTTGACAGTATAAAGGTCAAGCAACAGCATAACTGGCATTATTACATGAAAGTAATTATCCCTTAGAAACTCATTCACCCTTGGGGGACCCGGGCCAATAAAAAAATCACAGAAAACAATCCTATCTACCTTCCTCCTTCCTCCTTCCCTCGCTAGGTCCTTTGATTGGGGGGAGGTCTCAAATGCACACACTGTTTCTGTTTTATTTGGTGCAGCTGTTGTGTGCATGTGTTATGGAAACCCACATCAGGCAGGAGATTAAGGAGGAGAGGAGAAAAGAAAGGCATCGCTGGTATCACAGTGAAATTTACACTCTGCGGCCTCGCCCTAGCTCCTCTGTCTCTACCTGTCTGCCTATGAAACAGTTCAAAACTAATATGGCGCAATGGATGGTATTATAGACTTCCCACCTCCCTGGCCAGACTTCTTGGGTTCAAAGTTTGGCTTAATCACTTACCATCTAAATAATCCCTGACAATGTACTCTGTCTTTCTGGGCCTTAGTGGCCTCATCTGCAAAATGGGGATAATACTACTTCTTACCTCATGGGGTTGTGAGGATTGCACAAGTTAATTTGTGTAAATTGCTAAGAACACAGCCTTAGGAAGCCTTGTCACTGTGAATGCATATTAATTTTTTTTATTATTATTTTTTGAGACAGAGTCTTGCTCTGTTGCCCAGGCTGGAGTGCAGTGGTGTGATCTAAGCTCATTTCAACCTCCGCCTCCCAGGTTCAAGTGATTCTCCTGTTTCAGCTTCTCAAGTAGCTGGGACTACAGGTGCCCGCCACCATGCCCGGCTAATTTTTGTGTTTTTAGTAGAGACAGGGTTTTGCTATGTTGGCTAGGCTGGTCTTGAACTCCTGACCTTATGTGATCGGCCCGCCTCGGCTTCCCAAAGTGCTTGATTACAAGCACGAGCCACCATGCCTGGCCTACGATTATCATGTCTCCAGGCTTCAGTTTCCTTACCTCTGAGGTGAGGATCAATAACCTGGTTATTTCTAAGTGATGCTTAAAGAGGTTGAGAAGAAGCAAAGGCGCTCTGCACACAGGTGAGGTCAACAGCTGTTAGTGATGGAGACTGGCGCCGTCTGGGTCATCAGTGCTCCGGAATCAGGCTGCTCACGGGTTTGAATCTCACTTCCACTTTCACTCCTTATTAACTGTGTGACCTCGGGCAAGTCACTTCGCCTTTCTGAACCTCAGTTTCCCCATCTGTAAAAGGTAGGTGAATAACAGTATTCACCTCCTTCTGTGTGACTCAGCTTTGGAGTCAGCGGACCGGGTTCAAATCCCAGCCCTGCAAGTGATTAGCCAGGTGACCCTGGGCAGAGGGAATCACTCAACCTCTCTGCACCTGGGTTTCTTCCTTCATGAACGTGGAGACTTTACAGGATGAAATGAGGGCACAGTTAAGGCGCCCGGTACACTCCAGGCAGGTAGGGGGCTCCGTTCACGTTATTTTCCCCTGGTGACGGATACTGTCCTTAAACAGCATTTGAAAAGTGGTCGCAGGGTGTGTGGCCCCAAAGATCCCAGGCGCTTCCGGAAGGCGAGCCAACGCTCCCCAGGCCCGTCCGCGAGCGGGTGGGCCTAAGCCTTGGAGGATCTGGGGTGGGGGTGGCGCGGGGTCCAGGCCCGGGGCGCCGAGAGGTGGCTGGTCCGGCTGCCCACGCCGAGACGCGCGAGGTGAGCGGGCGCCGGGGCGGGGCGGGGTGGGGCGGGGCCGCCGCATCCCCGTGACGCGCGGGCCAACCAGGCGGCGTTGCGGCCCCGGCCCCGGCTCCCTGCGCCGCCGCCGCCGCCGCCGCCAGCGCTAGCGCCAGCAGCCGGGCCCGATCACCCGCCGCCCGGTGCCCGCCGCCGCCCGCGCCAGCAACCGGGCCCGATCACCCGCCGCCCGGTGCCCGCCGCCGCCCGCGCCACCGGCATGGCGCTCCGGGGCTTCTGCAGCGCCGATGGCTCCGACCCGCTCTGGGTACGTGCCGGGGGCCGCGTGAGGCCGGCGGGACGGAGGGAGGCCGGCGGGGAGGGAAAGCACCGGGCCCGCAGCCGCCCGGGGCACCCCGCTCCCCGCTCTGCTGCCGGCCTCGGGGGCCCGGGACCCTCACGTCGCCCGCGGCCCAGCCCCTTTCGGGGGTGCAAGGCATGGGGGAAACTTGGGTGACTCAGTTCCTGCGGAGCAGAGCGTGGGGGGCCGCGTGCCCAGCCCTGGGGTTTTGGAGGGTCGGGTCGGGTCAGAGCCGCCGTGAGGAGGCCTTCCTGTTTTGGGGTTCCCGTCTGTAAAAACAACCTTCCAGGGAAGGGGACGCTAGAGATGGGGGGCGGGAAGAGGGGTGTCTCTCTGCTTCTGTTTTCCCATCTTTTTTGTGGTTAGGGTCCCCCCTTTTCACGAAAAATACTCCGTGACCAACGGGGTGAGCTGGGGAGGGGCTTAGATTGTAGAAAGGGACTTTCATTGTCTCCCCAAAGTTGTCGTACAAGCCACATTACTCTTCTGTGGTTACCTAGCTTTGTTTTTTTTGTTCTTTCTACTTAGATACTGCGGGGGAAGTTTGGGGGAACCAGGGAAGAAGGGGGATGTCCACCCTTGATGTGCCCTACCTGACCCTCGGCTCGGGGCAGACTTGGGGTGCAGCTGAGGACGCCCAGGACCCTGGTAGCTGTGGTCCTGCCCTCCCTTCCCTGCAACACGTGGAGCTCCTCTCTGGGGATGCCCCTTAGATTTAACCCCGGCAAGTTTTCTTCTGTAACGTGGCCTGCGGAGCCTGACTGGGTGTCTGGAGTCCACTTGCTGTGGTTTAAGCCCCAGTCTTTTGGGCTTCAGCTTCTCCGTAATGCGATTTGCCTCTTTGTTCCAGGAAGGCAGGCACTTCTGTCTCGTGCTGTCTTGATTGTTGGTGAACGCAGTAGGCAAATCTGGACACGACTGTTTCTCTCTCCTCTTTTGTTTAGGAATCAGGAGAAACAGCCTTGGTTCTTAGGAGCTGGTGATCAGCTTCCAAAAATACTTTCTTGTCCTGTTTTGCCGGCCTTTCCTCGAGGGTTGCATTTGGAGTGTTGAAAAGTCATCCTCCAGGGCCCCATTGGAGGGTTTGGTTTTGTTTGTTTGTTTTTTTTAGTAGGGTATCATTGTGTTTAATAACCTACCACACTTTGATATATCTCCCATTTTAAGCCAGTGGGGTTGGAGAGTAACCCCAGGGGTGGAAATAGAACACAGACTTTGCCTTGAGGGTCTGGGGGTGATTGGAGCCTCTTTGCAGATGGACTTTCTTTAGCAGGGGAAAACCTGTGGCTTCCTTGTTGCCAGGTGTAGTAACAGCAAGATTATTTTTTGCAAAGATTCACATGGTGATCTGGGTTTGTGTTGCTGTGAATTCCAGAATATTCTCTTGTTTATTTTCTTCTGAATTGAGGAGGGGGCAAAACAGGGTGAACATCCATGAGGTTTTGTATCAGGACGTATTTTATTGATGGCAATTGGTAGTTGATGGCTAATGAGTATGTTTGGGGTGCGCTTTGTTTATCTTAAGAAACTCATTCACGAAGTCCAGTTGTAATATTTTTTAAAATTTTTATTTTCTTTTTTCTTTTTATTTTTTCCTTCGTTAAGGACTTTCTGCCACAGAAATTGCCAGGTGGTTGGGTTTTGCTTGGGGGTAATTGTAGCTGATCTCTGCCTCTGGTAGGTACCCCATCCCCGTGTTTGACCTTGCGTATTTCTGCTGTCTGGATTCCAAGACTTGTTGGAGGTGCCTTGGAACCAGAATTTGAGAGGAGGCAACTGGGGCCTGAGTGGGAAAATTGAAATATAATTAACTGAAAGCTAGAAAGTAGGTAGTTGTTGCTTTTTTCTTTTCTTTTTTTTTTCTTTTTCTTTTTTGAGACAGAGTCTTGCTCTGTCACCCAGGCTGGAGTGCAGTGGCACGATCTCAGCTTACTGCAATCTCTGCCTCCCCGGCTCAAGTGGTCCTCCTAACTCAGCCTCCCAAGTACCTGGGACTATAGGCGTGTGCCACCACGCCCAGCTAATTTTTGTATTTTTTATAGAGACAGATTCGCACTATATTGCCCAGGCTGGTCTCCTACTCCTGGGCTCAAGCGATCCTCCTGCCTTGGCCTCCAAAAGTGTTGAGATTACAGGCATGGGCCTCTGTGCCCGGCTGTTTTTGTGTTTTTCAAGGTAGCGTGTCCGAGGCCAGGAGCGACTGGCCTCCCAGGCAGTCAGATAACTGTGTGACCTTGAGCAAGCCACTTTCCCTCTGTGTGCCTCACTTTCCTCATCTCTAAAATTGGACAGGAGCCAAAAATGTGGCAGCCTTCTTGGGTTGTTGCGAAGGGTCAATGAGTTAATCTTGTAAGTGGCTCAGCTTGTGCCCTGCACGGAGATAAACAATGGTTAGTATTAAATATTATTTTTTCCAAAGATGAAGTTGTGTGTTTTAAGCTCCTTGTTCTTCCTTTGGATTCCCCTTTTCTTCAGCTGGTGGAGATGGGATTGGGCTGTGAAAAGGCAGTGAGGCACCCGTGCCTGGCTCCTGTTGTGACCAAGGTCATGTGCTTAGAAGTCAAGGTCAGTGGGCCTCGGGTGACTCTGTCAGAGCTTTGTTTCTGGGCTACTGTCTGCCTCTGAGCCGCAGGAAATGTCCAGAAAACCCAGAAGATGGAAATGGCCCATGATAAGTGTTCTGTTGACCTTTACTCAGACAGATGCTCTGGGAAGAGAAAAGGAGAACTTTGCTATCAAAACGGAAAATAGGGCCTGAGGACAGGTCACAGCAGCCCTTGGCTTTCTTTTCTCATGGGGGTGGGACTGGTAGGAGGCGCTGCTTTGTGGTTGATATTGGCATGATGGTTGGAAAAATGGGCCTGGGACTTTTTGTGAGTTCATTAAAAAAAAAAAAAAAAAAAAAAAAAAAAGCAGGCCGGGTGCAGTGGCTCACGCCTGTAATCCCAGCACTTTGGGAGGCTGAGGCAGGCGGATTGCTTGAGGTCAGGAGTTCGAGACCAGCCTAGGCAACATGGATTGACCCCCGTCTCTACTAATAATACCAAAAAAAAAAAAAAAGCCTGGCATGGTGGTGTGGCACCTGTGGTCCCGGCTACTAGGGAGGCTGAGGCACTAGAATCACTTGAAGGCTGTGGGGGTGGAGGTTGCAATGAGCTGAGATCACGGTCACTGCACTCCAGTCTGGGCCACAGACTGAGACCCTGTCTCAAAAAAAAGAGGGCCGGGTGTAGTAGATCATGCCTGTAATCCCAGCACTTTGGGAGGCCAAGGCAGGCGGATCACCTGAGGTCAGGGGTTCAAGACCAGCCTGACCAACATGGCAAAACCCCATCCCTACTAAAAATACAAAAATTAGCTGGGCCTGGTGATTCACGCCTGTAATTCCAGCTACTTGGGAGGCTGAGGCAGGAGAATTGCTTGAACCTGGGAAGAGGTTGCAGTGAGCTGAGATCACATCACTGCACTCCAACCTGGGCGACAGAGAGACTGTCTCAAAAGAAAAAAAAAATTGTGCTTCAGGCCCTGTGTAGAAAAATTGGAAATTATGGAAAAGCAGAGGAAACAACTTGGTATTAAGCAGTATAGTGTGGTGGCTCAGAGCAAATTCGCCTCTGCTGCTGAGGCAGGTTACGTCATCTCTCCGTGCCTCAGTTTCCCTATGTGGGATAACGTAGTACCTAGTGAATAGCGGTGACTTGAGGAATAAGTGAGTTAATCCTTAGCAAGGACTTAAAATGTTGCTGCTTGGCACACAGCGCTCAGTAAAGATCAGTGGTCGTTGCCACCTGGAATTCTCCAGTTAATTTTTGCTGTTGCACCAACTGCCACTGGAGAAGACCAGAAGGAAGCTGCAGGTGTGTGTCACCGTCGATGGAGTGAGCTGGTCCCAGGGTTGATGTGCACCTCTGAGATGCTCTGTGGCATCCACCAACTCAGTAACCCCCTGAATATCTGACTTAGCCGCCAAGGAAGAATATCTTAGAAGCTATTAGGAATTCCTCTTGGGGCTAGGTCTGGGCCTTGGAGTCAGTCTGATCCCTGGTTTAATTCTTCCCCTTGGCTCAACAGCAGTGTACGACGAGCCAATTTTTCCCCTCCTCCAAGTGTGGCTTTGGTTTTCAAATCCATCCCTTAGCCTTCTCCTACTTCCTCTGTTTTCCCCTCCCCACCCTTTTTTTTTTTTTTTTTTTGAGATGGTGTCTTGCTGTGTCGCCCAGGCTAGGGTGCAGTGGTGTGATCTCGGTTCACTACAACCTCTGCCTGCTGCGTTCACATGATTCCCCTGCCTCAGGCTCCCGAGTAGCTGGGATTACAGGCGCACAGCCACCATGCCTGGCTAAGTTTTGTATTTTTACAAAACTTTACAAAACCCCCATAGAGACGGGGTTTCATCATGTTGGCCAGGCTGGTCTTGAACTCCTGACCTCAAGTGGTCAACCTGCCTCAGCCTCCCAAAGTGTTGGGGATTGCAAGCGTGAGCCACCGCGCTCAGCCTGTTTTCCCCCTTTTTGGCTGCCCCTCCTTCCAGACCCTTCCTCTCTCCCTTCCTTATGGAGTGTTAGAGTGGAAAGGGATGTCAGATCTTGGGGGGCCCTCCTCTCCACCCACCCCATTTCGTGGATGTGGACACTGAGGTCCAGGATGGTGACATGACAGGGTGCAAGGTGGCAAGGTGAATGGCTTTGGGAGGAGATGAGGGTGACCCGGGAGAGGCCTGGGCAGGAGTGGACTCAGGGGTTCCTGGTCCAAATGGGTTCGTGATTCAGGCCAATCAGGAGCGGATTCAGGGTTCCTTGGCCAAATGGAGCCACTGCAGCCACAGGGGCCCTGCAGAAGGCAGCTGCAGCCGGTCCCTTTGGCCAAGACTCTCCTGAAGGGTCGTGTTCTCTTTCTCCGAGGACAAGTTCCATTTGTGATAGCCTGGAGGGGGTGCCTCGCCTTTGGGACCTGGTGGTAGATGGGGGGGAAGAAAACCTTTTCTGTTTGTGGACACAACTTTTAGGAACTGATCTCTCTATGTGGGTGTCTCCCACTGACCATGTTCCTAAAGAACGTGAGCTTCCTCTTCCCATGTCAGTCTCCAGCTTTGACTTCTCTTTTTCTCCTCCCATTCCTATCACATCTGTCAGCAAATCGTGTTGCCCGTTGCCTCAAACGGGCTGCTTTTCATGGCTTCCCCGACTTCCACTCTGGCTCGAGTCATCGTTGGCCAGTTTCTGGATTTGAACAGTCACCTCAGTCCAGGCGCCGTGGCTCATGCCTGTAATCCTGGCACTTCGGGAGGCCAAGGCAGACGGATCATTTGAGGCCAGGAGTTTGAGACCAGTCTGGGCAGAATGGTGAAAACCTGTCTCAACTAAAAATACAAAAATTAGCCGAGCCTGGTGGTGGGCGCCTGTAATCCCAGCTACTTGGGAGGCTGAGGCAGGAGAATCGCTTGAGCCCAGTGGGGTTGGAGGTTGCAGTGAGCCGAGAGTTCGCCACTGCGCTCCAGCCTGGGTGACAGTGAGACTCTGTCTCAAAAAAAAAGAAAACAGCCACCTGTTCGCTGCTGTGCCTACTCTGCCCTTGACCCCTACAGTCTAGTCTTGGCCCAGCTGTCCCTCTTCTACTAAAACCCTGCAGTAGTTCCTTGAGGGTACAAGCCAAAGGGCTTACAGTGGCCTCGAAGGCTGGGCAGCATCTGTCCCCTTGGCCTCCCTGACCTCTTCTCTGGCTGCTTTCTGTCTCACTCTCCTCCAGCCACACTTGTGGCCAGGCCTGTCCCTGCCTCAGGGCCTTTGCACTTGCTGTTTCTCCTACCTACTATGTCCCTCACCTTCAAACTTTGTTCAGGTGTCACCTCAGGCATCCCGTTCTTTCCCTCCACTAGCAAATCTCTGTCCCCCATCTACACCCCCAGTAGCACTTACTGCCTTCTAATACACGTAATATTTTGCTTAAGTATTGTGCCTACTCTGTAAACTCCTACCAAAAGATCGGCTCCATAGGGGCAGGGATTTTGGCCTGTGTTTGTTTACGGCTGTAATCCCAGCACCTAGAACTGTGCCTGGGGCTTAGTAAATAACAGTTGACCTTGGAACAATTCAGGGGTTAGGAGTGCTGATGCCCCATGTAGTTGAAAATTTAGGATGCAGCGCGGTGGCTTACACCTGTAATCTCAGCACTTTGGGAGGCCGAGGCAGGTGGATTACCTGAGGTCAGGAGTTCCAGACTAGTCTGGCCAACATGGTGAAAGCCCATCTCTACAAAAATTAGCCAGGTGTGGTGGCTCATGCCTGTAATCTCAGCACTTTGGGAGGCCAAGGCAGGCAGATCACTTGAGGTCAGGAGTTTGAGACCAGCCTGGCCAACATGGTAAAACCCTGTCTCTACAAAAATTAGCTGGGTGTGGTGGCGGGTGCCTGTAATCCCAGCTACTTGAGAAGCTGAGGCATGAGCATTGCTTGAACCTGGTAGGCGGACACTGCAGTGAGCCGAGATCGCGCCATTGCACTCCAGCTTGGGTGACAGAGTAAGACTCTGTCTAAAAAAAAAAAAACACAATAAAGGAAAGAAAATTCAGGTCTAACTTTCAACTCCCTAAAAGTTTAACTACTAACAGCTTACTGTTGACTGGAAGCCTTACCGAGAACATAAGCAGTTGATAACACTAATTCTGTTGTTGTTGGTTGTTTTTTGATAGAGATGGGGAGCTTGCTGTGTTGCCGAGGCTGGTCTCAAACTCCTGGCCTCAAGCTATTCACCTGCCTCGGCCTCCTAAAGTGCTGGGATTATAGGCGTGAGCCACTGCACTTGGCCTAACTCATACCTTGTATATATATTATATACTGTATTTTTACAGTGAAGCAAGGTAGAGAAAAGAAAATGTTAAGATTAATTCATAAGAGAGATTTTTACTATTTATTAAGTGGAAGTGGATCATCATAAAGGTCTTCATCTTCATTGTCTTCACGTTGAGGAGGCTAAGGAGGAGGAGGAAGGGGAGGGGTTGGTCTTGCTATCTCAGGGATGGCAGAGGCAGAAGCATAATCTGAGTATAAGTGGACCCGTGCAGTTTAAATGTGTGTTGTTCAAGGGTCAGCTGTTTGTTGAATAAATGAATGACATGAAGTATTACAGTGGCTTTTGGGCGGTGTCGAAACTTCTTTGTAAGGATTTTAAGGATGAAATAATCACTTAACTGTCTGGAATGAACACTCAGATAAACTGAGTCCTCCAGCTTTCTCATCAGATGGCTTGTTTTTTTATTTTATTTTTTTGAGACAGGGTCTTGCTCTGTCACCCAGGCTGGAGTGCAGTGGCGCGACCTCAGCTCACTGCAGCCTCAACCTCCTGAGCTCAAGCAATTCTCCCACTTCAGCTCCCCAGGTAGCTGGGACTACAGGCACACACCACCATGCCCAGCTAATTTTTTTTTTTTTTTTTTTTGTAGAGATAGGGTTTTGCCATGTTGCTCAGGTTGGTGGTGAACTCCTGAACTCAGGCGATCTGCCTGCCTTGGCCTCCCAAAGTGCTGGGATTATAGGTGTGAGCCACCGTGCTTGGCAGAACAGCTTCTATTTCATCTTGGAAAGGTCAGAACAGGGTTTTGTCCACCCCTCTTTTCCCAGGACTCAGTGTCTCACACACAGTGGGGGCTCAATCAACATTAGAATTTGAGTGTTTGAGGTATGAGTTCCAAGCTAGGGGTTAGATATAGCTCACCACTGTGCTGGTTTGGCTTGATTTTAATTATAGGAATGACTGTGATTTCCAATTTTATTTATTTATTTATTTGAGACGGAGTCTTGCTCTGTTGCCAGGCTGGAGTGCAGTGGCACGATCTTGGCTCACTGCAACCTCTGCCTCCTGGGTTCAAGCAATTCTGCCTCAGCCTCCCCAGTAGCTGGGACTACAGGGGCACGCCACCACATCCAGCTAATTTTTGTGTTTTTGATAGAAACGGGGTTTCCAGTATGTTGGCCAGCATGGCCTCGATCTCTTGACCTCGTGATCCGCCCGCCTCGGCCTCCTAAAGTGCTGGGATTACAGGCATGAGCCACTGTGGCCCGCCCTACAATGTTTATTCATTGGCAGATTTCACAGAAACATCTGGATTTCTGGCTTCCCTTGAAAAATCAGAAGTTCTGCTAGCCCCAGGCCCACATTTATACATGGTAGCGGTCCGCTGAGGCTGTCCGTTTCTGAGTTGCTCCAGTTTGCCGCAGTCCCCACCCCTCCCTGTTGTTGCTTTAATTTTAAGGCCAAATGTTTGTTGCCTTTGTTTTATTTTATATTATTTTTTTGAGACGAAGTCTCGCTCTGTCACCCAGGCTGGAGTGCAGTAGTGGAATCTCGGCTCACTGCAACCTCTGCCTCCCGGGTTCCAGTGATTCTGCTGCCTCAGCTTCCCGAGTAGCTGGGATTACAGGCCCGCACCACCACACTCGGCTTATTTTTGTATTTTTAGTAGAGATGGGGTTTCTCCATATTGGCCAGGCTGGTCTTGAATTCCTGAACTCAAGTGGATCACTTGAGTTCCTCAGCCTCCCAAAGTGCTGGGATTACAGGCATGAGCCACCGTGCCTGGCCTGTTGCCTTTTTAAAATTGTGCTTCCTCACACCTGGTCTGCTTCTTGCATGGATGGAACCCACTTTGGCACCTGTTGGTATCTGAGTTGGCATCTCCTGCTTTGCAGGCCAACCTTGAAGTTAGCATCTGATTGGTATGTTGGCTTCAGATTTTCATGGCGAAGTAAGGCCTAGCTTTGATGATCAGCTCTTAGTGTGGTCAGTACAACTCTAGCTCGTGAAAACTTGCCCAAACATTTTGCCAAAATTAATTAATGGCCAGACATCCTGAGGCAAGCTTCCCCCCGCTTAGCAAGAAAACTGGGATAGGGCAGCATCCCTGTGGGTGGAGTGGTGCTGGGGACCTGCACTTACCTCTTAGAGGCTGAATGGTTGAACGGGGCCTTTGAGGAAGCTGTATTTTGCGGGTGGGGACATGGAGCACAGTTGCTCAGTGTCGGCCCCGTTGACATGTAGGCCACATCATTCTTTGTGGCCTGGTTGCTGTTCTGTGCAGCGTAGTCTTAGCCCCAAACCTGGCCTCTACCCCCTAGTAGATGCTGGTAGCACCTCCTCTTGTTGTGACAACCGAAAATGCCTCTAGATGTTTCCATATGTTCCCTGGGGTGTGAAATCACACAGCCACTGGTGTGGAGGAATATGGGGGAGAAACATGGAGCAAGACCTTCCTCCTCATCCTGCATTTCCCTAGGAGGTTGTGGGCTGTCGAAATTCTAGTGTAATTGGCTTACTGGGGTTGCCTTGGAGAAGCTTAATGAGACGTTAAGGAGGTTAAACTCCAATTAGCTAGAGAAGAAACTTGCGGCAGTTTCTTTTTTACTGAGGGCTGTGTCTTTTTACCTTTTTCCATTTTCCCAGTTGGAGTTGTGACAGTTCATTCTCCCCTGGGAAAACAAAAATGGCTTTCTTTTTCTTTTTCTTTCTTTTTTCTTTTGAGACAGGGTCTCCCTCTGTCACCCAGGCTGGAGTGCAGTGGCACAATCATAGCTCACTGCAGCCTCGACCTCCTGGGCTGAAGCTATCTTCCCACCTTAGCCTCCCAGGTAGCTGGGACCAGAGGTGCACACCACCATACCCGGCTAATTTTTGTATTTTTTGTAGAGTCAGGGTCTCACCATGTTGCCCAGGCTTGTCTCAAACTCCTGGGCTCAAGCGATCCTCCTGCCTCGGCCTCCCAAAGTGCTGGGATTACAGGCGTGAGCCACCATGCCCAGCCGAAAATGGCTTTCTTGAGAGATCAGCTTTGAAGCTCTACTCCTTCATTTTAAAGTGCCCCAGGAGAAGTGGACGATTACAAAGTTGAGATTCCACTTAAGTGTCCCCTTAGTTTAACTGTGGGATTCATCTCCTGGGGAGGTTGCCAGGTTCTGGAAAGTGGGTGTTAATGACCAGGGAGGGTGCCCCTAGGCTAGCATCCTGTAACCCTCAGGAATTGAGATTTTTATGGAGGTTTTCTCTTCCTCTCTGTGAGTTTTCTCTCTGAGAAACCTGTCTAGGGAGGGAGGCTCTAGGCTAGCATCCTGTAACCCTCAAGTAGTAATTGAGATTTTTATGGAGCTTTTATCTTCCTCTCTGTGAGTTTTCTCTCTGAGGAACCTCAGTGTACCTTTTACTGGCCTCCTAGGTAATACTTGTTTGGAGAATATGTGTGATGTCTAAGTCTTCCCAGTACAAGAAATTTGTGTGGTGTTTGACTGATTGATGGATGGAGTCTTGTTCTGTCGCCCTAGCTGATTGTACCACTGCACTGCAGTCTCGACCTCCCAGGCCAAGTGACCCTCCCAACTCACCCTCCCAAGTAGCTGGGACTACAGGCATGCACCAGCACACCCGGCTAATTTTTGTATTTTTTTTTGTAGAGATGGGGTTTCACTATGTTGCCCAGTTTGGTCTTGAACTCTTGAGCTCAAGCAGTCTCCCAGAGTGCTGGGATTACAGGTGTGAGCCACCACGCCCAGCCTCGTGTGGTCTTTGATACCCCTGGGTTCATTGTATTGTTCTTCCCACACTGCTTTTCATTCATTCATTTATTCAGTCATTATTAATTGAGCAGCTACTATGTGCTGCTGCTGCTCTAGGCACTGAGGATACAACAGTGAACAGGACAGACCAGGCCCATGTTCTCATGGGGTTTACACTGAGGGTGACGGAAATGATTTCAGATGCTGGCAAGTGCTGCAAAGACTTGAACCGGGAAAAACTGGGTGAGGTGCAAACTACTACGGAGGGATGTCCACAGAAGGCCTTTCGGAGGCGGTGAGGTTTGACCCCAGAGCTCAGTGGCAAAGCTGGCCATGCAAGGATGTGGGGGAAGGGAGTCCCAGAGTGGGAAGAGAATGTGCATAGGCCTTGAGGAAGATCATGGTGTGGTTAAAGTATTGAGGAGTTTAACTCAAAGGAACTGCAGAGCCCATCTCATAAAAATCTAGCCTGGAGCATTCGGCAAAATGCATAAAGCACTAACACAATGGCTTGTGGTCCTGGAATTTCCAGGGAAGGCGCTTACCAGCTCAGCAAGGAAGTAGAACAATGCATGGTCCCTGGCAGAAGCAAGAACCTTCTGATCTGTTTATGTTTGAATGAAACGCAGGTTTTTTTTTTTTTTTTTTTTTTTTAAAATAGATGGGGGTCTTGCTATGCTGCTCAGGCTGGTCTCGAACTCCTGGGCTCAAGCAATCCACCCACCTTGGCCCTTCCATGTGCTGGGATTACAGGCATGAGGCACTACGCCCTGCTGAATCTCAGGTCTTAAAAATTCAGTTTATTTTGTTTTATGAGTCTCTTCTCTTTCTCAGAACCTTAACTGAAACGTTTGTGATCAAGACCAACTTGGGTTTCCCCACTCCCCAGTTGCCTTTGATTCTCCGCCAAAGGCTTGTTCGTAAGATGATGAGGTACTTTTTTCCTGTGGTTAAGAGGACTTTCTATAGGTTGCTAGAAAACTCTTGTTTTAAAACAAGATGTTGTTGAATTGATCTGGCTGATTGCAGGAGGAAGATCTTGTACTGCAACTTTGTTGATGATGCTAATACTTTAAGGTGAATATTCTAGAAGAATATAAAGGGAAAAATAAAAGTTTTAGTATGTTCCCACCCTGCCCTTTGTTCCCAGAAGTAGCCGTTATTGATGATGGTTGTTGATGATAGTTTCTTGGGTGTTTTTCGAGAAAAGTTTCAAGTATATGCAAATGTATGTGCAAGAACGTGTTCGTTTGTGTGTATATGTTTACATATTCATTTTTTCCCTCCCTAGTTGGGTATTTTAAATACTGTTTTGTCTCTTGTTCTCTTCACTTAACCAGTGTTGATTTTCTTGCCATTTTAAGCCCATGCAAATTGAAAGTAAAAGCCAATCAAATCAACTTTTTTTTTTTTTTTTTTTTAAACAAGCCACGCATTTGCCTGTTAAATGGCTGAGCCATGTATTCACCCATTCCCCTCTTGGTGTCTATCAAGGTCATTCCCAGTTCCTGGTTTCTTGCTGTGATAAGCAGTGCTGCACTGAAGGCACATGTATGCAAATATATGTAAATGATTCAGCAGAATAAATTTTCCCACAGGAAATTGCTAGGTTGACAGTATGTGCATTTTGAAATTTGATAGTTAATTGTCAGGTTACTGCAGCAGTTTATACTCCCACTAATGGGCCCACCAGCACTTATTAAGCACCTGTTGTTTTCCTGCCATATCAGAAAAATTGAGCAAGCTGGGAAGTGATCAGGCCCATGTTGCTTGGCTGTGTGTGAGAGGGCTTTGCCCAGTTAAGTTAAACCTTACTTTCCAGAGGTCAGGAGATCAAAGCAGAAGTGTGCTTTGGTTTTGTTCAGTTTTTTAAAAGATGTGTTTAAATTTTAAACATCTTTGGACTTATTTTAAAAATTGCTTTTAAATCAATAATTTAACAATGTGTAAAAACATTACTGATAGTCTCACCATGCTAATGTCACTCTGATTTTTACACCTAAACTAATTTAATTGCAGAGTTTTCTGATCACAAGTGACATGTGTTCCATATGACAGAACAAACAATACAAAGATATTTAAATAAAGCCTGAACATGGTACTGATATTAGTTTGTTCATGCTGCTATGAAAAAATACCTGAGACTGCGTAGTTTATAAAGGAAAGAGGTTTAATTGACTCACAGTTCTGCATGGCTGGGGAGGCCTCAGGAAACTTAAAATGATGGTGGAAAGGAAAGCAAACATGTCCTTCTTCACATGGTGGCAGGAGACAGAAGTGCAGAGTAAAGAGGAGAAAAGCCGGTATAAAACCATCAGATCTTCTGAGGACTCACTATCAGGAGAACAGCATGGGGGAACCGCTCCCATGATCTAATCACCTCCAGTGAGGTCCCTCCACCAACACGTGGGGATTACAATTAAGATTACAATTCAAGATGAGATTTGTGCGGGGACACAGAGCCGTGCCATATCATTCTGCCCCTGGCCCCTCCCAAATCTCATCTTTCTCATATTTCAAAACACAATTATGCCTTCCCAACAGTTCCCCAAAGTCTTAACTCATTTCAGCATTAACTCAAAAGTCTATGTCCAAAATCTCATCTGAGACAAAATCTAGTCTCTTTCACCTATCAGCCTGTAAAATCAAAAGAAGTTAGTTAGTTCCTAGATACAATGGGGGTACAGGCATTGGATAAATACACCCGTTTGAAATGGGAGAAATTGGCCAAAACAAAGGGGCTGCAGGCCCCATGCAAGTCTGAAATCCAATAGGCCAGTCATAAAACTTTCAAGTTCCATAGTTATCTCCTTTGACTCCGTGTCTCACATCCAGGTCACACTGTTGCAAGAGGTGGGCTTCCACGGCCTTGGGCAGCTCTGCCCCTGTGGCTTTGCAGGGTATAGCCCCGCTCCTGGCTGCTTTCACAGGTTGGCGTTGAGTGTCTCCGTCTTTTCCAGGCACACGATGTAGCTGCAGGTGGATCTACCATTCTGGGTTCTGGATGGTGGCCCTTTTCTCACAGCTCCATTAGGCAGTACCCCAGTGGGGACTCTGTGTGGGGGCTCTGACCCCATATTTCCCTTCTTTACTGCATTGGTAGAGGTTCTCCATAAAGGCTCCACCCCTGCAGCAAACTTCTGGCTGGACATCCAGGCATTTGCATACATCCTCTGAAATCTAGGTGGAGGTTTCCAAACCTCAGTTCTTTAGTTCTATGTACCCACAGGCTCAATACCACATGGAAGCTGCCGAGGCTTGGGGCTTGCACCCTCTGAAGGCACAGCCTGAGCTGTGTACCTTGGCTCCTCTTAGCCATGACTGGAGTGGCTGGGCACCAAGTCCTAAGGCTGCACACATCAGGGGGGCCCTGGACCCAGCCCAGGAAACCGTTTTTCCCTCCTAGGCCTGTGATGGGAGGGGCTGCTGTGAAGGTTTGTGATATGCCCTGGAGACATTTTCCCCATTGTCTTGGAATTGGGCTCCTTGTTACTTTTGCAAGTTTCTGCAGCCGGCTTGAATTTCTCTTCAGAAAATGGGTTTTTCTTTTTACATTGTCAGACTGCAAATTTCCACACTTTTTTTTTTTTTGAGATGGAGTCTCTCTCTGTTGCCCAGGCTAGAGTGCAATGGCATGATCTCGGCTCATTGCAACCTCTGCCTCCTGGGTTCAAGCAATTCTCCTGCCTCAGCATCCCGAGTAGCTGGGATTACAGGCACCCGCCATCATGCCTGGCTAATGTTTGTATTTTTGTAGAGACAGGATTTCACCATGCTGGCTAGACTGGTCTCGAATTCCTGACCTCAAGTGATCTGCCCACCTTGGCCTCCCAAAGTGCTGGGATTACAGGCGTGAGCCACTGCGCCCGGCCAATTTCCACCCTTTTATGCTCTGCTTCCTCTTGAATGCTTTGCTGCTTAGTAATTTCTTCCCCTAGATGCCCTAAATCTTCTCTCTCAAGTTCAAAGTTCCACAGATCTCTAGGGCAGGGTCAAAATGCTGCCAGTCTCTTTGCTAAAGCATAGCAAGGATCAGGAGAACAGCATGGGGGAACCGTCCCCATGATCTAATCACCTCCCATGATGTCCCTTCCCTAATATGTGGGGATTCCAATTCAGATTACAATTCAAGATGGGATTTAGGTGGGGACACAGAGCCAGACCATATCAGTAATCTCTTGGGCTAACCAATAACCAATGTATTCTTGTATTTTTTCTTTGAAATTTTATAAATATTTATAAATTTAAATAACATTTAAATCAAAATGGATTATGTTGTAATCATTACTCTGCCAGTTTTTTTTTTTTAATTTTTAAATTTATTTTTTGTAGAGACAGGATCTCCCTATGTTACCCAGGCTGGTTTTGAACCCCTGGACTGAATCGATCCTCCGGCTTTGGCCTCCCAAAGTGCTGGGATCAAAGTTTGTTAATTTGATAGCTAAAATATATTTTCATCTGCATTTCAATTACAATTAGAAGCTATGTATCCTGCAACATATTTTCCAGCAATTTGTGTATTTTCAGTGTGTCTTTCTGAGTCCTTTTTGGGTATGCCTGGACTAGTTTGTCTTTTTCCTGTTAGTTTGTAAGGGCTCTTGTTATTGTGGGACCTTTCCTCTTTGTCCATCACCTGTATTGTATAAATATTTTGTTACAGGCTATTGTTTTCCTATTGGCATATTAACATTTGAGTCTTGTTCTTACTAGTATGTAGTTTTGCAAGGTTGCATTTGTAGCTTGCATACTGTCTCCTATGTTTTTATTTACTGTAATAAGTATTTTCCCATGTACCCACGTAACCTTTTTAATTAAACCTATAAATGTCCAATCGATAGTTCCCTGTGTTGGTGGGCTATAATCACATAATTATTATCTGTGGTTTGACATTTGGGTTGCTGTGTTTTCTTTCTCCTTTTTTTTTTTTATTATTATTTTTGAGACGGAGTCTTGTTCTGTCGCCCAGGCTGAAGTGCAGTGGTGCGACCTTGGCTCACTGCAAGCTCCGCCTCCCAGGTTCACGCCATTCTCCTGCCTCAGCCTCCCAAGTAGCTGGGACTACAGGCACCTGCCACCACGCCTGGCTAATTTTTTTGTGTTTTTAGTAGAGACGGAGTTTCACCGTGTTAGCCAGGATGGTCTTGATCTCCTGACCTTGTGATCTGCCCACTTCGGCCTCCCAAAGTGCTGGGATTACAGGCATGAGCCACTGTGCCCAGCCCCTTTCTCCCTTTTTAACTTTTTTGAGACAGCATCTTATACCATCACCCAGGCTGGAGTGCATTGCGCAATCTTGGCTCCCTGTGACCTCTGCCTCCTGGGTTCAGGTGATTCTCCTGCCTCAGCCGCTGGAGTAGCTGGGATTACACATGTGTACCATGATGCCTGATTAATTTTTGTATTTTCAGTAGAGATGGGGTTTCACCATGTTGGCCAGGCTGGTCTCGAACTCCTGACCTCAGGTGATCTGCCTCCCAACGTGCTGGGATTACAGGCGAGAGCCACCATACCCAGTCATTTTTATTTTTCTTTTAAAGAAAACACTGTCCTGAATACCACATGGGTAGAGTGCGTATTGGCTTATTTCCTTAGATGATGTTCTCAGGAGTGGAATGAATAACATCTGAAAAGGCTTCACTCTAGCCATTGTCTTATTTTCTAAAAGTGAGCTGGCCCAGCTCACCGTTCTAGCAGGGTCTAAGGTTACTTACTGCTGTGGTTATTATTCAGAGTGGACGATGGTGCATGTTAATGTCAGGCACAGCAGGGCGCGGTGGCTCACGACTGTAATCCTAGCACTTTGGGAGGCCGAGGTGGGCGGATCACGAGGTCAGGAGTTGGAGACCAGCATGACCAACATGGTGAAACCCCATCTCTACTAAAAATACAAAAATTAGCTGGCGTGGTGGCAGGCACCTGTAATCTCAGTTACTCGGGAGGCTGAGGCGGGAGAATTGCTTGAACCCAGGAGGCGGAGGTTGCAGTGAACTGAGATTGTGCCACTGCACTCCAGCCTGGGTGACAGAGAGACTTTATCTTAAAAAAAAAAAAAAAAGTCAGGCTTTTCTAGGGTTCCTCCATCAGCCTTGTAAGGCTGGAGACCCGTGGCCAGGAAGAAAATTGGAGCTGTCTGGCACTGGGAAGGGTAACCCAGTAGTTATAATTAGGTTGGCTTATCTGCGAGCCCTTTGATAAGGCTTCACTAATTTACTAACCCAGGATCGCATGTTAGATCAGGATCTCTCTGAGTGCTGCAATTGTAGTTTGCTTTTCTCTCTCTCTTTTTTTTTTTTTTTTAGAGACAGAGACTCACTCTGTTGCCCAGGCTGGAGTGCAGTGGTATGATCATGGCTCACTGCAGCCTTGAACTCCTGGCCTCAAGCGATCTTCCTGCCTTACCCTCCCGAGTGTCTTGGATTATAGATGCTTGTCAACATGCCCAGCTAATTTTTAATTTTTTTTAGAGATGAGGTCTTGCCCTGTCACCCAGGCTGGAGTGCAGTGGCATGAACATAGCTCACTGCAGCCTTAAACTTCTGGCCTCAAGCAGTTCTCCTGCCTCAGCCTTCCAAAGTGCTGGGATTACAGGTGGGCACCACTGTGCCTGGCCTGCAGTGGTTTAATAGGGCTCTTTCATCTTTAACTTTGGTCCCCTGCCCCCTGAGATCCGTGGAGTGAGCCGTTTGACGCTTGGTACTTGGGACAAAGCTGGCCTATGTCCAGTTCTCTGCATACTTGGTAGGGGAGTGTTTGGAGAAAAGGCTCACCTCTGAGTCACACCCTCTATATTCTCCAAAGGGCCATGGGGATGGGGTGGAGGAGGCTGGGGTGAAGAGATGTTGTAGCTCCAGAGAAAGCCAGGGAGGTGTATGCTGGGTGAAGAGGCCAAGTTCAGGAGCCTAGGTTTGAAAATCAGTATAGACGATTCAGGTTAATTCACCCTGTTGTTATAGAGCATCTGTCTGTAGGGTGGCCAGGTCTGGGTGAGTCTCTTGGACAAGATGGGTATCAGGTTTCAGCTCTGAAATTGGACTGATATGTGGGGAGATTCATTCTGCAGTTTTATTTGTAGTTTAGGTTTAAGAAAACTTGGACTGGGCACTGTTGCTGTCGTCTGATCCCAGCACTTAGTGATGCTGAAGTGGGAGGATCACTTGAGCCCAGGAGTTTGAGACCAGCCTGGGCAACAGAAAGACCCCATCTCTACAAAATAATAATAATAATAATTATTATTATTATTATTAGCTGGGCATGATGGGACATGCCTGTAGTCCCAGCTACTCAGGAGGCTGAGGCGGGAGGTTTGCTTGGTCCTGGGAGGTTGAGCTGCAGTGAGCTATGATTGCACCACTGCACTCCAGCCTGGACAACAGCATGGCACTGTCTCCAAAAAAAAAAAAAACAACAAAAAAAAAACTTGTTTAACTACCTAAATCATAGCATTTGTGTGAAGCCAGACTATCACAACTCTGAGAACTGCTGACATATACATATTTTGGAAGTTCCAGGTTTTCTGTTACTATAAACATGGTAGAGATTGAATTACTTAAAGGGACGTCTTTTCTCCTACTCTTTGTCTTGTCTGATGTTATAAGGGGTACAGTATAGAATGAAAACAGTGCAGAAATGAGTGAAACATGAAAATCCCTTCTAGAGATAATTTTCTTTTATTATTTTTTTGAGACGGAGTCTTGCTCCATTGCCCAGTCTGGAGTACAGTGATCTCGGCTCACGGCAACCTCCACCTCCCAAGTTCAAGTGATTCTCCTGCCTCAGCCTCCCGAGTAGCTGGGGTTATAGGTGTGTACCATGCACCACCATGCCCGGCTAATTTTTGTATTTTTAGTAGAGACAGGGTTTGCTGTGTTAGCCAGGCTGGTCTCGAATTCCTGACCTCAGGTGATCCGCCTACCTCGGCCTCCCAAAGTCCTGGGATTACCGGGGTGAGCCACCATGGCCAGCCTCTTCTAGAGACAATCTTATTGGCAGGTTGATGTTTTTAATTTTCAGCCTCTCTTCTCCACAGATCCTAAAGATATAGTAATTTTTTTTTTTGAGACAGAGTCTTGCTCTATTACCCAGGCTGGAGTGCAGGTGGCGTGATCTCTGCTCACTGCAGCCTTCACCTGCCGAGTAGCTAGGACTGCAGGCATGCACCACTATGTCTAGCTAATTTTTGTATTTTTAGTAGAGATGGGGTTTTACCATTTTGGCCAGGCTGGTCTCAAACTCATGACCTCAAGTGATCCACCTGCCGCAGCCTCCCAAAGTGCTGGGATTACAGGTCTAAGCCACCGTGCCCAGCCATAAATACATGGTATTTTTTAAGAACAAGAACGGGATTCTACAAAAACATATATATGTGTATTTTGAGACAGGATCTCCTCTGTTGCTCAGGGTGGAGTGCAGGGGCACGATCATGGCCCACTGCAGCCATGACCTCTCAGGCTCAAGCAATCCTCCCACCTTAGCCTCTGGAGTAGCTGGGACCACAGGTGCCCACCACCATGCCCAGCTAATATTTTTTCTTTTTTTTTTTTGTATTGAAAACAGTCAGCCAGGTGTGGTGGCTCACACCTGTAATCTCAGTACGTTGAGAGGCCGAGGTGGGCAGATCACTTGAGGTCAGTAGTTCAAGGCCAGGCTGTCCAACATGGTGAAACTCCATCTCTACTAAAAATACAAAAATTAACTGTGGTGGCGCTTGCCTATAATCCCAGCTACTGGGAAGGGGGAGGCATAAGGATCACTTGAACCTGGGAGGAGGAGGTTGTAGAGAGCCAAGATGATGGCACTGCACTCCAGCCTGGGCAACAGAGCAAGACTCTGTCTCAGAAAAACAAAACAAAACATATAGTCTTTATTTTTTTGTTTGCGTGGGCTGGTGCATCTTGATTATGATGCATTTTTGTTAATTGATATTTAATTGCAGATGAAATGTAACATGGATCTGAGTAATTGCTGATAATTGTTTCCTCTTTAGGCAGCTGGTCAGTCTTTTTTTTTTTTTTTTTTCTTTTTAAGAGAGTTTCTGTCTTGTTGCCCAGACTGGAGTGCAGTAGCGTGATCTCGGCTCACTGCAACCTCCTTTGCCAGGGTTCGAGTGATTCTCCTGCCTCAGCCCCCCGAGTAGCTGGGATTACAGGCATGTGCCACCACGCCCGGCTACTTTTTGTATTTTTAGTAGAGACGGGTTTTGCCATGTTGGCCAGGCTGGTCTCAAACTCCTGACCTCAGGTGATCCCCCCTGCCTCTGCCTCCCAAAGTGCTGAGATTACAGGCTTGAGCCACTGCTCCCAGCCCATAGTCTTTTTTTTTTTTAAACCTCTGTGTACAGGTAGGTCCTGGGGAAATTCGAGGCAAGACTTGGGTGAGTGGGTATCTTAGACCCTCTCAGGAGCTCTTTGCAGGAGGTAGAATCTCCGAGGGTCAGTGCCCATGAATGGGTCCCATGGCCTGACTGGTCCCATTCAGGTGACAGTCTCTGAGGGTCCTGCATAGCCCTTACCTGGGCTCCATGCTGGGAATCGAGCGGTATACAGAGCATGGTTCCCTGCCTTCCTTGAGCCCCAGTCTTGTTGGGGAAATGGCCAAATAAATGAATAATCATCAGGAAGTGCTATGAAGGGGAGCTGCGTGGTGCCCGGTGAGTGCAATAGCGGGGTTTCATCTGGTTGGAGAGAAAAAAGGAGACTCCTTAAGTGGGGAACCCGTTTGATGATACAGGTTTGGCTATGTGTGTCAAAGACCCCAAATATAGTGGGTTAAGATACAAGCTCATTTCTCTCTCATGTAAAAATCCCAGCTGGTGTGGCAGCTCTGTCCCCAAAATAATCAGGGTCCCAGGCCCCTCCCATCTTGTTGCTCTGCTGTCCTCATCTGCATGGATCAAGATGATGCATCTCCATGTCCACATGGCAGCCAGTAGGAAAGCAGAGTAAGGGCACAACCTGGAGGTTGCCTACGTCTCTCCTCGTCACATCCCATTGGCTTGTACCTAGTCATGTGGTGCCTCTAGCTGCAAAGGAGGCTGGGAAATGTAGTTTCCTTTCTAAGCAGGATGTACCCAGCTGAAGATGTTACTCAGGGATGAGGGAGAGTTGATACTGGAGCGCAGCTAGCAGTTTCTGCTGTATAGGCAAAAGCAGAAGGTAAGAATGTTCTGGGCAGTGGGAAATGCATGTGCAGAAGCACTGGCTTAATGAGGAAGGCCACTGTGGCTGGAGTCAAAGAGTAGGGAAGAGAAAAAGAACCAGAAGGAGGCTGAGAATTGGGCCTGTAGGACTTGGATCCTGTGGGAAGCCTTGGCAGCTTTCTTTCCCCCCTCCTTGCTTAGGCATTAGCTCTAAGACAGGGATATTTACAACACAATTATTTCTTTAAAATTATATATATATTTTAATTTGTACAGATGAGGTCTCCCTGTGTTGTCCAGGTTGGTTTCAAACCCCTGAGCTCAAGCCATCTTCTTGCCTCGGCCTCCGAAAGTGTTGGGATTACAGGTGTGAGCCATTATACCTGGCCTTCAACTCAGTCCCTAAAGACAACTCCTTCTCAAGTGTTGGAAAGAACCAATGACTAATCACTTCTAGTCTGCCTTATCCCCATCTTGCTTGTGTGACTTTGGTAAGAGTTTGTTTGTTTATTTAAAGGAGCAGAGAGTTTAATAGGCAAGAAGGGGCAAGAAAGAAGGGAGAATAAGATCCCCTGTATAGAGACGGAGGAGGGCTCCAAAGCTGAGAGAGGGAACCCCAGCTGCCACAGATAGCAGCTAGGTATATGTACAGAGGCTGGAAGAGGCAGTGTCTGATTTGCATAGGCCTCAGGGGATTGGTTTGACTAGGCATGTCTTTCACGTAGCGCATGAAAAAGCTGGCCCTCCCACCTAGCCTTTTAATATGCAAATGCAGGGTACCATGATCTGCACACTTGGGGAGGTGTGGTGGCGGCCATGTTGCTAGGAACATGTGGGGAAAGGGCAAGAAGGCTGTGGGAATCGCCATGTTTGGGTGGACCCAGTTTCTAATGGCTTGCATTTGCATATCAAAGGTTGCTGGCCTGGCTCTAAGAGCCGGGGCTTTACAAGAAACTTTTCCGGAGTTGCTTTAAAAACCAAACATTTCCCAAGGACCCCTTTTCCTCTCTATTTGCCTAAAATAATTGCTTAACTCCTACATTACCCCCTGTGGAGATGCCACATTAACTGCTGTTAGGGGGTTTTGGGCGACGACTTCTTCTGGCTACTTCCTGGTGAAAAGGGGCGTTGAATGGGGAACAGCAGCTAGGGCTCCTCCTGGGGTGGATCTAAGGGTCCTCGGAAGAATGGCGTGTCCATGTGTGCTTCAGGTTACAGCACCATTTTGAGTTTGATTGCTTCAGTCTGATGAAATAATTTCCTTTCCTGGCCAACACACCAAAATGATACGGCTCCGATGAGTGGGGGAACACCAGGGTTCTTGGTCCTCATGCCGGTTTAGATAAAATGACACAGACACACGTGGAGTGGTTTTAAGGAGTGGAGAGTTTAATAGGCAAGAAGGAAGGGAGAAGGAAGAAGGTCCCCTGTACAGAGACAGAGGGTGGGGGGCTCCAAAGCTGAGAGACGGAACCTCCAGGAGTTGATTTTATAAATAAAATAACATGCGTTGAGGTCACTCTGTGTTGTGTGGTATGCCCAGCCCTCTCTGCACATAACTTGTTTCAGGCCCACAGTCATGCTGGGTGGTTGCTGTAATGACTTTTTATTTTAAATGGGGAATCTGTGACACAGTTAAACATGCGCAGGATCATGTCACTAGCAAGGAGTGGACACGGTATTCAAACCCAGCAGGTTGACTCAAAGCCTGCCCTTTCCCCAGCTGTTTTGCCCCTCAGTCATTTGAGTCTAGTCTTCAGGATTTTGACATCTATCTCTTACCTTGTATCTGTTAGGATTGCATCTGGCTTCAAGAAACAGCCCTACTTCAGCAGCCTAAGCAGAAAGGTATTCATTTGTTTATTTTTTACATGTCAGGAATTCCAGTACCTCTTGGAGTTGCTGGCATTGGATTAGTGATGCAGGGTTGTTAGGACTGACATCTCTGCTGTTTTCTTGTCTTTTCCTCAAGGCCCCTAAATGGCTGCTACAGCCCTAGGCAATATATCTGGGTTCAAGGTAGGAAGAGGGAGGGATTGCACCAGCCTCATGGGTTCCTTTCTATTCAGGAAAGTCCAAGCCTTCTTCAAAGGCTCTTCTGTCCACATTGCAGACTTCTGGTCATGTCTCCTTGGCTGAAACTGGATTACATGACCACCTCTAGCTGCAAGGGAGGCAGGAAAAATGAGCATTTGGTTTTATGCTTCTCTAGGAGGAAACAGCAAGGGAGAAACTTTTGAGTAAGCCAGCCAATATTGTCCAACATGTACTTATTTTTTAACTTTTTTTTTTTTTTTTTTTTTTTTTGAGGCAAGGTCTGGCTGGCTCTGTTGCCGAGGCTAGAGTGTGGTGGCACAATCTCAGCTCGCTGCAACCTCTACCTCCTAGGCTGAAGCTATCCTCCCACCTTAGCCTCCAGAGTAGCTGGGACTACCACATGCACCACCATACCTGGCTAATTTTTATATTTGTAGAGATGGGGTCTCACCATGTTGCCCAGGCTGCTCTTGAACTTGTGAGTTCAAGTCGTCTGCCCACCTCAGCCTCCCAAAGTGCTGGGATGACAGGCATGAGCCATCACACTCAGCTAATGTTTTTCTTTCAATCAATTCACTTTTTAAGCCTTAACAAAGTTATCGCAAAAGGAAGTTTCATATCACTTTAGAATGTCTTTGAAGTCACAGGTTGGTTATATTTATGTGCTTACTTTAATAGCTATTAAAGTAAATATAGCACTACTAAGAAAAAAAGATATTCTTTAAATCGCCTATTATCAGTGGTTCTTAACTCTGGATGATTTTGTCTCCAGGGGACATTTGGCAATGTCTGGAAACATTTTTGGCTGTCACGATGGGGCAGGGAGCGCACGCCTAGAGTCTAGTGGGTAGAGGCCAGGGGGTGTGCTAAATATCCTACAATACAGGATGGGCTCCATAATGAAAAATCCTCTGGTCCCAAATGTCAGTAGTACTGCAGTTGAGAAACCCTGGCATGGACGCAATCCACCTGCTGCCAGGAGTTATATACAAGCCATGTTAGGGTAATGCTGCAATATGTCCATCGTGATTGTGTTTTCTCCTGGGTGACTATCAGCAATGGTGTAGCCTGCTTGTTGGTTTTCAAGGTCCATTCTCAAGATACTATCAGATCTCCAGCAATCGTGTGATGCAGTTTAAAATGTTCATGTGAGCTGGGCGTGGTGACTCATGCCTATAATCCCAGCACTTTGGGAGGCCAAGGCTGGAGAATGGCTTGAGCCCAGGAGTTTGAAACCAGCCTGGGCAACATAGCGAGACCCAGTCTCTACACAAAATTAAAAAAAAAAAAAAATTAGCCCGGTATGATGGTGCATGGCCATGGTCACAGCTACTCAGGAGGCAGAGGTGGGATGATCACCTGGGCCTGGGAGGTTGAGGCTGCGGTGAGCCACGATTGCACCACCGTATTCCAGCTTGGGTGACAGAGTGAGACCCTGTCTCAAAAAAAAGAATGTGCATATGAATTCAAGATATGTCCCTTATAGAGACTGGTGAGGACACAGCTTATTGACCCTGAAGCTGAAGTGGTTGAAATGATAGCCCTCTTGCCAGGCAAATCCTATGTGAGTGCTTCTAAAAGAACACTGTACCTTGCAGAGAGTATTCCTGGGACCTGGCAGGAATCAGGGCCTCTTGGTGACCACATGCTTTGGAAAGGGCTGTGCTTTGGCAAGTGGGAGATTTTATTATTTATTTTCTCCTGTCTGCCTCGGTTTGGCAAAAACAAACCTGGCCTGGGCATGGGCCTTGTGGAGACAAGAAGGCAGCTTGAGATTATCAGAGATCAGGCTGCTGGTGGGTTTGCCTGAGCTGGCCTGGTCAGGTAGCTTGACAATGATGCTCAGACCCCCATTAAAGTTAATTGAGCGGTTACAGAGTGGGAGTGGGGAGTGGGGGGTGTGGTGACTGCCTGTCTCCTTGAGTTGGCGTGGCTAAGAAGTAAGGGAATTTTTTAACTTTTCCTTCTTAATTCTGGAAACTTAGAAAAAAGCCTCTCACCATCCCTTAATCATTCAGTTAGAGAGACCAGGCTGTTGATATGGACATGCTGCGTTTCATGGAATCCTAGAGGCCAGTATTTATGACATACTTCCCAGTTTCAGAGATGTTAGGATATAAAAATGTAGCCAGCAGTGTTTACAGGATGGGCTAATCGAGAGACACAGACAAATATCAAAGATAGCAAAATAGGAAGAAACAGAGTCTTAGAATCAATGCAGTATAATAATAGCTTCTAGTTTCTTTCTGTTTTTCTTTTTATGATACAGAGTCTCACTCTGTCGCCCAGGCTGGACTGCGGTGGCATGATCTCGGCTCACTGTAGCCTCCGTCTCCTGGGTTCAAGTGATCCTCCCATCTCAGCCTCCAAGTCACTGGGATTACAAGTTGTTTGCCACCATGCCCAGCTAATTTTTGTATTTTTAATAGAGACAGGGTTTCACCATGTTGGCCAGGTTGGTCTTGAATGCCTGACCTCAAGTGATCCCCCCCAGCCTTGGCTTCCCAAAGTACTGGGATGACAGGTGTGAGCCACCATGCCCAGCCTCCCCCTCACTCTTAAGCACAGCTCTTCGGCAGTCAGAGATGTTGCCTGCTGTATTTCTCGTTCTGCTTTTACACATGGTTTAAAAATCCTCGCCCAAGAATGTAAGCCCCATGGCTAGTGCTACCTGCTACCTTTAGGGGTGGCCTCTCCTGGGGTGCAGGAGGTTGCACAGTTCGTTTTGTGACAGCAGGGTCATTTTTTAATCGGATCATCTGCCCCAGTTTGCTTGGCTCTTAGGTGCTTGGGAGTTCTCCTGGTTTTTTGCTGTTGTGAAATGGCCCAGCTTGTACACGTTGTTCCTTTTCTTGCTGGAGTTATTTCCTTTAGACTCCTGTCCCTAAAGTAGGATTGTTGGGTGAAAATGGGGTATGCGTGGTTAGGCTTTTCTCTGCCTGCTTTCTGGATTGCTCTTCAGATAGATTTAATCACCTTTTATTTATGTTTTGTGGTGGTTTTTTTTGTTTTTTTTGTTTTTTTTTGTTTTGAGACTGAGTTTTGGTCTTGTTGCGCAGGCTGGAGTGCAATGGTGGGGTCTCGGCTCACAGCAACCTCTGCCTCCTGGGTTCAAACGATTCTCCTTCCTCAGCTTCCTGAGTAGCTGGGATTACAGGCATGCGCCACCATCTCTGGCTAATTTTGAATTTTTATTACAGACGGGGTTTCTCCATGTTGGTAAAGCTGGTCTGGAACTCCCAACCTCAGGTGATCTGCCCGCCTCAGCCTCCCAAGGTGCTGGGATTACAGGCGTGAGCCGCCACACCTGGCCACCTTTTATTTGTTGAATGAGTGTTTAATAAGCATGTCCTATATGCATCAGGAGAATTAAATGGACATGGTCTTGCTTTGGGGGGAAATGACAGGTAGGAGAGAAAGAGACACTTAGAACTCAACAGAGGCCAGACGCGGTGGCTTACGCCTGTTATCCCAGCACTTTGGGAGGCTGAGGTGGGCGGATCACCTGAGATCAGGAGTTCGAGACCAGCCTGGCCAAAATGGTGAAATCCCGTCTCTACTAAAATATAAAATCAATCAGGCGTGGTGATGGCACATGCCTGTGATCCCAGCTACTCGGGAGGCTGAGGCAGGAGAATTGCTTGAACCTGGGAGGCAGACATTGCAGTGAGCCGAGATTGCACTACTGCACTCCAGCCTGGGCAGCAAGAGCAAAACTCTGTCTCAAAAAAGAAAAAACTCAACAGAGAAAAGGCGGATCGTTAAGGCTTCTTTGGCACTTCCTAAGTGCCAGGGACTGTTGTTAATGCCTTTGAAGTGCTAATAATGACTTAATGGTGACAAGTTCCCTGTGAAGCAGGGACTGTGATTGTTTCTACCTTATGGGTGGGGAAAGGAGGCAGAGAGAGGTGAAGTCACCCAGCTAGTAAATGACAGGACTAGACTGAAACCCAGGCAGTCTGTCTCCAGGGCCTGGCCGGTACCCCATGCTCCATCTTGCCCCATAAACACCCTGGGGTGGGCCAGAGAGGAGTCTTTTCCAACAGGCTGTGCCAGATGACTTTGGCTAATCTTGGAGGCTGGAGGATTAGTCAGTCTACTAAGGGGGCTTCAGCATTTTGGCACGTGGCTTTATGAGCTGTTTACTCCAACAGTGATGATGACAATAGCCATAGTAGTGATAATACTATGGTAGAAGTAACTGCAGCAAACTCAACCCCTAACGAGTATTCTATCTTCCCAACATTGTGTGCAATAGCCATGAGAGATGGGTGTTATTCTTTTAATTTGACACACGGGAACTGAAAGCCAGAGAGATTGGGTGGCTTCCCCCAGGCCACACAGCCTGGAAGTAGTAGGACAGGGACTCGAGCCCAGATCTGCTGCCCCAGAGCCTGTGCCCTTGACCACCAAGTCATGGTCACTCCTTTCAACCCTGCCTGCCCCTGGGCCATCTGTGTTGTGATGCCGGCTGGCCAGGATGGGGAGTGAGGATTTCAGTTTGTCATAGGGCAGGGAGATGGGTGAGGCAGGACACTCCTTGAGATGGAAGGCTCTGGGGTCGGGGGAGAGGGAGTGGTGGAGACTGGGGTGTCTCCGAAGGAGTGTTTGAAGATGACGGTGGTTTTTCCAGTTTCCTGTTCTTAGCTATATTCAAGAAAAGGGTAAGCCAGAAAATTTCCCTCTGAGTTTCACAACTTCTGGGAGCTTTTGCAAAGTCTGGGTGATGCAGCATTTTCCTGGTTTGAATCCTAAGTGAAGTTTCATTTTCCTTCACTTAACTCATTCTGGCTCTGGCCTGTCTTCCCAGCTGTATTGGCCATCTGGTCCTCTTCTGGCTCTTTGTCCCATTTATTATTATTTATTTTTATTTTTAACAGAGATGGGGTCTCACTGTGTTGCCGTCTGTTCTGGAACTCCTGGACCCAAGTGATCCTCCTGCCTCGGTCTCCCAAAATACTGGGATTATAGGCATGAGCCTCTGTGGCCAGCTTATACCCCCTAAGCTTGTGACTATCTTCTATGTGTGTCCCTCTTGGAGTGAGGTTCCCTCCTGTCTCCATGTTGGCAAATCTTAGCACCTTGGCCCTTCGAGATGGAGGTCTGTGTTGCCTAGGCTGGTCCTGAACTCCTGGTCTCAAGTGATCCTCCCATCTTGGCCTTCCAGAGTGCTGGGATTACAGGTGTGAGCCACTGTGTCCAGCCAACCCTTCTTAGATTTTACTTACTTCAAGAAGCCTGCTTTGACCTCTCAAGTGGAAATAACAACTTCCAGGAATAGAGTGATCACTGGGCATCCATCTGTTGTCACATGAATGATTTTATCCATATTAAGGAGGCATTACATGCAGCAGTGAGCTAACCTGCCTGTGTTGAAGTTTTCTTCTTTTTACAGGCTGTACAACCTTGGGCAAGTTGCTTTACTTCTCTGTGCCTTAGTCTCTTCCTCAGCAAAATGGAAAAAATACTACCCATTTCAAATGGGGTGAAAATGAAATAATATATAAGTCTCGTCTTCACAATGTCTCTGATGAAAAGCAGGTATTGGTTGCACATGGTGCTCATGCCTGTAATCCCAGCACTTTGGGAGGCCGAGCAGGGAGGATTGCTTGAGGCCAGGAGCTTGAGACCAGCCTGGGGAACATGGCCAGACCACATCTCTTAAAAAAAATTTAGCTAGGTTTGGTGGCATGCACTTGTGGTTCTAACTAGTTTGGAGCAGGTGAGGAGGGAGGATCTCCTGAGCTCAGGAGGTTGAGGCTGCAGTGAGCTGTGATTGCACACGACTGCTTTCCAGCCTGGGCAACAGAGTGAAACCCCATCTCAAACAAACAAACAAACAAACAAACAAATAAACAAAAAACAGGTATTGTCCTTGCTGTATGAATGAGGAAAGTGAGTTTTCCTTTTTGCTTTGTGAAACTCTTTTCTGGATATTTCTTGCCTTTTATGTGTATCTCTTTGGTGGTACTCTGTGCTTTTAAAATCTTTTGTAATGGCCATTTATGGACAAATCGTATCTTATATTCAAGATTCTAAGCTTTCTGAGGGCAGGATATAAATGTGGTTGTTTCTGGTTCAAGTCCTGATACAAGCAAAGCTCAGTAATTTTTTTAAATGAATGGGTGGGCCGGTGGTTGGGTCTTCAGAGTCACTAAATACTGGTGGCAGGAGTGGGACCACATAGAAAAAAATATTAAGGCAGTGGATCTCAATGGGGAGTGATCTGCCTCTCAGAGGACGTTCATTGATGTCTAGAGACATTTTTGTTGTCACAGTTTGGGATGGGGGTGCAGTTGGTGTCTGTTGGGTTAGGATCAGGAATGCTATAAACATCCTGTGATACACGGGACAGACGTATCCAGCCTAAAACGTCAGTAGTGTTGAGGGTGAGAAACCCTGGGCTTATTAAGGCAACAAGCAACATATTAATAGCAACAGGAGAAAACATGCATTTAAATTTTTTTTGGCCAGGCGTGGTGGCTCACACCCGTAGTCCCAGCACTTCGGGGGGCCCAGGTGGGCGGATCATGAGGTCAAGACATCGAGACCATCCTGGTGAACATGGTGAAACCCCATCTCTACTAAAAATACAAAAATTAGTTGGGTGTGGTGGTGTGTGCCTGTAGTCCCAGCTACTTGGGAGGCTGAGGCAGGAAAATCACTTTAACCTGGGAGGCGGAGGTTGCAGTGAGCTGAGATTGCACTACTGCACTCCAGCCTGGAGACAGAGCAAGACTCTGTCTCAAACAAACAAACAAACAAACAAAAAAAAAACAAAATTTTTTTTCCACAAATGTGAAGTAGTCTAGATGAGATACGCTCTTCCTGAGATGATAAAGTGAGGTCTAAGTGTATTTATTAATTCTTTTGAGGAGGGTGTTAGGTGCTAAAGGCAGCACGTGTAAGGTGAAAATTGCGTATAGCCAAAATGACCCTGGGGCTTATTCTCTCTCTCTCTCTCTTTTTTAATAAACAGCTTTTTTGTTGAGATATAATTCACATACCATATGATGCACCTATAAAGTGTGCAACTCAGTTTAGTACATTCAGAATTGTGCATGTCTCCTGTCTCCAGGTAGGCAAATCTTAGCACCTCGGCCCTTCTTAGATTTTATTTTTTAGAGATGGGGGTCTCACTATGTTGCCCAGGCTGGTCTTGAACTTCTTGGCCTTCCTCCCATCTTGGCCTTCCAGAGTGACTATATTCAATATTCAAAGTGACTGTAGTCAACATTAGATATTTTTATCACCCTGCTTACTTGTTTTTATTTAAGACCTGGTGTGGTGTGTGCCTGGCCTTGTGATCACAAATGCTAGTTACACTGAATTGACATTTTGCTGAGACTCGTTCTGAGGTCCATTCATAGATGCCCTAGGTACTTCCTGATTACTTGCCACACCCCAGGAATTCTGCACAGTGAGTGGGGAGTGACATTTTGAGGGACAGCATCAGTACATTCACTGCGCTAAAGAAACAGTCTGGGGAGAGTGAGACATCGAAAAAATAACATATAAAATAAACATCTGATGGAGACATAGGAAGATGCCAACCTTCAACAATGTTTGACTTGGAGCAGGGGTTGGCATGCTTTTTCTGTGAAGGGTTAGGTAGTACATATTTTAGGTCTCTCAGGCCCAGGGGCAAATAGTCTTTCTTATAATATGTATTTAAAAATTGGCCAGGCATGGTGGCTTCTGCCTGTAATCTCAGCACTTTGAGAGGCCAAGGTGGGAAGATTGCTTGAGCCCAGGAGTTCGAGACCAGCCTCAGCAACAAAGTGAGACTCTGTTTGTATTAGTCTGTTCTCACGCTGCTATAAAGAACTGCCCAACACTAGGTAGTTTATAAGGGAAAGAGGTTTAATTGACTCACAATTCCACAGGGCTGGGGAGACCTCAGGAAACTTATACTCACAGCAGAAAGGGAAGCAAACATGTCCTCCTTCACATGGTGGCAGGAAGGAGAAGTGCTGAGCAAAAGGGGAAAAGCCGTTTATCAAACCATCAGATCTTGTGAGAACTCACTATAATGAGAACAGCATGGAGGTAACTGCCCCCATGATTGAATTGTCTCTCACTGGGTTCCTCCCACAACACATGGGGATTATGAGAACTACAATTCAAGATAAGATTTGGGTGGGGATACAGCTGAACCATATAATTCCATGGCCAAATGATATCGTTCTGCCCCTCCCAAATCTCATGTCCTCACATTTCAAAACACAATCATGCCTTTCCAAGTGTCACCCAGAGTCTTAGCTCATTCCAGCATTAACCCAAAAGTCCAATTCCAAAGTCTCATCTGAGACAAGGCAAGTCCCTTCTGCCTATTAGCCTGTAAAACTGAAAGCAAGTTAGTTACTTCCTAGATACAATAGGAGTACAAGCATTGGGTAAATACACCCATTCCAAATGGGAAAATTTGGCCAAAATGAAGGGGCTGCAGGCCCCATGCAAGTCTGAAATCCAGTGGGGCAGTCATTTCTTAAAGCTCTGAAATGATCTCCTTTGACTCCATGTCTCACATCCAGGTCATGCTTATGCGAGAGGTGGGCTCTAGCTATGGCCTTGGGCAGCTCTGCCCCTGTGGCTTTGCAGGGTACAGCCCCCATCAAGGGGCTTTCACGGGTTTGTGTTGTGAGTCTGCGGCTTTTCCAGGTGCACGGTGCAAGCTGTCCATGGATCTACCATTCTGCAGTCTGGAGGATGGTGGCCCTCTTCTCACAGCTCCACTAGGCAGTGTCCCAATGGGGACTGTATGGGGCCTCTGGCCCCACATTTGCCTTCTGCACTGCCCTAGCAGAGGTTCTCCATGAGGGCTCCACTGCTGCAGCAAACTTCTGCCTGGACACCCAGGCATTTCCATGCATCCTCTGAAATCTAGGTGGAGGTTCCCAAACCTTGATTCTTGACTTTTGTCCACAGGCTCAATACCACATGGAATCTCCTAAGGCTTTTGAGGCTTGCACCCTCTGATGGCACAGCCCGAGCAGCATTTTGGCCCCTTTTAGCCACAGTTGAAGCAACTGGAACAAAGTGTACCAACTCCCTAGGCAGCACACAGCAGGGGGGCCCTGGGCCCGGCCTATGGAATCATTTTTTCCTCCTAGACCTCTAGGCCTGTGATGGGAGGGGCTACTGCAAAGGTCTCTGACATGCCCTGGAGACATTTTCCCCATTGTCTTGGTGATTAACATTTGGTTCCGTTTTACTTATGCAAATTTCTGCAGCAGGCTTGAATTTTTCCCCAGAAAATGGGTTTTTCTTTTCCGTCACATCATCACCCTTCCAATGTTTCAAACTTTTATGCTCTGCTTCCTCTTAAACACTTTGTTGCTTAGAAATTTCTTCTGACAATCATCTAAATCATCTCTCTCAAGTTCTAAGTTCCACAGCTCTTTAGGGCAAAGGCAAAATGCTGCCACTCTTTTTGCTTAAGCATAGCAAGAGTCACCTTGGCTCCATTTCCCAAGAAGTTCCTCATCTCCATCTGAGACCACCTCAGCCTGGACTTCATTGTCCATATCACTATCAGCGTTTTGGTCCAAGTCATTCAATAAGTCCCTAGGAAGTTCCAAACTTTCTTACATCTTGCTATACTCTTCTGAGCCCTCCAAACTGTTCCAGCCTCTGCCTGATACTCAGTTCCAAAGTTGCTTCCACATTTTTGGGTATCTTTACAGTAGCACCCCACTCCCAGTACCAATTTACTGTATTAGTTTGTTCTCACGCTGCTATAAAGAACTGCCCAAGACTGGGTAGTTTATAAAGGGAAGAGATTTAGTTGGCCCACAGTTCTGCAGGGCTGGGGAGGCCTCAGGAAGCTTGTAATCATGGTAGAAGGGGAAGCAAACACGTCCTTCTTCACATGGCGGCAGGAAGGAGAAGTGCTGAGCAAAAGTGCTTCTTTTGCTGAGAAGTGTTGAGCAAAATCAGATCTTGTGAGAATTCACTGTCACAAGAACAGCATGGAGGTAACCACCCCCATGATTCAGTTACCTCCCACTGGGTTTCTTCCATGACATGTGAGGATTATGGGAACTGCAGTTCAAAATGAGATTTGGGTGGGGACACAGCCAAGCCATATCACTGTCTCTACCAAAAAAAAAAAAAAAGCCAGGTGTGGTGGCTCATGCCTGTATCCCAGCTACTCATGAGGCTGAGATGGGAGGATTGCTTAAGTCCAGGAGGTTGAGACTGCAGTCAGCTATGACCACACCACTGCACTCCAGTCTGGGCAACAGAGTGAGACGCTGTCAAAAAAAAAAAAAAAAAAAAAGGAAATCCATTCTTAGCCTGTGTGCTGTACAAAAGCAGGCAGCAGGCTGAATTTGGCCCACAGGCTGTGGTTCGCCAACTTATGACCTATACAAATGGCAATTCATATGGTTCATCCTAGCGATAACTGTACATGGTGTATTAGATACTATATAGCATGTTCATATCAAATGTCATATAATGTATAAGGTAACATATACAGTATAAAATAGTGCCTGAGAAATATTTGATGAAAAAATCTGATAAGTACTTAGCAGGCACAGTACAAAGTACCATGAAGTTGTTAAATGGGGGATCAGGGTGTTTGAGAAAGGGGTGGGGAGATAGGTGGGCCTCCCTCAAGAAGGAATGTTTCAACTGTGAGCTGAAGGATGCCCCTGCATTGCATGTCAGGGCAGTGATGGGGAGAAAGACTCCAGGTAGAGGGAACCCACTCTGCAAAGGCCCTGAGTCATGAAGGGGTCCCTGGAACAGTGAGTTGGGGCTGAACCCACAAGCTGCAGTTGTGGGGATTGTGATCCATCCTGAGAGCTCTGAGAACCTGGAATAGTTTTCAGCGCAGTGTGAAGGGACTGGGGCTGTGTTTTGAAGATATCCCCTGTCTGCGGTTGGGAGGGGAGTCAGGAAACCTATTTGGAGGCTGGGGTTTTCACCCAGGTCATGCAGATAAGATTTATTAGGTGTGGAATGAACTGAGCAAATCACATGTCTTCTAATGGTACACCACACTTTTTTTTTTTTTTTTTGGTTTTGAGACAGTCTTGCTCTGTCTCCCAGGCTGGAGAGCAATGGCATGATCACGGCTCACTGTAGCCTTGACTTCCCAGGTTCAAGCAATCCTCCTACCTCAGCTTCCGGAGTAGCTGGGACTACAGGTGCCCACTACCATGCCTGGCTAATTTTGGTATTTTTATTGGAGACGGGGTTTCATCATGTTGGCCAGGCTCCTCTCTAACTTCTGACCTCAAGTGATTCGCCTGCCTCAGCCTCCCAAAGTACTGGGATTACAGGTACAAGCCACCGCGCCTGGCCTTTAGTGATATTTTAAAGACTAAATTCCCTTAGAGATGCCTGGGTCTGCATTTATTGCTACTGTTCTGTTTCTCACTGTGTGTCTTGAGGTCATCAAAAGTAACCTGGGCCTTTTCCCTTGTTTTCTGCCTCCTCTAGGCTTATGAGCCATTAAGCAAAGCCGGATTGGTGTGTGGGTCAGGCTCTTCATGTTTTCTTTAGCTTAATAAGCAGTTTCTAAGGGAACTCATTGTGTCATTGTTTAGAATAGCAAAAGATGAGCAGCCTCCCAAGTGGCAATCAGTAGGGGCTGGGTGAATACAGTGGGTTCCACCCCTTCCGTGGTAGGGTGGGATGCTTGCAGAAGGACATAAGACGAGGAAGCCCTTTGTGCACAGATGTGCGGCAGCCTCCAAGGTCCAGTTTTTAAGTGAAAACGTGGAGATCCACTTGGTATATTTGGTATGTTACCTCTGTGTAAAAAAGCAGACAAGTAAGAATTACGTAGTTGTATTTGCTGTATTTGTAAGAAATTCCAGAGGGATAAATGAGAAACTAAAAGAGGCAATTGCATTTGGGCAGAGTAACTTTTTATTGTTTACCTTGATATATACTTTTTTTTTTTTTGAGATAGAGTCTCGCCCTGTCAACAGGCTGGAGTGCAGTGGCGTGATCGTGGCTCACTGCATCCTCCGCTTCCCAGTTTCAAGCGATTCTCCTGCCTCAGCCTTCTGAGTAGCTGAGATTACAGGTGTGTGCGCCACCAAGCTCAGCTAATTTTTGGTATCTTTAGTAGAGATTGGGTTTCACCACGTTGGCTGGGCTGGTCTCGAACCCCTGACCTCGTGATCTGCCCACCTTGGCCTCCCAAAGTGCTGAGATTACAGGCTTGAGCCACCGCGCCCGGCCTATATATGTATTATATAAACATATGCACACGCATGCATACGTACACACATATATATTTTTTAAAAATTGAGTCATGGCCAGGTGCAGTGTGGGTCACACCTGTAATCCCAGCACTTTGGCAGGTGAAGGTGGGAGGATTGCCTGAGCTCAGGAGTTTGAGACCAGCCTGGGCAACATGGAGAAACCCCTTCTCTACAAAAATCACAAAAATTGGCTGGGCGTGGTGGCATACACCTGTGGTCCCAGCTGCCTGGAAGGCTGAGGTGGGAGGATTGCTTGAGCCTGGTAGGTAGAGGCCGCAGTGAGCCATGATCACGCCACTGCACTCCAGCCTGGGTGAGAGAGTGAGACTCTGTCTTAAAGCAAAAACAGAGTCATATATTTCCTATTAAGGTGAAATTTAAAAAATAAATTCCTATATTCCATCATCCCCAGCTTCTGCCATTCTAAAGCATTTTCCTAAGCAGCTCCACTGTGGATGTAGCGGGTATTTCAGAAAGGCATTAGAAATGCCCTGGGAGGGCAGAACCCGGGGCTTCACTGGAGGTGCTGTTGGGCTCAGTCTGATGTCAAGGCAGGGACATGGCAAGGGTATTGAGATGTGAACAAGCATTACTCAGCAAGGTGACATGTGTTCATGCCTTGATACACTTGTTTCCCCACCAGCTCTATTTTTGTTGCCTGCTCTATTGGTTTCTTTTTCTTTTTTTTTTCTTTTGAGACTGAGTTTTGCTTTTGTTGCCCAGGCTGGAGTGCAATGGCACCATCTCGGCTCACTGCATCTTCCGCCTCCTGGGTTCAAGTGATTCTCCTGCCCCAGCCTCCTGAGTAGCTGGGACTACAGGTGTGCACCACCATGCCCAGCTAATTTTTATATTTTTAGTAGAGACGGGGTTTCTTCATGTTGGTCGGGCTGGTCTCGAACTCCTGACCTCAGGTGATCCTCCTGCTTTGGGCTCCCAAAGTGCTGGGATTACAGGTGTGAGCCACTGTGCCCAGTCTCTATTGGTTTCTTATTGCTGGTATTGCCATCAACTTGGTGACTGAGAACAACACACATCACTCTAGTTCTCGGGAGTCAGAGGTCCAAAATGTACGGCTGGTGTTCTTTCCGGAAGCTTGCAGGGAGAATCCATGGCCTGGCCCTGTCCAGCATCAAGAGGCCACCTGTCTTCCTCAATTCGTGGTTTCATGTCCCTCCACCCCTGCTTGTGTTGTCAAATCTCCTTTACTTTTTTTTTATTTTTGAGACGGAATCTCAGCTCACTGTAGTCTCTGCCTCCCAGGTTCAAGTGATTCTCCTGCCTCAGCTTCCTGAGTAGCTGGGATTACAGGTGCATGTCACCATGCCTGGCTAATTTTTGTATTTTTAGTAGAGACGGGGTTTCACCATGTTGGACAGGCTGGTCTTGAACTCCTGACCCCGGGTGATCTACCTGCCTCAGCCTCCCAAAGTGGTGGGATTATAGGCATGAGCCACCACGCCCTGCCTCAAATCTCCTTTTCTGACTCAGATATTCCCACCGTCCTCTTGTCCCTTATAATTCCCTGTGATTACATTGGGCCCACCTGGATCATCTAGGACAGGGGTCCCCAACTCCTGGGCCATGAACCAGTAGCGAGCAGTCTGTGGCCTGTTAGGAACTGAGTCATGCAACAGGAGCTGAGTGGCGGGCAAGCCAGCATTACCACCTGAATTCCACCTCCTGTCAGATCAGTGGCTGCATTGGATTCTCACAGGAGCGTGAACCCTAACGTGAACCGTGCATGCGAGGGACCTAGGCTGTGTGCTCCTTATGAGAATCTAATGCCTGATGATCTGAGGGGGAACAGTTTCATCCTGAAAGCCACCCCCCGCCATCCCTGGCAAAACTGTCTTCCATGAAATCCATCCCTGGTGCCAAAAAGCGTGGGGACCTCTGATCTGGGACATTCTCCCCATTCCAAAGTCCTTAATGATACCTGCAGAGTCCCTTTTGCCATGAAAGGTAAGAGACTCAGGTTCTGGGGACGGGGATGTAGGCATCTTTACGGGCTATTCTGTGTACTGCACCTGTTCAGCTTAGTTCCAGGCACATAGTAGGGGCTCAGTACATCTTTGTTGAATGACACAATCAATCATTTGGTTAGGCTAGAGAATGTGGAAGGAGGCCGGGTGCAGTGGCTCACGCCTGTAATCCTAAGGCTGAGGCAGGTGGATCACTTGAGCTCAGGAGTTTGAGACCAGCCTGGACAATGTGGCGAAACCCCATCTCTCCTAAAAATAGAAAAATTACCTGGGTGTGATAGTGTGTGTCTGTAGTCCCAGCTACTCAGGAGGCTGAGGCGGGAGGATCACTTGAGCCCAGAAGGTGGAGGTTTCAGTGAGCTGAGATCATGGCACTGCAGTCCAGTCTGGGCAACAAAACGAGACCCTGTGTCAGAAAAAGAGAGAATGTGGAGGGATATTATAGCAAGAAGTGGATCTGGAAGTTTTACTAGTAGTGGTATTTATTGAGCACCTACTGTGTGCTCTGGCTCATGTTTAACAAAGTGCTTATTTGCATAATGTTAGTATTCCCATTTTACAGATGCGGAAACTGAGGTTTAGTTGCTGGCCTAGTATTACAGGGTGAGGAGCTGAAGCCCCATCTGCCTGACGAGGGGTGTGTTGGGGATGTGGACTAGAAGCTTGGTCAGGGAGGGATTCTGTTCAAACAGGGCTGCTTAGCTTTGGCACTGTTGACATTTGGGGCCAGATATTTCCCGTCGTGGGGGCTGTCCTATGTATTGTGGCCATTAAGCAGTATCCCTGGCCTCTGTCCACAGAGTGCCAATAGCACTACCCTCTTCCTAAGTTGTGAAAACCCAGGATGTTTCCAAATGTTGTCACATGTCCCCTGAGTGACAAACTTGCCCCCACTTGAGAACCATGGTGTTGAAACATAGATCACGGCACATCAACTCCATGCTCCTCAGGTCACCCTGCGTGAAAGTCAGAATCCCTGCGGTGGCCTGTGCGTCCCGCACTGACTGTCTCCTCCCTGCCTTCTTCCTTCCTCGCTGTCTTCACTGCTTGTTATTCTTCAGACCTGTTGGCCTCTCTGCGGTTTCTCAGAAATGCCAGGCCTGGTCTGACTTCAGGACCTTTGCACTGGCTGTTTTCTCTGCTTGGTGTGCCCTTCCTCCAGATGGCCATTTGGTTTACTCCTCTGTTTCCTTCCATCCTGTATTTGTTTATTTATTTTTAATTGAGATGGAGTCTCGCTCTGTCACCCAGGCTGGAGTGCAGTGGTGTGATCGCAGATCACTGCAACCTCCACCACCCAGGTTCAAGGGATTCTCGTGCCTCAGCCTCCTGAGTAGCTGGGATTACAGGCATGCACTACCACGCTATGTTGGCCAGGCTGGTCTTGAACTCCTGGCCTCAAGTGACCCACTTGTCTTGGCCTCCCAAAGTGCTGGGATTATAGGTGTGAGCCACTGTGCCTGGCTCAATCCTGTATTTAAATACCCGTCCTCAGCAAGGCTTGCCCTCTTCTCTGAGTGCTTTTCATCACACATGTCTTCATATCCTCTCCTTTCTAAACCATCTGTCTCTTCTCTTTAGGCTGTCAGCTCCAGGAGGGCCGGCCCTTGGTCCCTATTGTTCACTGCTGGGCCCTCAGCCCTAGGAACCGTGCTCTGTAAATGGATGAATGCTGTCTGTCCTGTTACTGCAGTGTCCCCAGACATATCCCTATGCCCAGCACATGCCTGACCCCTCACAAGACCCTGGAACATGACTAAGGGATTTATTTGGTGAAACATGAGAGTCTGATAAGAGGAGAGGAAGTGGCTGGGGAGCAACCTTGCAAAGATAGCCAGGGTTGGATGGAGAAAACGAGGGTGAGTGTCAGCTTCATAGGACGGGCCTTCCACGAGAGGCCTCATGGTGCTTGGGAGAGTTGGGGTGAAAGCAGGTTGGAACAAGATGCTTGCTGCTGACATTTGGGCACTGATGGGCAGCCTGACCTCTGCTTTCTTTTTAGTGCTTAACAACACTGAAGCCCTGTTAAGACAGGATTCTTAGGACTGGGCACAGTGGCTCATCCAGCACTTTGGGAGCCCTGGGTGGGAGGATCATTTGAGCCCCAGGAGTTTGAGGCCAGACAGGGCAACATAGCAAGGCCCCATCTCTGGAAAGAAATACAAAAATTAACCAGGCTTGGTGGTGTGCACCTCTAGTCCCAGCTACTTGAGAGGCTGAGGTGGGAGGATCACTTGAGCCTGGGAGTTCAAAGCTGTAATGAGCTATAATCATGACATTACACTCCAGCCGAGGAGACAGAGCAAGACTCTGTCTCAAAAAAAAAAAAAAAAAAAAAAAATTAGTTTTGCATGTAACTGTGTTCAGTTCTGTGTCTTGGACGTGAGGATTTGTGGTACCCGCCTGGATAGAGCAAGGATGGCCGTGCCCCTGCCTTCCTGGGTGATGGGGATAAGTCTGGAAATTGCCCCTGTGATGTTACTGGGCTTTATTCTTAGCTCTGCTGAGTTAGGGGGCAGGGTGGGGTGCAGCCCAGCCAACAGCATGCCAGGGCGCGTCACTGCCCACGCGATGCTGGCTTCAGCCGCCTTCCTCTCACCTCATGGCCCTGCCAGCCGTGCTTGCCTCCTGCTGTGTCGGGGCTGGGAGACTTTAGCCTTTCTCCAGATGTTTTCAGGAGTGCGGTGGGGAAATGAAGGCCACATGCTGTCTCTCTAAACAGGATTAATGTTCAGAAGCCCAGCGGGTGCCCTGACCTAACCACGGGCCTCTTGCACTCCTTTTCTCAGCTTCCCTTGGCTTCTGAGCTACCCCTCTGCAGCGTTGTTTCTGAGTGTGGCATTTAGGAGCACCCTGTCGTCTTGCCTTTCGTCCCTCCAAGCCCCGTCTGTTCCTTGGTTGGTTGTGCAGAAGAGTTGCTAGGGTTTGAATCCAGGACGGTCCTGCCCCTGTGACTCGCGGGCCATCTTCTCACCTGTTTGTCTCTGTGTTCCTCTCTGTAAAAGTGGGAATCATTACAGTACCTTCCTCATAGACTGCTAGGGTGATAAAATGGAGCGATGTACATGAAACCTGAACGCAGTGCCTGGTATGCAGTCCGTGCTTAGACAGGGCTCTGGTTTTATTTTTATTTCTTTTTCTTTGAGACTTGGTCTCACTCTGTCACCCAGGCTGGAGTTCATTAGCATAATCACGTCTCACTGCAGCTTCCCACTCCTGGGCTCAAGCGATCTTACCACCTCAGCCTCCCAAGTAGGTGGGATTACAGGTGTGAGCCACTGTGCCTGGCACCATTCAGCAATTTTTTTTTGTTTTGTTTTTGAGACAGAGCCTGGCTCTGTCACCCAGGCTGGAGTACAGTGGTGCGATCTCAGCTCACTGCAGTCTCTGTCTTTCAGGTTCAAGTGATTCTCCTGCCTCAGCCTCCCAAGCAGCTGGGATTACAGGCGTCTGCCACCACACCCAGCTAATTTTTAGTAGAGACAGGGTTTCACCATAGTGGCCAGGCTGGTCTTGAACTCCTGACTTCAAGTGATCCACCCTCCTCGGCCTCCCAAAGTGCTGGGATTACAGGCATGAGCCATCACACCCGGCCATCAGCAAATTTTTAAGTATACAATATAGTATTGTGAGCTATAGACACTATTCTGTACAGTAGACCGTAGGACTGACTGACTCATCTTGTATGACCAAAACTTTATACGCTTTGACCAACACCTCCCTGTTTCCCCCACCACCAGCTCCTTGCAACTACCATTCTGTTCTCTGCTTCTATGAGTTTGTCTTTTTTAGATGTCACATGTGAGTGAGATCTTGCAGTGTTCGTCTTCCTGTGCCTGGCTTATTTCATTTAGCATAATGTTCTCCAGGCGCATCCATGTTGTTGCAAATGGCAGGATTTCTTTCCTTTTTTTTTTAGACAGAGTCTTGCTCTGTCTCCCAGGCTGGAGTGCAGTGGCACGATCTCGGCTCACTGCAAGCTCCGCCTCCTGGGTTCACGCCATCCTCCTGCCTCAGCCTCCCGAGTAGCTGGAACCACAGGTGCCTGCCGCCACGCCCGGCTAATTTTTTTTTTTTTTTTTTTTGCATTTTTAGTAGAGATGGGGTTTCACCGTGTTAGCCAGGTTGGTCTCGACCTCCTGACCTTGTGATCCGCCTGCCTTGACCTCCCAAAGCGGTGGGATTACAGGTGTGAGCGACTGCGCCCGGCCAGGATTTCTTTCCTTTTTAAGGCTGAGCGATAGTCCATGGCATGTATAGATCATGTTTTCTTTGTCCACTTGACCACGGATAGACATTTAGTTGTCTCCATCTTGGTTGCTGTGAGTGACGCTCCAGTGAACACGGGAGTGCAGATATCTCTTCAGGGCCCATGTGTGGCTGAGATTAGGAGATCACTGCTGTCGTCTCTAGTTCAGCAGTGCTAGTGCCTCCTGGCGTTTAGCGTCCAGCTCAAGGGAGTGGAATTTGGGTGTCTCAGGGTCTAGGGCCACCTGTGCCTCTAAATCGCAGGGAAGCTTTGTGTGTGTGTGTGGTGGGGTGCGGGGGGCTATGGGTATGTGGTGGGGTGAATCTTATTTCTCTTCTTTCCCTTTTCTTAATTTTCCGTTGGCAAAACAGAGCGCCACTCCAGACCCCTTTCATTCTTGCAATATACATGAAAAGTACAGGGCTTGTTCTGCAAAAGAAGAGTAGCCCCAGCGAGCTCAGGGTTGAGTGAAGTTCCGCAAGGATGGCACCTCTCGGCTCTTCTGGGGGCTTCAGGACAGAGCTCAGTGTCGCCAAGCAGGACCCCCACTGCGGGCGGAGCTGCAGGGCCATCAACATTCATTAGGTGGATCAGTGAATGTAGACTCTGCGGTGTCACAAAGCAGCACCTGTACTCACTGTGCCTGTCTCGGGATGGAATCTAAGTCAGACATCCTTGCATCCCCACTTATGGGCTGTTCCTTCACCTTGCTGGTCCTCACCTTTCTCCTAGAGTTACGGGGAGGAGTAAATGTGCTAAGGCCATACACGCCGACTCTGCAGTGGCCTTGAACCATGCTTCTCTGTCACCCCTTTCGTTGCCTTGACAATGGCTGCAGCCTCCTTTCCCATCTCCCCTAGGATCTTCTCCTAGGGTCTCTTAATACAGGGGTCCCCAATCCCCAGAGCACGGACTGGCACCAGTTCATGCATGCCCTGTTAGGAACCAGGCCACAGGCCACACAGCAGGAGGTGAGTGGCAGGCGAGCGTGTGAGACTTCATCTGTATTTACAGCCGCTCCCCATCTTTTGCATCACCGCCTGAGCTCTGCCTCCTGTCAGATCACCTGTGGCATTAGATTCTCATAGGAGCGCGAACCCTGCTGTGAACCGTGTGCGCGAGGGATCCAGGCTGTGTGCTTCTTTTGAGAATGCAATGCCTGATGATCTATCACTGTCTCCCATCACAGCTGAGATGGGACCATCTAGTTGCAGGAAAACAAACTCAGGGCTCCCACCGATTCTACATAATGGTGAGTTGTATAATTATTTCATTATATATGACAATGTAATCATAGAAATAAAGTGCACAATAAATGTAATGCACTCGAATCATCCCCTACCCTGTCTGTGAAAAATCGTCTTCCACAAAACCTATCCTTGCTGCCAAAAAGGGGATGGCTGTCTTTTTTTCTTTTGAGATGGATTCTTGCTCTGTTGCCCAGGCTGGAGTGCAGTGGCACAATCTCGGCTCACTGCAGCCTCTGCCTCCCAGGTTCCAGCGATTCTCCTGCCTCAGCCTCCTGGGTAGCTGGGATTATAGGCACAATGGCACCGTGCCTGGCTAATTTTTGTATTTTTAGTAGAGACGGGGTTTTACCATGTTGGCCAGGCTGCTCTCAAACTCCTAACCTTGGGTGATCCTCCCGCCTCGGCCTCCCAAAGTGCTGGGATTACAGGCGTGAGCCACTGTGCCTGGCCAGGGACCACTGTCTTAATATGTGAATTAGGCGATGCCATGACCCTGCTTAATGCACTCCCAGGGCCTCCTGTGAGAATTAGAACAAAAAATCCATGCTCTGTACCATGCCTCCAAGATTGGCTATGTGGTGGCCTTTGGTGACTTCTCCCGCCCAATCTTGGGTCCTAGCTCATTGGTGCAGCCATATCCTCCCCCCACCCCACCCCACTGTGGCCTTTGCCTGTGCCATCTTTCTGCCTGGTATGTGCTTCCCGAGATCTTTGCACAGCCAGCTCTTCCTGACCCTTCCAGTCTGCTAGGATGTCATCTGCCCAGACCGCCACTCTGGTGCTTCCTGTCCTGACACCCCTGCTCTTTCCTTCACAGCAGGTACTGCTCTTTGTCATTATGTTCTTATCTGTGAGCTTTCATCTTTGATGGACTATGAGTCTTAAGAGGACAGAGATATCGTTTCTGATTTTCCCCCATGCCTGTGACTAGCCCAGGTCTAGGCATATAGTAGGTGCTCAATAAACAGTCATCGAATGATAGATTGAATGAATGAATGCATGACAGGAACCCTGCACTTATCTGTGTTAATCCGTCTCTTGGCTGCCGGGAACACCAGCTCCTGCAACCTGGCACTTGGGTCACCTGATTGAACCCTCCTGATAACTCTCTAAACTCTGTAATAGGTGGGTTCTAGAATTAGTCCCATTTCACAGATGAAGAAATCAAGGCCTGGTGAGGTGAACTGACTTGCTTTAGGGCAGCAGGGATGATTTTTGCCTCTCTGGAGATATTTGGCAATGTCTAGAGACAGTTTTGATTGTCATAACTTGAGGAGGTGGGGAGTGCTACTATCATCTAGTGGCAGAGGCCAGCGACGCCACTCAGTATCTTACAATGCACAGGATGGCCCCCGACAACCAAGAATTATTTGGGCTCAAATACCAGCGGTTCTGAGGTTGAAGAAGCCCTGCTTGAGGGCACACATCTGTAAGTGGTGGAGACGGGAACCTAGACCTGGAACCTTGTTTTGTTAACCACTACCCTGCACTGCTCACATGCGGGGGTGGGTGGGTGGGAAGAGTTGTAGAATGTTTCCATGTCTGAGTCAAAATCTTGCTTCTCTGCTCTAGGGAGATGAATTTGGAATCTGTGAGGCCTGAGGCCATTCACTTGATCTCCGGCCCTGGAGATCTTGCCTCCAAGCGACCTCAGGCTCCATCTGTCTGCCATGTACCTTGCAAACACCTTAGAATTCTGGCTGGGCATGGTGGCTCACACCTCTAATCCCGGCACTCTGGGAGGCCGAGGCGGGCAGACTGAGTTCAAGACCAGCCTGGGCAACATGGTAAAACCCTGAATCTACAAAAGATACAAAAATTAGCCAGGCATGGTGATGCGTGCCAGGTAGTCCCAGCTACTTGGGAGGCTGAGGCAGGAGGATTGCTGGAGCCCAGGAGATCGAGGCTGCAGTGAGCTGTGATGGTGCCAGTGTACTCAAGCCTGGGCAACAGAGTGAGACCCTGTCTCAAAAAACAAAACCAGCTGACCAAACAAACCAAAAGGCCTTAGAGTTCAAGCACGTGGTTTAGAGGTGGTGGATCTCAGTGTCAGACTCTCAGTGGGTTCAAATCCTGGCCCTGTTTCTTCTAGGTTGACGAGCCCAAGCAATTTACATAAACTCTCTGGACCTCAGAGCCCTTGCCAGGAAAGGGGAGAGTTTTAATAGTCCTGACTTTGTAGGGCTGTTGGAAAGCTTAAATGGACTGTGCTTGGGAAGCACTTAATCACTGTGCCTGGCGTGATCACTCTGGCTGTTATTATTGGCACCCAATAAATACATGCTTTCTCTTTGTTTCCAACTCAGCATTTAGAAATGTCCTACCCTTCAATTCCTGCTGCTATTTATTTATTTGAAGTGCGAACTAGCTTTCTTATTATTATTTTAGAAATCATGCAGAGGAGAAAATTCAAACAGTACGAAAGATAATACAACAAAAAATAGTAGTTGCCTTCCTCTCCCTGGTTTCAGGCCTACCCCCTGCAGATTAATTAGCTTTTTTTCTTTCTTTTTTTCTTTTCTTTTTTTTGCAATATGAAGTCTTGCTCTGTTGCCCAGGCTGGAGTGCAGTGGTGTGATTTTGACTCACTGCAACCTCCGCCTCCTGGGTTCAAGCAATTCTCCTGCCTCAGCCTCCCTAGTAGCTGGGATTAGGGCAGATCATGAGGTCAGAAATGTGACAACAGCCTGGCCAACATGGTGAAACTCCATCTGTACTAAAAATGCAAAAATTAGCCAGGCGTGGTAGCAGGCGTCTGTAATCCCAGGTACTTGCGAGGCTGAGGCAGGAGAATTGCTTGAACTCGGGAGGTGGAGGTTGCAGTGAGCCGAGACCACACCATTGCACTCCAGCCTGGGCAACAAGAGCGAAACTCCGTCTCAAAAAACAAACGAAACATCAAATTCCTGACTGTGTATGCTGCTTGCAGGTTATATATGACCAGGCCTGGTTCTGTATCTGTAAAATGGGTTACGTTATAGTACCTGAGTCCTAGAGTTGTGTGTGAGGATGAAATGTAATGTGAAACACTTAGAGTGGTGCTTGGCTGATGCAACTAATGAATCTTCCCTCTTACTCTTTCTATAGACAGAAGAAGGCGGCACAGGTTTCTTCATTGCTTTTCGCCCTTTGCTGAAATGTCATCTTGGCCCAGAGGCCCTTTCTGTCTACCTGATAAAGAACTAGCACCTGCCCACCCACCATTATGCTTCACCCACTTTCTTCTTCTTCAAGCCATTTGCTCCCATTGGGCATACATAGAGTTGTTTTTTTTAGCTGTTGGTAGTTTTGGCCGCTTTGCATAAAGTGAAATTGTGTGAGAGTGGAGACTTTATTTTACTTCCACATGACCTTGGCCCATGGTAGTAGTCGCTGATAAATGTCCACTGAGCAATAAGAACCCGACTGTTGCAAGTTACTTATTTATTTATTTTTGAGACAGGGTCTCAGTCTTTCACCTAGGCTGGAGTTCGGTGGTGCAGTCATAGCTCACTGCAGCCTCGAACTCCTGGGCTCAAGGGATCCTCCTTCGTCAGCCTCTGGAGTAGCTGGGACTAAAGGCAAACGTCATCACATCTGGCTACTTTTAAATTTTTTTATTTGTAGAAGGTGGGGAGTCTCACTCCATTGCCACCTCTGGTCTCGAACTCCTGGGCTCAAGTGATCCTCCTGCCTCGGTCCCCCAAAGTGTTGGGATTACAGGTGTGTACCACCACGCCCAGCTAAGTTTTTTTTTTTTTTTTTTTTTTTTTGAGATGCAGTCTCACTCTTTTGTCCAGGCTGGAGTGCAGTGGCCTGATCTCGGCTCACCACAACCTCCACCTCCTGGGTTCAAGCGATTCTCCTGTCTCAGTCTCCTGAGTAGCTGGGACTACAGGCGCACGCCACCATGCCCGGCTAATTTTTGTACATTTAGTAGAGAGAGGGTTTCACTATGTTGGCCAGGCTGGTCTCGAACTCCTGACCTCATGATCCGCCCGCCTCAGCCTCCCAAAGTGCTGGGATTACAGGCGTGAACCCCTCCACCCGGCCAGCTAAGTTTTTAAATTTTTTTGTAGAGATACAGTCTCACTGTGTTGCCCAAGCTGATCTGAAATTCCTGGCCTCAAACTATCCTCCTGCCTCTGCCTCTTCAAGTGCTGGGAAATATAGGCATGAGCCACTGCACCCAGCTGGTTGTGAGTTATTGAGATGGTTGAATTGGGAGTGGATGCTCAGGCCTCAGTGGAACTTGTGGTACACAGTATGTCCTCATTACCTCCCATCAGTGGCAGTTGAGATTCATAATCACTTTTTCTGCCTGTTGTCTGCCCCATCCTCTCTGTGGCCTTCCCTCCTGTCCTGGAGTTGGCTGGCTGGGTCCCTGGCAGGGCTGCATGCGTTATCCCTGCAGGCCTGCTTGCCTTATCCCTGCAGGCCCTGGTGGAGCATCTGTGCAGAACCTGTGCCATCCAGATGGGAGCAGTAAGGGTGTAGGGCAAAGTTAGTGAGCTGCCCGGTGCACGAGGACTTCCATGATAATCAGGGCTGAACCAGGAAGGCAGGTCAAGGCCAGGGTCATGTACAGAAAGGAGGTCAGCACCAGGATCTTGTATGGGAAGACTTAGATCAATGCCTAGTGCCTTAGTCATCATCATTCAGCCCAGAAAACATGACGCTATGCAACAGGAATTTTATGAACACACAAAGGTCAGGGGCCACTCGGACTTGGACGGGGTCCCCAACTCTTTGAGTGTCAGGGCTGAGGGCATGGAGACACAACTTGATCAAGCTGGTGAAGTGTCCAGCAAGGAGAAGCCTCTGTTGGAGGGAGCCGGGAGCTGGGGAGGACATGCGCTTTCTCTTTTTTTTTTTTTTTTGAGACGGAGTCTCGCTCTATCGCCCAGGCTGGAGTGCAGTGGTGCAATCTCGGCTCACTGCAACCTCTGCCTCCTGGGTTCAAGCGATTCTCCTGTCTCAGCCTCTCACGTAGCCGGGACTCAGGCCTGTGCCACCACGCCTGGTGAATTTTTTTGTATTTTTAGTAGAGACGGGGTTTCACCATGTTAGCCAGGATGGTCTTGATCTCCTGACCTCGTGATCCACCTGCCTTGGCCTCTGAAAGTGCTAGGATTATAGGCGTGAGCCACCGCGCCCAGCCGACTTGCGCTTTCTCTGTAAAGATTTCTGTGGGCCAGGTTCCCCAAAGGGCAGGCCCTGGGCCAGTGCAGTGACCGGTGACCGTGTTCAGGACTCATCTCTTGTGGCTGAATTGTGTGTCTGGAGAGTTGGGTCCTTCTGATTCTGCTCAGAGCGTGGTGGGCCTGGCTGGATTTCCCTAGATTAGGAAGCAGCCTCGGGTAGCTGTGATTCTTTGAGTTGGGAACAGCAAGTGGCCTGCAGACTGCCAGGGAATCGTCCCTTCCTTGAGCCTTTAGGTATTGCCCATTATTCACCGTTTTTCCCAGAAGCCTCCAGTAGTGAGAGTCGCACTTCTTACCTCCTGGAGTTGTTAAAGTAAAGAAGGACACATTAGGGTCCCTGCCGGTAAGGAACATCCAGGAGGCCTCGATACCTTTTTTTTTTTTTTTTTTTTTTCCCTGAGACAGAGTCTCGCTCTGTCACCCAGGCTGGAGGACAATGACCTGATCTCTGCTCACTGCAACCTCCACCTCCTGGGTTTAAGCGATTCTTGTGCCTCAGCTGCCCGACTAGCTGGGATTACAGGCATTTGCCACCATGGCTGGCTAATGTATTTTTTTTTTCTTTTTCAGTAGAGATGGGGTTTCACTATGTTGGCCAGGCTGGTCTTGAACTCCTGGCCTCAAGTGATCTGCCCTCCTCAGCCTCCCAAAGTGCTGGGATTTCAGGTGTGACCCACTGCGCCCAGTCCCGATACTTTGTTTCTTTGAGACAGTCTCTTACTCTGTCACCCAGGCTGGAGTGCCTGGGTGGGACGATCAAAGCTCACTGCAGCCTCAAGCCCCTAGGCTCAAAAGATCCTCCCACTTCAGCCTTCTGAGTAGGTGGGACTACAGGCCTGCACTACCACGCCTGGATAATTTTTAAATTTTTTTGGTGAAGACAGGGTCTTACTTTGTTGCCCAGGCTTTTCTTGAACTCCTGAGCTCAAGCAATCCTCCCGCCTCAGCCTCCCAAAGTGCTGGGTTTACAGGCGTGAGCCACTGTGCCCGGTCCTCAGATGATCTTAGCTTTGTGACCTATGCTGTTGGCCGCTGTAGGGGCTGTGATGGAGGTGATGTGGGGGTGGATGGCAGGGGTGACCCGTGTTGGCTGCTTTCTGTAACAGTCATAGTTCATGGTCAGAGTCAGATTTCCTCTCGTCATGCCTTCCTTCCCTTCCTTCTGCTCCCTCCCACAGCCGCCCTTTGGGTCTGGGCTGGCCATCTGGCTCTGAGCAGGAAGCTAGCCTGTGCTCTTCAATTTGCTTTCTGCAGGGGAAACACCTTCCTTTGCTCAGCGTTTCCTGACCTCTCCTTCCCTGGAGTTCCGGTGTCCTTAAATGCTCTCTGGTTTCTTCTGTAGCTTACTTTCTTGCTTGAAAGGACAACTTTTCTTTGTCCTTTAGACTTCTTATCTCTGGGCAATACAGTGGTGGTGGCAGTGGTGATTATTATCAACTATTAGTATCTGCTACTACGGTTTATTGTCTCTAGACTGTATCAGCACCTGTCACACATTGTCCCATTGAATCCTCTCCAGAACTCTTCCAAATGATGTGTTTTCCTGACTTTTAAAAAAATTAAAAAAAAATTTTTATATTTTTTTGAGACGGAGTCTCGCTCTGTCTCCCAGGCTGGAGTGCAGTGCTGCGATCTCGGCTCACTGCAAGCTCTGCCTTCTGGGTTCATGCCATTCTCCTGCCTCAACCTCCTGAGTAGCTGGGACTACAGGTGCCCGCCACCACACCTGGCTAATTTGTTTTTTAATATTTTTAGTAGAGACAGGGTTTCACCGTGTTAGCCAGGATGGTCTCCATCTCCTAACCTCATGATTCTCCCACCTTGGCCTCCCGAAGTGCTGGGTTTACAGGCGTGAGCCACTGTGCCCAGCCAAAAAAATTTTTTTAAAGAAATGGGGTCTCGCTGGGTGCGATGGCTCACGCCTGTAGTCCCAGCACTTTGGGAGGCTGAGGTGGGCGGATCACCTGAGGTTGGGAGTTCCAGGACAGCCTGACCAACATGGAGAAACCCCATCTCTACTAAAAATACGAGATTAGCCAGGCGTGGTGGCAGGCGCCTATAGTCCCAGCTACTCGGGAAGCTGAGGCAGGAGACTCGTTTGAACCCGGGAGGCAGAGATTGCGGTGAGCTGAAATCTCTCCATTGCACTCCAGCCTGGGCAACAAGAGTGAAACTCCGTCTCAAAAGAAAAAAAAAATAGAAAAAGAAAAATAAAAGAAATGGGGTCTCACTGTGTTGCCCAGGCTGGTCTAGAATTCCTGGGCTCCAGCTGTCCTCCCATTTCGGTCTCCCAAATTGCTGGGATTAAATGTGTGAGCCTCTGTGCCCGGCCTCTTTCTCTCTCTCTCTCTCTCTCTCTCTCTCTCTCTCTCTCTCCTCTCTCTCTCTCTCTCTCTCTCTGTCTCTTTCTTTCTTTCTTTCTTTCTTTCTTTCTTTCTTTCAGCCTGAGTCTCGCTTTGTCGCCAGGCTGGAGTGCAGTGGCACGATCTGGGCTCACTGCAACCTCTGCTTCCCAGGTTCAAGTGATTCTTCTGCCTCAGCCTCCCGAGTAGCTGGGACTACAGGTGCATGCCACCATGCCTGGCTAATTTTTGTATTTTTAGTACAGACGGAGTTTCACCATATTAGCCAGGATGGTCTTGAACTCCTGATCTCATGATCTGCCCGCCTCGGTCTCCCAAAGTGTTGGGATTACAGGCGTGAGCCACCGCTCCTGGCCTTCCTTTTTTTTGAAGCAGGTTCTCACTCTGTTGCCCAGGTTGGAGTGCAATGGTGTGATTATGTCTCACTGCAGTGTCTACCTTCCAAGGCTCAGGTGATCTCCTGCTTCAGCCCACTGAGTAGCTGGGATTATAGGCGAGTTCACCATGCCTGGCTAATTTTTGTGTTTCTAGTAGAGACGGGTTTCACCATGTTGTCCAGGCTGGTTTTGAACTCCTGGGCTCAAGTGATCCACCCGTGTCGGCCTCCCAAAGTGCCGGGATTACAGGCATGAGCCACCGTGTCCAGCTTTTCTGACTCTTTTTACTTATCAGGAGACTGAAGCTTGGAGAAATTAAGTGACTTGCCCAAGTTCACATGGGGTTAAGGCCTGAATTTGAATCTACATCTGCTCAATTAGGAAGTGAGTGGTCATAGCTAGTCTCTACCTGGATGGATTGTTGTTTAATTGTTAAATTTTTTCAAAATAATTTTAAATTATTTTATTAAAAAAGAGGGTATCATTATGTTTCCCAGGCTGGTCTTGAACTCCTGGGCTCAAGTGATCCTCCTGCCTTGGCCTCCCAAAATGCTGAGGTTACAAGTGCAAACTACTGTGCCTAGCCAGATTATTACTTAACAACCAAAACAAAGGAGGAAATTGACGGTGGACAAGTAAGAAGATCATTGCAAAGGTTGGGGGCAGGTTGTTTGGGGAGTGTGGAGGAAGCTTTTTAAATGAGGTACCTGAGTTGGATTTTGAAGGATGAATAGGAGTTTGTTAGGACAGAAAGACATTGCAGAGAGAGGATCTAGCAAGAGGTGACTGAAGAAACCATTTATTTGACCAGCAGTTGGGGAATGCCTTGAAGGCAGGAACCACAGCCTTTCAGAATCTCCAGTGCCTGCAACAGTGTCTAGAACATTATCTGACAACAAGCTTGGTAAATACTTCTTTAAGTAAATGCCTGAGTAAGGCACATTTGGGGAACAGGGTGGGAGAAATTGTAGGAGAAGTAGATGGGACTTGAATGTAGAAGGAAGGCCTCATGGATCACTGCAAGGGTTGGTTATTTTTTTTTATTTTTTATGTTTTGAGATGGAGTCTCGCTTTGTCGCCCAGGCTGGAGTGCAGTGGCGCGATCTCGGCTCACTGCAAGCTCTGCCTCCCGGGTGCACGCCATTCTCCTGCCTCAGCCTCTCCAAGTAGCTGGGACTACAGGCGCCCGCCACCACGCCCGGCTAATTTTTTGTATTTTTAGTAGAGACGGGGTTTCACTGTGGTCTCGATCTGCTGACCTCGTGATCCACCCACCTCGGCCTCCCAAAGTGCTGGGATTACAAGCGTGAGCCACCGCGCCCAGCCAGGGTTGGTTCTTAAAAGCCAATAGGGAGCCATGGGAAGTTGTTTCCCAGCAGAAGAGAGAAGGCCATTAGATCTGCCCTATTTATTAATGCAAATATCTAAGTCTATGAATCTTCCTCTGAGCAGGAAAACGTGATTGCTTTTAAATCCATATGGAAAGACCCTCAGTTTTACTCATGATAAAGAGAAAAGGAACTTAAACTACACAGAGATATTTTTCACTTCAGATTGGCAGAGGTCGGAAACTTGTTATCTGCTGTGCTTTGTGAAGTAATTGCCTTTGTACCTTATCAGCTGGAGTATGAATTGATGTTCCCTATTTGGAGGGCAGTGTCTGTCTAAATGTTACTGTAGGCACCCTTTGACCTGGCAGGTTCCTTTTTTGAAAGTTTATATATATGTGAGACAGAGTCTCATTATGTTGCCCAGGGTGGTTTCAAACTCCTGGGCTCATGGGATCCTCCCACCTGGGCCTCCCAAAATGCTGGAGTTACAGATGGGAGCCACCACACCTGGCAGAGAAAGTGATCTTATCAACACTCTTGCTTGAGTGTGAAATTCAATTGTTTATTCAATGCTGCATTGTTTGTAAGAGGAACACCAATGCCAAGTCCCCAGGAGACCGATGGAAGTCAAGTTCATCCCTACAATAGAATACAAAGCAGCCGTAACAAAGAGTGAGGAAACTGTTCATGTATACTGCGGGATGATCTTTAAAATCTGTGGTTAAGAGAAAAAAGCAAAGTACGGAACATTATGTAACGTATGCTTCCTTCGATTTGATAACAGAAGATGTATATTTACTTTATTTTTGTATAAAATATTTTCTGAAAGAAGACATAAGCAACCCATGATCATTGCCTCTAGAGAGAGGAACTGAGGGGAGGGCCATAGGGAATGGAATGAGAAGACTTGTCCCTTGTACCTCTTTGTTCAAAAGAAATATCAAGAATAAAACACATCTATGTTACTGATAAAGATAGTTTCCAAAGGCTGTGTGCGGTGGTTCACACCTGTGATCCCAGCACTTTGGGTGGCCAAGGCGAGTGGATCGCTTGAGCTCAGGACTTTGAGACCAGCCTGAGCAACATGGCAAAACCCCATTTCTACTAAAAATACAAAATTAGCTGGGCATGGTGGTGTGTGCCTGTGGTCCTAGCTGCTCAGGAGGCTGAGGTGGGAGGATTGCTGGAGCCTGAGAGGTTGAGGCTGCAGTGAGCTATGATTGCACCACTGCATTCCAGCCTGGGCAACAGAGTGAGACCTTGTCTCAAAAAAAAAAAAAAAAGTTCAGTTTTTAATATTAGCTAAGTAAAAAAAAGCAAGGTATAGAATGGAGTATCGTAGTGCCTTTTGTGGCAACAAAATAGGTCGTATTTGGAATATATCTGGAAGAATGTAAGATGTTAGCAATGGTAGCTTGCCTGTAGGGTAGCAATGGGGGGCTGTTAATTTGGGGAGAAAGACATATTTTTCACTGTATACCTTTTTGAGTAATTTGAAAGAGTTTTAGCACACAAATATATTACCTATTAAAAATAATTACAAAGAGAGGGAGACATGGGTGGATGCATGGATGGATAGTTGGTTGGGTAGATGGATACATAGACAGGTGGATGGATTGGTTGGTGGATGGATGGATGAACTGTTGGGTGGGTAGATGGATTGATGGGTGAATGAATTGGTAGGTGGGTAGGGTGGATGGATGAATTGGTGGATGGGTAGGTGGATGGATGAATGAACTGGTGGGTTGCTGGATGGGTGGATGAATTGGTAGGTGGGTGGATGGATGGATTGATGGGTGAATGAATTGGTAGGTGGGTAGGGTGGATGGATGAATTGGTGGATGGGTAGGTGGATGGATGAATGAACTGGTGGGTTGCTGGATGGGTGGATGAATTGGTAGGTGGGTGGATGGATGGATGGATGGGTGAATGAATTGGTAGGTGGGTAGGGTGGATGGGTGAATTAGTGGATGGGTAGGTGCATGGATGAATGAATTGGTGGGTTGGTGGATGGGTGGATGAATTGGTAGGTGGGTGGATGGATGGATGGATGGGTGAATGAATTGGTAGGTGGGTAGGGTGGATGGGTGAATTGGTGGATGGGTAGGTGGATGTATAAATGAATTGGTGGGTGGGTGGATGGATGGATGAACTGGTGGGTGGGTGGATGGATGGATGGATGGGTGAATGAATTGGTAGGTGGGTAGGGTGGATGGGTGAATTGGTGGATGGGTAGGTGGATGTATAAATGAATTGGTGGGTGGGTGGATGGATGGATGAACTGGTGGGTGGGTGGATGGATGGATGGGTGAATGAATTGGTAGGTGGGTAGGGTGGATGGGTGAATTGGTGAATGGGTAGGTGGATGGATGAATGAATTGGTGGGTGGGTGGATGGGTGGATGAATTGGTAGGTGGGTAGCTGAATGGATGAATTGGTTGGGGGGGGTGGATGGATGAATTGGTGAGTGGGTAGTTGGGTGGATGGATGCATTGGTGGGTGGGTGGATGGATGAATTGGTGGATGGATGGATGGATGGGTTCATGGTTGGGTGATAAATATATCCATGGGTATACATATGGATGTGTACATAGATAATTCTCTGGCTATGATAGGGAGGACTGGCTGTGGTGGGGAACACTGACTGTGGTGGGGAGCACTGGCTGTAGCGGGGAGGACTCAGTAGGACAAGGAGAGGCTGGAGGCAGTGAAGACTTAGGAAGCAGTTGCATAGTCCTGGCAAGGAATAATTTGGGGCTAGGATCAGGTCAATTAAATGTTTAACATTGGAACTATGTCTCTTGTATACATAACTGCATATGTCAAGTCTTGGTATCGTTTTCTTTCTAGCAGGGCACATTCCTTTGGAATGAGCTTTTACTGGCAACTGCTCAGAAGCTGTTCTGTATATAATGACCACCAACAGTTTAATCCTTTTTTCAGCCATCACCTCAGGAATTAACAGTAGTATGAAATCAATTAAAATAATCAGTCTTTGAGATGTCATGCCTTCTCCACGATCAACTTCTTCTTTACAAGGCTGTGTTCCAAATACGCCAGGCCAAAAAGACGTGAACTTTGTCCTTTTTAGGGTTTGTGTCTTGATGTTTCCTGGCTAAATCTCTTTGTATGTGTTGGCCTTGTAAGGTTTACTTTTTTTTTTTTTTTTTTTGAGATGGAGACTGTGTTGCCCAGGCTGGAGTGCAGTGGTGCAGTCTCAGCTCACTGCAACCTTTGCCTCCCGGGTTCAGGTGATTCTCCTGCCTGAGCCTCCCTACTAGCTGGGATTACAGACGTGCACTACCCTGCCCGGCTAATTTTTATGTTTTTAGTAAAATATAAAAATTATGTTTTTATGGGGGGTTCTTGCCATGTTGGCCGGGCTTGTCTCAGACTCCTGACTGCCTGCCTAGGCCTCCCAAAGTGCTGGGATTACAGGCATGAGCCACCGCGCCCAACCTAATAACTAGATCTCTTTAATTATTGGAACATGTATATTTTGATCAGATTGACACTTTTTTTTTTAAGTGAAGTGATCTTATTTCCCTCATTTCTCATTTTTAACTTTTTTTTTTTTTTGATATGGCTTTAAAGCTCTGTGGAGCTGTAAGGGTCTGGGTTCCTTGACACTCCATGGGGGTCTCAGGTGATCGTGGGAGGGCTGTTGGAATCAGAGCTATTTGGAGGGTGCATAGGCCAGTAGGATGGGAAGGCTGTGGGAGAAGTGGGCTTTTTGGGGACCGCAGCCAAATGGACAACTGGGCCTAATCTAAAGATTGGCCCCTCCCAGCTCCTACTGATGGTCATGTAACAGGAATGGGGCCCAGCACCACCAGATTTTCTGATTTTTTTTTTTTTTTTTGAGACACAGTCTTGCTCTGTTGCCAGGCTGGAGTGCAGTGGCATGATATTGGCTCACTGCAACCTCCGCCTCCTGGGTTCAAGTGATTCCCCTGCCTCAGCCTCCCAAGTAGCTGAGACTACAGGCATGCGCCACCATGCCTGGCTAGTTTTTTGTACTTTAGTAGAGATGAGGTTTTACCATGTTGGCCAGGATGGTCTTGATCTCCTGACCTCGTGATCCTCCTGCCTCGGCCTCCCAAAGTGCTGGGATGACAGGCGTGAGCCACTGCGCCCAGAAGATTTTCTGATTTTTAAAGTTATGCCAGAGACCGGGCGTGGTGGCTCACGCCTGTCATTCCAACACTTTGGGAGACTGAGGTTGGCAGATCACCTGAGGTTTAGGACTTCGAGACTAGACTGGCCAATATGGTAAAACCTTGTCTTTACTAAAAATTCAAAAAAAATTAGCCAAGCGGGGTGACCGCAGTCCCAGCTATTTAGGAGGTTGAGGCAGGAGAATCACTTGAACCCGGGAAGCAGAGATTGCAGTGAGCCGAGATCGCTTGAACCCGAGAAGCAGAGATTGCAGTGAGCTGAGATCATGCCACTGCATTCCAGTCTGGGTGACAAAGCAAGACTCTGTCAAGAAAAAAAAAAATAAAAATAAAAAGCCGGAAATCAAATTTTAAATGTTGGGATCTAATCTAATTTTTTTAAAAACAAAAAGTATGCCTAAAACAACAGCAATAACAACAAGCCATCTATGGGCCAAACTGTGGGTGGGGAAACCTATTTTGTACTTCTTATTTTATCCGATTGAATTGTGGTGGAGATAGGAAATTGAGACCCCAAAAAGGGTAGTAAGTTTTCCCAAAGTTATTTAGTCAGTTGCCAGATTATGGCTTGAATTAAATTTAAATTCTTCAGCTGGGCATGGTGGTGCACACCTGTAGTATAGCTGCTTGGGAGGCAGAGGTGGGAGGACTGCTTGAGCCCAAAAGTTCAAGGCACAGGAAGCTGTGATCTTACCACCACACTTCAGCCTGGGCAACAGAGCAAGACCTCATTTCAAAAAAAGAAAAAAAAAAGAAAAATTTAAATTCTTCATTACAGAACAGCTGATGGTGGAGGTTTATTCTTGGGCAGGTACATCTGATCTATTTATGTATGTATCTATGAATTTGTCTATTTGGCATGGCTCTTTAGCAAAATACAGGCTTTTTTTTTTTAAGTAAAAGTAATTGAAACAAAATTTGTTTCCAAGGCTGGACAGCTCAGTGGCAAAATGCAGACTTGAACAACATTGCCCGAGTTTGAATTCAGCTCCAGAGCTTACCAGCTGTGTGATACTGGACACAGTATTTAACCCTTCTGTGCCTGAGTTTCACATCTGAAAAAGGAGATGATAAAAATAATTACAGAATGAAAGGAGATAATACACATGAGGTACTTAGAATAAAGCCTGGCATACAGAACTGCAGTTTGGTTGTTATCCGTGGTGGTGGCGGTGGCGGTGGCGGTGGCGGTGGCGGTGATGGTGGTGGTGATGGTGGCGATGGTGATGATGATGGTGGTGATGGTGGTGATGGTGTTGGCAGTGATATTGGTGGTGGTGATGGTCATAGTGGGGAAGGTGATGATGATGAATGAAGATGATTAGAAAGTCCTCAGTTCACAAGGTCAGAGTGATCTAGATGACACAGGGCTCTTCGGTTATAAGAGAATATCCTTCAGGGTTCCTTTAAATGGCTCTCTCCATCTTTCGTACTACAGTGGGACTTGCCACAGGTTCTGGGGACTGTTAATGTGAGATGAGATGCTACATACCTTTTTGTTGTTGGTGGGTTTTTTTGTGTGTATGCACTGTTGTGTGTGTGTGTGTGTGTGTGTGTGTGTGAGAGACAGGGTCTCGCTCTGTTGCCCAGGGTGTAGTACAGTGGCATGATCTCAGCTCGTTGCAACTTCCGCCTTCCAGGCTCAGGCACTCCTCCCACTTCAGCCGCCTGAGTGGCTGGGAATACAGGCACGCTCCATGCTCAGCCACTTTTTGTGTTTTTCATAGAGGCAGCATCTCACTATCTTGCCTAGGCTGGTCTCGAACTCCCAGCCTAAAGTGGTCTGCCCACTTGGCCTCCCAAAGTGCTGGGATTACAGGCATGAGCCACTGCACCTGACCTGTATGCTCCTGTTAAGAGAGCTTTATTTTTATTTATTTATTTTGAGACAGGGTCTCTGTTGCTCAGGTGGGAGTGCAGAAGACACCACATACCTTTATCCCTTGTTCCTCATTTCTTAGTCTTTCTGGCTACTGATCTTTTTAGTTTGCGTGTTCATCCTGAAAGGTCCTTGGATATATAGGAGCCTTGTCTGTTTCTTCAAACCCCGTGGCAGCTGGTTTCATGCTCCAGGCGAGCTCCTGTCCTCTGGGGTGTGTCCTGCTGACCCCTCGCCTGTGTTTGTGTTCGCAGGACTGGAATGTCACGTGGAATACCAGCAACCCCGACTTCACCAAGTGCTTTCAGAACACGGTCCTCGTGTGGGTGCCTTGTTTTTACCTCTGGGCCTGTTTCCCCTTCTACTTCCTCTATCTCTCCCGACATGACCGAGGCTACATTCAGATGACACCTCTCAACAAAACCAAAACTGTAAGTCACTGGGGGGTTTCGTTGTGGGGGGTGGGAAGGTGCACCTGGACGGGGAGTGGTGGTTGGTGATAACTGACATTTCTCTTCTACTTAGTTGACCCTAAGTTCCTTCTTCTAGAAGGCAGAAGAATAATGTGGGAGGTGAAAACTGGAGCTCTGGAGACAAACATGGGTACAAATCTTTGCTCTGCCGCTTAGTATTTGGCCTCGAGCAAATTTTTTAACCTCCCCAAGCCTCAGTTTCCCTGTTTATGCAATAGGAATGATAGGCTTGTTCTCAAGGCATTCCTGGGAGATTATCAGCTCTTCCCCTCTTACTGAGCCGATCTCCTTTTTATTTAATTAAATATATTTATATAGATTTTTTCTGGCCAATTTTTAATTTATTTTTTGTAGAGAGGGGGGACTTGCTGTGTTGCCCGGGCTGGTCTTGAACACCTGGCCTCAAGCAGTCCTCCTGCCTTGGTCTCCCAAAGTACTGGGATGCTCAGTGTGAACCACCACGCCTGGCCCCTAATTTTTTTTTTAAGTTGGCTTTTATTTTGAAATAATTTAAAGCTACAGGAAAATTGCAATAATGGGCCAGGCGTGGTGGCTCACGCCTGTAATCCCAGCACTTTGGGAGGCCAAGGCGGGCAGGTCAGGAGTTTGAGACCAGCCTGACCAACATGGTGAACCTGTCTCTACTAAAAATACAAAAATGAGCTGGGTGTGGTGGCATGTGCCTGTAATCTTAGCAACTTGGGAGGCTGAGGTGGGAGGATCCCTTGAACCCAGGAGGCAGAGGTTGCAGTGAACTGAGATAGTGCCACTGCACTCTAGCCTGTGCAACAGAGCGAGACTCCTTCTCAAAAAAAAAAAAAAAAAAAAAAAGTTGCGATGATACCAGGAACTGCTGCCTGATTTTCTCTATCCATCACTCATAGTCACTGTTTCCTGTTTTTTTTTTTTTTGTTGTTGTTTTTTGTTTTTTTTTGACACAAGGTGTTGCTCTTTTGCCCAGGCTGGAGTGCAATGGTATGATCACAGCATACTGCAACCTTGAACTCCTGGCTCAAGCCATCCTCCTGCCTCAGCTTTTTGAGTAGCTGGTAGCTGGGACTGCAGGCATACACCACCATGCCTGGCTAATTTAAAACAATTTTTTGTAGAGACAGGGTCTCGCCTTGTTGCCCAGGCTGTTGTCAAACTCCTGGCTTCCAGTGATCCTCCTGCCTCGGCCTCCCAAAGTGCTGGTATTACAGGCATGAATCTGGCCTGTATTCACTGATTTTTTAATCTTTTGCTACATTTGTTTTATCATGAGCTTTTGTTCTCTCTCTCTGTATGCATGCTATAATTTATTTTTTCTGAATCATTTGAGAATGGATGCACCTTGAAACATATCCCACCCGTAGAGGGCTCTCAGTAAATACTGGTTGAATGAATGGTTGTCGTGGAGGGCTTTCTTGTGCAGTGCGCCGGAGTTGCAGCTAGAGATGAGCTGTGAGCTGAGCTCTTGAGTGTTCAGGCACCGGGGAGCATGGTGACCAGACAAACAGTCCTGTTGGAGGTAGTGGGGCGTAGCAGGCTGATTACAGACCATCACGTGCCGGCCTGGATGCCAGCTCACCATACCGAGGACTTGTCCTTATTCCAGTGGATATGTGCCATGTCCTAGGACTGTGGCTGATCATTTGAAGGCTGGCTGGTTCTCCTATCCCTGGGGCTGAGCTGTTCGTGCAGGCCCTGGGGGAGGTTCCAGGGCGGTCTGTTGTAGGATATGTATGTGCTTCTCTTCCAGGCCTTGGGATTTTTGCTGTGGATCGTCTGCTGGGCAGACCTCTTCTACTCTTTCTGGGAAAGAAGTCGGGGCATATTCCTGGCCCCAGTGTTTCTGGTCAGCCCAACTCTCTTGGGCATCACCATGGTAAGTAGGAGCTGGCTGTGACCCCTGGGCCATCTGCTGGGCTCAGTGGAGACCAAAAGTAATAACTCGTAAGACTAGAATCATAGTTTTTTAAGGCAATGATCAGCTGGAGCTGGGATATAAATTAAATGTAGCCTTTTTTTTTTTTTTTTTTTTTTTAAAGACATGAGATCTCGCTTTCATCCAGGCTGGAGTGCTATGGTACCATCATAGTTCACTGCAGCCTCAAACTTCTGGCCTCAAGCAATCCTCCTACCTCAGACTTCTGAGTAGTTGGGACTACAGGTGTGTGTCACCACGCCCAGCTTATTTTTGGCTAATTTTAAATTTTTCTGTAGAAATGGGATCTCACTGTGTTGTCTAGGCTGGTCTTAGACTCCTGGCCTCAAGTGATCCTTCCAGAGCACTGGCATTATAAGCATGAGCCACTGTTCCCAGCCCCAGCTGCAGTCTTTGGATGGGGCATGTGTTGTCCAGTTTGCCACAGTCCCCACCATGCCCTATTGTCTTCCCTGCCACTGATTGAGTGGCAGATGCCCCCTTTTGTTGCGTTTGCCACACTTTGCTCTTGCATTGGCTACTTTGGTCACTTATATACTAACTGCCTGGGGTCTAATGGCCTTGAGTTTTCACTATCTGGCATAGGGGGTGGGTTGCTAAGCTAAATAGGAAACTGCTCTGTCCCGGGGGATACACAACTTAGTGAGTGACAGAGACAAGGAAACAACTTTATTAATTACAGCTGGTGTGTATTGAGCACTTACTATGTATGTACCTGGCAGTATTCTTGGTGTTTCACGTGTCTTGAAATTCATTGAATTTTCACAACAACCCTGTGAGATGGGTCCTGCTTTGTTCCCATCTTACAGGTGAGGAAACCAGGCAAGAGAGGTTAAGTGTCCTGCTCAAGATCACACCACTAATGTGCAGCCGAGTCAGGGGTGGGACCCCAGATGCCATGCTTTTAGCCCCTGCAACCTGCAGCTTCTGAGCCCTGAACAGAGAGTTCTCGGAGAGTGTAGCCCTTGAGTATTGTAAAAAGAGGAGGGAGGCTGGGCATCGTGGCTCATGCCTGTAATCCCAGCACTTTGGGAGGCTGAGGCGGGAGAATCACTTGAGGTCGGGAATTTGAGACCAGTATAGCCAACATGGCAAAACCCCGTCTCTACTAAAAATAAAAAAATTAGCCGGCGTGGTGGCACACGCCTGTAGTCCTAGCTACTCAAGAGGCTGAGGCAGGAGAATTGCTTGAACCCGGGAAGTGGAGGCTGCAGTAAGCCGAGATCGCACCACTGTGCTCCAGTCTGGGGGACAGAGCGAGACCTCATCTCAAAAAAGAAAAAGAAAAAAAAAAGGAGAGAACAAGTTTAAGGCAGGACATTCTGAGCAGGGTGAACAGTGTGTCCAGGGAGGGGTGGAAGGTTAAGGGGAGGATGCAGGCAGGGAGGACAAGGTGTTCGGTGAAGGAACACGGTGTGAAGGTTGGGGGGATAGAGTGGATGTGACAGAGGGGTCAGGAAAGACAACGTGGAGCCAGGTTGCCAAGGACCATGAATCTTTATTTTTCTAAATTAATTTTTCATTTTTTAAATTTTAGAGTCAGAGTCATACTCTGTTGCCCAGGCTGGACTTCACTGGCGTGAGATCACAGCTCACTGCAGGCTTGAACTCCTGGGCTCAAATGATCCTTCTGCCTCAGCCTCCCAAGTAGCTGGGAGTGTAGGCATGCACCAACATGCCCATCTACATTTATTTTTTATTTATTTATTTTTTTATTTTTCCCCCCGAGATGGAGTTTCGCTTTGTTGCCCAGGCTGAAATGTAATGGTGTGATCTTGAGTTGCCGCAACCTCTGCCTCCTGGATTCAAGCGATTCTCCTGCCTCAGCCTCCCGAGAGGCTGGGATTACAGGCATGCGCCACCACGCCCGGCTGATTTTGTATTTTTAGTAGAGATGGGATTTCACCATGTTGGCCAGGCTGGTCTCGAACTCCGGACCTCAGGTGATCCACCCACCTAGGCCCCCCAAAGTGCTGGGATTACAGGCATGAGCCACCACCCCCGGCCAGTTTGTTATTTTTGTAGAGACAGGGTCTCCCTATGTTGCCCAGGCTGGCCTCAAACTCCTTGTCTCAAGTGATCCTCCTGTCTGGGCCTCCTAAAGTGCTAGGATTATAGGTGTGAGCCACCATGCCCTGCCCAGACCATGATTCTATATAGCACACATATGTGCTGTCCACTCTCTGCCAAGAACTGTCCTAATCCCTTTATTAACCCTTTTACGTTGTAAATAAGGTAAGCAAAGTGTGGTACAGAGAGGAGAAGGACTGGCCCAAGGTCACCTGGTCAGTAAGTGGTAGAGCCAGCTTCCAGTCTAGGCCCCAGCGTGTAGCCTGGCACCTGCTTTACGCCTGGCTCTCCTGCTGGGTTTGATTCCCCTTTGTGTCCTCAGAGCCTGGCCCTGTGCCTGGCATGCAGTAAGCGTTCCATAAATGCATGGAGGGAATGAGAGAGTAAAGGGCTTTGCTTTGTCCTGAATTCGGGTCTTGGGCTCTGTGTTCTGGCAGTGGGGTATTAGAGTGGATTTTTTTTTTTTTTTTTCAATTTCACTATAATAGAGACAGGGTCTTTCCATGTTGCCCAGGCTAGTCTTAAACTCCCGAGCCCAAGTGATCCCTCTGCCTTGGCCTCCTAAAGTGGTGGGATTACAGGCATGAGCCACCATACGTGGTCAGCTGTTTTTGACTTGAGTAGGTCATCCTCCCTTAACATTCCTTGTTCCTGGTCTTTTTTTTTTTTCCTTTGAGGCAGAGTTTCGCTCTTTTTTCCCAGGCGCAATGGCATGATCTTGGCTCACTGCAACCTCTGCCTCCCGGGTTCAAGTGATTCTCCTGCCTCAGCTTCCCCAATAACTGGGATTACAGGCACGCGCCACCACACCTGGCTAATTTTTGTATTTTTAGTAGAGATGGGGTTTCACCATGTTGGCCAGGCTGGTCTCAAACTCCTGGCCTCAGGTGATCCACGTGCCTTGGCCTCCCAAAGTGCTGGTATTACAGGCGTGAGCAACTGTGCCTGGCCGTTCCTGGTCTTTTGATCGTTCATTTATGCCTCTGTCACCCTGGGGGAAACAGGGGTGATAGTCTGAGGGTTGGGGCTTTTGACTCCTCAGGGGACTCTGAGCTGGGCTGGCCAAGAGGTGAACTGGCCTGTGAGATCCTCAGCCTCTCTTTATCTACCTGAGATCTCTGGGATGGAATGGAGGACCACCAGCTCAGCTGTGAATGTGTCAGAAACATTCTGACTATATCCCAGGGAACCAGGATATGCAGGCACTGGTAATATGGGACAGGATGCAGCCAGCACATGTTTTTTTTTTTTTTCTTTGAGATAGCGTCTCACTCTGTCGCCCAGGCTGGAATGCAGTGGCATGATCTCAGCTCAGTGTAGCCTCCGCCTCCCAGGTTCAAGTGATTCTCCTGCCTCAGCTTCCCAGCTAGCTGTGACTAAAGGCGTATGCCACCACGCCTGGCTAATTTTTGTATTTTTAGTAGAGATAGGGTTTCACCATGTTGGCCAGGCTGGTCTCAAACTCCTGACCTGCCCGCCTTGGCCTCCCAAAGTGCTGGGATTACAGGCATGAGCCACTGCACCTGGCTGATTTTTTTTTTTTTATCCCTACTCTGTATCAAGCGTTGGAGACACAACCATATAGTCTAGCTGTGCAAACAGACATTAAACAAATGATTCCTCAAAAGGCACAAAGTGTTTGAACGTCTGCAGAGTGCTGTGTGAGGGTGAAGGCAGGGGAGCTTGGTTTGGTCTGGGGCATAGCCAGGCTTCTCTGAGGGAGGGATGGTGGAGGTGAAGCCTGAGAATGAGCAAGTTGTTAAAAAGCTTAAGGGGCTGAGGGCAGAGGACCAGCTGCGGAGAAAAGCACATGTAAAGTCCTGAGGGTCACAGGGAAAACTTGAGAGTTGTGTGTGGCTGGAGCAGAGATGGCCGAGGCAGAGAGCAGGGGCGATGGGGCAGAGGCTGACCCCGGGAACGTTGAGCATCAGGGCAAGTGGGTTTTGTTTTCTGTACTGGGTTCTCTGCCTGTTCTTTTAAATAAAGTTTTATTGGCATGAAGGCATGTCCATTCATTAACATCTTGTCTATGGCCACTTTCACACTGCAGTGGCAAAGCTGAGTAGTTTTGATGTAGTCTATGGCCCATGAAGTCCAAAATATTTATTACGTGGTCCATTAAGAAATAGTGTGGCTGGGAGCAGTGGCTCACACCTGTAATCCCAGCACCTTGGGAGGCCAAGGCAAGTGGATCACCTGAGGTCAGGAGTTTGAGACCAGCCTGGCCAACGTGGTGAAACCCCGTCTTTACTAAAAATACAAAAATTAGCTAGGCATGGTGGCGGGCACCTGTAGTCCCAGCTACTTGGGAAGCTGAGGCAGGAGAATCACTTGAACCTGGGAGGCGGAGGTTGCAAGTGAGCTGAGATTGCACCACTGCGCTCCAGCCTGGGTGACAAGAGTGAAACTCTGTCTCAAAAAAAAACCCAACAACTCCTGTCTTGTGCTTCTCTCCTCAGCTGCTTGCTACCTTTTTAATTCAGCTGGAGAGGAGGAAGGGAGTTCAGTCTTCAGGGATCATGCTCACTTTCTGGCTGGTAGCCCTAGTGTGTGCCCTAGCCATCCTGAGATCCAAAATTATGACAGCCTTAAAAGAGGTAAGTGGCAGTCTCCTTCCTCATCTTCCTTCAGTGGACCCGGAGGGAGAGATGCTGGGTCCCTCTGGCTTGTGTAGAAGTCATGCGTTGCCATGGGAACCAGGGGCTGGGTACCACATGCACCTAGCTTCTCCCTTGGTGACTTTCCTACCCCACCAAATCCTCACTAAATCAGCCCCAGCCTTTTTTCTAGCACCTCCTTTCCCCAGGGCCTGATTTGTCTGTGTTGCTCCAAGGGGCTCCCATGGGACCTCCAAGGGCAGGAGCTGTGGGCCGATGCCAGGCTGGCCCCATCAGCAGGAAACAGCAAGACAGGCGGCTCCAAATTTTGCCAGGCTGGGATGGAGCCGAGCCGGGAACGGTGTTTGCAGAGTGACTGTTCCCCTGGGGGACCCTAGGCTTGTCCTCGCGTTACCTTTGTCCCATCAGTTGCTGCTCTGGCTGGGGAAGTTGTTTACATTGGCTGCTGTGTGCTGCTGCTAGGAATTTTGAGGAGTGTGCACTTTTTTTTTTTTTTTTTTGCTGTTGTTGAGGCGGAGTCTCGCTCTGTCACCAGGCTGGAGTGCAGTGGCACGATCTAGGCTCACTGTAACTTCTACCTCCTATGTTCAAGCGATTCTCCTGCCTCAGCCTCCCCAGTAGCTGGGACCACAGGCACGCGCCACCATGCCCAGCTAATTTTTGTATTTTTAGTAGAGACGGGGTTTCACCACGTTGGCCAGGATGGTGTCGATCACTTGACTTCGTGATCCACCCGCCTCGGCCTCCCAAAGTGTTGGGATTACAGGCGTGAGCCACCACGCCTGACCTGGAGTGTGTGCTTTTGGAATAACCTGCTGTTCCTGCCATCTTGGAGCTAATTAGAGACTGGCATGAGGCAAAGGAAGGAAAAGAAGCTGAACATTTGACTATTGATTGCCTACATATTATTATGAGTGATAGCAGCTGATGCTGATTGAGTTCATGTTTTCAAAGTGCCTCGCAGGGGACTGTGTATGTGTCACGAATAATCTTCCTGACCTCTTGCAGTGACTTGGACAGAATTTCTCAGCCTCAGCACTAATCGACATTTTGGATTGGAGACTCGTTGGTTGTAGGGGCTGTCCTGTGCTTTGTAGACATTTAGGGGTGTCCCTGGCTTCCCCTGACTGGGTGCCATAACACTCCCAAGTTACCACAAAGAAGATATCCCCAGACACTGCCAGATGTTTCCTGGGAGGCAGAATCACCCCTGGTTAAGAACCACCGGTGGTTTATAGGTGGGGAATCTGAGGCACAGAAAGGTTAAATAAGTTGACAAGATCCCACAGCCAGTGTGAGAGAGCCAGGCCTTGATACAGCTCTGTTTCACTCCCAAGCCCTGTCTTCCTCCCATCAGGCAGCGGTGAGCAGTGAGACTACCCGTGATGGAGCCGGCTTTCTGCCATTACATCCCGGGGGGAGCTGGGAGCCCCTGGGGAGCCTGCAGTGTCCCTGTGGCTGAGTGGGTTTCTGCCACCTGCTCTCAGAATGTGATCTTGGTTTTTTTTTTTTTTTTTTTTTTGAGATGGAGTTTTGCTCTGTCACACAGGCTGGAATGCAGTGGCGTGATCTCGGCTCACTGCAGCCTCCGCCTCCTGGGTTCAAGTGATTCTCCTGTCTCAGCCTCCCGAGTAGCTGGGATTACAGTTGCCCACCACCACGTCTGGCCAATTTTTGTATTTTTAGTAGAGACGGGGTTTCACCATGTTGACCAGGATGGTCTCCAACTCTTGACCTCAGGTGTTCTGCCTGTCTCGGCCTCCAAAAGTGCTAGGATTACAGGCGTGAGCCACCACACCCAGCCCCAGAATGTGATCTTTTTCTTCCTTCCTTCCCCACCATGTAGGATGCCCAGGTGGACCTGTTTCGTGACATCACTTTCTACGTCTACTTTTCCCTCTTACTCATTCAGCTCGTCTTGTCCTGTTTCTCAGATCGCTCACCCCTGTTCTCGGAAACCATCCACGACCCTGTAAGTGTGACCACAGATGAGTGTGTGTGCGTGTGTGTGTGAGAGAGATGCGTGACACAGTACCAGCTAACATTTCTTAGATCCATCCAGGATCTCGTTCCAGCCTCCCTCAACCCCTGATACAGGGAATATCATCCCACCTACTTTACAGATGGAAAAACTGAGGCTTAGATGTGGCTGGGGGAGCTGAAGGAGAGAATCTGCTTTGTCATTGATGAACTGCTGTCTTGCAGGCCTGTAGGTTTCTCACTTGGCATGGTGATTTTGGAAAATGTGAGCAGATAATTACAAATCAGGTATTTTTTATGAATTCTAGCTGTCCAGATGTTCTGGAAAAGTAAAGTTCTGACAGATTAGGCCTATAATCCTACAGGGCAGAGCTGAGGAGTTGCTGGAGTCCCCGGCACTCCCTGTTGTATTATACTGGCATGCTTTCCTCACTTGTGGCAAATGCCTGGCCCCTGAGGGATTTGAGTGTGAGATCCTTGGTCTATTTTGTCAGTTTCAGAGAAATTCTGTAAATATGGAAACTTATCAGTGAGGAGTGTAGAGATGGCCACCGTTTCTGCTAGTAGAACAAAAGGGAACACTTTATTAATTTCCCTTAATTCTTTTCTTCTTTTTTTTGAGACAGGGTTTTGCTCTGTTGCCTAGGCTGGAGTGCAGTGGTGTGATCTCGGCTCACTGTAGTCTTGACCTCCTGGGCTCAAGCAATCTTCCTACCTCAGCTTTCTGAGTAGCTGGAATTACAGGCACACACCACCATGCCTGGCTAATTTTTTTTCTTTCTTCAACTTTTATTTTAAGTTCCAGGGTATAGGTACAGGATGTGCAAGTTCGTTACATAGGTAGATGTGTGCCATGGTGATTTGCTGCACAGATCAACCCATCATCTAGGAATCAAGCCCAGGATCCATTAGCTATTCCTCCTGATGTTCTCCCTACACCTGCTCCCCAACTTGGCTTACTTTTAATTAATTAATAATTAAAGATGGGGAGATGGTCTCAAACCCCTGGGCTCAAGCGATCCTCTTGCCTTGGCCTCTCAAAGTGCTGGGATTACAGGTGTGAGTCACCACGCCTCGCCTATTCTTTATTTTTTTAAATAGAGATGGGATCTTGCTGTGTTGCCCAGGCTCATGTGCAGCTTTTGATAAGAGAGATCTGGGAAGGCCTGCCCAGAAAACTGCATGTGAGCGGAGACCTAGAGGGGTGAGGTAGTGGGTGGAGCAAACACCTAGAGGAAGAGTGTTCCAGGCAGAGGGGAATAAGTACAAGGGCCCTGGGGTGGGGAGGTGTGGAGAGAACAGCAAGAAAAGCCAGCACAGCAGGAGAAGGCTAAGAGACAGTGGGTGCCTGAGAGGTGGGACAGCCCCCTTGTGAGCCAGATGAGCTGTTTGGGTTTTATTGTGAGTATGGGGCAGGGAGGCCTTGGAGCACCTATTTGATGCTGATTCATGGCTAGTCAGCTGGTAATGGGCGGATTGCAGTGGGAGAACTTTTCACCTCTGTGGTTCTGTTGGGTTTGGCCTAAACCTCTGTGAGGGGCAGAGGCTCACCTTGTGGGTGACGAAAGGGCTTGGTGGGCATCAGTATGGAGGAGGAGGTTGATGATAACTAAGAGATTTTAGAAACCTATGTCTCAGGCCAGGTGTGGTGGCTCACACCTGTAATCGCAGCACTTTGGGAAGCTGAGGCAGGCAGATCAGTTGAGTTCAGGAGTTCGAGACCAGCCCAGCCAACATGGTGAAATGCCATCTCTGCTAAAAATACAAAAATTAGCCAGGCATGGTGGTGCATGCTTGTAATCCCAGCTAGTCGGGAGGCTGAGGCAGGAGAATCTCTTGACCCTGGGAGGCGGAGGTTGCAGTGAGCAGAGATCACACCACTGCGCTCCAACCTGGGTGACAGAATGAGACTCTGTCTCAAAAAAAGAAAAAAGAAATGCATGTCCCAGTGTATGTTCTGAGGAGTCCCGTGTTGGTATTTCCTTGCCCAAAGAGGAGCTGGGTTGGAGAAATGAGCAAGTGCACACATCTGTGTATGTATTCCTGTGCATCTGTGTGTACGTGTGCATGTGCCTGCTTGTGTGTCTCGGTAGTCATAGGCATGTATATGCGTGTATGTGCTTATATGTGAATGTGTGCTTGTGAGTGTGTTTATGTTCATGTATGTGTGTGTTTGTGTGTGTGTGTGTCTTTGTGTTGTGTGTGCTTGCATATGTATAAAGTTCACAAAGGCAATGGTGACTCATGCCTGTAATCCCAGCACTTTGAAAGGCCAAGGCTAGAGGATCGCTTGAGCCCAGGGGTCACCCCATTTTGGATCCCTGGCTGGTGCCTGACACAGAAGAGAGGGGCTCATGAGTCAGTGGCTGTTATATGTATTGTGTATCAGTGTGTGTAAGTGTGTGGCAGCCGAGTGTCCCTGTTTGTCAAATGTTGGGCTATTCTTTTTTGTCTTTTGTTTGTTGTTTTTTTCTGTTGTTTTGTTTTGTTTTTAGACGGATTCTTGCTCTTGTTGCCCAGGCTAGAGTGCAGTGGCATGATCTCGGCCCACTGCAACCCCGCCTCCTGGGTTCAAGCGATTCTTCTGCTTCAGCCTCCTGAGTAGCTGGGATTACAGGCGCCCATCACCATGCTCGACTAATTTTTGCATTTTTAGTAGAGATGGGGCTTCACCATCTTGGCCCGGCTGGTCTCGAACTCCTGACCTCAAGTGATCCACCCGCCTCGGCCTCCCAAAATGTTGGGATTACAGGTGTGAGCCACCGTGTCTGGCCGAGCCATTCTTTAGAACTGGGATTTATACAAAACAAGTCACACCTCAACTGGGTGGCTGCAGACCTTGGATTGCTCAGGGTAAACAGAGTCTGGTTGGGGCTGCCTGGCTGGCGTGGGGATCACCCAACCCATCAAGCTTCCTCTGGGAGCCTGGGAAGAGCTCTCTTGCCATGGATGGTTCTGGAAGCTTTTTGAAGGAGGGACTTTCTTAATTTCTGATCTCCCTTGGGAATCTGGATAAATTCCCTTTCACTTCTCCCCTGGGCGTGTGTGTACCAGGGTGACTCACAGATCTGACTTGGACCTTTTTTTGTGCTTTCTGCATTCCTGGCAGCCTGGGCCTGGGATTTGCTCTGCCACCCTGGGTGACATGAAGCTCTCAGCTCTGGCGGCTAAAAGGCTACACTGTTGTGGGGCTGGGACACCCTGACTCTTCTCCCCAGTCATTGTTTTCTGTTTCTGTGTCATCTCCCCCAGCTCGGCTCCTCCTGTGTCACTGCTGGTCTTCCAAGATGGTGGAAGACACTGTGGTTTGTCTCTTTGCAGTCTCGCTCTGTCGCCAAGGCTGTAGTGCAGTGGCATGATCTTGGCTCTGCAGCCTCTGCCTCCCAGGTTCAAGCAATTCTCCTGCCTCAGCCTCCTGAGTAACTGGGACTACAGGCGCACACCACCATGCCTGGCTAGTTTTTGTATTTTTAGTAGAGATGGGGTTTCACCGTGTTGGCCAGGATGGTCTCGATCTCCTGACTTCAAGTGATCCGCCCACTTTGGCCTCCCAAAGTGCTGGGATTACAGGCTTGAGCCACCGTGCCCGGCTGTGGTCTGCCTCTTGTGCAGTGAGATCCAGCAGGGTGTCAAATGTGGGTGTGCAGGCTGCTGCATTTCTGACATTTGTGCACCTGTCCAGGAGAGAACACTTTGATTGGCTGACACTCTCTGTCCAGGAAGCCTGAACTTCCCTCTGGGTTCCTGTTCAGGAACCCCATGGGGTTGCCATTTACCTTTTTGCAGATTAGAGTTTAGACCAGGAGTTAGCCAGTAGCCCATGGGCCGAATCTGGCCTGCTGCCTGTTTTTGTAAATAAAGTTTTATTGGAACACAGCCACTCGCGTTCATCACATAGTGTCTACAGGTGTCTGGAGCTGCAGCAGTGGAGTTGTGTAGTTGCTACAGAGACTGTAGCACCCACAAAGTCTAAGATACCTACCATCTGACCCTTTACAGAAGAAGTTTGTCCACCCCTGGTCTAAGCATTTCTTTAGCTCTGATGACTTTTTAGCTTCCTTTTTTGTCCCCTTTCCATTTGCAGGCATTCTTTCTTCCTATGCAAGGCAAGGACGGGAATCGACATTTATTAGATGCTTGCGGTGTACTGGCTAGCACTATGCTAAGTTCTTTATATGCATGTCTCACTTGACTCTCACAGCAGTCCTGGTGAACTTGGTACTATTTTTCTCATTTTACAGACAAACAATCGCAGACATAAGTGCCTTGCTCGACCTGAGTAGTAGAGCAGAGATTCGAACTCACGACTGGCTGTTGTGCACAATCATGTCACTTCGCTTGGTTGTAACTGCTGAATGGGAGGGTCTTGGCTAAATAATGGCTTTGTGTTAGGCTAGAGGCTTCACGTGGCAGTATCCACCTTGTAACCTCAGTGCCTAAGACACAGCCAGGCACACGGTGGGCCTGTAGTGGTAATTTATTGTTGTGTTATATGGGGAGGTGCTCAGTACATGTGGCACGTATATTATGTCTTGCATAAGGGTGAAGTGTGCATGAGGCCTCACAGGACATCAGATTAAGCTGCTTCTCTGCCTTCATCCTGTTCAAGTATTACCAGCAAGAAAGAGGAAGGGGACTGATGTATGCACAGATGTTCTGAAGGCTTGGCATGGTGTCAAGAGCCTTATTTTTTTTTTTAATGTTGCATTTTGGGGGGTTAAATATATGTAACCTAAGATTTGCCATTTTAACCATTTTAAGTATGCAATTCAGTGATGCTAAGTGCTTTTAAAAATCTTGTTCAAGGCCAGGTGTGGTGGCTTACACCTATAAACCCAGCACTTTGGGAGGCCGAGGCAGGTAGATCACCTGAGATCAGGAGTTTGAGACCAGCCTGACCAACATGGTGAAATCCCATCTCTACTAAAAATACAAAAATTAGCTGGGCATGGTGTTGAGCACCTGTGATCCCTGCTATTTAGGAGGCAGAGGCAGGAGAATTGCTTGTGCCCGGGAGGCGGAGGTTGCAGTGAGCTGAGATCGCTCCAGTCTGGGCAACAGACTGAGACCCTGTCTCAAACAAACAACGAACAAATGAACAAACAAACAAACAAAATAACCACATAACTACCTAGCAACGTAGCCTAGCAATTGAGATGGGGGCAAGGAAGGGTAGGAACCAGGTCCTGTGAGAATCAGCTAGACTTGTGGCTTTGGGCTCGGTGCTCTTCCTTTGGGGACGTCAGCAGCCCCTTCTTGAAAACGGGTTGCAACTCGATTTGTTGTTGGCTTCACCTCCTCTCTCTGTCCCAGACCTGAGCCCTGTGATCTGGGGAGGAGGACAACGGGACAACCTGTTTGCTTGTTTTCCCATCACTCTCAGGGATTGAATCACAGTGGAGCCAGGAAGATGGGGAGAGTCCAGGCTTGCTGCTCTCCCATCCTCAGAGCAGCAGCAGGCCATCCATCACCTGTCGCCTGTCCTCAGAGTGATCAGCCAAGGCCTGGGGCGGCTGGGGTCAGGTCAGGCAGGGCGTGGGTGGGAGCTGGCAGGGCTGGCTCCTCCAGGCCACTTCGTGCTGAGTCACTGAGTCGGCCAATCCTCCCCAGCTGGCCCTGCTCCCACTCCATGACTCAGATGTCTATTCCAGCCCTGGCTGCTTGGTGGGGCTCCTCCCATCTGTCCTTCTGGCTCTGGGGCTGCCGAGGCTTTTGGGAGCCTGGGCAGGGCTGACCAAGACTGCCAGAGCTCCGGCCGGTCCCCAGTCTCCTGCCTTTTTTCTCATTGGCACTGAGTCTGTGGTTTAGGTTTGGGGGAGGAGGGTCTTGTAGATAAGGGGATCAAGGCCAAAGGAGATCATTTATTAGGTCCCAGCTGAAAGCAGAGGTCCTTGGACCAGTTGGAATGCTCGACATCCCCCGGAAGCTTGCTAGAAATGCTGGGTCTCAGGCCTCATCCCAGACCTACCAAGTCAAACTCATTTTAACAAGATCTCCAGGTGGTTCAGGGTTGCAAATCACTGGTTTGGAACATTCAGTGAAAGCTACTCAGCTCGTTTGCAGTAAGAGGTATTTTTAGTCCTGTCTGTATAATATGTAATATTTTCCCCCCAGCATTTTACTATGAACATTCTTAAACCTACAGAAAAGTCGAAAGAATTCTACTGTGAGCAGTCATATAGTTGGTACCTAGAGCCACAGTTAACATTTTGCTAAACTTGCTTTGTCACATATCTGTCTGTCTAACCAGATAGCTAATCAGCCAGCCAACCGGCTACTTTTGTTTTGTTTTTTGTTTTTGAGATAGGGTCTCACTCTGTCTCGCAGACTAGAGTGCAGTGGTGTGATCATAGCTCACTGCAGCCTCCAACTCCTGGGCTCCAATGATCTTCCCGCTTCTGCCTCCCAGGTAGCTTGGGCCCTACAGGTGCACACTACTGTGTTTGGCTAATTTTTAAATTTTTTGTAGGCGTGAGGGCTCCTTATGTTGCCCAGTCTGGTCTTGAACTCCTGGCCTCAAGCCATCCTCCCACCTCAGCCTCCCAAAATACTGGGATTACAGGCCTGAGCCACTGAACCTAGTTTTTTTGATATCTGAAACTTCCTTCGAAATATATTAGTATTCTTTCATGCACCCACTTCCAAGTAAATCATTAGCTAGAGTTTAAGATCTGTTTACACTTCTGAGTTTTTTGCTTAAAATTTACATACAGTGAAATTGCTGATCTCAAGTTAGCATTTGATGAATCTTGGTAAAGGAATACTTTAAACCCCTGTCAAGATATAGAACACTGCAAGGACGCCAGGAAGTTCCCTCGTGCCCCTTCATGATCAGTCTCTGTCCCCACCCACCAAGGCCTGATCTTGGACCGTTGATTAAAGCGTTGAAACTCCATTTTCTTTCCATTTCTCCGTCATGCTTTCAGTCATTTAATAATCAGGTGTTGTGCCAGGGGCTGAGCTAGAAAGAAACAGACCTTGACCACTGCCCTGGAGGAGAGATGGAAGGTGGGTGGCAGGCAGTTGAACCAACAACTGCAGGATGGACAGTGGGGGCTCTGAGGGAGGGAAGTGCTGGGAGTTGTGGGGGCTGGGAGAGTGGTCCCTGACTCAGCCTGGGGCTCCAGGGCTAGCATCCAGGGAGGAGAGGGGATGCTCAAGTCTAAGGAATGCGAGGCTCTGGCCAGGTGAATATGTTTGGAGGTGGTGGGGTGGGAGGGTGCTCCTGGTAGAGCAACTGGCATGTGCAAAGGTCCAGTTGAGGGAGCTTGTGGGTGTTGGGAATCACTTGGAATTCGGCTTGGCTAGGCTGGGTGCAGTGGCTCATGCCTGTAATCCCAGCACTTTGGGAGGCCGAGGCAGGCAGATCACCTGAGACTAGGAGCTCAAGACCAGCCTGGCCAACGTGGTAAAACCCCGTCTCTACTGATCATAAAAAAATTAGCTGGGTGTGGTGGTGCATGCCTGTAATCCCAGCTACTCGGGAGGCTCAGGCAGGAGAATTGCTTGAACCCGGGAGGCGGAGGTTGCAGTGCGCCGAGATCGCGCCACTGTACTCCAGTCTGGGCGACAGAGCAAGACTCTGTCTCAAAAGAAAGAAAGAAAAAAAGAATTCTGCTTGGCTAGATTGGAAGGGCTAGGATGTAAGCGAAAAGAGAGGCAAGAGTCAGCATCAGAGATCAAGGGTGCAATTATGTGTCACAATAAGGACTTGGAATTTTTTGTTTGTTTGTTTGTTTTGAGATGGAGTTTCACTCTGTCACCAAGGTTGGAGTGCGGTGGTGCCATCTCAGCTCACCGTGCCCTCCACCTCCGGGGCTCAAGCGATCCTCCCACCTCAGCCTCGCAAGTAGCTGGGACCATAGTTGCGTGCCACCACGCCCAAGTAACTTTTTCTGTTTTTGGTAGAGATGGGGTTTCTGTATGTTACTCAGGCTGGTCTTGAACTCCTGAGCTCAAGTGATGCCCTGCCTTGGCCTCCCAAAATGCTAGGATTACAGGGATGGGTGAACCACCACATCCAGCCAGGACTTGGAATTTTAACCCTACTGTGGTGGGAGCTGAGGAAAGGTTTTTCACCAGTGGAATGACACACTCAGGTTGGACAGGTTGTGGAAGATCCTCAGGCTCAAAGGAAGAGGATACATTGGACATGGGGGTGAGGTCGGTGGCACTTAAAAAGCCTTTGCAGGCACCCAGGCAGGTAGAGAGGGAGGCTGAGCCAGGATATTCCCCTGTGCCCACTACAGCATCAAAAACCAGAAAAAGGGCCAGGTGCGTGGCTCACACCTGTAGTCTTGGCATTTTGGGAGGCTTAGGGGGGAAGATTTCTTGAGACCAATCTGGTCAACATAGTGAGACCCCATCTCTTGAAACAAAAAAACAAAGAAAACAGACAAGTTGATGGGCAAAGGGCATGGGCAAAGATTCTGGGGTGTGCTCCAGTAGAGGAAACGGAGGTCCTGGGCAGGGAGGCATTTTGCACAGTTGGTAAGCAACAGGGCAAACAAATCACCAGTGTTTACGTTATACTGGCAAATCTCTTACTGCTGGACATTTAGGCTCCGTCTAATAATAAGGATAACAGCTGGGTGCACTGTATTATTTATTTAGTCCTCACAGTAGGGCAGGATGATCAGTCTCCCCACTTGACAGATGAAGACACTGAGGGTCAGAGTGGTGATGTGTCAGGAACCCTCCCACTGGGTTCTCACGCTTGAAACACAGATTGCTGGTCCCCACCCACACAGTTTCTGATGCAGTAGGTCTGGGTGGGGCCCGAGCATCTGCGGTTCCCAACAAGTTCCCAGGTGCCACCGATGCTGGTGACAGAGCTGCGTTTGAGGATCACTGCTCTAAACATTATTGCTGCTGCACGCATTGCCTCCTGCTGGGTGCAGGGGTTGTGGGGGGCACTTTGGCAGTGCAGAGCGGAGGTAACCAGCAGAAAACCCGTTAGAACTAAAAGCTGAGAGTGTTTCTGACAAACAGGTCAACATGCTGAAAGACCCAGACAAGGTCCTTAAACTACCCTGCGCTCCAAGAATCAGTGCCTGGGGCTGCCGTACCTAATTGGTTCAAACCACAGGGTTTCTGGCCAGCTCATCTGGTACCAAACGTAGATGTCAATATGGTGGATGCCAAAGAACACATCACTCTGTTTGGATGAATCAGGCTTTTCCTCCCTCTGCCTTCAGCCAGGACTTCTCTGAATTGTTTTCATTTCAAATGAAAGAGGGACCAGTTCACAAGCTGCTTTCATGCTATCTGGGACAGGAGTTACTGTATTTCAGTGTCTGAGGCTGGGAAACCCCCTGGAGGTGGCTCTGTCTTTTGTACCTAGTGTGTGATGTCAAAAGATTCTCCTTGGTTTGGGTTAAATGACATGCTCCCTGGATTACAATCCAGTGCCCCATGATTTTTTTTCCTCCTTTTTTATTGTCAATCCTTGACCTACTTCAGAAGTTAGTTGTCTTTGTTGTCAAGTAAGGCCTTCCACGTCAGATAGAGGCTGTTTCCAGGCCGGGTGCAGTGGCTCATGCCTGTAATCCCAGCACTTTGGGAGGCCGAGGTGGGTGGATCGCTTGAGGTCAGGAGTTTGAGACCAGCCTGGCCAACATGATAAAACCCCCGTCTGTACTACAAATGCAAAAATTAGCCAGGCATGGTGGTGTGCACCATGTAATCCCCGCTATGTGGCAGGATGAGGCAGGAGAACTGTTTCAATTTGGGAAGCGGAGGCTGCAGTGAGCTGAGAACGCACCATTGCGCTGCAGCCTGGGCGATGAGAGTGAAACCGTCTCAAAAAAAAAAAAAAAAAAAAAAAGGCTATTTCCTTTTTTTTTTTTTTTTTTTTTTTGCCAGTGAAGGGGGGACCCTGTGTTGGCCTCCCTATCGGTCACTTGAGATAATCTGAAAATCTGTGTTTAGATCCATAGAAGAGAGGCGGCCTGAGGAGAAGAATTTGACAAAGCTCTTTGAGTGTGCAAATTAGAAATGGCAATTGCTGGGCGCGGTGGGTCATGCCTGTAATCCCAGCGCTTTGTGAGGCCGAGATAGGCGGATCAGTTGAGGTCAGGAGTTCGAGACCAGCCTAGCCAACATGGTGAAACCCCATCTCTATCAAAAAATCCAAAAATTAGCCAGGTGTGGTGGCAGATGCCTATAATCCCAGCTACTCAGGAGGCTGAGGCAGGAGAATTGCTTGAACCTGGGAGGTGGAGGTTGCAGTGAGCCGAGATCGGGCCACTGCACTCCAGCCTGGGCGACAGAGTGAGACTCAGTCTCAAAACACAAAAAACAAAAAACTGTGCAGTGTTCTGTCTGTCAATGTCCTTGTTGCATTTGCAGGGCAGGTTTTCTACCAGTGGCTGGGGACTTAGTTTTACTGGGCCGAGGGAAGGTTAGGATTTGAGGGTCTTGTTAAGCTGGATATGGGCTGCATTTCAAGCCTCCCCTGGCTGTCTCTATCCTGCGTGTTGATGCCAAGGCTGAAGAAGACTGGATTTGCAGGCAAAAGACTGTCATTTGAGGCCTGTTTTCACCCCTTAATCACTGTGTCTTGGTATGTTGTGGGGGTTGAGGTAGGCAGAGGTTAGCCAACCTTTTCTGGAAAGGGCTGGCTGATAAATACTTGAGGCTTTGCATCCCATACACTGTCTGTGGCAACCCCTAACTCCGCTGTGTAGCTCAAAAGCTGCCATACTCATTTATAATACATAAATGAATGGGTGTGACTGTTCCAATGAAACTTTATTTATAAATAGCTGGTCTGTGGGCCATAGATGCTTCTGATATATAAAGCATCTGGTATAGTGGTGTATTGTGAACCCACTGGGGTTTTTTCCCCCCCAAACACTTGAGCTTTATTGATGTATATTGACAAATAAAAATGGTATATAGGTTGGGCACGGTGGTTCATGCCTATAATCCCAGGACTTTGGGAGGCCGAGGCAGGTGGATCACTTGAGCTCAGGAGTTCGAGACTAGCTCAAGGAATAGAGTGAAATTCTGTCTCTACAAAAAATACAAAAATTAGCTGGGTGTTGTGGTGTGCGTCTGTAGTCCCAGCTACCTGGGGGGCTGAGGTGGGAGGATCACTTGAACCTGGGAGGTCGAGGCTGCAAAGAGCTATGATTACACTACCGTGCTCCAGCCTGGGTGACAGAGCGAGACCCTGTCTCGAAAATATATTTAAGGTGTACAGTTTTATGTTTCCATATACCAGAGGCTACTGTCACTGCTTCTATTATTATTACTACTACTACTACTCATGTTACCCTTTCTTTGGCTGTTACTTTGTGCCAGGTACTATTCTAAGTACTTACCATGTTTGATCTCATTTAATCTTCACCACCAAGGAACTGACCCAAGGTCCCACAGCTAGGAAATGGCAAGCTGGGATTGAGCCGTGCCAGCTAGCCCCGTGCTATGCACTGCTTCACACAGAAGCTGCCCCTCCACCCCTGCCGCCTTCCTTTTCCTTTGTTCCTTTGTTATCAGCTGGCCGTTTCCAGAAACGGTTGGTTAACCTCTGCCTACCTCAACCCTCAGTGATTAAGGGGTGATATCGGGCCTCAAATGACTGACCTTTTTCCTTTGTTGCAGCTCTCACTGATTGTAATTCTGATTGTAATTATATATTTGTTTGCACCGTGGTTTACTTACTGTCCATCTTCCCCAGGGCAGGAGGCTGAATGGGGCAGGGGTCTCGCTGTCTCGTTTGCAGCTCCGTCCGCGGCACTTCACCCACATCCTGGCCTATAAGCAAGTCCTGCCCATATATTTGACCAATAAATAAATGAATCATTGACAGCCGTGCCCCACCCCTTCCTCCTCTCTCTGCCAGCCAGCACCTTGGTCTTTCACAGTGGGTAGAGGGCTTGGGCTGCAGGTGAAATGGATTTGCAATTCCCTGATAACCCACCCGCCGACTGTGGGAGTGGGCAGGAAGGTGTCAGCTCTTCCGGATGAAAAACCAGCCTGCAATGCAGTGTTTCTACCCAGCCTACAAAGCAAACACCACTACCTCCACGCCTTAGGTTGGAGAAATTCCGCTTTACGACACAGTCCCATGGGCCTCATGTCATTTGTCCCTCCTGGCAGTCCCGGGGGATAGGTCGAGCAAGCAGTAGGACAAACGACTCCCATTTTCCAGGTGTAAAAACTGAGGCTTGGAGGTGAAGGGACTTGCCCAAGGTCATCAGCTAGAATATAGCAGGGCTGGGATTAGAACCCAGGTCTGTCCGGGTCCACGGTCTGATCTGAACTCGGCTTCAGTTGGTCTGGA